>NC_000017.11:41310980-41935980 GCF_000001405.40 Homo sapiens | reverse complement strand
TGCAGCGCTCAGAGATCAGTGTGTGCATCAGGGAATGGTCCTCCCAGCAGACAGGTGGTGCCCGCCACCATGCCCGGCTAATCCTCAACAACACTGCAGCAGCCAAATCCAGGTGTAGGACTCCCTGCGGGCCTGGTGGTGGCTGCTCACCTGCTGTGACTCAACCTTCCTCTAAACCTAAGGATTCCAAGGACCTTCCTGGATAAGGGCATAGGCCCTGTGGTCACTCACTTCCCACTGAGTTGTTGATGGCTTCCTGGGCTTTCTGAATGCCAACTCTGAATTCCCGATCAGGCCTCAGCTTGTAGCCTCGATGATAGAATACCAAGGCAAACTCAAAGTCTCCCATGGTGTACAGTGTCTCAGCCTTTTGCAAAATCCCCTGGAATGGGAGGAAATCAAATCAATGTGAACAGATAAGGCCTTATAGGACTCACATGTGGTGGAACAGAAGGGTCCTGGGTTGAAGGTCAAGGTTGGAATACAGGGGGCAGGGACTTAGGCAATGACCTAGGAAGAGAAAATGGCATCAAACACTAGGCAGTCTGGCTGGTTCTACTTGTAACAACTACTTGTAACCAGAAGTTGCTACAGGCAATGGCAGGATCCAGTCCTCCCGCCCATGCAGTCACCTTACAGAAAGCTGGGTCACTCTGGAGCGAAGCCTCAGCATCCTTCAGGGATCTCTCCAAGTCTCCCATCTTCAGGAAGCACTTTGAGCGAGCAACCAGGCAGTTCTTGTCTCCATCCTGAAGGTAAAGAGCCTGACAAAGAAACCAGTCAGGTTGACAGCCAGCATGAAGAGCAAGGTAGAAGCTGGAGTGGGAAGGGCAGCCCAAACCCTCCTGCAGAGGGGATTTCTTCAGGCTCTGAAGAAATCAAGGCTCTGAAGAATCAAGGGGATTCTTCAGGCCAGCACACAGGCCTCTGGCTCCTAAGCAGAACAACTCCGATCTGCGCTCAGTCAACTTGATTATCTGCATATGGCTCACCTTGAACAAGGTCAAATCATGGCTATTGTGGAAGCCACTGGCTGAAGAGTAGGAATATGCTGCTCTGTGGATACGCTGACTTTCCACCAATGTCTGAGAGCCCCTCAGTCCCCTCAGGCAATAGAACTGTAGGGTATTTTGTGCACACCAAACTCAACTACAAACCTGAAATGGCAACACATCATACTCAAAGCAAATTTCAAAGGCTAAGCATTCTGAAGTGGACTTGAGGACAATCTGCCATGTGGCTTAACCATTCCAGTAGCCTTCTCTTTTTATGTAGCTAATCAAGAACTAATCACTATATCCGGGGATTAAGATGAAAATACCAGGAAAAGGCTGGGAGTGGTGGCTCACACCTGTAATCCCAGCACTTTGGCAGGTCGAGGTGGGCGGAACGCTTGAGCCCAAGAGTTTGAGACCAGCCTGGGCAACATGGCAAAACCCTGTCTCTACGAAATACAAAAAAATTAGCTGGGCGTGGTGGTCCATGATTGTAGTCCCAGCTACTCAGGAGGCTGAGATGGGAGGATTGCTTGAACCTGGAGAGGTCGAGGCTGCATAAGCCATGATCACACCACTGCACTCCAGCCTGGGTGACAGAATGAGACTCTGTCTCAAAAAACAAAACAAAACAAAACAAAAAGAGGCCGGGTGCAGTGGCTCACACCTGTAATCCCAGAACTTTGGGAGACCAAGGTGGGTGGGTCACTTGAAGTCAGGAGTTTGAGACCAGCCTGGCCAACGTGGTGAAACCCATTTCTACTAAAAATACAAAAATTAGCCAGACATGGTGGTAAGCACCTGTAATCCCAGCTACTCGGGAGTCTAAGGCAAGAAAATCGCTTGAACCTGGGAGGCAGAGGTTGCAGTGAACTGAGATCATGCCACTGCACTCCAGCCTGGGTGATGGAGTGAGACGCTGTCTCAAAAAAAAAAAAAAAAAAAAAGAAAGAAAGAAAAAAGAAAGAAAGGGAAAAGAAAAATGAAAAACAAGAAAGAAAAAAAAAAAAGAAAATGCTAGGAAAATGAAACTGATTTTGACCCTAAAGTGGGGTTGAGGGCAATATCCCCACTCCCAGTGTCCTCTTTTCTGTGTGAGATGATTACCATAGTCTGTGGTGTACTGTCCTTCCTGAGGCATCTAACTGTACCCACCCCCCTTTTTCTTTTTTGAGACAGAGTCTCACACTGTCACCCAGGCTGGAGTGCAGTGGCACGATCTCTGCTCACTGCAATCTCCGAGTCCCGGGTTGAAGCAATTCTCCTGCTTCAGCCTCCCGAGTACCTGGGACTACGGGTGCCCGCCACCACACCTGGCTAATTTTTTTTTTTTGAGATGGCGTTTTGCTCTTGTTGCCAAAGCTGGAGTGCAATGGCACGATCTCGGCTCACTGCAACCTCCGCCTCCCGGGTTCAAGCAATTCTCCTGCCTCAGCCTCCGGAGTAGCTGGGATTACAGGCACTCGCCACCACGTCCGGTTGATTTTTTGTATTTTTAGTAGAAACAGGGTTTCACCATGTTAGCCAGGCTGGTCTCAAACACCTGACCTCAGGTGATCCACCTGCCTTGGCCTCCCAAAGTGCTGGGATTACAGGCATGAGCCACCTGACCTGGTCTTTTTTTTTTTTTTTTTTGAGACAGAGTTTCACTCTTGTTGCCCAGGCTAGAGTGCAATGGCATGATCTTGGCTCACTGCAACCCTCTGTCTCCTGGTACCCACCCCTTTCTAAGACCTTCCTACTTTTCTAAGAAGAGGAAGTAGCTACTGTCTTTCTGGAAAGTGACTGCTTCTCATCCAAGGCTACCCTTCCCTCAGGGTGTTCTTTTTTCTCTGCTGGTGGGTACTTCAGGATGGGACATGATCCAGCAGGAGGAGAATAAGTGGGGACAGGGCTACCGAACTCAATTGTTCACTTATCTGGTCATCATTTCTGGTTTTAGGGTGTGGTTGGTGACTGAAAGGGACAAACGACTCTGGGGAGCTGTTGAGAAGCTTGATCTTACAGGAAGTCTCAAAACTACAGGGTTATCCTATCACTCCATCTAGAAGAAGAAGTGGGCAATTTGGAGCAGAAGAAGTGGGCAATTTGGAGCAAAAGAAATGGTCATAAAAACATGTTTTTAGGGCACTGTATCTCATACCTGTAATCCTAGCACTTTGTGAGGCCAAAGCGGGAGTATTACTTGAGCTCAAGTGTTCAATACCAGCCAGGGCAACATAGCAAAACACCTATCTCTACAAAAAAAAAAAAAAAAAAGAAGAAAAGAAAAAATTAGCCAGGCGTGGTGGCATAAGCCTGTAGCTCCAGCTACTTGGAACACTAAGGTGGGAGGATCACTTGAGCTCAGGAGTTTGAAGCTGTATTGAGCTGTGATTGTGCCACCACATTCCAGCTTGGGAGACAGAACGAGATCCTGTCTCTGAAAAAACAAACAAACAAAAAAAAAACAACAGTTTCCTTATGCAGATGTCAGATGTGTAGTTTTGTGGTTAGCACCTCAGCATTGGAGTCTGAGCCCGGCTTTGAATCCTTCCTCTGCCACTTGCTAGTTTAGCGACCTTGGGCATGTTGCTCAACTTCTGTATATTTCCTAATCTATAAAATTGAGTATGCACTGGGTGGGGTGGTTCACGCCTGTAATCCCAGCACTTTGGGAGGCTGAGGTGGGGGGGGATCACCTGAGGTGGGGAGTTCGAGATCAACCTGACCAACATGGAGAAACCCCGTCTCTACTAAAAATACAAAATTAGCCGAGCATGGTGGTGCATGCCTGGGATCCCAGCTACTCGGGAGGCTGAGGCAGGAGAATCGCTTGAACCTGGGAGGTGGAGGTTGGGGTGAGCCGAGATTGCGCCACTGCACTCCAGCCTGGGCAAGAAGAGCAAAACTCCATCTTAACAACAACAAAAATCCAGTCTGCTTAGCAGTGTGCCTGAGGCTGAGGCAGGAGAATCACTTGAATCCAGGAGGTGGAGGTTGCAGTGAGCCAAGATCGCACCATTGCACTCCAGCCTGGAGACAGAGCAAGACTACGTCTCCAAAACAACAACAACAACAACAACAACAACAACAAAAACCATCACCCAATCCCCTTAGGGTGGGATGATGCAATTTATACTAGGGTTACTATAATAATGTTGCTGGTTGGTGCAGCAGCTCACCTCAGTAATCCCAGCACTTTGGGGGGCCGAGGCAGGTGTATCACTTGAGGTCAGGAGTTCGACACCAGCCTGGCCAACATGGTGAAACCCTGTCTCTACTAAGAATACAAAAATTAGCCAGGCGTGGTGGGACATGCCTGTAATCCCAACTACTCCCTAGGCTGAGGCAGGAAAATCGCTTGAACCTGGGGAGGCGGAAGTTGCAGTGAGCTGAGATCTTGCCACTGCACTCCAGCCTGGGCAACATAGCAAAACTTTGTCTCAAAATTGATAATAATAATCATATGTTGCTTACTGGCCACCTTTTATAAGCAACGGTGTGCTGGGGACATTGAGGCTTCTGCATGCAACCTCCCATCCAATCTGCCAGCAAATGATGGGAAGGTAAGGCTGCTCTGTGGAAGGAGGCCGGTTAATCATGAAACATTTAAGTAAAAGTGGAGGAAAAGGTCACTGTTAACGCAGAGAATGGAGATTGCAAGTGGGAACTGGTAGAAAATGGCCAACCACAGGGCTTATCTGTGACAGCAGTGTGTCCATCAAAAATCAGTGAATAATAGAAACAACAGGGTCCTCCAGGCATCATCAAGACCTCAGTGTTATCTGCAATCAAAAGGTGAGGGCAGGGGGCAGGCGCAGTGGCTCACGCCTGTAATCCCAGCACTTTGGGAGGCCGAAGCGGGTGGATCACGAGGTCAGGAGTTCGAGACCAGCCTGGCCAACACAGTGAAACCCCCATCTCTACTAAAAAGACAAAATAATTAGCCGGGCATGGTGGCACGCGCCTGTAGTCCCAGCTACTTGGGAGGTGGAGGCAGGAGAATCACTTGAACCCGGGAGGCGGAGGTTGCGGCGAGCCGAGATCGTGCCATTGCACTCCAGCCTAGGCAACAAGAGCGAAACTCCGTCACAAAAAAAAAAAAAAAAAAAAAAAAAAAAAGTGACGGGTGATGGGGTGATGGATAGGTTGAGAGCTCGACTCACGTTGCTGAAGCTCTGCGCGGCTTTAGAAAATTCCCCGCACAGGTAGAGCCGCTCGCCTTCGGCCATATAAGAGGGAAAGGTGCTTCGCAAGGTCTCGCCTTCGGGGTCCGACATGGTGACCGGATTTAGAGACGCTAAAGCAGAGACAATCAAAGAAAAGCTGGAGAACCTCTATCTGGTTTGTGGAAGCTCCGTTTCTTAGCAACCATGAGATGTACAGCGACTTCCGGTTCCGCCCCCGTCTGGCAAGGGCCCGGATTCTGGGTACAACCTGCCGGCGTGCGCTTGCGCCAGTTCTGCCGCGCACTGGGCCAGGGAGTGATGATTGCGTGGCTGACGGCTGGGCTGGTTAGTGTTTGCTGTTGCACGCTCTGGCGGTTCTCTCTGGAGTTGCTGCCTGAAAAGGCTCCCTTGTAAGACAGCCAAGAAAACAGGAAGAGGGTTGGAGGCAAAGTTCCGAATAGGGATGAGGCATACGTGGTAAGGATATGTGCACGGCGTACCGCCATTAGGGGGAGAGAGCACTGGGCTTGGAGTCAGCAGACTTGGGCTGACTTCGCTCCTGTCACTTCCTAACTGCGTGACCTCTCGCGGGGCATGTAAGGGCTCCCAGCCTCGAATGTTCCACCTGCCAAATAAATATGAAAATAATGGAACACTCAGGGATGCGAGGATTTGCATAAGAAAACATGGAAAATAACGTTGGGTTCAACATAATTTAACGCAGTTATTTGAGCAGCTACTAGTAGCGGGCCTTGACCAAGGCATATTCTGACGTCCTTCCCCATTCCCTCACCATCACCACTCCTCCAAAAGTGGACTAGGTGCTTCTTCTGGGCTCCAACGATACCCTAAGTAGCTTGCTTAACTGCCTTTACTACGTTACTTCCAAAACGTCCTAATGTCATTGTTAAAGTTTAAATAGTAAAAAGATGTCTTTAACTACAAATGCACACACACACACACACACACGGCATACATGTAAAACTGGGGATATTTGAGTAAGATCAGTGGATTGTATCAGTGTCAATTTTCTGGTTGTGTTATTGTACTAAAGTTTTTAAGGATGTTACCATTGGGAGAAACTGGGAAAAGGGTACATGGGATCTCTTTTGTATTTATTTCTTATGAACTGCATATGAATCTATGATTATCTCAAAAGGTTTAATTCAAAATATAAGAAATAATATGGTCCCTGCTTGAAGGAGTTTTATCTAATAGGGGAGAAAGATGTATAAACAAGTAACGGCCACTTAAGTGATATTAACTAGTAATTAAAAGTTCTGTGTGCCTGTGAGGGAGATGAGGACAAAGTGGTGTGAAACCCAGGCAAATGAATGATTCAGCCAGGGTCTGGGATGGGTTAGAGACATGTTCATAGAGGGGTAATATTTGAGCTGAGGGTGAGTATGGTGGAGCCCAGTAGACGTAAGTAGAGAATGAGAGCTAGGTGTGGTGGCTCATGCCTGTAATCCCAGTACTTTGGAGACTGAGGTGGGAGGATCGCTTGAGCTCAGGAGTTCGAGACCAGTCTGGGCAACATGGCGAAGCCCTGTCTCTACCACAAATACAAAAGTGAGCTGGGTGTGGTGGCGTGTGCCTGTAGTCCCAGCTACTCAGGAAGCTGAGGCAGGAGGATCACTTGAGCGTGGGAGGTCGAGGCTGCAGTGAGCCATGTTTGGGCCACTGCATTGTAGCCTGTGTAACAAAGCAAGACCCTGTCTCAAAAAAAAAAAAAAAAAAGGAAATAACATGTGCAAAGGCTGGAGGTGTGTACATTCACAGGGTGTTTAAGGAGCAGCAACAGGTTTAAGGACCTGCAGTGAAACTGGTCCTGTTCTAAGTTAAGGTGGGCTCATTGATGAGTTGAGGACTGTTGCTGGAGCAACCAGGATTAATCAGAAAAAAACCTCCTGCAAGGAAGAGATCTACAGATTCAGTGCAGTTCCAATCAGAACTCCAGCAGCTTTTTTTTTTTTTTTTTTATGGTGGAGTCTCACTCTGTCACTCAGGCTGGAGTGCAGTGATGTGATCTCGGCTCACTGCAATCTCCGCCTCCCGGTTTCAAGCTAGTCTCCTGCCTTAGCCTCCTGAGTAGCTGGGATTACAGGTGCACACCACCATGCCCAGCTAATTTTTTGTATTTTTAGTAGAGATGAGGTTTCACCATGTTGGCCAGGCTGGTCTTGAACTCCTGACCTCAGGTGATCTGCCCGCCTCAGCCTCTCAAAGTGCTGGGATTACAGGCATGAGCCACTGTGCCTGGCCCCAGCAGCCTTTTTTTTTTTTCAGTAATTAACAAGCTGATTTTAAGATTTATGTGGAAATGCAAAAGACCTAAAATAGCCAAAACCATTTTGAAAAAGAAGAACAAAAGAGAACTTAAATTCTGTGATTTCAAGACTTATTTTAAAGCTACGGTAATGGTATTAGCATAAATATGTAAATATATATGGATTAATGGAACAGAAATAGATCCACACATATATGATCAATTGATGTTCAATGAAGTTGCCAAAGAGATTCAATGGAGAAAGGATACTCTTTTCCACAAATGTGTGCTGAAGCAATTGGATAGCCATATGGAAAGACAAAATCCAAAATAAAAAACCTTGATCCTTACCTCACACTATATACAAAAATCAACTGGAAATATTTTAATGTAAATATGTATTTAATTAATTTTTATTTTTATTTTTTGAGAGAGAGTTGGCCTTGTCCACCAGGCTGGAGTGCAGTAGTGAGATCTTGACTCACTGCAACCTCTGCTTTCTGGGCTCAGGCCACCCTCCCACCTCAGCCTCCTGAGTAGCTGGGACTACAGACACGCACCACCACACCCAGCTGATTTTTGTGTTGTTTTGGTAGAGACAGGGTTTTGCCATGTTGCCCAGGCTGGTTTTGAACTCCTGAACTCAAGCAATCCTCCCACCGCGGCCTCTCAAAGTGCCAGGCTTACAGATGTGAGCCACCATGCCTGTCTAAATATAAATATTGAGTTTTTTTTTTTTTGAGATGGAGTCTCACTCTGTCACCCAGGCTGGAGTGCAGTGGCGTGATCTCAGCTCACTGCCACCTCTGCCTCCCAGGTTCAAGTGATTCTTCTGCCTCCGCCTCCCAAGTAGCAGGGACTACAGGTGTGCACCACCATGCCCGGCTAATTTTCATATTTTTGGTAGAGACAGGGTTTCACTGTGTTAGCCAGGCTAATCTCGAACTTCTGACCTCAGGTAATCCACCCACCTTAGCCTCCCAAAGTGCTGTGATTACAGGCATGAGCCACTGCGCCTAGTCTAAACCTTGATCCTTACCTCATACCATATACAAAAATTAACTAGAAATATTTAAATGTGGCCGGGTGTGGTAGCTCACACCTGTAATCCCAGCACTTTGGGAGGCCCAGGCGGGCAGATCAAGACCATCCTGGCTAACACGGTTGAGCTATGATCAGGCCACTGCACTCCAGCCTGAGCAACATAGTGACATCACATCTCAAATAAAATACAATTCTAGAAAATGCAGACTAACTGCCTGGGAACATGGCAGTAGGGAAGTGAGGGGTAGATTACAAAGGAGTACAGGGAAACTCATGGAGGTGAGGAATATGTTCATTATCTTGATTGTGGTAATTGTTTCACAGGTATATACATGTATTAAAACTCATCAAATTGGCCAGACATGGTGGCTCAAGCCTGTAATCCTAGTACTTTGGGAGGCTGAGGTGGGTGGATCACCTGAGTTCGGGAGTTCAAGACCAGCCTGACCAACATGGAGAAACCCTGTCTCTACTAAAAATACAAAATTAGCTGGGCGTGATGGCACATGCCTGGAATCCCAGTTACTCGGGAGGCTGAGGCAGGAGAATCACGTGAACCTGGGAGGCGGAGGTTGTGATGAGCCAAGATCGTGCCATTGCACTCCAGCCTGGGCAACAACAGTGAAACTCCATCTCAAAAAAAAGACCAAAAACCTCATCAAATTGTACACTTTATGTGCAGTTTATTGTACATTAATTATATATTAAGAAAGCTGTTTTAAAAACACAATAAGGCCTGGCGTGGTGGCTTATGCCTATAATCCCAGCACTTTGGGAGGCCGAGGCGGGCGGATCACCTGAGGTCAGGAGTTCAAGATCAGCCTGGCCAACATGGTGAAACCCTGTCTCTACTAAAAATACAAAAATTAGCCGGACATGGTGGCAGGCACCTGTAATCCCAGCTACTCGGGAGGCTGAGGCACGAGAATCGCTTGAACCTGGGAGGTGGAGGTTGCAGTGAGCCAAGATCGTGCCATTGCACTTCAGCCTGGGGAACAAGAATGAGATTTCATCTCAAAAAAACAAAACAAAACAAAAACCATAAAATACCAATCATAATGTGTGCTTTCTGGCAATTTATAAAGCACTGTGAGCTTGACAACACCCTAGTGAAGTAAAGAGCCAGTCAGTGGTTTCCTGGTTTCACAGATGAGAAACTCTGAGGCTGAGAGAAATGACAAGGTTTGCTCCAGGCTACAGCACAAGGATATAAGTGAGCTGGGTTGGGGCCTATTCCTTGGGTTCGATTAGCAGGATAAAGAGTGCTAGAATTGGATTCCAGTGTGTCCCAGCCATTTATAGCTATGTTCCTCATGTTATTGCTTTATTTCTTCTTTTATTGTGAAATAGAACATAAGTAAATAAACATACATGTCTGGCCGGGCGTGGTGGCTCACTCCTGTAATCCCAGCACTTTCGGAGGCCAAGGCAGGCAGATCACCTCGAGTCGGGAGTTCAAGACCAGGCTGGCCAACATGGTGAAGCCCCATCTCTACCAAAAATACAAAAATTAGCCTGGTGTGGTGGCACACACCTGTAATCCCAGCTGTACCAGAGGCCGAGGCAGGAGAATCACTTGAACCCGAGAGGCAGAGGTTGCAGTGAGCCATGATCACACCACTGCACTCCAGCCTGGGCGACAGAGCAAGACTCTCTCTCAAAAAAAAAAAAGTACACCTATGTAGTCATCACACAGGTAAATCAAGAAACATATTGCTAGCAGGGGGTCCTGTGAAAGGCCTCTCTCCACTCACAGCTCCCTCTCCAGGTAACTACTGCCTTCACTGTGAGCCCTCATCATCTCTCTCCTGGATTACTTCAACATCCTTCTAAGTGGGTCTCCTTGGCCTCCCCTCCCCCACTTCCTTCTCAACACAACAGTCAGAAGATTACTTTTATTTATTTATTATTTATTTAGACAGAGTGTCTAAATAAAGGCTGGAGTGCAGTGGCACAATCTCGGCTCACTGCAACCTCCACCCTCCTGGGCTCAAGCAATCCTCCCACCTCAGCCTCCCCAGTAGCTGGAACTACAGGTGCATGCCATCACACCCTGCTAATTTTTGGGTTTTTTTTTTTTTTTTTTTGGTAGAGAAGGTGTTTTGCAATGTTGCCCAGGCTGGTCTTGAACTCTTGAGCTCAGGCAATCCTCCTGCCTTGGCTTCCCAAAATGCTGGAATTACAGGCATGAACCATCATGCCTGGCCAGAAGACTCCTTTTATTTTTTTATTTTCATTTATTTATTTATTTTGAGACAGAGTTTCGCTCTGTCGCCCAGGGTGGAGGGCAGTTGCAGGATCTCGGCTCGCTGAACCTCCACCACCCTGTGTGGTGGTGGGCGCCTGTAACCCCAGCTTCTTGGGAGGCTGAGGCAGGAGAATCGCTTGAACCCAGAAGGCAGAGGTTGCAGTGAGCGGAGATCGCGCCACTTCACTCCAGCCTGGGCAAAAGAGTGAAACTCCATCTCAAAATAATAATAATAATAATAATAAACTCATTCAGAGATAAGTTTAAACGTGTCATATGTAAAAGTCAAGGGTAAGTGATTTATGTGTGTGGGAGGGGCTGCACAGGTTCTTCCTGAAAGAGGAGGGAATTTTATAGGAACATACCTGGTGGGGAGGAGGCAGTGGCAGTTTTTGAGAGAGAGTCAGAATGGAGTGGGGGTGACTCTGGGAAGGGGCCAGCCTGGACCTGGTTGGGCTGCATGGAGAAACTTTATTCCCTGAGCACAGATGCTGCATCCCCAGAGAGATAACTGCTGCCCAGGAGTGGAACTAGCCATCCCTCCAGCTTCCCTGGTGGCAGGCAGCCTCTGTCGGGTTAGAGAGAGGGGCCCTGGCTGCATCTCCCTGGAGAGCCTTCCCCAGGACACACAGGCCCTTAGCTCTGATGGAAGGTTTGTCAGTACTGGGCAAAAGTGAGTGGTGCGGAAGTTAGAATCCTTGGCTCTTCACAGGGTGGATGATGATGGGGCTTTGCTGGAAGCTCCTGTCTTGGGCTGTTACAAGGAGAGAGGTGGGTTTAGAACTGGATACTCTACATAAACAGAAAATGCATTTGAAAAAAATAGTAGCCGGGCACGGTGGCTCACGCATGTAATCCTAGCACTTTGGGAGGCTGAGGCGGGCGGATCACGAGGTCAGGAGATTGAGACCATCCTGGCTAACATGGTGAAACCCCATCTCTACTAAAAATAAAAAAAAAAATCAGCCGGGTGTGGTGGCACGTGCCTGTAGTCTCAGCTACTTGGGAGGGCGAGACAGGAGAATCACTTGAACCCAGGAGGCGGAGGTTGCAGTGAGCCGAGATCACGCCACTGCACTCTAGCTTGGGTGACAGAGCGAGACTCAGTCTCAAAAAATAAATAAATAAAAAATAAATAAATAAAAAGAAAAAAATAGTAGAACTGGGCCGGGCGTGGTGGCTCACACCTGTAATCCCAGCACATTGGGATGCCGAGGCAGGCGGATCATGAGGTCTGGAGTTAAAGACCAGCCTGGCCAACATGGCGAAACCTCATTTCTACTCAAAATAGAAAAATTAGCTGGGCATGGTGGCGGGCACCTGTAATCCCAGCTACTCAGGAGGCTGAGGCAGGAGAATCGTTTGAACCTGGGAGGTGGAGGTTGAAGTGAGCCCAGATCACACCATTGCACTCCAGCCTGGGTGACAGGGTGAGACTCCCTCTCAAAACAAACAAACAAACAAACAAAAAAATAGTAGAACTGGACACTTAGGTAGACCCTTCTCCAGGCTGCATCTCCTCCCTCCTCTCCCTGCCCTTCCCCTACAATTGCTTTCTTTCATTCACATATTATAAGAGCCTTTTTTTAGTCATGTTTACAGTGAATGCTTAATATGTGTCCAGTCCCATGCTAGGCACTGGAGATGCCAAAATGAACAAGGCACTCTCCTAGGCCTTGGGTTGCTTACAGTCAGATAAAGGAGATCCACTGGATAGGATCTTTCCCTCTTACTCACCTGCAGCAGGTTGCAGGGTACAGGCCCAAGGACTTGGAGTCTGAAGATCATTAGGTTAGTTGATCATAGGCAAAATGATGAAAACACTTAGTTAGCTCAAGTGGCTGCTGTGAGTAGTATGCCTTTCACATAGTAGGTGCTCAATAAATATTAACTAAAATTGGTCCAAATCTAGGAGGAAGTCCTTAGCCAGTTTTAGGCTTCTGGAACCCAGGTGGAATGCCCAAACCTGGGCTTGGAGATGGTGCCTATAACCCTCTGTATTCTGATAGGGACCTGTCCTCTAGTCCAGTCTAGAAGAGGAGGGAGGTGATTCAAATGGGAAAATCAAAAGAGTTTAGAGCTTTTATTTTATTTTTTATTTTTTGTAGAGATGGGGGTTTTGCCATGTTAGCCAGACTGGTTTTGAACTCCTGAGCTCAGGCAGTCCACCCGCCTTGGCCTCCCAAAGTGTTGGGATTACAGGCGTGAGCCACTGCACCCAGCCTGGTTTAGAGCTTTTAAGTTAGAAAATAGAATGATGAGAAGATGGGTTCTAGATTGATTAATTCAAGGCAGATGAACCTCTGTGGGTGCATGGTGGGGTAATGAGAGAGTCTTACTTGAGGAGGCTGGGCGTTGGGGGCAGAAACTTGGTATGAGACCACTGAGTGAACTGGAAAACCTCAGTGGCTGGCTCATGGGCCCTCTGGCCAGCACCTCTTCCCCCTCACTCTCTGGACAGTTATTTTTTGTTGTTCCTGCCCAGGAATAGTCAAACTTAGGCCTAGCAACACCTAAATGGAGGACAATCATTCAGCAAACATTTATTGAGTACTTACTGTGTAACCAGTCCCTATTTAAACTGCTAGAAATACAGCAATGAAGAAAATAGACAAAGATCCCTATCTTCGTCATGCACATACGCAAGTATATCTGAAGGATAAATTATTAGAAGTGGAATTACTGGACCAAAGGGCAAGTGAATTTAAAATGTTTACTGATATTACCAAATTGACCTTCAAAGAGTTTATTATATTTTATGTCCCGCCTGGATGACCATTTCCCCAGGAGTGTATTTGTCTTTCTTTTTTTTTTTCTCATACAGGGTCTCACTCTGTCACCCAGGCTGATGTTCAGTGGTGCAGTCACGGCTGACTGCATCTTTTTTTTTTTTTTTTTTTTTTGTCTCGCTCTGTCACCCAGCCTGGAGTGCAGTGGCGTGATCTCGGCTCACTGCAACCTCCGCCTCCTGGGTTCAAACGATTCTCCTGCCTCAGCCTCCTGAGTAGCTGGGACTACAGGCACGTGCCACCATGCCCGGCTATTTTTTTTGTATTTTTAGTAGAGCTTGGGTTTCACTTTGTTAGCCAGGATAGTCTCAATCTCCTGACCTTGTGATCCGCCCGCCTCGGCCTCCCCAAGTGTTGGGATTATAGGCGTGAGCCACTGCACCCAGCCAGCCTCCCGAGTAACTGGGATTACAGGCATGTGCCACCACATCCAGCTAATTTTTTGTATTTTTAGTAGAGATGGGTTTTGCCATGTTGGCCAGGCTGGTCTCGAACTCCTGGCCTCAAGTGATCTGCCTGCCTCAGCCTCCCAAAGTGCTGGGATTACAGGCTCGAGCCACCGTGCCCACCCAGCTCACTGCGTCTTTGACCTCCTGGGCTCAAGTGATTCTCCCACCTCTGCCTCCTGAGTAGCTTGGACTACAGGTGTGTGCCACCATGCCTAGCTAATTTTTTTTTTTTGAGACAGTGACTCACTATGTTGCCCAGGCTGGTTTTGAACTCCTGGACGCAAGTGATTTTCCCACCTTGGCCTACCAAAGTGCTCGGATTATAGGCGTGAGCCAGCATGCCCAGCTGCCCAGCTAATTTTTTATTTTTTGTAGTGACATAGACTCACTGTATTGCCAAGGCTGGGTTGGAACTCCTGGGCTCAAGCCCTCCTTGGCCTCTCAAAGTGATGGGATTACAGGCCTGAGCCTATGCACCTGGCCTCCCAGGAGTATTTCCTTCCTTCCTTCTTTCTTTTCTTTTCCTTTTTTTCTTTTTTGTTTTTTTTTTTTTTTTCTGAGACAGGGTCACACCCTGTCGCCCAGGCTGGAGTGCACAATCTCAGCTCACTGCAGCCTTGATCTCCTGGACTCAAGTGATCCTTCCACCTCGGTCTCCCAAGTAGCTGGGACTACAGGTGTGCACCACCATGCCCTGCTAATTTTTGTTTATTTTTTTGTTTTGTTTTGTTTTGTTTTGAGACGGAGTCTCACTCTGTGGCCCAGGCTGGAGTGCAATGGCACGATCTCTGCTCACTGCAACCTCTGCCTCCTGGGTTCAAGCAATTCTCCTGCCTCAGCCTCCCAGGTAGCTGAGATTACAGGCACCCGATACAGTGCCCAGCTAAATTTTTTTTTTTTTTTTGCTTTGAGATGGAGTTTTGGTCTTGTTGCCCCCGCTAGAGTGCACTGGTGCGATCTCGGCTCACTGCAACCTCCGCCTCCTGGGTTCAAGCGATTCTCCTGCCTCCGCCTCCTGGGTTCAAGCGATTCTCCTGCCTCCGCCTCCTGGGTTCAAGCGATTCTCCTGACTCAGCCTCCTGAGTAGCTGGGATTACAGGCACCTGCCACCACGCCCAGCTAATTTTTTGTATTTTTAGTAGAAACAGGGTTTCACCTGTTGGCCAGGCTGGTCTGGAACGCTTGACCTCGAACTCAGGTGATCTACCCACCTAGGCCTCCCAAATTGCTGGGATTACAGGCATGTGAATCACCACGCCCGGTCTTTTTATTTTTTGTAGAGATTTGATGGTGGTGGTGGGGGCTCTTACCATGTTACCCAGGCTGTACTTGAACTTCTGGGCTCTAGCAATCTGCCTGACTTGGCCTTCCAAAATTCTGGGATTACAGGCATGAGACAGCATGCCTTGCCTGGAGTGTATCTTTTTTTTTTTTTTTTTTTTTTTGAGATAGAATCCTTCTCTGTCACCCAGGTTGGAGTGCAGTGGTGCAATCTCACCTCACTGCAACCTCCACCTCCCGGGTTTAAGCGATTCTCATGCCTCAACCTCAAGAGTAGCTGGGATTTATAGGCGTGTGCCACCATGCCTGGCTAATTTTTGTATTTTTTGTAGAGATGGGGTTTTGCCTTGTTGGTCTTGAACTCCTGACCTCAAGTGATCCCCCACCTTGGCCTTCCAAAGTGCTGGGATTACAGGTGTGAGCCACCAAGACTGGCCACCCCCATTTTAGGACAAGAGAAGAGAGGTGATAAGGAACTGCTATTTCAAAAAGATGAATGGGAGGGAAGGGACCAGAAAGTGACATCATCAGGGAACACTTGATTCAGGCATGGGTAGCAAGTTCAGTTACCTTACTCCTGGCAGCAACAGGATTGGGGGAGGGGGTCTTGGAGAAGATTTTGTCTGCAAATGTCGCAACACTGTTGCAGTGTGAGTATGACCCAAAGTGCTTGGCAGGGGGACAGGCCTGCTGCTTCCCTGCATTCTGGGCTGACCTCTTCACCTGAGTCGGTCAGTGGACGCTTTTGGCCTCCTTCCTGGAGCTAGACAGCTGTTAGGCTTAGGGAGCAGCTCCGGACCTACAGGGTTGGGGTGCAGGTAGGGAGGGAGGCTGCAGCATGTCAGAGTGGTAAATACATGTCCTGATTTCCAGGACTGATTTCACATATTCTGCCCCACAAGTTCACCAGCACCTGTCAGATTGGATGTCCCAGTTTTTGGTTTGGAAAATTCGATCTGTCTCAGGTAATGGAGAAGGGGGAGACAGCAGTTCATTCATTCCAGTGTCTAAGCCTGTGGTTGGTGGGAACAAGAGACTGTCTGGGATGGCTCCAGCCCTTCGCTGGAATCTCGCATTGAATTCCTAGCTCCGCCCTGATCCGTGCTGAGGCGAGCAGGTGAGTGGGACGGACAGCGCTGTGCCTGCACCCTCCTAGCCCCACTTGCTTACCGCGGCCCCTGCCTTATCCCACACTGGGAAGTATGCTCTGTTAGCCTCGGCTCAGCCTTGCCTCATCGGCCCAGTGGGGAGAGTCCAGGGAGGAGAGAGGCTCCACGTGCTAAAGGAAAGCGGCCTGCCAGACACTGCTGCTTAAGGAGACTGTCTAAGCAATCGGATTCGGTGCGGCCGAGATGCAGACGTCCGTTTCTCCCAAGGGAAGGAGCAAGGGTACTCCAGGTCCCAAAGCTGCGTTACAGCCAGTTGGGCTAATCCTACCCGCCCCTCCCCCAACTCCCCGAGTGGCAATCTGTCCAGCCCCTCAAGCGATCAGGCCACAACCCCCAGCACCGCGCGTTCTCCTCCCAGCCTAGCCCGGCCCATCTCCCCACCCGGGGCCCCGCCCCGGCCCCGCAGGCTCCCAAGAGGCGGTGGATGGGCCAGCGGGACTACAAGTCCCAGCAGGCCCCGGGGCCCGCCCTCGTGGGGCGGAGCCAAGCCAGCAGCGAATTGGGAGGAGCCCTGGCGCTCAGGCTAGGGAACGCGTGTGGCCAATCGCGGGGCCGTTCTCGCCGCGAGCCGATGGGGGCGGGGAAAAGTCCGGCTGGGCCGGGACAAAAGCCGGATCCCGGGAAGCTACCGGCTGCTGGGGTGCTCCGGATTTTGCGGGGTTCGTCGGGCCTGTGGAAGAAGCGCCGCGCACGGACTTCGGCAGAGGTGAGCACGGGAGGCTGTTTTCGCTGGCTGGAGCCCGCTCGCCCTAGGAGCTTCCTGCCTCCGTCCCCCAACCCGGAACCGCCTTCCCCGACGCGGGCTCGGTGCCCACGCGCCCTGCTCGGAAGTTTTGAGGGTCTTAGCTTTAGGTTAGCCTTCGCCCGGGGTCCCGGCCGGTGGCCGCGTGTCGACGCCCCTCCCCTCCCCCCGCGCGACACACACATATTCCAGTTCCTGGGAGTTTGCATGGGGCTTGCCGCCATCCTTGCCTCTTCTGCCTCTGCCACATTGCATGGTCCCCCTCCTGGCGCGCCTCACCCCTCCCGGGCACAGCTATCGAGGCTCCTCGGGCTCATCGGGACGCCTTTTGGCTCCATCCGGGTTCCCCCATCGGATGCCGGGACGGGAAGTAGAGAAAGCGGTGGCGACTGGTCCCACTCCGATTCCTCACTGGCCGGGCTCAGGCCCTTCTTGGTTCCGTGGGTACAAAATTGAGCTCCACGCCCAAGTGGAGAGAATGAGCTATGCGCGCCTCCGGGGCGGGCCACGCGGGGCCAGGCTGCCCCAGGGTGCCCGAGGCCTCGCCTCGTCTCGCCGCGAGGACTGGAATCTCGCAGCAAGGACCCTCCTCGCACTGGAGGTATCGTCGAGTCCAGCCCCTAAGTGACAGATGGCCGGGGTGCCACCCCACCCTTGAGCTGACGCCAAGTCTGGCCGGGGAAAGGTCCTCAAGGGGCTGGAGGATGCTGCCGCCGCCCTCCTGTCGAGCCTGGCAATGGGCCAGTCCCAGCGCCTGCCGCGGTCTCCAACCTTGGCAGATACCGTGCAGTGCCGAGTTCTGCCGTTATGGGGTCCCTGGAGGTCTTCCTGGGAAGAGGATTTTGGAAGAGACGATAAGGAAAAGTGCACAGCACAGTTTGGCCAGCTAGCCTACTCCTCTCCACCCTTAACTTTCCTCTGTGTTTTCAGCTGGCTCAGCTGAACTAAAATGTGGGGTGAGGGACAGCTGGTAGGTCTCATTTGCCCAGATGGGTGATTTTCACCTCTTAGAAACCTTCCTAAACAGCTTGGGGGGCGGTAGTGGGAAGACCCCTCAGACACTGGACAGCTTATGGCTCCATCCCCGTTCTGACACTATGCCTGCCGCAGTAAGGGGCACTCACAGAATTCTGCCTCTCTAGAATTTACTCCAGGGATTGCCTGTCTTCTCAAAAAATAAATAAATAAATACCTACATACGTAAGTCCCAATCCTGCAGATACTAACCTTCAAATGAGTGTTTTTGTCTTTCCCAGAGGCACCCTTAGTAGCATCCCCAGTGATTCCCTTCCCCTGGCTGTGTCCCAGGGGCGTGTTCTGGGGAACAGGCTTCTTTCATTCAGCCTCCTGTGTGGGCTGCTTCTCTCAGTGTCTGCTAAAAGTGAACTCAATCCTGGGTCACTCACCCGTCTGCAGAAAGACTCCATTCAGCTCATAAGGCCCCTCCCTTAGAGAATGTGTGTATGTGTGTGTTTTCAGGTTCCTTGGCATGATTTCCCCCAAATGGTTTACACATTTAGCTGTTACCAAGTAACAGTTCCTGGAGTCCAAGCTCAGCCCAATCATCTGTTACTTGTTTGACAGCACATTCAGCTACTGGGGAGGCAGACTAAGACGTTCTGGGGAGCGGTCCCAAACCCAGATAGGTATTTGTAGGTATTTGCTGATTCCACTAGAGCAAATATTCTTTTTTTTTTTTTTTTTTTTTTGAGACAGAGTCTTGCTCTGTCGGCAGGCTGGAGTGCAGTGGTGGATCTCGGTTCACTGCAACCTCCGCCTCCTGGGTTCTAGCGATTCTCCTGCCTCAGCCTCCCCAGTAGCTACAGGTGTGCACCACCACGCCCGGCTAATTTTTGTATTTTTAGTAGAAACAGGGTTTCACCATATTGGCCAGGCTGGTCTCAAACTCCTGACCTCGTGATTTGCCCTCCTTGGCCTCCCGAAGTGCTGGGATTACAGGCGCAAGCCACCGTGCCTGGCCGCAAATGTTCTTAACTGGTGGTCAGTCTGTGGGCCATCGGATCATTGTCACAGGTGAGCACCTTGAAACAATATGCACAATTGGATTTGTGTACCTTTTTCTGGGGTTTTTTTCAGTCTCAGAAGAGTCTGAGGCCTCAAAGAGGTTAAGAGCCACTGCCTTAGAGAGACTTTAAGACCTCACTGAAGGCCGGGCGTGGTGGCTCATGCCTGTAAATCCCAGCACTTTGGGAGGCTGAGGTGGGTGGATCACGAGGTCAGGAGTTCGAGACCAGCCTGACCAACATGGTGAAACCCCGCCTCTACTAAAAATACAAAAAAAATTAGATGGGCGTGGTGGCGTGCATCTGTAATCCCAGCTACTCAGGAGGCTGCGGCAGGAGAATCACTTGAACCTGGGAGGCTGAGGTTGCAGTGAGCCGAGATCACTCCACTGCACGCCAGCCTGGGCGACAGAGCCAGAGTCCTTCTCAAAAAAAAAAAAACAAAACAAAACAAAAAAACAGAAGACCTCACTGAACCACTAAAGTTGCGATTTATCTCTACTGAGTCCACTCCCTGGGTTTGTGAGCCATTTGCCTTCTCTTTATTGGTGAATTTGCAGAGGCCTTATTTTTATTATGTTGTATACATTCCTTGTCTCAACCTCCCGTCTCTAAGCCAGAATGCTCTAGTGGCAAATCTCTTGTTTTCTATCCTGTATTATCCCATTGTGTCTTCTCTCCTATCCCCCTTCCAAAGACCCTATGGAGATGGGCTCTTGGACCTGAAATTTGATCTGGGTCTCAAGAAAACTGTGATTTCTCAGCTGCAGGGGTCCATTTTTTCTCCCTTGTCCTTTCCAAAGTTGGGTCTTGTGTCTGTTTTGGAGGTGCCAGGTTCAGGGGACTGTTTTACTGGGAGTCTCAGACTTCTTTCTTCTAGAGAGGCATAGCCCAGGGACTTCCTTTCCCCTGGAGTTATGGAAGGAGTCTGAATTGCTGAGGATGGTCAGCCACTGCCCCCTCCTCTCTGAGTGTTCCTTGATCTGCCCTGGGCTGCACTCTCTTTGGAAGGGGGTGGGGGCTGTACCCATTCAATCTGAGGACCAGTTTTTCTGGTCTGAGTCAAAAATATTGGGAAATGGAGCAGTGGGTGGGGGGTGGAGGACCGTGGGGCAGTGAGGTGGTTGGGACGTCTCTGGAAACTCATACTGAGAAGGAATCTCAAGTCATTCCAGGGGAAGGCCAGAAAAGGGAACATCTCTGAGCCCCTTCCCAGCTACCCCACTTTAGGCAGACACCAGGCTGAATACACCCATTGTGCCATGCTGGATACTAGCTAGGAGGCCGACAGAGGCAGCCAAGCCAGGATGAGAACCTGAAGCCCCACCAGCCTGGCCGATTGGGAGGGGGCGCAATGTAGCCCCTGGAATGTTGGCCTTCTCTGAGTTGGGAACGGAGACCCAACTTCCAGCACGTGTAAACAAGCCGGCTCCTTCACTCTGCCCTCCTTTATTTGTACTTGACTTTTTTCTCCCCCAGCAAATTAAACAGCTTTGCTTCTGGGCTTTGGGGGAGTCAGGAGTGACTTTTCCTGATCCGGCCAAGCTCTTGGCCTGAATTTCCATGCCCACCTCCCCCGATTCCCCTCCCCAGCTCAGTCCTTGAGTTACCCACAGGAGAATGGGTGTATCAGGACAGAGTCTTGGAGAGGGGAGATGATGAAATTCTTATCATAGACTCTTTGAAGTGAAAAGGACACATGGGCCTGGCTCTTGGAAAAATGGTCTTTTCTTGGGCTGGTGTGGATTTTTCTGGGGACCTAGGTGTAAGAGGGTTTGGGTTCGAGTCTTGGGTCATAACCTTGCTTATTATTAGGTGGGCTTCTTGGGCAAGTTATCCTAACGCCTCTGAGATTTTATTCCTCATCTAAGAAATGGGGTTATAAATCTCAGTGTACCTCCCAGAGCTCATATGAGATGAGTTTCTTTTTATCTTTTTTTAGACACAAGGTCTTGCTCTGACACCCAGGCTACAGTGCAGCGGTGCAATCATAGCTCACTGTAGCCTCGAACTCCAAGATGAGTTTTCCTATACATGTGATGGAGGATGGTTTCTGCCTCTTCCTCCTCCTCCTCTCAGTCCGCCCCAGTTAGAAGTGACCACTACAGGGTGGTCCCCAGAGAGGCATCTGTTCTTCTTAGTGAGTTTTGCTCTAAATTAGCAGCTGGATGACGCAGTGGGGCGGGTGGAATGTGCTAAAGGTCGGTTTCCCTGCCCTGTGTCTGCTCCATACTCAGGATTGGGAGGCTAGTGTCCAGGAGAAAAGAGGAGAAAAGAGCTTAGCGATGATCCTCCCCCCTCCCCTACTCCCCTTCTAACCAGGACCTGGGGGTGTGACCCTTTTTGAGGCTAAGTAAACTTGCTGGCTTGGCCATTGGCCCGGTGGTGTGTAAGGGTGTGTATAGGGGTAAATCTGGGTGTGGGGGAGATGAAACCTGTAGGGAGAGAAAGGCTAGCCTTTTGCAATTTCAGCCGTACTCTGCACTGGTCAGAGAACAGAAAGGTGTTTCAGTGTCTGCCCACCTCAGATGGGACCAGCACTCAGATTTGGGTCAAAGCACCGGTTTTCTTGGCCTTCTAGCCAGCTGCCTTTTGCTCCAGGATGAGTGTGGTTGTGGATCAGCTAGTTTGCCTAGAGGGAATGGGGCAGGGTAAGGCAAGAGTCCCAGGGGAAATGGCACTTTTGTTTTTCTCTATCTTCCCTCACCCATTATCTCTGGATCTTCTTCCTCTGCTGGCAAAAGTGCTGCTTGATATCTCTCTTCCATCCCTCCCGCTGGGACAGCATTTTTTCCTTCCTCTTGAGAAAAGCTGAGATCTGGTTTTATTGTCTGGGGGCAACTGGGAGTGGGTCTGCCCTGCTGGGGAAGATAGTGCCTCCACACGCCTGCCCCCTTCTGACCAGCTTCTCTCTCCCAGACAGGTAGAGCAGGTCTCTCTGCAGCCATGTCGGCCAAGGCAATTTCAGAGCAGACGGGCAAAGAACTCCTTTACAAGTTCATCTGTACCACCTCAGCCATCCAGAATCGGTTCAAGTATGCTCGGGTCACTCCTGACACAGACTGGGCCCGCTTGCTGCAGGACCACCCCTGGCTGCTCAGCCAGGTGAGCCCTGCCTCCACTTTGGGCCTTTCTTCCAGGCCCGGGGTCTGAGGAAGAGAAAGCCATTGGTTTGTTGGTGATGCCGATAGGGT
This sequence comes from Homo sapiens, assembly GCF_000001405.40. NCBI lineage: Eukaryota > Metazoa > Chordata > Mammalia > Primates > Hominidae > Homo > Homo sapiens. The sequence continues at coordinate 41,913,625 of NC_000017.11, read as the reverse complement.
CATGGGGTTGGAGGCTGCCAGCAGCAGCTGTGGGAAGCATGCCATGGGCTGAGCAGGGTTTGTGTTCATGCTGAGCCCTGCATGTTGAGGTACCCCAGCATGGTATACCCTGCCATGGGCTTGAAACTGGACAAACTGGTGTCCAAATCAAAGCTGTGTTTATTAACCATGTGGCCTGGGGCAAGCCATTTCACCTCTTTTGAGTTTTAGATTCCCCATCTCTCCAATGGGATAATACTCACTTTGAGCTGTAAAGATTAGCAAGAAGCATTTAGCGTGCTTGGTGCCTGGCACATGGTAGATGCTCAGTAAAAAGTAGGGATGTGCCCTCTCCTCCCCTAAGTGGAGTATATCAGGAATGTATCAAGGCAATTAGGAAGTGTGATGTTGTACTTTGTGAAGAATGGCCCCGACCCTGGAGGGTCAGCCTGGAATAGAGGGCTCTGTTCTTGAGATCTTTGCAGGGCCATTGTTAGAAAGCTCTTAGATTTCCTTGGCAGGGCTCAGAGAGTAAGCCTAGGACTAGTGGTGGTGTTTCTTCCCACTAGGAGGCAGCTCAACCACAAAGGGATGGAGGGAGTTTCCTGGCCCTGGAGATGTATGAGCAGTGGTTAGGGGCTGCTTATTGGGCCTGTTGTAGACAGGGTTCAAGCACAGGGATGGGGTTGACCAGATGACCTCTAAGGTTCCTTGCTGCCTCAAGGCTCTGTCTCTCTGTTTTCCTCTTTGGAACACATGTTCTGGTCCATATTCTGAGGGGCTTACTGTTGAATGAAGAAGCTAATGTATCACATAGGGAGGGTAGAGAATCACTTATTCACTCAGCAGGTATTTGCTGAGCGCCTACTCTGTGCCAGGCTCCATCTGGGCACAAATGCCTCTAGATACCTGGTTGTCAAAAGCAAGATATTGGCTAGGGTAGGTGGAGGAAGCATCCAGGAGTTGACTCTGAAGGATGGTTAGGGCTGGCTTTGGAGCAGAGTGAATGGGAAGTCAATCCCTGCTGTCCTCTATTTGGATCCCCAAAATACTACGGTTTATCTAATTCTTCCTCACTCTAAATACAAACCGCTTTTGTTCCAGAACTTGGTAGTCAAGCCAGACCAGCTGATCAAACGTCGTGGAAAACTTGGTCTCGTTGGGGTCAACCTCACTCTGGATGGGGTCAAGTCCTGGCTGAAGCCACGGCTGGGACAGGAAGCCACAGTGAGTGGGCATGGGGTCAGGATGAACGTGTGTGGTAACAGAAGCAAATATGGTCACCTCCAGGTCAGCAGCTCTGTGGATCACCCCCACAGCCAGTCTCATTGTAGCTCAGGGAAGGCAGGAGTCCTGTGGCGCTGACCCACTCAGGTGGCTGCCAGCAGTAGGCTCAGTCTTGATGCCCATTCCCAGCTCCCTCATCATCCAAACTTCTTTGTTTTATTGGTTTGGGCAAGATGTGCTGCAGAGGTAACCTCAATATAATTCAAGAGCCAGGTGGAAATGGTCTGATTCTTTTTTTTTTTTTTTTTGACAGGGTCTTGCTCTGTAGCCCAGGCTGGAGTGCAGTGGCGTGATCTTGGCTCACTGCAACCTCCGCCTCCTGGGTTCAAGCGATTTTCTAGCCCCAGCCTTCTGAGTAGCTGAGATTACAGGCATGCAGCACCATACTTGGCTAATTTTGTATTTTTAGTAGAGACGAGGTTTCTCCATGTTGGCCAGGCTGGTCTCGAACTCCTGACCTCAGGTAATCTGCCTGCCTCGGCTTCCCAAAGTGCTGGGATTATAGGCATGAGCCACTGCGCCCGGCCTACTTTATTTTTTTTTAAGACAGGGTCTCACACTGTCACTCAAGGCTGTAGTGCAGTGGCATGTTCACATCTCACTACAGCCTCCACTTCCCAGGTTCAAGTTATCCTCCCACCTCAGCTTCCTGAGTATCCGGGACTATAGGTGCATGCCACCATCCAGGCTGCTTTTTAACATTTTTTTATAGAGTTAGGGTCTTGAATGTTACCCAGGCTGGTCTCGAACTTCTGGCCTCAGGGAATCCTCCTGCCTCAGCCTCCCATGTAGCTGGAACCACAGATGTGTGCCACCAAGCCCAAATTCAATTATTAACTTCTCCCAGCTTGGTGATGAATTTCAACCACGTAGATGAGAGAGTTAAAGTGAAACATGGTTTAGGAAGGGTAAGAGATGCCTGGAATAAAATTATGTTTCTTCTTATTCCCCAGGGGAGCTGGAGGACTAAGGGAGGGAGTGGAGCTGAGGCCTGGCCTAGCCTGGGAAGAATGTGCCATCCACACCTGGCTCTGTAGAGCACGTGGCTCTGAAGGGCCTGGTGCTCATCTGGGGTGAAACTGTACCAGGGATGAGCTGTTCTCTTCCTTGGCTGCCTCGAGAATAGCAATGAAGGTGGTGATGGAGATGTCTTCCTCCCTCATTGGGCTTCCTCAGAGTAGCCCTTAAATGTTAATTTCCCAGTTTCTGGCCCTCATGGGTAAAGCGGGATCCTTGAAGTTGCACATGGACCCAGGCGTGAAGCGACCTGTCCCTTGAGTTCCCAGGCCTTTGGAGAGAGGATGGTGGGATTGGAGGGAGGGATGCTGAGCATGTCCCCAGGGAGCACATCCTGCTTCCTTCTGCTGGCCTCTGGGAGGGGAAGGTGGGACATCAGACATCTGAGCTGGCAGCAGCGTTGGGCCAGCAGGAGTGGCTCATTACCTCTTATGGATTGCTGTCTGGTCCCTGACTCAGCAGTGACGCACAGGCCAGGCGGGGGTTTTGGGACTTACTAGGATGAGGGCTGTCTCGCCACAGCCGCCGCCAGGGAATCACTCGAACTGATTAGCTCTGCAGGCCTGTGGTCCTCAGCCAGGAGAGTCTGCGTGGAGAAGTTTCCCTGATTAAGCCCTGGCTCCCCACTTCTCCACCCATTCCCTGCGCCCGGACCCATGTCCTGAGGCTGAGTCACTGTGCCTTCCTCAAGGCTCATGAAGCAGAATGGTTACCTCCCTTCTACCCGGTTTCCCCTCCCCGTCAAGCTCTGCCACAGCCGTGACTTGTTGGAGCCCTTTCACTTGCGCAGGTCCTGTGTCACCCTCCAGAGGAGGCCAAGAGTGGGCAAGGTCGGTGCCTGTTCAGGCACAGCCCGCACCAGAGCAAGGGGTGAAAGGGCATCTCCTGAGGACTTACTGAGCTTAGGGATCTGTGACCCCATTTTTTCTGGAAAAATCTCTCTTTGCTGGGTGTGGTGGTGGGAGTGCTTGGGCACCACCCCTGTGCAGTCCCTCCTTCTGCCCTAGGGGCAAGACGTGCTGTCCCTCTGAGTTTCATCTCCCTCAATTTTTCTGTAGGTTGGCAAGGCCACAGGCTTCCTCAAGAACTTTCTGATCGAGCCCTTCGTCCCCCACAGTCAGGTATGTGTGAGGCGGCTCCAGGCTGGGTCTTCTCCCTCCTGGAACCTTGGGTTTGTCCACCGTAACCTGAGGAAAGAAGTCAAGCTGATGAGGACAGTCAGAGGGACCAGGGTCCCTGAAGCTGCACTGAGGATCTGAGGGTGCTGCGGACTCGGGAGTCCAGAGGGGAAGGAAAGGGCTTGGTCTACAGCAGAGAGGAGTTAGGACTGGTAACAAAGGGGACTTCCAAGTGCAGGGATGAGAACGACCTGCAGGCAGGCCCCACCCCTCAGCTGGGGTTGGTCATACTGATTCAGTCTGGACCACCAGCCAGTGGGGTAGAGGCTTCTTCCTCTTGTCCTCGGGGAAAAGATGGTGGACAAGTCTCTGGATGAATGGTTTTCACTGGGTTTTAGAAAATGAGACCGTGGGGATTGGTTTCCTCTCCCAGTACATGGTAGACCATCTTCCCCAGTTCAGCGCCCCTCACCAGCTTCGCCCCCACAACCCCAATCCCACTGTCCTGTCTCTTCACCTGCAAGGCTGAGGAGTTCTATGTCTGCATCTATGCCACCCGAGAAGGGGACTACGTCCTGTTCCACCACGAGGGGGGTGTGGACGTGGGTGATGTGGACGCCAAGGCCCAGAAGCTGCTTGTTGGCGTGGATGAGAAACTGAATCCTGAGGACATCAAAAAACACCTGTTGGTCCACGCCCCTGAAGACAAGAAAGAGTTGAGTGAGAGGGACGGTAGGGAGGTGGCAGTTCGGATGAGAAGACCGACAGGCTCTGGGCACAGACTGGGGAGAGCAGAGCGGTCTCCTCTCTGGGAGCCAGGTGGTAGACACGGCCCTGTCCTGAGGAAGACAGCTGGGTGCAGGGCGGGGACTGGCTTGGAACCAGACTGAAATATGCCGCCAGCATCCCTCACCTCCTTGCCCCTGTCTGTCTGACACCTCTGCCTCCAGCTTCTCGCCTGACAGCTCCTTTCCGCCTCAGTGGCTGAAGAGCTATGTCCAGGGAGCAGGGGTTGCAGAGGAGATGGAAGGGCCAGTGGGGTGCGTTTAGGGAAATGGAGCTGTCGGTGGCAGTGAGAGATTGCTGCGGGGCGCCTGGGGTGCTGCCGAGCTGCTCCCTGATGGATGAACTGTCCCTCTCTCCCTCCCACCTCTAGAATTCTGGCCAGTTTTATCTCCGGCCTCTTCAATTTCTACGAGGACTTGTACTTCACCTACCTCGAGATCAATCCCCTTGGTAACTGGGTGTGCTTGGCTGGGAGGGGGCAAGGGTCCCAGTGCCTATGACAGCCCTGGCCTTGGCATTCAGAGAACCAGACTCCCACTTGCCAGAGGGTAACACAAGACAGATGTGCACAAGCAGAGGGGTCCCCATGCAGGTTTAGTGCCAGTTCCTGTTTCTGAGCTCTCAGAAGACTGTAGTTCTTCTCTTAGTCAACTCCAACCTCTCTCTTTGGTCTTAGAGACAGAGTCTTGCCCTGTCGCCCAGGCTGGAGTACAGTGGCACAATCTCAGCTCACTGCAATCTCCGCCTCCTGGTCTCAAGCAATTTTTCTGCCTCAGCCTTCCGAGTAGCTGGGATTACAGGTGCCCGCCACCACGCCAGGCTAATTTTTTATTTTTAGTAGAGACGGGGTTTCACCATGTTGGCCAAGGCTGGTCTCGAACTCCTGACCTCAGGTAATCTGTCCACCTCGGCCTCTCAAAGTGCTGAGATTACAGGCGTGAGCCACCACGCCCGGCCAGAAGTCCTGGTTTTGATCTGACTGTGTGCTTCTGCTCCTCCCGCCAGGTCAGGCTTTCTGACAGCAGGAGGTGGGCAGCCTCTGCACTGCTCTCACCCTTTGGCCCTTCATTCCTCCTGGTACACTCAGAGGCCTCACACTTGCCTCCCTCTGTGGGAGTTGGTCAATCATTAACCCTTGATGCTGGGAAGAGCTTGGTCTCAGTCTCTTGGGCTGTGAAGGAAGCAGGTGGTGTTGAGGGAGAGTGGCGTGGGCTGGCTCTGGCCAGGACTTCTCAGGGCAGAGTCTAGGAAGGCGAGAAATCAAATCATTCCAGCTGAGGATGCAGCCCCTCTAATGGACCAGATGGCCTTGTGCTAACTCAATCAGCTAAATGGCCCTGGGGGAGGAGGAAGATGGGTGTCCAGTGAGGTGGTATAAACGAATCCTGCTGATTGGGAGTCCAGTGCACCCTGCGGCCCCTGCTCCACCTGACACTGAGGCTTCCCCTAGCCAGACCCTGGGAGACATAGATGTGCATACCGGTGGGGGGTCTTCTGTCAGCAACATGTACCTTTAAACACTTTTTAAAAGTGGCCGGACCATGGGTTTGCGCATGGTTAGATACTCAAAAGCAGGGAGTGTAGCGTTTTGTAAAGATGTTTGAAAATTGCCATGGCAACTAATACAGACCTCCATGTCCCATTGCCTATAGGTCAGGGAGAGGGGAATGGCCTTGTAGAATTTGTTTTGCCTTTAATGGGGAAAAGCTCTGTCTCCATAAGGGCCTCTCTGGTTTCTTACTGAGCTTAGAGAGTTCTGAGGCCTGAATGGGCCACCATGGGATCGGTGTTTGTGGAGGGGTTGGAGGTTGGTGGTTGTCTCTACCCAGAGCCGGTGTCTGATGATTGCCTCTGCTCCCCTTGAAGTAGTGACCAAAGATGGAGTCTATGTCCTTGACTTGGCGGCCAAGGTGGACGCCACTGCCGACTACATCTGCAAAGTGAAGTGGGGTGACATCGAGTTCCCTCCCCCCTTCGGGCGGGAGGCATATCCAGAGGTAAGGCTGGTTTAGAGAGGAGATGGGGACTGGGGGGAGGGCGGTGGGGAGGTGACTCATCTTTGATGTGCATTTGGCCCCCCTTCATGAGCTGTTTATTTGGCAGGGAAAGGAAGACTGAGAAGCATTTAATTTTCTTAAAACCTCAATGGGGTGGGGGTGGGAGTGAGCCAAGCCTCTGAATCCCAGCCAGAAATCCTTTTAGATTTCTCTCTCAATCAGCCTCCCTCGACTCTTCACTTGATTTGTTGCCTCTCCATGATTCCAAGTGTCTCGCCTTAATCCTGATGGAAGGTCATTCTCTCCGCGTCTCACTGAGAATTTTAATTGCTCTTTCCCACTCTGTCCTCTGAGAAGTCCTCACAGCAGGACTGGGCTTTCTGGGAAGTACCCCAGGCCCAGGGAAGAGGCTGGGCTAGGAGACGGTCTCGTCTGGGGAGGCCTGGGGTTGGGGGGACGTGTGATGGGCCGAGCAGGCAGATGCTGGGGTGAGGGCATGGTTGAGCAGAGGGACATGGTTAGGCTCAGGACTTAGGCAGAGGGCCAAGTACTTGACGTCAGAGAAGGGAGATGGGAAGTTTGTCCCTAGGCAGTGACTGTGACTATGGGTGTTTTTGGTACTTGGAGACACCATCAAGTGTCTTCAAGGCATGTGGGGCCCTGCGTAGCCCCTTCTTCCCACCCCATTAAGGCACCTTTTCATGTGCTTCCAGGGAAAGCGGGGAGGGGTCCTAGGATCTGGGACCTGGTAAAGGGGGTACCCCAAGGGCCTACCTGTTGCTGTCTGGTCCCCAGGAAGCCTACATTGCAGACCTCGATGCCAAAAGTGGGGCAAGCCTGAAGCTGACCTTGCTGAACCCCAAAGGGAGGATCTGGACCATGGTGGCCGGGGGTGGCGCCTCTGTCGTGTACAGGTGACCGAAGGGGGTTGCTGAAGGGATGCCAGCCCAGTCTACCCAGCATCAACATGTGTGTAGCCTGGGTGGGTGGGGTCCTGTCACTTTGGTGTGGGAATTTGGGGCAGAGGAAAGCAGTGGCATCCCAGAGGGCTTCGAGGGATGTTGGTGAGGGCCTGTCCTGCACCCAGTGTCTTCTATAACCTTCTTGTTTGTGTCAAAATGAAGCTGTTTTATGAGTTTTAATTCTGAAAATTACGTGCTCCATACAAAGGTACAGAAAATGAGCTAGAAAGTGAAAGTTGCCTGGACATTTCCCCATCCTCTCCCTGACCAGGTCACCCCAGTTAGCAAGTTACTGTATGTCCTGTCAAGCATATATAAATATTTATACTCTTTGCTTTATAGAATATTAGGATCATATTCTACACCCTTTACAATAATTAGCAGTTTTTTTCACTTTAAGCATGGTAGACACCTGCTCACTTCTAGATGTGCAATCTGCCATTCCCTTCTGTGTGTGACTGGCACTATTTCCTCTGGCTGCAGCACACTTTCTCTTGGGTAGCCCGTCAGGGACTCCTGCAGTGTGTGATTTTGCTTGTCTTTGTGTTAGGGAGGTGCTCATTGTTCATTTTACCTGCCATTGTCTGTCCAGGGCTCCCCAGTGCCTTAGGGCTGGCAGAGTGCACTGCCCAGAAGAGTCTGATGTAGCACCATTAACCTGCAGGCCAGACTTGCATGGGAATTGGGGGCTGGAGATCCAAGAGGCCGGTTCCACAGGCTAACTCCAGTGTTTTGAGGGATCCGTGTGTCCTCCCAGGCACCAGGCTGCCACTCCCTGCCCCAAGTGTGAGAGCCATCACTGACTTCTGTCTCCTTGGCAGCGATACCATCTGTGATCTAGGGGGTGTCAACGAGCTGGCAAACTATGGGGAGTACTCAGGCGCCCCCAGCGAGCAGCAGACCTATGACTATGCCAAGACTATCCTCTCCCTCATGACCCGAGAGAAGCACCCAGATGGTGAGATACTTGCACACACACATACCTGTCCCCACTTCCCCAGGACAGCCCAGCAGGCTGCAATGGGACAGCTTCGTCTGAGGAGTCACCAAGGCTGTGTGTGGTCCTTTGCAACTTGAGGCTAATCATTGAACTTTGGCTCTCAGTTTCTCTGACTGCACAGAGGGCAGGGACCACATCTATCAGTGGGAGGGGACTGAGAGGGCAAGAGGTGATGTGTGATAAAGCCCTTCAAACAAGTGCAGGGGAGGAGGTGGCTGTGGCATGCTCCTGCTACAATTGCAGTAAACTCAGTTTATCCGATTGCGATAAACTCTGATTGCAATAAACTCAGTGACCCTCTTATATTACCTGGCCTCTGTGAGTCTCAGTGCCCCTTTACCACCTGTGTTTTGGAGCTCTGCATACCAGTTCTTCTTTCCTTGAGCCAGAGAGGGAGAGAGATTCCCTCCAGAGATATCTAGAAACCAACCTGGATTTTTGGATGTTGGTTAGGAGTTATGTAGTGCTCCTGTGGGTTTGTTCTGACCCCTGTCTGGTGGCATAGGTAATGGAGAGTTGAGCTGATAAAGTGGAATGTCTGGAGAGACTGTCCTACTCACTCCCCAGTACCTCCTGGCAGATGGGGGACCCTCATTCAGGGGAACAAGAACTTCCTCAGTTGGATTGCTGGGAAGATGCTCAAGTCTACCTATGTAACTGTTTTTGATTCTCTCTTACTCCAAATCCAGGCAAGATCCTCATCATTGGAGGCAGCATCGCAAACTTCACCAACGTGGCTGCCACGTTCAAGGTAACAGTTGCAACAGTGGTGCAGTTTCTGGGGAAAGTGGTTTGGGGAAAGCAGGGAAGGGGCCTTGAAAGCAGAGTTTGAGCCAGAGCCAAGTTACCATGAGTTCCCAGGTCAGGTAGGGAGCTCTTGCCCCAGGGTCTCTTAAAGGGGTGGAGAAGACACTGGGACAGGAGCTGCCCATCTGCGCTGTGTGTCTCTGGGCAAGCAGCTGCTACGCTGAACTATAACTCTCCCACCTGAAGCATGGGAGGCGAATTTCTGCTTTCTTCCTTCTCAGGACCAATGCTTTGGAGCACTGGCTCAATCGATCCTTTCTTTCTTTCCTTCCCTTCTCTTCCTTTCCCTTCCCTTCCCTTCCCTTCCCTTCCCTTCCTTCTTCCCTTCCCTTCCTTCTTCCCTTCCTTCCCTTTCCTTCTTCCCTTTCTTTCCTCCCTCCCTTTCCTTCCTCCCTCCCCTCCCTTCCTCCCTCCCCTCCCTTCCTTCCTCCCCTCCCTTCCTTCCTTTCCTCCCTCCCTTCCTTTCCTCCCTCCCTCCCCTCCCTTCCTTCCTTTCCTCCCTCCCTCCCCTCTCTTCCTCCCTCCTTTCCTCCTTCCCTCCCTTCCTTTCTTCCTTCCATGGAGTTTCACTCTTGTTGTTGAGGCTGGAGTGCAATGGCACGATCTCAGCTCACTACAGCCTCTGCCTCCTGGGTTCAAGTGATTCTCCTGCCTCAGCCTCCTGAGTACCTGGGATTACAGACACCCACCACCGTGCCCGGCTAATTTTTGTATTTGTAGTGGAGCAGGGGTTTCACCATGTTGGCTAGGCTAGTCTCGAACTGACCTCAGGTGATCCACCCGCCTTAGCCTACCAAAGTGCTGGTATTACAGGTGTGAACCACCATGCCCAACCGATCCTCCTTACTTTCAACACTCTCGTGAGACTCTGGGTTCTCTGCATCTCTTTTTTTTTTTTTTTTTTTTTTTTTTTTTTTGAGACAGAGTCTCGCTCTGTTGCCCAGGCTGGCGTGCAGTGGCGCAATCTCGGCTCACTGCAACCTCCGCCTCCCGGATTCATGCCATTCTCCTGCCTCAGTCCTCCAAGTAGCTGGGACTACAGGTGCCCGCCACCACACCCGGCTAATTTTTTTTGTATTTTTAGTAGAGACGGGGTTTCACCATGTTAGCCAGGATGGTCTCGACCTCCTGACCTCATGATCTGCCCGCCTCGGCCTCCCAAAGAGCTGGGATTACTGACTTGAGCCACTGTGCCCGGCCATCCTGGTCTTATATCTTTCTGTCATGAGCCCTTTTTCCAAAAGATTGGAATGAAGAAAGTGCTTTGATGATCCGGGGCTCCTCTCATCCTACTGGGGTCTTCTCAACCTGGGTGCCTGTTCACGAGTCAGGGCTGTGTGTGCACATGCTTTAAAGCACATGTGACTGCTGTCAACAAGGAAGACAGAGCTAACGTGTCTCAAGAGTCATCCCTTTCAAGATAGCCACCCAAGGAGGCCATTTATTAATATTCCATGCTGTCAGATGCTCAGTGAGTGTATTCAAAAGAGTGTGTGCCACATCTGGTGGTGGATCCATGTGAGTTTTGAGAATAATGACTAGATAAGTGTCAAACTTGAAAGTCTGAGGTCTCAAGAAGTGAGAGGCTGGGCGTGGTGGCTTATAACTATAATTCTAGCACTTTGAGAGGCTGAGGCAGGCAGATCACTTGAGCTCAGAAGTTCAAGACAAGGCTGGGCAACATAATGAGATCTCATCTCTACTAAAATTTAAAAAAAATTAGTGGGTTGAGCTAGGAGGATTGCTTGAGCCCCGGAGGTTGAGGCTGCAGTGAGCCGTGATCGTGCCACTGTGCTTCAGCCTGGGCGACAATGAGACCCTGTCTCAAAACATAAATAAAATGTGGGGCCAGACCCCATCAGTCCTGCCCAAAACAGGGTGTCCATAACTGGACCTGATTTAACAGACAAATCTGGGACAGGGGAGCCTCAGCAGCTTTTATTTAACTTCTGAGCTGCCCTGTACTGACCCTTGGTTAGGGCACTTGGTTTGGAGCAGGTACTGTACATGGAACTTTGTGTAAAATGCCTTGGGTGACAGAAGTCAGACTCTAGGCTCAAAAATCTAGCCTCTGTCTTGAGAAACAGAACTAGGACACACCTTTCCACCCTCTCATTTTTCCAAAGTGGATATCCATTGTAAGAACTGTTCTTACACCGCGCTGGGCGCGGTGGCTCACGCTTGTAATCCCAGCACTTTGCGAGGCTGAGGTGGGTGGATCACCTGAGGTCAGGAGTTTGAGATTAGCCTAACCAATATGGTGAAGCCTCATATCTACTAAAAATAAAAAAATTAGCCAGGTGTGGTGGCAGACATCTGTAGTCCCAGCTACTCGGGAGGATGAGACAGGAGAATCGCTTGAACCCAGGAGGCAGAGGTTGCAGTGAGCCGAGCTCACACCACTACACCCCAGCCCGGGTGACAGAGCGAGAATTTGTCTCAAAAGAAAGAACTATTCCCGCACATCACTTAAGAAGCTTTTGTAGGACATTGACTATGTCTTAGTACCTCTGAGAACCCTTGCATAGAGCCCAACATAGATATCCCCACCAAAAACAAAAATGTAGTAAGAGGCAGTAATGACTGCAGAAGGGACAAAAGAGAGACCAGCAAGGCCTTGCTGATGATGGAGGCCTGGAGCACCATGACATTAAGGGATGTCAATCCCGGGTACCCCACGTTCCCACCTCAGCAACATTCTGAGTGATCATATCCCAGGCCGTGGCTGCTTATGCGTAGTCCTGTGCTTCCTGAGGAGCAGCACTTGTCACATATACCTGGTATGTTTGTTTATCACGGTTATAAATCATTGACTTGTGGCTGCCTTGTTTTTAGTCACATGTCACTTTGGGCTTCCAGGGCATCGTGAGAGCAATTCGAGATTACCAGGGCCCCCTGAAGGAGCACGAAGTCACAATCTTTGTCCGAAGAGGTGGCCCCAACTATCAGGAGGGCTTACGGGTGATGGGAGAAGTCGGTAAGATGAGGACCTTTTCTCTCCCCCTCACCCTGAGTGTGGGTGGCCTTCCTCTTTGGGATTTCTGATTCCTGAGCATCAGTCTTAGGCTCTTTTGCTCTCTACTCCCCTTCCTGGGTGTGCAGTTTGGGTTTCCATTCCCTGTCCCAACACAGAGTGCTATCCTAAACTTTGGAGTGGTCAGGAAAGCATTTTCATTGAGCTCTACACTTAACAGATATTTATTAAAGATCACTCGCTCTGTGCTGGGCTTTGTGCTGGTGACGAGGGTTACAGCCACAAATGGACAGACAGCAAGCCTTGATGGAACGGAGGACACAAACTGCTATGTCAGGGGGTGCCGAGTGCCAGGAAGGAAAACAAAGCAGGGAAAGGGAGAATGCATGTGGGAGGGGTCGGGGCAGCCTTCAACAGGGAGATCAGAAAATGCTTGATCAAACTTGATCAAGGCTGGGCACAGGTGGCTCATGTACTTTGGGAGGTCGAAGTGGGAGGATCCCTTGAGCTCAGGAGTTCAAGACCAGCCTGGGCAACATGGCGAGACCCTGCCTCTACAAAAAAAAAAATACAAAAATTAGCCGGTCATGGTGGTACACACCTGTAGTCCCAGCTACTTGGGAGGCTGAGGTGGGAGGATCACCTGAACCTGGGAGGTTGAGGCTGCAGTGAGCCGTGATCATGCCACTGCACTCCAGCCTGGGTGACAGAGTGAGACCCTGTATCAAAAAAAAAAGAAGAAAGAAAAGAAAACTGACATTTGAGCAAAGACCTAGAATGAGGGAGCAGCGCCATGGTGACTCTTGGAGAGGGAAGGGCAAATTCCCATACCCTGCAGTGGTAAGGGGCTGGGACTGAGAGAGTGGCAGCGAGACACTACAGGTCACAGGAGGACTTGGCCATCACTGTGAGACAGCAGGCACAAGAAGTGTTCAAGCAGAGGAACCACATATTTATTATTATTATTATTTTTTGAGACAGTGCCTTGCTTTGTCACCCAGACTTGAGTGCAGTGGTACCATCATAGCTCATTGCGGCCTCCACCTTGTGGGCTCAAGTGATCCTCCCTCCTCAGCCTCCCAAGTATTGGGGACCACGGGTGTGCACCACCACACCTGGCTAATTAAAAAAAAAAAATTTGTTGTGAGATAGTGTCTCACTGTGTTGCCCAAGCTGATCTCAAACTCCTGGCCTCAAGTGATCCTCTTGCCTTTGCCTCCCAAAGTGCTAGGATTATAGACGTGAGCCACTACAACCAGCCAAGTGACACAATTTGACTTAGGTTTGAATTGAATAGGGTTAATTTTTTTTCTTTTTTTTCTTTTTTTTTTATTTTGAGATGGAGTCTCGCTCTGTTACCCAGGCTGGAGTGCAGTGGCGCGATCTCGGCTCACTGCAAGCTCCGCCTCCCGGGTCCACGCCATTCTCCTGCCTCGGCCTCCCAAGTAGCTGGGACTCCAGGCATCTGCCACCACACCTGTCTAATTTTTGTTTGTATTTTTAGTAGAGACGGGGTTTCACCGTGTTAGCCAGGATGGTCTCAATCTCTTGACCTCGTGATCAGACTGCCTCGGCCTCCCAAAGTGCTGAGATTATAGGCAATTTTTTTTTTTTTTTTTTTTTTTTTTTGGAGACAGGGTCTCACTCTGTCACCCAGGCTGGAGTGCGGTGGTGTGATCACAGCTCACTGCAACCTCTGCCTCCCAGACTCAAGGGATCCTCCCACCTCAACCTCCTGAGTAGCTGGGACTACAGATACATGCCACAATAAATACACAATTTTTGTACAAAAAATTAGCACACACCTGGCTAATTTTTTTGTAGACGAACTTTTGCCATGTTGCCCAGGCTGGTCTCGAACTCTTGGACTCAAGCGATCCACCTGCCTAGGCCTCCCAAAGTGTTGGGATTACAGGTGTGAGCCTTTTGTTTTCTTTTTAATAGAGCTGGTTCAAAGCTGAGGATCTGCTATGTGCAGTGGGGCAGGCCTGGGGACAGCACAGTGAAGTTACCAGATCATGCTCTTAAAATTAGAACATTCCACAAGTAAACAGTAGGAGAAGATGCTAGGGGTCTGTCTGTACAAGGAGGAGGGGAGCGTGGCATGGGAGAGTGACCATCAAGGTCAGAGGGGGCCTTTCTCAGGAGGTAGTGCTTGGGTTGAGCTGGGAGACCAGAGAGCAGCCAGGTGAAGCTCCATGGAGAGCTCCACGCAGAGGGAGAAGCAGGGCCAGAGCCCTGGGGGAATGGGCTCAGGGTGTTTAGGAACAGAGACCAAGCACTGGTGGATGCATGCGATGAGGGCTAAGGAAAGCTGGAGAGCTGGGGTCCAGACTGCGAACAGGAGGAATATGGGCTCTGATAATTTGGTTACTTGAATCTTGCCAGTAAATATGTTTCTTATGTGGTTTTTTTTTTTTGGAGACAAGAGTCTCACTCTGTCACCCAGGCTGGAGTGCAGTGGCGCAATCTCAGCTTACTTTGCAACCTCTGCCTCCCAGTTTCAAGGGATCCTCCTGCCTGAGCCTCCGAGTAGCTGGGATTACAGGCACACGCCACCACGCCTGGCTAATTTTTTGTGTTTTTAGTAGAGACAGGGTTTCACCACGTTGGCCAGGCTGGTCTCAAACTCCTGACCTCAAGTGATCTGCCCGCCTCGGCCTCCCAAATTGCTGGGATTACAGGTGTGAGCCACTGCACCTGGCCTGTTTCTTGTTCTTGTTATCAGCAAGTGGCCTTTAGAAAGATTTGTCTGGTGGTGAAATTATGACAGCTGATTTGTCCTGGATATTGGTCTTGCACTGAATGCGCCAAACACTGATCATGGCTGTAAAAGGCCCTTTGCAGGGTCACATGGACTTGGGCCCTTATCTGCAGACTTGAATTATGGATTTTTTTTTCCTTCCCTTGCAGGGAAGACCACTGGGATCCCCATCCATGTCTTTGGCACAGAGACTCACATGACGGCCATTGTGGGCATGGCCCTGGGCCACCGGCCCATCCCCAACCAGCCACCCACAGCGGCCCACACTGCAAACTTCCTCCTCAACGCCAGCGGGAGCACATCGGTAGGTTCCAGCCTCCCCAAACCTTACAGGAAGGAACCATCTCATCTTTTCCACTAGGATACAGTCTTCTTCCTCTGTTCCCTGGGGGCATAGAGGAAATACAGCGGGAGTTAGTGCATGGTTGGTTTGTGGATCTCTGCCAATTTTTTTCCTGTCCTGATTAAAGTAGTATAATGGAAGGACAAAGGATTTTAAAATTGGATCCAAGTTCAAATTGTGGCCGGGCATGGTGGCTCATGCCTGTAATCCCAGCACTTTGGGAGGCCGAGGCTGGCGGATCACCTGAGCTCAGGAGTTCGAGACCAGCCTGGCCAACATGGTGAAACCGTGTCTCTACTAAAAATACAAAAGTTAGCCAGACATGGTGGTGCATGTCTGTAATCCCAGCTACTCGGGAGGCTCAGGCATGAGAATCACTTGAACCTGGGAGGCGGAGGTTGCAGTGAGCTGTGATGGCACCATTGCACTCCAGCTCTGAGCAACAGAGTGAGAATTCGTCTCAAAAGAAAAGAAAAGAAAAGAAAAACTTAAAAATCGTTACTCTTACTTTTTGCTGAGAGAGCAACCTTAGCCAGTACCTTGTCCACCCAGGGCCTCAGTTTGCTGATCTGTAACATGGGATAATATTAATTCGTATCTTAGAGGATTATTAGTACTTTTGGAAGCAGCTTATAAAGAGCATTGCTGTGCATAATTTTTATTACGAGTTTTCTTTGGGGCCTTTAAGGACCAGTGGCTTTTTTCCCAGGTGTGACTCTTACCTCTTACACTCTCTCCTTATCTCACCCCAGACGCCAGCCCCCAGCAGGACAGCATCTTTTTCTGAGTCCAGGGCCGATGAGGTGGCGCCTGCAAAGAAGGCCAAGCCTGCCATGCCACAAGGTAACTCCCTGAGGCTTCAGGCATGTTGCAGGGAGTGGCCTTGCGGTACCCTCTGTATCTCTCTCCCCTTTCCCTTTCCCCCCTGGGCTGGCAGAGGCAGATGAACAGCGGTTTGGGTTTTGCAATGGGAGTGCACCTGGGACACGAGGATGGTATGACTTGAGCCTTCCCTGTGGGCGCTCCTGAGGCAGAGGACCCACGCCGTGCCTGGTCGCCTCAACTCCCCCTATTCTCTTCTACCCCTGGTTCTTCTTATGGGGGTGTGGACTGGGCAGGGAGGCTGTGGAGGAGATAGGGTTACAGAAATCCCAGGAAGTGGAAAGTTCTCTGAGACTCTTCTCCTGAGTGGAGGGCAGACACCGGGACCCCAGGACGGCAGAGCCAGCTCATACAACAGCAGTTCCCAGGCCACCCCCACCATCTTGGGGCCCTAACAGACATTCCCTCCTTTGAATCCCCAGCAAGAAAAGCCCCCGCCTGTCAGCCCATCTGTATTTCAACTAATTTTTCTCTCCGTGTAGATGTGATTCCTGCCGGCCAGCCCTTGCAGCCAGCTCTACATAAGTGGTGTTAGTTACCCCTGGGCTGGTATACCTGTGCAGCCTCTTCCTGGGACACACTTTGCTATGGCATTTTGGAAAATAGTGACACTGTCCCAAATCAGCATCCTTGTCCATGGCACGGGTCAACCCCATGCTGGCCAATCATCTCATAGTGTTTCATGGAGACAAAAAGGGATTGGCATTAAGAGGGTGGGACTGCGCCAGCTAGAGAGCCCAGAGTTCAAGTCATCCAGCTGTCCCTGCAGAGGGCCTGGGGGAGGCGCTGGTGTTGAGCACATCTGCCCAGCCTTTGTCCTCCTCCTGCCCCCTCTCTGCCCGTTTGGTCTTTGCTCTTTCTTGCTTCCATTCTGCTCATCGGTGCTTTCACCTCTTCTGCTGGCCTTACTCCGTTGTCCATTGCAGAACAGGAGAGGGATGATGAGGGCTTTAGCCCTGAAAGGCTTGTCCATGGGACCCTTCCCTGTTCCCACCCTCTCCCTCCAAAGCCTCCAGCCATCAGTGGGTCACTCAGTTGCCTTGGTCATTTTCTTTGACAGATTCAGTCCCAAGTCCAAGATCCCTGCAAGGTAGGATGCCCCCACCCTGCCCCCACTCCGCGTGTGGCTTTGTTAGCGGGTGACAGTTTTACTGTGTGCTCTGTTTCCCCCTCCCCTGGTGGGTTGCAGTGTCGTCTGGTCTATTTTCTGTCCCTGCCTTGATGTGGCCTGACCCCAAGTCCTAAGTCTTCGCTCTTCCTCCCCTCCTATCCGTGCTCAGTACGCGCCCCACTCAGTCCTCTCCTCACTGTGTGGCTGTTTCTGGCTCCAAGCTTGGGAAGGGGTAGAGATTTTGGAAGGAGCAAGAGCCAGACCCACAGCCCTGGAGAGTGTAGTGGTGTCAAGGAGAGAGTGTCGCCTGGGAAGGAGGGAGCCATCCAACTAAATGGGGAGTGGCAGAGAGTCGTGGGCGTCTGTCACTGCTGGGGTGCAGAAGGGGAGCCACAAGTCACCCCTGCTTCTCATTTACATCTCCTGATGTCATTTTCCCACCTTTCCTGCCTCGGCTTCACCACTGCCAGCTTCATCCTCAAGCTCCAGGGACCAGTTTATCTTTTTCTGGGGTTGTGGTGGAGGAACAAAAGAGGTGAAGAAGGAGGTAGACGGAAGCGCAGAAGGGTGTGCAGCGGATCTAGTGACTGGGTAATTGGAAGGGGTATGAGCTTTGTCTGGTGTATGAGGTCACATTTTACAGTGGATACTTCTGTGCATGCGCATTCACCCACCAGCCTAGCTGAGTAGATTAATTGGTTCATGGCATCAGAGCGTCCATTTAACTTTGACATTCACAGCCGTGGAGGCGGGGAAGTCTTTGTTGTCCCCTTGCTAAGGGGAGGGGAAGGAGTAATTGGCAGGGTCGATAACCAGCTGGAAAGGCCTGGAATGCAGCACTGTGGCCACCTGGCTTTAATCCTGATGTTTTTGCCTCTGGAAAAAGTTAAGAGCAGAGTGAGCCCAGTGTGGAAAGAACAGGGACCAGCCCTGGTTCTCCAGGAGCTCTCTGTGCTCTGAAGGGGAGGAGGGTTATGAGGAGGGGGGTTATCCTTGTTACTTTCTGGAGTGAGAGAAATAAAAGGAGGGTGTGTCAGGGAGAACAGATTATGGCTGAGCGAGCCCTCCCCTCAGCGAGGCCAGAGGAGGCCTGGTGTAGGGGGCATAGCCCCTGGCACAGAGGTTCTCTCTGGAGCCTCTCTGCTGCTGGTGGGCTGAGGATACACCCTTCAGCTTTGGTTTCTCTGTGCTTGAGGAAGGGCCACTTTACCTCCACCCTTCCTGCTGGAGATGCTGGTAGGTTGGTAGATTCCAGGCTTTGTCTTGATTTCTGTAGCTGGCAGGGTAGATAGATCAGAGGCATGTGCACGTGCGTCACCTGGCGGGGGTGACATGATGCAGGCTTCCCCTGAGGATGGCGGGTCATGAACTCACACTTATATTCTCCCTCCTCACTTTCACAGTTGAGCTGCATTTTAAGTGATTGTGTAATCCTGGCTCTGATGCTGGATGACCTCGGACCTCAATCATTTGGCATCTCTGGGCTTCAGTTTCCTAGGACTGGGAAGTGGGAGAACTGGATTAGGTGGCTCCCCTTGTTCTGTGATCTCATGTCTCAGCAGAACCCGGGGGGTCTAGGTGACAGTAAATCCCAGGTATTTGCAACATCAGGAACCTTCTGTCATGAGAAGCTGTAAGGCTGTGATGGAAGAGGCAGGCCTGTACAGGGATTTAATGAGACCATGAACTTGGTTAGCCAAGCCTGCTCTAGTACAGTAGGTTAATTAATACGAGATGCCACTGGGCTAGATGCATCATTCTTCCTAGGGGAGCTCAGAACCTCCCTGAGGGCTGCTTTCCTCCTCTTGGACTTGCAGGGACCCAGAGGGGAAAGTCAACTGCCTGAAGCGTGGTAAAAGTCCTTTCCCTTTAGGCTAAGGACTGCACTTTTTTCTTTTTTTTTTTAAATATACTTGCTGCATTAAAATTTTCTTTTTAAAATTTTTGTGGGTACATAGTAGGGGTGCATGAGATATTTTGGTACAGGCGTGCAATGCGTAATAATCGCATCATGGAAGGTTTTTCTTTGTTGTTTTTTTTTTTGAGGTGGGGTCTCACTATGCCGCGGTGGCTGGTTTCGAATTCCTGGGCTCAAGTGATCCTCCCATCTCAGTCTCCTAAGTAGCTAGGACTCAAGCACGCACCACTATGCCCACCTAGAGAACTGCACTTCTACCAGCTCCTTTTGTTCCCTTACCCTTTTTTTTTTTTTTTTTTTTTTTGAGACAGGGTCTCACTCTGTGGCCCAAGCTGGAGTGCAGTGGTGCGATCTTGGCTCGCCGCAACCTCTGCCTCCTTGGTTCAAGTGATTGTGTGTTGGTTTCCCAAGAAGCTGGGATTACAGGTGCATGCCACCACGCTAATTTTTTTTTTTTTTTTTTTGAGATGGAGTCCCGCTCTGTCACCTGGGCTGGAGTGCACTGGCACGATCTCGGCTCACTGCAACCTCTGCCTCCCGGGTTCGAGCGATTCTCCCTGCCTCAGCCTCCTGAGTAGCTGGGATTACAGGTGTCCACCCCACCACACCCAGCTAATTGTTGTATTTTTATTAGAGACAGCGTTTCACCGCGTTGGCCAGGCTGGTCTTGAACTCTTGAGCTCAAGTGATCCACTGGTCTCAGCCTCCCAAAGTGCTGGGATTACAGGCGTGAGCCACCACACCTGACCTGCGCCTTACCTCTTAAGTGCCCACTGGAGGGTCTGTCCAAGAGCACTGTCCTGAGCAGGAAAGAGCCACCTGGTAGAAGGGAGAAGGACAGGAAAAACAGGAGAGCAGGTTGAGGGCACTGGCCCTGTGTAACTAGCTTGCTGCTCCTGCCTTGTGCAGAGCCCTGGCCAGAACCACAGTTAGCGATAAGGCTGCTGTGTCCTCAGCCCCGGCTGCACAAACCTCTTCTTTGGACCTACACTGACCTAGAATTCATGCTGATTCAAACCCTGACTGGAGCTGGTTTTATGTCCAGATTTACAGGGTAATAAGCATTGTTGGAACATAAGTCCTGAACCCACCAAAATTGGGCGAGCTAAGCATTTTTTTCCAATGACTTTAAAAATAATTTGTTAAGACCTCATTTGCATATAAGCTGATGACACACCTTGCCTGGGAAATGAAGCAGGTCCTATAGGAATTATCCTGGGCATCTTTGACTGTGGGGCCCTTCTTTCTCCATTCTTTGCAGAGCTACTTACCAGCTAGCAGGCCCTCTTAGCTTGATTTGCTCTTTCTGCCACCTTCTTCCAGAAAAATCGAGGCACCTCCTCCCCAAGTTCTCAGAATTCTGTCCTCTTGACATTCCTTTACGGTTGTGATGAGGCATCACCCTGTGGACATGGGGCGTGGAGGGGTCTGTCAGGCAGCCCTGGCCCCTGCAGGTCTCCTGGGGGTATGTGTTCTGGGTGCACTCTCTGTGTCTTTGCCCACCAGGAAAGAGCACCACCCTCTTCAGCCGCCACACCAAGGCCATTGTGTGGGGCATGCAGACCCGGGCCGTGCAAGGCATGCTGGACTTTGACTATGTCTGCTCCCGAGACGAGCCCTCAGTGGCTGCCATGGTCTACCCTTTCACGTGAGTTACCCCATGGCGGGAAATATCTCCTTCCTCTGCTAAGACAAAGCTTGGGGCTGGGCACAGTGGCTCATGCCTGTAATCCTAGCGCTTTGGGAGGTCGAGGTGGGAGAACTGCTTGAGCCCAGGAGTTTGAGACCAGCCCTGGGCAACATAGGGAGACCCCCATCTCTACAGATAATTTAAAAATTAGCCGGATATGGTGGTGTGCACCTGTAGTCCCAGCTACTTGGGAGGGTGAGGCAGGAGGATTGCCTGAGCCTTGGAGGTTGAGGCTGCAGTGAACTCTAATTATGCCACTGCACTCCAGCCCGGGTGACAGAGCAAGAACCTGTCTCAAAAGAAAAAAAAAAGGCAAGGCTTGAGGAGTCAGTGAGCTCATTCCCTTTGCTGGGGAAGGCTTTGCCCATCCTAGAGACAGAGGCAGTCAGTATTCCTGGGGGATCTTTGTCCCTTAGATGAAAATTCTTTGAGGGCACAGACCATGCCTTTTCTATCTTCTAGGTGAAATTCCTCCCCTCAGCTTCCCCTTCCCCAGTCCTGACAGGTTGAGGATATCCTAATTCTTCTTTTACTTTCTCACAGTGGGGACCACAAGCAGAAGTTTTACTGGGGGCACAAAGAGATCCTGATCCCTGTCTTCAAGAACATGGCTGATGCCATGAGGAAGCATCCGGAGGTAGATGTGCTCATCAACTTTGCCTCTCTCCGCTCTGCCTATGACAGCACCATGGAGACCATGAACTATGCCCAGGTAGATCACTGGGCTCTGGAGGGTGGGGGGTGGGGACCATGAACTATGCGCAGGTAGATCACTGGGCTCTAGGGGACAGAGGGTGGGGAAGCAGGAATGGCTCCTGGTTGATGTCCCGTCACTGCTGCCTGGGACAAAGGGCTGGGGATTTGGGAGTAGCCAGTGGTTTAGGTGGAAATGGTTGGAGACACATGATCTTCAGAAGTCAGGATAGTGACTTAGGGCAGGTCAGTCTGGGCAGAGGCTGCTTATCTGGGCTTACAAAGAGGCTGCTCAGGCCTGGGACAGTGACTTATGCCTGTAATCCTAGGACTTTGGAAGGCAGAGGCAGGAAGATTGCTTGAAGCCAAGAGTTCAAGACCAGCCTAAGCAATAAAGCGAGACCCATTCTCTACAAAAAGCTTAAAAATTAGTCAAGCCAGGCATGGTGACTCACACCTGTAGTCCCAGCTACTCAGGAAGCTGAGGCAGGAGGATCAATTGATCACCCAGGAGTTCAAGGCTGCAGTTAGCTATGATCATTCCATGGCACTCCAGCGTGGGTGGCAGAGCAAGACCCTGTCTTTAAAAAATTAAATAAAGTAAAATAAAATATACGCTGGGCATGGTGGCTTATGCCTGTTATTCCAGCACTTTGGGAGGTCAAGGCAAGAAGATTGCTTGAGCCCAGGAGTTTGAGACCAACAAAGCAAGACCCTGTCCCTATAAAAAAATTAAAAAAAAAAAAGAATTAGCTGGACATGGTGGCATGTGCTGGCTGAGGTAGGATGATCACTTGAGCCTGGGAGGTCAAGGCTACAGTGAGTTGTGATCACACCACTGCACTTCAGCCTAGGCAGCAGAGTGAGACTCTAAATAAATAAATAAATAAATGTTAAATAAATAAATGAGGTGGCTCAGGCTCCACCCCACCCCCACTATATCCTCTCTGTGCTATGCATAACTGGCTTGAAAACTGGGATTGGCTGGATGCCATGGCTTGTGTTTGTTGGGCGGCAGAGGCGGGGGTATTGTTTGAGGCTAGGGGTTCGAGACCAACTTGAACAACACAGCAAGACCTTGTCTGTACTTAAAAAAGGATTAGCCAGGCATGATGGCACTCACTAGTCCCAGCTAGTAGGGAGGCTAAGGTAGGAGGATCGCTTAAGCTCAGGAGGTTGAGGTTGCAGTGTGCTGTTATCATGCCATTGCACTCCAGCCTGGGCAGCAGAGTAAGTCCCAGATCCTGTCTCAAAAACAAACAAAAAAACAAATCAGGATTAAAGCACTTTATTTTATGTATGTTTGTATTTATTTATTTTTTTTTTTTGAGACAGGGCCTCACTCTGTCACACAGCCTCCACTTCCCAGGCTCAAGTGATTCTCGTGCCTCAGCCTTCTGAGTAGCTGGGATTACAAGCACATGCCACCACACCTGGCTTTTTTTTTTTTTTTTTTTTTTGTACAGATGGGGTTTCACCATGTTGGCCAGACTGGTCTCGAACTCCTGGCCTTAAGTGATCCACTCACCTTGGCCTCCCAAAGTGCTGGGATTACAGGAGTGAGCCACTGCACCTGGCCTATTTTAATTAAAAAAAATTTTTTTTTTTTGAGACAGAGTTTCACTCTTTTTGCCCAGGCTGGAGTGCAATGGTGCAATCTCGGCTCACCGCAACCTCCGCCTCCCGGGTTCAAGTGATTCTTCTGCCTCAGCCTCCCAAGTAGCTGGGATTACAGGCGCCTGCCACCATGCCCGGCTAATTTTTTTTTTGTATTTTTAGTAGAGACGGAGTTTCACCATGTTGGCCAGGGTGGTCTCGATCTCTCGACCTCGTGATCCGCCCGCCTCGGCCTCCCAAAGTGCTGGGATTACAGGCGTGAGCCACCGCGCCCGGCAAATTTTTTTTTTTTTTTTCAATCGGTCAGCTTCCCAAGCCAGAGGAGGCTCAGAAAGACTCCAACATTTCATTATAAAAATATTACATATTTATTATAGAACAGTTTCAAAATACTGATAAATACTGTTTTGTTGAAAATAAATACTTGAGGTCCCATTTCAGAAAAACATGACTGCTGCTATGACGGTATGTCCTTATCTACCCCCTTTTCTAGATTTGAGCAAAGGGAATAATACTGTATGCCACTCATATAATCTGCTTTCTTCAGTTGCTCTTTCCACATCAGTAAGCACTAACTGGCAGCATCACTTTTGCTTTTGCAAATCTTGTGATGGGCAATCTCGGATTAACATTTGCCTATATCCTTAATTATTCCCTAAGCATAAATTTCTAGAAGTTGAACTACTGCATCAGAAGGTGCAGGTTTGAGGCTGGGTGCGGTGACTCACATCTGGAATCCCAGGACTTTGGGAGGCCAAGGTGGGTGGATCATTTGAGGTCAGGAGTTCGAGACCAGCCTGGCCACCGCCTCTACTAAAAATAAAAAAAATAGCTGGGTATGGTGGCAGACACCTGTAGTGCCAGCTACTTGGGAGGCTGAGGCAAGAGAATCACTTGAATCCGGGAGGTGGAAGTTGCAGTGAGCCAAGGTCGTGCTATTGTACTCCAGCCTGGGCGACGAGAGACTCCATCTCAAAAAAAATAAAATTAGGATATTGATTATTTTGTTGAAAATTATCATCTGATCCCAGACTGGCTTATTTCAGTTTATGACTGGAGAATATAAAATTGTCTTGATACCTAGAGGAAGTGAAAAAATACATTTGCTGAAAATGAGCTACTTCTTTTTTTTTTTTTTTTTTTTTTTTTTTTTTTTGTGAAATGGAGCCTTTCTCCATCACCCAAGCTAGAGTGAGTACAGCGGCGTGATCTCAGTTCACTGCAACCTCCACCTCCCGGGTTCAAGCAATTCTCCTGTCTCAGCCTCCCGAGTAGCTGGGACTACAGGCGCCTGCCACCACGCCCAGCTAATTTTTGTATTTTCAATAGAGATGGGATTTTACCTTTTTGATCAGGCTGGTCTTGAACTCCAGGCCTCAGGTGATCCAACCGCCTCGGCCTCCCAAAGTGCTGATATTACAGGCGTGAGCCACCACGTCCGGCTGCTGCTTCTTTAGTTTAGGGCAGAGGTTGGCAAACTATGGCCCAAGGCAAAACCTAGCACATCACCTAGTTTTAGGGCTGTTTTTTGTTTGTTTGTTTGTTTTTGTTTTTTGTTTTTTGAGACAGAGTTTTGCTCTCATTGCCCAGGCTGTAGTGCAGTTGTGTGATCTCGGCTCACCGCAACCTCTGCCTTCCAGGTTCAAGTGATTCTCCTGCCTCAGCCTCCCAAGTAGCTGGGATTACAGGCATGCATCACTATGCCTGGCTAATTTTGTATTTTTAGGAGAGATGGGTTTTCTCCATGTTGGTCAGGCTGGTCTCAAACTCCCAATCTCAAATGATCTGCCCACCTTGGCCTTGCAGATTGCTGGGATTATAGATGTGAGCCACCGCGCACAGCCAGGGGTTTTTGTTTGGTTTTAAAGAGACACACATACTGCTCTGTAGCCCAGGCTGGAGTGCAGTGATGCAATCATGCAACTCACTGTAGCCTCAACCTCCTGGGTTCAATTGATCCTCCTACCGGGTCTCCCTGTGTTGCCCAGGCTGGCCTTGAACTCTTGGGCTCAAGGGATCCACCTGCCTTAGACTCCCAAAGTGCTGGGATTACAGGCATGAGCCACTCTACCTGGCCCCTACAATACTATCTTGACCCTTTACAGAAGTTTGCTGGCCCTGGTTTAGAGCCAAAGAGAAGTGATTCCTGGATCTGTCCCATGCCCCTCCCACCCCGCCTCTGGGCTGAGTGTAGAAGCAGCTCATTTCTCTTAAACGCTGACCCTGTCCTGTGGGGATGGTGACAAGACTCGGAGGGTCCCATGAAGAAAAGCCTTAGATAGCTGCTTTATGAGCAGGCACAGGAACAGGTAGACAACAGGAGGGTGTGAGCTTTTGGGTGAGAGTGAACGTAGCTGCTATGACTGTAGCAGGGCTTCCGAAATACCTGCCTCTCTTGGGTGGATCACTGTGGTGTTAGCTAGTGGAGATCAGTTTCGGCTATCCACCACTTGTGTTTTCAGGAGATGGTTAGAGTGATTACGAGCAGAGGCCTGTGGGAAGAATGAGATGCATATTGGTTTTGTTTTTTCGTTTTGTTTTGTTTTTGTTTTTGAGATGGAGTCTCGCTCTGTCACCCAGGCTGGAGTGCAGTGGTGCCGTCTCAGCTCACTGCAACCTCCACCTCCCGGGCTCAAGCAGTTCTCCTGCCTCAGCCTCCCTAGTAGCTGGGATTATAGGCGCGCACCACCATACCCAGCTAATTTTTGTATTTTTAGTAGAGACGGGGTTTTGCTACGTTGGCCAGGCTGGTCTCGAACTCCTGACCTTAGAAGATCCACCCTCCTCGGCCTCCCAAAGTGCTGGGATTACAAGCATGAGCCACCGCGCCCGGCTGATATGCATATTGTTAACATTACTTTGTTCTTGGACCCTGGAAGAGGACATGTGGAATGGGAGGTGGGCCCTTAAACGGTGCTGTCTTGTTGCCCTTTCTGAGGCAGAGAGTTAACAGGAAGGGACTTTTGTCATCCTCTAGATCCGGACCATCGCCATCATAGCTGAAGGCATCCCTGAGGCCCTCACGAGAAAGCTGATCAAGAAGGCGGACCAGAAGGGAGTGACCATCATCGGACCTGCCACTGTGAGCTTCCCCTCCGGAAAGCCTTTTACGTTCGATGCTATCTTATGAAGTTCAATGCCCTTAGGAAGTTTACTTTTTGACTCCTCTATCTCCCTCCTAGGTTGAGAAGATTCAGGAAGTATGTGTTGAAAATCAGTCTGTCCATTTTTAGCTTTTTTTTTGAGACACAGCCTCACTGCAATGCCTAGGCTGGAGTGCAATGGCGCGATCCTGGCTCACTGCAACCTCCGCTTCCGGGTTCAAGTGATTCTCCTGTCTCAGCCTCCCAAGTAGCTGGGATTACAGGCACCCGCCACCATGTCCGGCTAATTTTTGTGTTTTTAGTCGAGACGGGATTTCACCATGTTGGTCAGGCTGGTCTCGAACTCCTGACATCGGGTGATCCACCCACCTCGGCCTCCCAAAGTGCTGGAGTTACAGGTGTGAGCCACCGTGTTTGGCCTTTTTTTTTTTTTTTTTTTTTTTTTTTTTCTTTGAGACGGAGTCTTGCCCTGTTACCTAGGCTGGAGTGCAGTGGCACGATCTTGGCTCACTGCAGCCTCTGCCTCCTTGGTTCAAGCAATTCTCCTGCCTCAGCCTCCCGAGGAGCTGGGACTATAGGTGTGAACCACCACGCCTGGCTAATTTTGGTATTTTTAGTAGAGACAGGGTTTCACCATGTTAGCCAGGCTGGTCTCAAACTCCCAACCTCAGGTAGTCTGCCCCCTACAGCCTCCAAAAGTGTTGGGATTGCAGGCGTGAGCCACCATGCCTGGCTGAAATTATTCTTTGAATTATTTTTTGTTTGTTTTTTTAAGAAGCAGGGTCTTGCTGTGTTGCTGGAGTGCAGTGGCTTTTCACAGGTGCAGTTATAACACACTTCAGCAGCCCCGAACTCCTAAGCTCAAGCAATCTCCCTGCCTCAGCCTCCTGAGTAGCTGGGATTCCAGAAGTGTTCTCCACACCTGGCTTATTTTTACTTCTTACTGTATTAAAAAAATGGAGCTAGTATTTATTTCCAAAGAGCTGAGATTACAGACCTGAGCCACTGTGCCGGGCCAAGTATACGTATCTGAACCTGAATTAGTGAGCCATGCTTTACAAATAAGGCTCTCTTTTGTTCTGTATGTCTCTTGAGAGAGAGAGGAGACTTTCCTAAGCAGGAAACCCAGTGGGCAAGTGTGATTTCTCTTGGTCATTCTCTCCCCAGCCTGGCCAGAAGGGGCTGGGCAGTAATGCAGGGGCTTTGTGATTCTTTGTGGTGAATCTGGAAGTCACCTTCCTCCCTGATTGTGGTTTCTGCCCCCACAGGTTGGAGGCATCAAGCCTGGGTGCTTTAAGATTGGCAACACAGGTGGGATGCTGGACAACATCCTGGCCTCCAAACTGTACCGCCCAGGCAGCGTGGCCTATGTCTCACGTTCCGGAGGCATGTCCAACGAGCTCAACAATATCATCTCTCGGACCACGGATGGCGTCTATGAGGGCGTGGCCATTGGTGGGGACAGGTAATCAGCTGGGAAGCCAAGGAGGGGCTTCCTGCTTTGAGAGCAGTGGGCTAGGAGACGATGCTGTGTCCTGCAGGCTGCTTGCTGCCCCTGAGTTCCAGGCCCGCAGGAATGCTGCTGAAGTCTAAACAATGGGGCATCACTGCTCTTGTCTCAGGACTGACAGAGCATGAAATCGGAAAACACAGAACAGGGCAACAATGTGCAGGAGGGGCGACTGGGCTTTGGGGATAATTCTGTTTGTTGTGATTGGCCATAGGGAGGCAGCAGAGTACAGTGGTTAGGAGGGCCAGTTCTGAAATTGGACTAAAGAGGTTCAAATCCCATTTTCCCTCTTTAGTAGGGGGTGGGTGGCAGGGGCCATCCTGGTCCGGTTACTTAACCTCCCTAGACCTCCATCATTTTTACACATCAAATGGGTAAATAATACCCCCACCTCATGGGGCTACTGGAGGAATAAATGAATTGTAATACATATAAGTGTCTGAGCCAGGGCCTGCGTTCAGCAGGTGCTCAGTGAGTTTTTATTGTAGTTAATAATAGTATCCTCATTATTTTTGGTAGTGGGAACACTGATCAGTAGGTCATGAATACAGTATTATATCTCAGAGTAACGTCTGGCACTTAGTAGGTTCATAATAAATGTTAGCCATTATTGTTTATTATTCCTACTATTACTACTGCTGTCGGGCTTAGAAACCAAAAGCTGTTGAGATAGAGTCACCTTGTTCGTCTCCCTGGCTCTACCACATGATTTCCGATAGGATGCCTGGGTGAGGAAGAACTCTCACCAAGGTCTTTAGGGGTGTAGCCTGGGAATCCCCAGTCCTTGGGTACTGCCTGACCAAAGGCTCAGGGAATAAGTCTAGGAAATGCTGCTTGTTTAGATTGTCTTCTTAGATTTATAATGATCATATCAAAAGACATGAAGAGGCCAAGAACAGTGGCTTATGCCTATAATCCCAGCACTTTGGGGGGCTGAGGGAGGAGGATTGTTTCAGCCCAGAAATTCGAGACTAGCTGAGGCAACACAGTCTCGAATTTGGTAGAGACCCCCATCTCTACCAAAAAAAAATTAGCCGGATGTGGTGGCATGTGCCAGTAGTGCCAGCTACTTTGGAGGCTGAGGCAGGAGGATTGCTTGAACCCGGGAGGCGGAGGTTGCAGTGCACCAACATCGCACCACTACACTCAAGCCTGGGTGAAAGAGCAAGACTTCATCTCAGAAAGAAAGAAAATATGTGTGTGTTCTTAGGTTTTTTTTGTTTGTTTGTTTGTTTTTGTTTTTGAGACGATCAAAAAATTCAAGCGATCCTCCCGTCTCAGCCACCTGAGTAGCTAGGACTGTACAGGCGCCCACGACCACACCTGGCTGATTTTTGTATTTTTAGTAGAGACGGGGTTTCGCCATGTTGGCCAGGCTGGTCTGGAACTCCTGACCTCAGGTGATCCACCCTCCTGGGCCTCCCAAAGTGCTGGGATTACAGGCGTGAGCCACTGCGCCTGGCCGGAATTTGTGGATATATTTTAAAACAACTGCACCAGGGCGTACTTTCTAAGTCATCTCTTACTGCTGAGCGAACCTCTCTGGGCTTATTTTGTGCCCAGTCTTTTCCTTTGCAAGTTAAATAGCTCCAACTCCTTCCCTCTTTCTTCTCTTCTGTTCCATTTGCTACCTTCCCCTGTCCATTATTGCTGGGGCATCTCTGGACCCTTACTGGCCATCCACATCCCCCCAAAATCCAGTGTACCCAGTACAAGTGTGCTTCCTAACCCTGTACACACTTCCCCAGGCCTCCTCCTGATCCTGTATCCTGATACTCCCTGCTCTCAACAGGTACCCGGGCTCCACATTCATGGATCATGTGTTACGCTATCAGGACACTCCAGGAGTCAAAATGATTGTGGTTCTTGGAGAGGTGAGTTACTTTAAAAAAAAAAATTATGATTTTAAAACTGTAATGCATGATCTCAGTTTTCAAAAAATTAAAACATTTTGGTTACATGTAACTTAAAGGGACAGTCCCTGGTAATCCCATCCCCTAGATGCTGGGGCCTCAAGGTTGTCACTATTAGTACTGCCATTTATGTTTCAGAGAAGGGAGTTCTTAATCTCCCAGCATCCCAAACTTTAGCGCCAATAAGAGAGAAGCTCTGCTCTGGCTGGCCATGGTCTCTACCTGGTGGGCAGTGGAAAGCTGGAGTAAAAAAAGTGCATTTTTTTGGCCAGGTATGGTGGCTCACACCTGTAATCCTCCCAGCACTTTGGGAGGCTGAGGCAACTGGGTCACTTGAGATCAGGAGTTCTAGACCATCGTGGCCTACATGGTGAAACCCCATCTCTACTAAAAATATAAAAATTAGCCAGGCATGGTGGTGCACACTTGTAATCCCAACCACTCGGGAGGCTGAGGTGGGAGAATCACTTGAACCCAGGAGACAGAGGTTGCAGTGAACAGAGATAACGCCACTGCCCTCCAGCCTGGGAGACAGATCAAGACTCCGTCTCAAAAAAAAAAAAAAAAAAAAGCAAAAAAAAAGCGCTTTTTAAAAAATGTGATGACTTTTGGATAGAACGGTTAAAAAAAATTTTCTAAATACTAAAAAATTTGGGAGTCCCATAACCCCATCCCTTGTTTGCACCTCTGAAGGCAGGTCTAATCCTAAATCATGTTATATTTCTAGATTAGGAAGGGGGAGTCCCAGAGATTCCTCTAGGAGACCTGCTGTTTGTTCCTTTAGAAATCTTCCTTGTGTCCAGGCTGAAATTAAACTCCTTTTATTTGGCCAAAGCCCGTGTCACTCCATTTTCTATCCAGTTTTTACGTCAGGATGGGCTGCACTAACTTGGCTTTTTCTCATTCCCCATTCCTTGGCAGATTGGGGGCACTGAGGAATATAAGATTTGCCGGGGCATCAAGGAGGGCCGCCTCACTAAGCCCATCGTCTGCTGGTGCATCGGGACGTGTGCCACCATGTTCTCCTCTGAGGTATGGCTGAGATGGGTCACTTCTGGGCTGGGAGTGGGGATTGCAAGAGGGGGCATTTGAGGCGAACCAGGTAATCATCTTATTAATTCGCAGCTAGTTCCTTCAAGAAACGTTTGTTACTTGCTTGGTTACTACAAAGTCCAGCCAGGGCCCTGCTCTCTGGGAGCTTATATCCAGTTGGAGGAGACCAATTTATAAGCAGATTAAAGCTACAGTCAGGCTCTGAGTCCCTACTTGGCGTAGGTAGCAACCAGCTGTCTGGAGAAGTTGAGATGGCATCCCTGAGAAGGTGATGTTTGAACTGTAGTTTAGGGGATGAGAAGGGCTTTGCTGATGAAAGGGAGGCCAAGGAGGGAGAAGGACACAGCCTGGGCTCAGCTGGGCGGGGCTTGGTGAGATGTTTTGTGTGGGGAGAGGTGGTAGAAGGAAAGGTTTGTTCTTGATGTGTTAAAATGATAAAATGTACTT
The DNA here is from genome assembly GCF_000001405.40 of Homo sapiens. Classification (NCBI taxonomy): domain Eukaryota; kingdom Metazoa; phylum Chordata; class Mammalia; order Primates; family Hominidae; genus Homo; species Homo sapiens. The sequence goes on along the minus strand of NC_000017.11, from coordinate 41,882,653 downwards.
GAAAGTGTCTGGCGCACCTGATGGTGTTGAATATAAACACTCCTTGGGCTTCTGCTGTCTGCTAAGCTTCTGAGCTATCTGTCTTCTGCTGGGGGATCATACGCCAGACTTCAGCCCCTGTGCTTCGGCTTAGAGAACCCTTTACCACCTTGAAGGTGGCTCACGTGATGATGATGAAATTGAAGGAAAAGCCGGGTACCTGGTGTGTGTACAAGAATACTCTGCAGTATCATTAACAGCAAAAACTGGAAACAACTTTTTTTTTTTTTTTTTTTTTTTTTTTTTTGGAGACAGGGTCTCACTCTGTCGCCCAGGCTGGAGTGCAATGGTGTGATCTCGGCTCACTGCAACCTCCGCCTCCTGGGTTCAAATGATTCTCCTGCCTCAGCCTCCTGAGTAGCTGGGATTATGGGCGCATGCCACCACACCCAGCTAATTTTTGTATTCTTAGTAGAGATGGAGTTTTACCATGTTGGTCAGGCTGGTCTCGAGCTCCTGACCTTGTGATCTGCCTGCCTCATCCTCCCAAAGCGCTGGGATTACAGGCGTGAGCCACCATGCCTGGCCTGGAAACAACTTACATGCTTATCAGGAGGGGACTGTCAGCATGGCATATCCACAAACTAATGGAAAACAGGGCAGGCATGCAAAGAAGGAGGTGGAACTTGATATGTTGATACAGAAAGAGTTTAAGATACATTACCTGTAAGAAAGGGCAGAGTTCAGTAAATGCTTATAATATCCATTTTGTGTAAAGTGTGTGTGTATGTGGGTTTTATTTTTTATTTTTCCATGTAAGTAAAAGGGGAGGAGAGGTCCAGAATCCTGCCCATCCCTCCAGGGTGAGCTCTGCTTGCACAGGCTTTAAAATCAGACCTTGGTAGATCTGTGTAGCCAGACGTGGTGGCAGGGGCATATAATGCCAGCTACTCGGGAGGCTGAGGCAGGAGAATTGCTTGAACCTGGGAGGCGGAGGATGCAGTGAGCTGAGATCAGATCTTTAAAATCAGATCTTGGTAGACCTGGGCAAGTCATTTAGCCTCTTGGTAACTGTTTCCTGAGCTGTAAAATGAGGATGCCATGCCGCAAGGTTGTTGTATGACTTAAATGAGGAAGTAATTGTAAAGGTCTGGCGTGCATAGGTCTTAGAAACTTCTTTTTTTTCCCATGCCTTGTCAGTCCGCTTATTCCATGAAGCTGTTCCTGATTCTCCTTTTTTTTTTTTTTTTTTTTTTTTGAGACGGAGTCTCTCGCCTAGGCTGGAGTGCAGTGGTGCGATCTCAGCTCACCGCAGCCTCTGCCTCCCTGGTTTAAGCAATTCTCCTACTTCAGTCTCCCAAGTAGCTGGGATAACAGCCACCACGCCCGGCTAATTTTTGTATTTTTAGTAAAGACAGGGTTTCACCATGTTGGCCAGGCTAGTCTCGAAGTCCTGACCTCAGGTGATCCACCTGCCTCGGCCTCCCAAAGTGCTGGGATTACAGCCGTGAGTTACCGCACCCAGCCGATTCTCTTTCTTCTTGAGTGCTCTCCCCCAACTCCATTGCTCTCCCCCCAACTCTGTACTCGCCCAACAGCCAAAAACCAGTCACCCTCCTCCATTGTTTCTCCTGGCTTGCTTTGCATTACCAGCCCCTCCCCCTTTCCACCCCACCTCCCCATCCCCACCATGATCAGGACACTTCTAAGAGGGTGAGCACCTCGCATTTCAGTATCTGGTGGCACTCATCGCCCCATGGGTGGGGTGGGTCCTTGAATTATTTTAGGTTTTTGTGTTTTTTTTTTTTTGAGACGGAGTCTCGCTCTGTCGCCCAGGCTGGAGTGCAGTGGTGCAGTCTCGGCTCACTGCAAGCTCCACCTCCGGGGTTCACGCCATTCTGCTGTTTCAGCCTCCCAAGTAGTTGGGATTACAGACGCCCACCACCACACTCGGCTAATTTTTTTTGTATTCTTTTAGTAGAGATGGGGTTTCACCGTTAGCTAGGATGGTCTCAGTCTCCTGACCTCATGATCCACCCATCTCGGCCTCTCAAAGTGCTGGGATTACAGGCGTGAACCACTGCGCCCAGCCCTTTAGTTTTGTTTTTTAAATAATTCATCTCCCTTTTAGAAATTTTGTTTTTAGTTTTGAGAAATCCAGAGTTACAAGAAACTTAACTTCTTTAAACCTAGGGTTTCTGAGTATAGACTCTCTTCTTCCCACCCATCTGCCGATGCAGATTAAATCCTACAAAGAACGCATTGGGAACTCACGCTTTAAGGTGTCTTTCAACCTTTGCTTACAGAGCAGCAGTTCCTAACCTTTTCACCTTTTTGTTCTGTTTGCATGGTGAAGAGCACAGGCTGAGGCCAGATTGCCTAGGTTCAAGTGCTACCACATGCTACCTGTGTGACCTGGGATAAATCACTTTACCCATCTGTGCTCCCATTTCCTTTTTTATAGGAAACGATCATAGCTACTGAGATTGAATGAGTAAAACTCTTAGAAAAGTGCCTGAACATAGTGTTATGTAAACAGGTTAGATAGTACTATGATTACTCTCTGCACCCCATCCTAAGACAAGGCTTTGCATCAGATGTCTTGTGGGTTAATTTCCTCCATCGCTTGATTAAAGACTCAGTCACGCTGGGCGCGCTGGCTCATGCCTGTAATCCCAGCAGCTTGGGAGGCTGAGGTGGGTGGGTTGCTTGAGTCCAGGAGTTGGAGACCAGCCTGGACCACATGGCGAAACCCTGTCTCTACTAAAAAACTACAAAAAACTTTTAGCCAGGCATACACCTGTGGTGGCATACGCCTGTAGTCCCAGCTACACGGGAGGAGGTGGGAGAATCACCCGAGCCTGGGAGGTTGAGGCTGCAGTGAGCCAAGATAGCACCACTGCATTCCAGCCTGGGGAACTGGAGCGAGACCCTGTCTCGAAAAAAAAAAGAAAGAAAGAAAAGACACAGACACCATTTAGCACTTCTTTTTTTTTTTTTTTTTTTTTTTTTTTTTTTTTTTTTTTTGAGACGGAGTCTTGCTCTTATCACCCTGGCTGGAGTGCAGTGGCGCAATCTTGGCTCACTGCAACCTCAGCCTCCTGGGCACATATCTATAGTCCCAGCTATTGAGGAGGTTGAGGTGGGAGGATTACCTGAGCCCAAGGAGGCCAAGGTGCCAGTGAACCGTGACTGCATCACTTTACTCCTGCCTGGGTGACAGAGTGAGACCCTGTCACTTAAAAAAAAAAAAAAAAAAAAGGCGGGGGGGGCAGGCGTGGTGGCTCACACCTGTAATCCCAGCACTTTGCAAGGCCGAGGCTGGTGGATCACCTGAGGTTAGGAGTTCGAGACCAGCCTGGCCAACATAGTGAAACCCCATCTCTACTAAAAATACAAAAATTAGCTGGGCGTGGTGGCAGGCACCTGTAATCCTAGCTACTCGGGTGGCTGAGGCAGGAGAATCGCTGGAACCCAGGAGGCAGAGGAAGGTGATTCTGGAGTTGGGCTGCCAGTCTTTGTATCCTGACTTCCATGCACCTTAGCTGCGTGACCCTGAGGAAGCTCCTGAACTTCTCTGTGCTTTGGTTTCCTTGTCTGTAAAATGGAAATCATCTATTGTACCTATTCAGTGAGCTTGCTTGAGGCTTAAATGAAGTGATTCATGTAAAGTGTTTAGCACACTTTACATGGGATTCTATGTTCACTCTTGGGGGATTAGCAGTAAAGCTACTTTCCTTTGCTTTCCAGGTCCAGTTTGGCCATGCTGGAGCTTGTGCCAACCAGGCTTCTGAAACTGCAGTAGCCAAGAACCAGGCTTTGAAGGAAGCAGGAGTGTTTGTGCCCCGGAGCTTTGATGAGCTTGGAGAGATCATCCAGTAAGTGGACCTTGGGGAGGATGCCGGCCTCCCCCTCCTTTCCAAATCCCTCCTGAGACAGCAGCCTCTCCCACACAGGGACATCATGTATTCCTGGTCCCTCTCGGTGTCTAGCGCAGCTGTATGGATGGTTCAAAATCCTCTTTCTCTTTGGCTTTCCTTTTGTTTTATTTAGTTTGTGGAGGCAGTAGGTCTAGGCTGGTATTAAAATGTGTTGAGTTTCTGAGCCTACCTATTTGGCTGGGAGGTGGCAGCCATAGATGAGAGCGCCACATGAAAATGTTTAGAGAGTGTTATCTATGATTGATAGAGAGTTATTAGATATCCTGTGATCTCTTCCCATTTCTACCTCTTAAACCTGCCTGGACTCCCGGCTGTGTCCTTCCTTGCCATCCAGAGATTGGGACATGAGGTAGTAGGGAGCAGAGGGCAGGTGCAGTCTTGGCTAGAACTTCTTTTCATTTAGTTCTCAGAATTCAGCAGGTAAGAGTAAACTAAGAAACCTACAGTGTTTGGGTTAGATAGAGCATTCTTGGGATGTCTTACAGGAGCCCAAAATAAGAAAATCCACATGGATGTCTTTTTTTTCCTGCCTCCCAGGTCTGTATACGAAGATCTCGTGGCCAATGGAGTCATTGTACCTGCCCAGGAGGTGCCGCCCCCAACCGTGCCCATGGACTACTCCTGGGCCAGGGTAGGTGCCTTAAATGTCTCTAACAGTGTGAGCAAGGGAGATCTGTGGGTCTATGGTGGTGGGTTTCGCGTTGATTTGCCTTGAACTCTTGGAAACCAGGCCTTCTGTATTAGTCGGGGATCTCTTAGAGGGACAGAACTAATAGGATATATATATATAAAGGAGAGTTTATTAAGTATTAACTTACATGATCACAAGGTACCACAATAGGCTGTCTATAAGCTGAGGAGCAAGGAGAGCCAGTCCGAGTCCCAAAACTGAAGAACTTGGAGTCCGATGTTTGAGGGCAGGAAGCATCCAGCACAGGAGAAAGATGTAGGCTGGGAGGCTAGGCTGGTCTCTCTTCTTCACATTTTTCTGCCTGCTTTATATTTGCTGGAAGCTGATTAGATTATGCTCACTACACTAAGGGTGGATCTGCCTTCCCCAGCCCACTGACTCAAATGATAATCTCTTTTAGCAACACCTACACAGACACACCCAGGATTAATACTTTGTGTCCCTCAATCCAGTCAAGTTGACACTTTTGGAGGTCAAGGTGGAAGGACTGCTTGAGACCAGGAGTTGAAGGCTGAAGTTAGCCATGACTGTGCCACTGCACTCCAGCCTGGGTGACAGAGTGAGACCCTGTCTGTAATTTAAAAAAAAAAAAAAAAAAAGGGCTGGGCCTGGTGGCTCATGCCTGTAATCCCAGCACTTTGGGAGGCCAGGGTGGGCGGATCACCTGAGGTCAAAAGTTCGAGACCAGGCTGGCCAACATGGTGAAACCCCATCTCTACTGAAAAAATACAAAAATTAGCCAGGCGCGGTGGTGGGCTCCTGTAATCCCAGCTACTCGGGAAGCTGAGGCAGGAGAATTGCTTGAACCTGGGAGGCAGAGGTTGCAGTGAGCCAAGATCGTGCCATTGCACTCCAGCCTGGGCAACAAGAGCGAAACTCCGTCTCAAAAAAAAAAAAGGAGAGAGAGAGATAGAGAACATATTCATGTTGTTTTTGTAATAAAAATGTAACTGTAAAGCATTTTAAAAATTCATAGAGGATAATTGGAGAAATAGGATTGGACTAAATTGGCTGATTTGCCTCAACTCTGGAAATGGGAAATTCAGGAATTCAGTCCCCGTCCCCTGGGTAAAAGACATATTGAAGGGCTCCCCCATTTCTTTTTTTTTTTTCCTTTTTTATTTTTTATTTTTTTGTATTGATCATTCTTGGGTGTTTCTCGCAGAGGGGGATTTGGCAGGGTCATAGGACAATAGTGGAGGGAAGGTCAGCAGATAAGTGAACAAAGGTCTCTGGTTTTCCTAGGCAGAGGACCCTGGGGCCTTCCGCAGTGTTTGTGTCCGTGGGTACTTGAGATTAGGGAGTGGTGATGACTCTTAACCAGCATGCTGCCTTCAAGCATCTGTTTAACAAAGCACACCTTGCACTGCCCTTAATCCATTTAACCCTGAGTGGACACAGCACATGTTTCAGAGAGCACAGGGTTGGGGATAAGGTCACAGATCAACAGGATCCCAAGGCAGAAGAATTTTTCTTAGTACAGAACAAAATGAAAAGTCTCCCATGTCTACTTCTTTCTACACAGACACGGCAACCATCCAATTTCTCAATCTTTTCCCCACCTTTCCCCCTTTCTATTCCACACAACCGCCATTGTCATCATGGCTCGCTCGCAATGAGCTGTTGGGTACACCTCCCAGACAGGGTGGTGGCCGGGCAGAGGGGCTCCTCACTTCCCAGTAGGGGCGGCCGGGCAGAGGCGCCCCTCACCTCCCGGACGGGGCGGCTGGCCGGGCGGGGGGCTGACCCCCCCACCTCCCTCCCGGACGGGGCGGCTGGCCGGGCGGGGGGCTGACCCCCATCTCCCTCCCGGACGGGGTGGCTGCCGGGCGAAGACGCTCCTCACTTCCCAGACGGGGTGGCTGCCGGGCGGAGGGGCTCCTCACTTCTCAGATGGGGCGGCTGCCGGGCGGAGGGGCTCCTCACTTCTCAGACGGGGCGGTTGCCAGGCAGAGGATCTCCTCATCCCCACATCTCAGACGATGGGCGGCCGGGCAGAGACGCTCCTCACCTCCTAGATGGGATGGCGGCCGGGAAGAGGCGCTCCTCACTTCCTAGATGGGATAGCGGCCGGGCAGAGACGCTCCTCACTTTCCAGACTGGGCAGCCAGGCAGAGGGGCTCCTCACATCCCAGACTATGGGCGGCCAGGCAGAGACGCTCCTCACTTCCCAGACGGGGTGGCGGCCGGGCAGAGGCTGCAATCTCGGCACTTTGGGAGGCCAAGGCAGGCGGCCGGGAGGTGGAGGTTGTAGCGAGCTGAGATCACGCCACTGCACTCCAGCCTGGGCACCATTGAGCACTGAGTGAACGAGACTCCGTCTGCAATCCCGGCACCTCAGGAGGCCGAGGCTGGCGGATCACTCGTGGTTAGGAGCTGGAGACCAGCCCAGCCAACACAGCGAAACCCCGTCTCCACCAAAAAAATACGAAAACCAGTCAGGCGTGGCGGCGCGCGCCTGCAATCGCAGGCACTCGGCAGGCTGAGGCAGGAGAATCAGGCAGGGAGGTTGCAGTGAGCCGAGATGGCAGCAGTACAGTCCAGCTTCGGCTCGGCATCAGAGGGAGACCGTGGGGAGAGGGAGAGGGAGACCGTGGGGAGAGGGAGAGGGAGACCGTGGGGAGAGGGAGAGGGAGGGGGGCTCCCCCATTTCTTTAGCCACGTATCTCGTCCCCCCTTTTTTTTTTTTTTTGAGACGGAGTTTCACTTTTGTTGCTGAAGCTGGAGTGCAATGGTGCGATCTCTGCTCACTGCAACCTCCTCCTCCCAGATTCAAGCGATTCTCCTGCCTTAGCCTCCCGAGTAACTGGGGTTACAGACACATACCACCACGCCCAGCTAATTTTTGTAGTTTCAATAGATAATGGGGTTTCACCATGTTGGCCAGGCTGGTCTCGAACTCCTGACCTCAAGTGATCCGCCTGCCTTGGTCTCCCAAAGTGCTGAGATTACAGGCATAAGCCACTGTGCCCTGCCCCATTACGTTATTGTTATGGTTGGCAGCTATATCTGAAGTGTATGTAAGATTTTCCCTTTGGATTCATTTTACCATTTCTTACCCAGGTGACCTTGGGCTGGTTACTGAGCCTCTCTAAGCCTCATTTTTTTTTTTTTTTTTTTGCTATAACACAAGGAATGCTTCTCCTTTGTGAGGTTAAAATGAAGCAATGGGCTGGATGCAGTGGCTCACGCCTGTAATCCCAGCACTTTGGGAGGCCGAGGCAGGCGGATCATGAGGTCAGGAGATTGAGACCATCCTGGCTAAAACGGTGAAACCTCATCTCTACTAAAATTACAAAAAATTAGCTGGGCGTGGTGGCAAGCGCCTGTAGTCCCAGCTACTTGGGAGGCTGAGGCAGGAGAATGGCATGAACCTGGGAGGCGGAGCTTGCAGTGAGCTGAGATCGTACCACTGCACTCCAGCCTGGGCGACAGAGCAAGACTGCGTCTCAAAAAAAAAAAAAAAAAGAAGCAATGGACTGGGTCTCACGCCTGTAATCCCAGCACTTGGGGAGGCTGAGGTGGGAGAACTGCTTGAGCACAAGAGTTTAAGACCAGCCTGGACAGCATAGCAAGACCCTGTCTCTACAAAAAAATTTTAAAATTAGCCAGGCGTGGCGGTGCGTGCCTTGTTGCCCCAGCTACTGGGAGGCATAGCTGGGCAGATCGCTTGAGCCTAGCTAGGAGTTTGAGGCTGAAGTGAGCTATGGTCTCACCAGTGTACTCCAGCCTGGGCAACAGAGAGACTCTGGTCCCCCTCCAGAAATGAAGCAATGGATATGAACTGCTTAGGCTATTTCCTAGCCCAGCAAATGCTCAGGGAAGGATAGAAATAGAGCTGATAGTGCTGATGCCAAGTGGTGTCATGGGTCCTCCTGTTTTCTATGTCCAAAATGATCTAATGAAAGGGCTTTTGCACTTCTTTCTTGGGAAAACTTTGAGAGTTGTTACTTGGCTGCCAGAGTTTACGACATTCCTGGGGTGCTTTGGTTCTGAGAGTACACACAGCAGGGCAGTCCTGGAAAAATCTGTGGTGGTCACCAGGGCCCTGCTTCCCTCTTCCCCATCTCTGCCCAGGAGCTTGGTTTGATCCGCAAACCTGCCTCGTTCATGACCAGCATCTGCGATGAGCGAGGACAGGAGCTCATCTACGCGGGCATGCCCATCACTGAGGTCTTCAAGGAAGAGATGGGCATTGGCGGGGTCCTCGGCCTCCTCTGGTTCCAGAAAAGGTGAGCATGGAGGGCAGAAGATTACAGGGCCCTGCAGCTCAGAGTTAATGATTTTCCCCCAACAAAGGGGTGGGAGTGGACAGGCCTGGGGAGTGTGTCCAAGATCAATCTTTGGGGCCACAGGTCAATTGAGCGGCCAGAGGAAGGACACATAAACTATTCCTAAGTCTTCCAAGGACAGAAAGTCCAGTCACATGAGCCACTGCACCCAACCAAATGCAGATCTCTTGACAGCAAGATAGAGGTTAGGCAGGAGAGAACTGGAAAGATGTGGTGGCCTAAGGAGTGTGGGCCTGGTGGAGCTGCTGAACAGATAGAAAGTACCTTATGGGCTAGGCGCGGTGGCTCACGCCTGTCATCCCAGCACTTTGGGAGGCCGAGGTGAGTGGATCACCTGAGGTCAGGAATTCAAGACCAGCCTGGCCAACATGGTGAAACCCCATCTCTACTAAAAATACAAAAAGGTAGCCAGGCATAGTGGTGCACGCCTGTAATCCCAGCTAATCAGGAGGCTGAGGCAGGAGAATCACTTGAACCCGGGAGGTGGAGTTTGCAGTGAGCCAAGATCACACCATTGCACTCCAGCCTGAGCAACAAGAGCAAAAATATTCCGTCTCAAAAAAAAAAAAAAAAAAGTACCTTGTGTTCACTTTGCAAATTTGTTTCTCCCATCAGCTTGAATGTTAGAAAAAATTGGTTTTCTCTGCAACTCCCAATCTTAGCCCTCCCGTGGGACTGACGGCTGGGCAGGGGAGCCAGTGAGTATGTGATTCACAGAGCCCTGGGCTTAATGTGATGCTGGGCAGAAGGCCAGGTCAATGTCTTTGGTTGTGTCATGCCCTCACCTGCAGAGAGATGGGTCTTGGTCCTGCTTTGGACCCTTCCTGGGAAAAGTTCACGGGTTATAACACCTGAGCAGGTCTCTCTCTGTCTGCTCCTGCCTCCCACCTCTCCATACTTTGTTCCTGATTCTTAGTTGGGAGGTTGAATACTACAGGAATGAGGCATGGGGCCTCCTACACTGTGAAGGGACAGGGTTCTCACCTCCTGTCAGTCTGGCACATGGAGCATAGCCACAAATACAGGTCAAATCCTGGTACAGGCAACTCATGCTGAAAATCACTGATCAAAGAATAGATTCAAAACTCTGGTTTCAAACTCTGTTTTACAAACAGTATTTGGGGCCGGGCGCGGTGGCTCATGCCTGTATGTAATCCCAGCACTTTGGGAGGCCGAGGTGGGCAGATCACTTGAGGCCAGGAGTTCGAGATAGCCTGGCCAACATAGCAAAATCTCGTCTCTACTAAAAATACAAAAATTAGCCTGGCGTGGTGGTGCGTACCTGTAGTCCCAGCTACTTGGGAGGTTGAGGCAGGCAAATTGCTTGAACCTAGGAGGTGGAGGTTGCAGTGAGCCAAGATCACACTACTGCATTCCAGCCTAGGCGACAGAATGAGACTCTGTCTAAAGAAAAGAATCAGGAGGTTTTGCCTTAGAGTTGTGTGGTAGTATTAGACTTGGATTGGTAGTTACCCTTCTTGGATTTGAATGACTTGTTTAGGGAGATGGGGGAAAGTACGAGCATGGCCTTGTCGACCATCTCCTGGCCTTTGTTCCCCCCACTCCAGGTTGCCTAAGTACTCTTGCCAGTTCATTGAGATGTGTCTGATGGTGACAGCTGATCACGGGCCAGCCGTCTCTGGAGCCCACAACACCATCATTTGTGCGCGAGCTGGGAAAGACCTGGTCTCCAGCCTCACCTCGGGGCTGCTCACCATCGTAAGTACTGTCATCATGGGAGGTGAACAGTGGGGACACTGGGCCTTGGCCTCATGCTGCTTTGCCACAGCAGGGCCCTAGAAGGAGCCCCTGAGTGTAAAACCCAGTGCTCAGGGCCGTTCGGGACACACTGGGTTGGTTTGCCCAGCTGAAGGAAACTCTTAAAGCTCAAGGCAACACGCACTTGTTTCTCCTCCAGGGGGATCGGTTTGGGGGTGCCTTGGATGCAGCAGCCAAGATGTTCAGTAAAGCCTTTGACAGTGGCATTATCCCCATGGAGTTTGTGAACAAGATGAAGAAGGAAGGGAAGCTGATCATGGGCATTGGTCACCGAGTGAAGTCGGTGAGTTGTTACTCTCCTAAAAAAGTGGGATGGAGGCCAGGCGCGGTGGCCCATGCCTGTAATCACAGCACTTTGGGAGGCCAAGGCAGGTGGATCACTTGAGGTCGGGAGTTGGAGACCAGCCTGACCAACATGGAGAAACCCCGTCTCTACTAAAAATACAAAAAAATTAGCCAGGCGTGGTGGTGCATGCCTGTAATCCCAGCTACTCAGGAGGCTGAGGTAGGAGAATTGCTTGAACCCGGGAAGTGGAGGTTGTGGTGAGCCGAGATTGTGCCATGGCACTCCAGTCTGGGCAACAAGAGTGAAACTCCATCTCAAAAAAAAAAAAAAAAAAGTGGGATGGATCTACTGGGTGGGTGGTGATAGTGGGGGCATTAATTTATTTGGGAGAATACCTAAGCTTTCAACTCCAACATACAAAGCTTTGGATGTGTTGACAGATGCCAAATACAAAGCAGCTATTTTTTCCATGTTATAATACAGATTGCCCTTAACAGTTTTTCTGTCGTTCGCTTGCAGTATGGAAATAGCAGTTGAAATGAGATGGAAAACTTGGTAACTTTGGTTTCCCAAATGAATCTTATGGGTAAAAGGGCCAAGGTCAGGTTGAGGGGACATATTGGTCACCTTCGGCTAGATAATACCTCATTCCGCAGTAACAGACAACTCCAAAAATCTCAGTGGCTTACCACAGCAAAGGTTTATGTCTCATTCACACTACATCCACTGAGGGTTTGCTGTGCCTGTTCTCTGCCATCTGTGCCGAAAGAACAGCCGCCGTCTGGGATGTGCTGGCCTCACGTCAGCAGGATAACAGCAATGGCAGGACCACGTGCAGGCTCTTAAAGCCTTACATGATTCACCTTCACTCACATTTCATTGGCCACCGCAAGTCAAGTGGTTATTTGTGACATCACTGGGGCAGGAAGAGTGACAATATCAAGGCATATCTGATTGGGAGAGACCAGTGGGAAAGGACAGTAAATATTTGAAACAGTTTATATAGTCTCACACAGGGCCGGTCATTTCTATGTCCTTATATTGTGCTTTGGTTAGAAACCAAAGAGCAAGAGATGAGGTCACTGGCAGCTGCTCAGGGCCTTATGGGGACAGCTCCTTAGCAGATCCCTTTACCCTGGGCTCCTTGGCTCTGTAGCTCCAGCAACCTCATTTATTTGGTCACTCCACTGGCCTAGGTGGGGAGTATTAACATGAAGGTCATGCATGTGATTCAGGACACCACCTTCTAGGCAGCCAAACACTTGGCCATCTCAGGTGATACCCAGAGGTTGCTTGATGAGCAAGGACCAGCTCAGAACCAAGCAGGGAAGGTGGGTGGCTCTGAGGGACATTCCATCCAGGACTTGCTTGACTTTGCTCAGCCAGCCCCAGCTCCTGAGCATATAACAACATGCCTATGTACAGCACAGAGCCTCTTTCTAAGATAATGCTAGACTTGCACTCCACACTCACTCATTCACTCTTTGAGCTCCCCGCTTTCTAGAGGATGTACTGACCCAGCTATCTCTTTTGCTGAGGGCTGAAGTTGCTTTGGTATTCGATTTGGTATGTCCCTAGATCATCTTCCTCCCCAACTGACAGGTGGTTAATTTCATTCACAGCAGGTCTAGAGTTTTCCCTAAAATTTTGGGAATACTTTGCCTCCCCACACTAAACACGTGTTTGTTTAGTGTTGAACTTTGTCACAGCTTGAGTAGGCACAGAGCTGGCGGGGGCATGGCTGGAGGCTGGAACCTAAGACTCTTGAGTTGGAGAGTGGTTAACTTTCAGACCTCTGCTGCTCAACACTGTAGGACCTGGCCAGTTCCCTGAACATCTCAGGGCTCAGTTTCTTCTTTGCAACTTAAAAGTGAGAACCTACCAAGGTTGTTTTGTGTCCCAATTGAGATATGAGAGGACTTCAAAAGCCAGCCTCATGGCATTAGCACAATTGGTGCCACATGGAATGGTACACGTGGGCCAGGTTCCTGAATCGCCGCTGGGATATGTCCAGTTCTACCTACCTGTAACACAAGTATGAACAAACACATCCCAGCAGTGTGTGAGTGTTCCTCTGTACCGTTGGGTTCATTTCTAGATAAACAACCCAGACATGCGAGTGCAGATCCTCAAAGATTACGTCAGGCAGCACTTCCCTGCCACTCCTCTGCTCGATTATGCACTGGAAGTAGAGAAGATTACCACCTCGAAGGTAACAAAGAAAAAACTTCCTAATTCCCTCACGTTGGACAAGTTTATTGGAGGAAACAGGAGCCACGTTACATTTTGATTATGCAGCTAAAAGCAAACCTAGTTTTCTAGAAATGTTATTTTTGTTTCATAACTAAATTTAACAGACATGCACTAAATGTCAACTAGGTGTTGGGTACTTTGCTAGATGCTGGGAATTGAACTGAGTCAGACACAGTGTCGACCAGTGGGGCTGGTAGAAGGTTTTTAAATGATGGTCACAATTCGTAGTAATAGTAGTGACAGTGGAAAATTATGAAGAAAAAATGAGAAATAATGATAAATGCTTTGAATTTTTTTGCCTTCCCAGAAGCCAAATCTTATCCTGAATGTAGATGGTCTCATCGGAGTCGCATTTGTAGACATGCTTAGAAACTGTGGGTCCTTTACTCGGTGAGCATTGTAGCTGTTTTCTTCTTCATTACGTTTGTTGATTTTTGTTGTTTCCTCCAAACTATAAAAGTAATGCATACTCATAATAGAATATTTGAAAAATAAGGAGAGGTATAAAGAAGAAAACAAAAATTGCCTGTAATGCTACCACCCAGAGCACCCCTTTTCTTCTCATTCTTGGGCAGTAGTAGTACTGTCTGTGGGGAGGAGGGCAGTCACGTGAGCCTTTTAAAACTACAAGTTGATGTGTGTTGCAGGGAGGAAGCTGATGAATATATTGACATTGGAGCCCTCAATGGCATCTTTGTGCTGGGAAGGAGTATGGGGTTCATTGGTGAGTCCATTCGTTGTTGTTTTAAGTGTTTTTTTTTAAACCCCACGGTTCAGCTACACCACTTACTCATGGGGTTGAGTTTCTTTTTCTTTCTTTTTTTTTTTTTTTAATTTTCTTTTTGTGGTTCAGTTTCTACAGAAGAAATGTCATATCCTCTTAATCATTGTTCTTAATCTTTCCTTTCTTACTTTAACCTTTCCCCTTATCTTTATCATTGTTCCTTTGTTCTTAGAAATGATTGCTAGCCCAGGAAAATTTTTTTTTTTTTTTTTGAGACTGAGTCTTGCTCTGTCACCAGGCTGGAGTGCAGTGGCGCGGTCTCAGCTCACTGCAACCTCTGCCTCCCGGGTTCAAGCGATTCTCCTGCCTCAGCCTCCCAAGCAGCTGGGACTACAGGCGCATGCCACCACGCCTGGCTAATTTTTTGTATTTTTAGTAGAGACGGGGTTTCACCATGTTAGCCAGGATGGTCTCGATCTCCCAACCTCGTGATCTGCCCACCTCGGCCTCCCAAAGTGCTGGGATTACAGGCGTGAACCACCGTGCCCGGCCTATTTTTATTATTTATTTTATTTTATTTTTTCCCTTTAAAATTTTGTTTTAATTTAAAGGAAAATAGAATCAGATCCAGCAGCTCCCTTGTACAAAGTCCGCCTCATCTACCTATACAGTGGATTTGGACTAAACTTCCCACTGCTTTGTGTCTACTTTTTTTGTGTGTTAGAAAGATTTCCCTTCCTTAGCCTCTTCCTCTCACCAGGCTTATGAAGCTCTAATAAAAAAGATGTGTTTGCTTCATTTTAGGACACTATCTTGATCAGAAGAGGCTGAAGCAGGGGCTGTATCGTCATCCGTGGGATGATATTTCATATGTTCTTCCGGAACACATGAGCATGTAACAGAGCCAGGAACCCTACTGCAGTAAACTGAAGACAAGATCTCTTCCCCCAAGAAAAAGTGTACAGACAGCTGGCAGTGGAGCCTGCTTTATTTAGCAGGGGCCTGGAATGTAAACAGCCACTGGGGTACAGGCACCGAAGACCAACATCCACAGGCTAACACCCCTTCAGTCCACACAAAGAAGCTTCATATTTTTTTTATAAGCATAGAAATAAAAACCAAGCCAATATTTGTGACTTTGCTCTGCTACCTGCTGTATTTATTATATGGAAGCATCTAAGTACTGTCAGGATGGGGTCTTCCTCATTGTAGGGCGTTAGGATGTTGCTTTCTTTTTCCATTAGTTAAACATTTTTTTCTCCTTTGGAGGAAGGGAATGAAACATTTATGGCCTCAAGATACTATACATTTAAAGCACCCCAATGTCTCTCTTTTTTTTTTTTTACTTCCCTTTCTTCTTCCTTATATAACATGAAGAACATTGTATTAATCTGATTTTTAAAGATCTTTTTGTATGTTACGTGTTAAGGGCTTGTTTGGTATCCCACTGAAATGTTCTGTGTTGCAGACCAGAGTCTGTTTATGTCAGGGGGATGGGGCCATTGCATCCTTAGCCATTGTCACAAAATATGTGGAGTAGTAACTTAATATGTAAAGTTGTAACATACATACATTTAAAATGGAAATGCAGAAAGCTGTGAAATGTCTTGTGTCTTATGTTCTCTGTATTTATGCAGCTGATTTGTCTGTCTGTAACTGAAGTGTGGGTCCAAGGACTCCTAACTACTTTGCATCTGTAATCCACAAAGATTCTGGGCAGCTGCCACCTCAGTCTCTTCTCTGTATTATCATAGTCTGGTTTAAATAAACTATATAGTAACAATGAAGGCATACTGCTGGCTCCTGGCATCCATATCCTTTGATCTGTATTCCTTTGTAACTGTACTTTTTTCCAGACAGGGTATCACTCTGTCGCCCCAGGGCTGGAGTACAGTGGCACCATCACAGCTCACTGCAGCCTCCATCTCCTGGGCTCAAGCAGTCCTCCCACTCCAGCCTCCCAAGTAGCTGGGACTACAGGAGCATGCCACCACTCCAGGCTAACTTTTGTATTTTTTGTGGAGATAAGGTTCTGCTGTATTTCCCAGGCTCTTCTGGAACTCATGGACTCAAGCAATCCATCCTCCTTGGCCTCCCAAAGTGCTGTTACAGGCGTGAGCCACTGTGCCTGGCCTGGCCTGAACTGTACTAATAGTTTCAGTATATATGGTTTTAAAAATGCTCATCTACGGTCAGGCGTGGTGGCTCATGCCTGTAATCCCAGCACTTTGGGAGGCTGAGGCGGGTGGATCACGAGGTCAGCAGATCGAGACCATCCTGGCTAACACGGTGAAACCCCGTCTCTATTAAAAATACAAAAACTTAGCCAGGCATGGTGGCGGGCGCCTGTAGTCCCAGCTACTCCGGAGGCTGAGGCAGGAGAATGGCGTGAACCCGGGAGGCGGAGGTTGCAGTGAGCCGAGACCCGCGCCACTGCACTCCAGCCTGGGCGACAGAGCGAGACTCCGTCTCAAAAAAAAAAAAAAAAAAAAAATTAGCCTGGAGTGGTGGCGGGCGCCTGTAGTCCCAGCTACTCGGGAGGCTGAGGCACAAGAATCGCTTGAACCCGGGCGGCGGAGGTTGCAATAAGCGAAGAGCGCGCCACTGCACTCCAGCCTGGGCGACAGAGCGAGACTCCGTCTCAAAAAAAAAAAAAAAAAAAAAATTAGCCTGGAGTGGTGGCGGGCGCCTGTAGTCCCAGCTACTCGGGAGGCTGAGGCACAAGAATCGCTTGAACCCGGGCAGCGGAGGTTGCAATAAGCGAAGAGCGCGCCACTGCACTCCAGCCTGGGCGACAGAGCGAGACTCCGTCTCAAAAAAAAAAAAAACAAAAAACCCAAAACAAAACAAAAACAAAAAGAAACAAAAAAAAAAACGGATAACGAGTAACTCATTCATCCCTCATCCACTTAGCTGGGGCTAGATCTTATAAAAATCCTGTATTGCCACTCAAGGCTTTAACAACAGGTGATGGTCTAAGGTGGCTTTACTCGACAAAATGACTGCAGAGAGCATGCTACCCACTAAGGAAAGGAAGCGAGCCATACTCGCACCGACGCCCTGGGGGTAGGCCTGGGGCGAAGTCTTCTGGACTGGGCGACTGTTACTGACGGACCTCACCAAGGCAGGCAGAGCTGCTGGAGGCGAGGCGGCGCTGCTGGAGGCGAGGCGGCGCTGCTGGAGGCGAGGCGGCGCTGCTGGAGGCGAGGCGGCGCATGTGCGGCCGGCGGGCGACCTGGCCCCGCCCCGCGCGCACTATTTAATCCCAGAATCCCTCTGTGTCGTACCAACAGCCGCATCGTTCCGAGGCTGTGGAGGCCGGGCGCAGCGGCGTCAAGATGGCGGCTGCGGCAGTGGCGGCGGCGGCGGCGGCGGCCGCGGCTGCATCTCTTCAGGTACTGGAGATGGAGAGCATGGAGACGGCCGCCGCCGGCTCGGCAGGACTGGCCGCCGAGGTCCGAGGCAGCGGCACGGTGGACTTCGGGCCTGGGCCGGGGATCTCTGCAATGGAGGCGAGCGGGGGCGATCCGGGCCCAGAAGCCGAGGATTTCGAGTGCAGCTCTCACTGCTCAGAGCTGTCCTGGCGGCAGAACGAGCAGCGGCGCCAGGGCCTCTTCTGCGACATTACCCTGTGCTTCGGCGGGGCTGGAGGCCGCGAGTTCCGGGCCCACCGCTCGGTACTGGCTGCCGCCACCGAGTACTTCACGCCCCTGCTCTCGGGCCAGTTTTCCGAGTCCCGCTCGGGACGGGTGGAGATGCGCAAGTGGAGCTCCGAGCCGGGGCCCGAACCCGACACAGTGGAAGCCGTAATCGAGTACATGTACACCGGGCGCATCCGCGTCAGCACGGGCAGCGTGCACGAGGTGCTGGAGTTGGCCGACAGGTAGGCGAGGGAGGCGGGAGCGCGGAGGGCGGCGGGCGCGGAGAGGGGGAGATGCTCGCTGGCGGAGGGGAGGGCAGTGCCTGCCACGGCAGCTCGCGAGTCCTGAGTGAATGCATTGGTTTCACACTCGCTGAGCGCCTGCTTGGGGGCAGCCACCGCGGTGGGCGAGGAGGATGCACCATCAGGTCCGGCGAGGGCGCCCCGCGCCCAAGGAGCTCAGATACTAGGTGATGGGACAAAAGTGATGAAAAGGAAAGTCAGTATGTGGTAACTGTTGTGCTGACGTTCAAAAGGAATGAAAGGCTAGGGATTGAATAAAGATCTTTCTGAAGAGGTGAAGTTTAGATCGACCTCTGAATGTCAAAAAATAACTGACCGTGCAAAGATGGGGAATGAATATTCCAGACAGCGCAAACGCCCTCAGGCAGGATCCAGTTTGGCTTAGAGAAGAGAATTAAAATATAGTCCAGTGAGGCTGGATCTAGTGGATGAAGGGGAGAAGGATGCGTGAGATGCGTTGGAATAAGGAGTTTGGATTTCACTAAGTGTGATAGGAAGCTGGGTAAAGAAATAGCTCATTTAAATATTTTAATATTATTCTGCCACTGTGTTAAACGGATTGTAGGGAGCAGGAATGCTCCAGAGACTGGTTAGAAGGCAGGTAATACCGTTTATAGAGATGGAGAGGCGTTTGTTTTGGCAATTATCATCTTACAGATACATTAACAAAAATGCCTATTGAGCGCCTATTACGCATCAGCTCAGATGCGGGATTCTAAGGTGCTAGGGTTTCAGCAGTGATCAAAACAGACAAAAGTCCTTTTCCTTATCGCACTTAGGTTGGTAGATGGACGGTAAATAAGTAAAATGTATAGCCTGTTGGATGATTGTTAAATGTATAGCCTGTTGGATGATTGTCATCACTGATGAAAAATAAAGCATGGGGGGAGTACATAGAAACTGCTGGGGGAGAGGAAGTGTTTTCCAAATTGGGTGGATAGAGAATGCCCTATGAAGAAGACGTTTTGCTAAGAACCGAAGGAGGTAAGGTAGACTGTGTCAGGTAGGGGACACAGGTACAGAGGCTCTGAGGTGGAGCTTGTATGTTAGAGAACAGTGGGGAGCCAGTGTGGCTGTATCAAAGGGATGCAGGATGAGAGGAACAGGAGAAGCCCCAGGATGGTAATGGGCAGGGATCCAGATCCCGTAGGGCCTTGATGGCCTGTGGAAGGACATGAGCTTTTACTCTGATTGAAATGGGAAGGTTTGGGGCAGAGGAATGATGCAGTCTGATTTGATGAATAGTGCTGTGCTGAAAAAAGGATGTGGCGGCCAGGCGCGGTGGCCCACGCCTGTAATCTCAGCACTTTGAGAGGCCGAGGTGGGTGGATGCTTGAGGTCAGGAGTTCGAGACCAGCCTGGCCAACATTGTGAAACCCCTGTCTCTACTAAACGTACAAAAATTAGCCGGGCGTGGTGGTGTGCCTGTAATCCCAGCTGTTGGGGAGGCTGAGACACAAGAATCGCTTGAGCCTGGGAGGTGGGAGGCTGAGGTTGCAGTAAGCTGAGATTGCGCCGCTCTACTCCAGCCTGGCGGACAGAACAAGACTCTGTCTCAAAAAAAAAAAAAAAAAAGAACAAAGGATGTGGCATTGGGGAGGAGGGGGCACCAAGGGCAGACGCAGAGAGACTAGTGTAGGAGGTTGTGGCAGTGGTGGTGGAGGCTTCGATTGAGGAGGGAGAAGTAAAGGTGATGAGAACTGCTCTGGTTCCAGATATATTTTGAAAGTGGATGAGATGAATTTGCTGATGGATTTGACGTGGGGTATAAGGGAAAAGACTGCTACCTTTTTGACCCAAGCAATGGGAAGGATGGAATTATTAAGATGTGGAAGATTGCAGAAGAGCCTGTTTGGGAGTAAGATCAGGAGTTTTTGGATTTGGTTAAGGAGATCCCTGGGAAGTGCATGGGAGCTAGAGATACAGATTGGGGAAAATTACCGTATAAATGGTAACTAAAGCCTTGGGGCTGGATGGTATTACTTAAGGAGTATACATAGAAAAGGGGCAGCGGGGAGAGAGTAGGCAAGACTGAGCCCTGGGGTTCTCTAGAATGTAAAATAGCCGGCTGGGCGAAGTGGCTCACGCCTGTAATCTCAGCACTTTGAGAGGCCGAGGCAGATGGATCACTTGACCAGCCTGGCCAACATGATGAAACCCCATCTCCACTAAAAATACAAAAATTAGGCCGGGCGCGGTGGCTCACGCCAGTAATCCTAGCACTTTGGGAGGCCGAGGTGGGCAGATCACGAGGTCAGGAGATCGAGACTATCCTAGCTAACATGATGAAACCCCGTCTCTACTAAAAATACAAAAAAAAAAAAAATTAGCCAGGCATGGTGGCGGGTGCCTGTAGTCCCAGGTACTCAGGAGGCTGAGGCAGGAGAATGGCGTGAACCCAGGAGGCAGAGGTTGCAGTGAGCTGAGGTCGTGCCACTGCACTCCAGCCTAGGCAACAGAGTGAGACTCCATCTCAAAAAAAAAAATAAATAAATACAAAAATACAAAAATTAGCAGGGCGTGGTGGCAGGTGCCTGTAATCCCAACTACTCAGGAGGCTGAGGCAGGAGAATTGCTTGAACCCGGGAGGTGGAGATTGCAGTGAGCTGAGATTACGCCACTGCACCCCAGCCTGGGCAACAGAGTGAGAGACTGGATCTCAAAAAAAAAAAAGAATCTTAAAGAGGAGACTGATCTCATGGAAACGTAGAAAAGAAGGATATCAAGGAGGGAGTAGCCAGTCGTGTCAACTCTGTCAACCCATTAGTGATGGTTGCAGGTCAGAGATGCCATTGACAAGAGCTGTTAAGCCTTGCTTTATAAAGAGGATCAGAAACGTGTAAATGTTTTGGGGGACAATCCCACCAAGGTAAAAGATACTAGAGCATGTCTGTGTGCTGCTGAAAATGATTCAGTAGAAGATGAGTAATTGGTGTTACAGGAGCAGGGGAATAATTGCAGGAGTAAAGTCCTTGCAACCAAGAAGGGAACTGTCGGGATGGAAGAGGGGTGATCCCTTTCCTCCCTCTCATAAAGGGGTCACAGCTGACATTCTTTTTTTTTTTTTTTTTTTTTTTTTGAGACAAGAGTCTCGCTCTGTTTCCCAGGCTGGAGTGCAATGTCGCAATCTCGGCTCACTGCAACCTCTGCCTGCCGGGTTCAAGCGATTTTCCTGCCTCAGCCTCCCAAGTAGCTGAGATTACAGGCATCTGCCAGCACGCTCGGCTAATTTTTGTATTTTTAGTAGAGATGGGGTTTCACTGTATCGGCCAGGCTGGTCTCGAACTCCTGACCCGCCTTGGCCTCCCAAAGTGCTGGGATTACAGGCGTGAGCCACCGCACCTGGCCACAGCTGACATTCTTATAATAAAAGACAGGTTATATAGGACAGAGAAAAGCATAGCAGATTATTACAGGCACATTTGTGCTCGAGAGTCATACAAAATATGAAAACTCTAAGGGTGACTGAAGTTTTTATACCATCCTGTGGTTATAGAAAGGAATAGGGGCTTGGAATGCATCAAGACAGGTTATGGGAGAGCCAGGAGAGGAAAGCCTGGCAAGCACAGGCTGTCCTGTTATGCAGGTGAAACCTCACGGGCAGCAGCTGTCAGAAAAAATGGATGTAGCCTGTGGGAAAAGTTTCTGTCAGATCTTTAAAGTGTCAGACCTTAGCCTCCTTAGTTTTTCCTGTGAGTGCGTCTTTCCTCGATCTGAGTAAGGGGAGGCCTCAGAGAAAGCCTGTTTGCATCCCTGTTTTCCTTGCTGTTTACCTCATTAATGTAGATTTTCTCTACAGATGCAAATCGCCCCCACAAAAGACAGCTCTTCAAAGCTATTCCTGTGGTTTCGGCCCCTCTGAATATGTCAAATGAGTATATTTTGGGGTGAAATATTCTGGTTATTCTTCAGTGTAGAATCCATATTAAAATTGGAATGGTTGGACTGCAAAGTATAGGGTACAACTGCTGGTGGATTGGGTGGTGGGAAGATGAAGTTCCTGCTTGATTGTCTCTGTTTTCTCAAGAGGCTGGGTCATCAATGAGAAGGTGGAGTGGGATGGGCATAGCTCTGAGGGAGAGAGGTTTGTTGCATGAAAATGGGTGGAAAAGGGTCATTGCACTCACTCAAACCTAGGTTTGATTCTGTCATATCATCTTGAGTTTGTCAGATTTGCTCCTGCTCTATTGGGGAGTTAGAGGAGAGGAGACGATACTCTGGGCATTTTACTAAAAACTCTTAACTTCTCTCCATCTGTCAGCAGCTAAGCCAATGGCTTTTGTCAGGCACTGTTCAAAGTGCCCTGCAACCATCACATTTAATCTTCCCATCAGCTCTGAGGCAGGACCCGCCCCCACCCCCCCCAAAACCCCTAAGTACATATGTCTGTTGATGATCATGCCTGCCTCACTGGGCATTTGTAAGGATCAGAAATATAATAATAGGATGTGCACAATGCCCCTCACATGACAGATGCCAAGTGTATGACAGCTATTTTCATAGAGCATTGCTTCCAGACACTTAAGGGAATTTGTCTCCAAATTACCTGGAGTGCCTGCTAAAACTAGGAGCCCAGGGCAGCCTGGGAATCAGGTGACACTGGCACCCAGACATGTCTGGGAGCCACTATATCCCATACCACTCTACTTTGTCTTTGCTTTATCTCTAAAATGATATGTTCTCTTAAAAGAGTGAAGGGAGCCTGCCTTATTGATTTTCATATCATAGTTAAGAGAGTTACTAAGCACAGTCACTAATAACAAACGGTTACTGAATTGCGAGAGGCCTGAATTGATGAAGTGATTCTTAATCTTGTTTAAGGTTCTTCTCGGTTCTGGGGACTTAGTCTTTTTAAAGCAGTGGTCTCAAATTGGCTATCCTCAGGCTGATTGCTGCCAGATTTATGAATTTGTCTGAAACGATTGTGGTTTTTTTAAATTAAACTTTAAATGGATTTAGGTGAGCAGACAATATCTAGTCAGCTACATGCCAGATCACTTTCTTTTGTTTTTTAACCTACACATGCTTTGTACTATGTCGCCCAGGATGGAGTGCAGTGGCGTGATCTCAGCTCACTGCAACCTCTGACCCCAGGTTCAGGCAATTCTTATGCCTCAGGCTCCTGAGTAGCTGGGATAACAGATGCACGCCACCACGCCCAGCTAATTTTTGTTGTTGTTGTTTTGTTTTTTGTTTTTTGTTTTTTTGAGATAGCATCTCATTCTGTCGCTGGAGTGCAGTGGCATGATCTCGGCTTACTGCAACCTCCACCTCCCGGGTTCAAGCGATTCTCCTGCCTCAGCCTCCTGAGTAGCTAGGATTATAGGTACCTGCCACCACGCCCAGCTAATTTTTTGTATTTTTAGTAGAGACGGGGTTTCATCATGTTGGCCAGGGTGGTCTCGAACTCCTGACCTCAGGTGATCCACCCACCTCAGCCTCCCAAAGTGTTGGGATTATAGGCCTGAGCCACTGCACCTGGCCTGAACCACTGCGCCCAACCCTACACAATTTTTTTGTTGTGTTTTTGTTTTGTTTTCTGCTTCTTCAGATGTTTGAGTTTGCTTTGCATCCCTGCTTTGATGAGAACCCAATTCAGGACAAATCTTCTCAGTACCCCATCCCCTCTGGCTGCCCAAAGAAAAAGCTCTGGTGACGAGATTAAAACCTCTGACACAGGGAGTATATATTCAGGGCAACTTGAATCTATGATCCTGGAGAAAAATTTAAAAATGAAATAAAACCTCTAGCAGAAAGCCTAAATCTGAGTAAGGGGGGCGTTCCTTCTGATATCTGACTGAGCAGATCCCCAAAGAAGTTCCTGCCTGGCTGTTACTTTATACCATAAAGTCCCTTCACTTAGACCCTGTTTCATTTAAGAGGAGGCTGGTGGGCTGGGCATGGTGGCTCACACCTGTAATCTCAGCACTAAAGTGGGCAGATTGCTTGAGCTCAGGAGTTTAAGACCAGTCTGGCCAACATGGCAAAACCTTGTCTCTACAAAAAAATACAAAAAAAAAAATTATCTGGGTGGCCAGGCACAGTGGCTCACGCCTGTAATCCCAGCACTTTGGGTGGCCGAGGTGGGTGGATCACCTGAGGTGAAGAGTTCGAGCCCAGCCTGGCCAACATGATGAAACCCTGTCTCTACTAAAAATACAAAAATTTAGCTGGGTGTGGTGGCAGGTGCCTATAATCCTAGCTGCTCGGGAGGCTGAGGCAGGAGAATCGCTTGAACCCGGGAGGCGGAGGTTGCAGTGAGCCAAGATTGTGCCATTGCACTCCAGCCTGGGCAATAAGAGCGAAACTCCATCTCGGGGAGAAAAACAACAACAACAACAACAACAACAACAACAAAAAATATATATATATATATCTGGGTTTGGTGGCATGTTCCTGTAGTCCCAGCAACTTGGGAAGTTAAGGTGGGGGAATCACTTGAGCCCTAGAGGTCGAGGCTGCAGTGAGCCATGATTGCACCACTGCACTCCAGCCTGGGTAACGGTGAGAATCTGATCTGTCTCAAAAAAAAAAAAAAAAAAAAAAAGAGGCTGGTGACTAGCAAGGAATTAGGAAAGGATGGCAAAGACAAGTTTGGATAGGGATTTGCCTTTGCCAAGGACAAATTAAAGTGAAAATAAAGTGTGTGGCCGGGCGTGGTGGCTCACGCCTGTAACCCCAGCACTTTGGGAGGGCGAGGCAAGTGGGTCACCTGAGGTCAGGAGTTTGAGACCAGCCTGGCTAACATAGTGAAACCCTATTTCTACTAAAAATACAACAAATTAGCCAGATGTGGTGGCGCGCGCCTGTAATCCCAGCTACTCGGGAGGCTGAGGCAGGAGAATCGCTTGAACCCAGGAGGCAGAGGTTGCAGTGAGCAGAGATCGCGCCAGTGTACTCCAGCTTGGGCAGCAAGAGTGAAACACCGTCTCTAAACAAAAGAGAAGAAAAACCTCCAGCCAGACACAGTAGCATGTGCCTGTAGTCCCTGCTACTCTGGAAGCTGAGGCAGAAGGATTGCTTGAGCCCAGGAGTTTGGGGCTGTAGCGCACTGTGATCGCACCTGTGAACAGCCACTGCAGCATAGCAAAACCCTGTCTCTTAAAATAAAAACTCTATTTTGTGTTTTTATATATGTATATGTGTGTATATATGTATGTATTTCACATATATGATAGGTAATTATATAAACTAATATAAATAATACTTTATATTTTATATATAAATAAGATTTTTATATATGCTTTTTTTTTTTTCTTGAGACAGAGTCTTGCTGTGTTGCCTAGGCTGGAGTACAGTGGTGCGATCCTGGCTCACTGCAACCACTGCCTCCTGGGTTCAAGCCATTCTCCTGCCTCAGCCTCTGGAGTAGCTGGGATTACAGGTGCCCGCCACCATGCCCAGCTAATTTTTTTGTATTTTTAGTAGAGACAAGGTTTCACCATGTTGGCCAGGCTGCTTTCGAACTCCTGACCTCATGGTCCACCCGCCTTGGCCTCCCAAAGTGCTGGGATTACAGGCGTGAGCCACTGCGCCCGGCCTGTATACGCTTTTTTTTAAAGAGACAGTCTTGCTATGTTGCCCAGGCTGGAGTGCAGTGGCTATTCACAGGCACGATTATAGCTTACTGCAGCCTTGAACTCCTGACCTCAGCCAATCCTCTTGCCTAAGCCCCCTGAGTAGTTGAGACTACAGGCATGCATCTCCCTGCCCAGCTCTATATGTGCTTTTTATTTTTATTTTTTTGAGACAGAATCTCGCTCTGTCACCCAACCTGGAGTGCAGTGGCGCAATCTCAGCTCCCTATAACCTCTGCCTCCCAGATTCAAGTGATTCTCCTGCCTCAGCCTCCCGAGTAGCTGGGATTACAGGTGCCCACCACCATGCCCAGCTAATTTTTGTATTTTTATTAGAGACAAGGTTTCACCATGTTGTTGGCCAGCCTGGTCTCAAACTCCTGACTTCAAGTGATCTGCCTGCCTCAGCCTCCCAAAGTGCTGGGATTACAGGTGTGAGCCACTGCGCCCAGCCATGTGCCTTTTTTTTAAAGAGACTTGGTTTTGCCATGTTTCCCAGGCTGGTCTTGAACTCCTGGCTCAAGCGACCCTCAGCTTCCCAAAGTGCTGGGATTATAGGTGTGAGCCCCCATGCCCAGCGTATATGTGCTTTTAAACATACTTTGCCAGCACAATATTTTCTAATTTGGTGGTGTTTTTTGTTGTTGTTGTTGTTGTTGCTGTTGTTTTCAGATTTTGTGTGTAAAGTGAGATTAATCTAACTATTTCCATATGTATAATTTAGATGCTCTCGAAATGTGACCATAGGCTGGGTGTGGTGGCTCACACCTGTAATCCCAAACACTTTGGGAAGCAGAGGCAGGAGGATTGCTTAAAGCAAGGAGTTCAAGACCAGTGTAGACAATATAGTGAGACCCCATCTCTACAAAAAAATAATAATTTTTTTAAATGTAGGCCATGGCCAGGCACAGTGGCCCACGCCTGTAATCTCAGCACTTTGAGAGGCTGAGGTGGGTGGATGCTTGAGGTCAGGAGTTCGAGACCAGCCTGGCCAACATGGTGAAACCCCATCTCTACTAAAAATACAAAAATTAGCTGGGTGTGGTGGCACACGCCTGTAATCCCAGCTACTTGGGAGGCTGAGGAAGGAGAATTGCATGAGCCTGGGAGAAGGGTGTCGCCGTGAGCCAAGATTGTGCCACTGCACACCAGCCTGGCCGATAAAGTGAGACTCTGTTTTTTTGGAGTTTTTTTTTGGGGGGGGGATGGTGTAGGCCGGGCATGGCAGCTCACACCTGTAATCCCAGCACTTCGGGAGGCCGAGGGAGGCGGATAACTTTGAAGTCAAGAGTTCGAGACCAGCTTGGCCAATATGGTGAACCCTGTCTGTCTCTACTAAAAGTACAAAAATTAGCTGGGTGTGGTGGCACACGCCTGTAATCCCAGCTACTTGGGAGGCTGAGGCAGGAGAATTGCATGAGCCTGGGAGACGGAGGTTGCCATGAGCCAAGATTGTGCCACTGCACACCAGCCTGGCCGATAAAGTGAGACTCTGTCTCAAAAAAAAAAAAAAATGTAGGCCGGGCACGGCAGCTCACGCCTGTAATCCCAGCACTTTGGGAGGCCAAGGCGGGCGGATCACTTTGAGGTCAGGAGTTTGAGACCAGCCTGGCCAATATGGTGAAACCCTGTCTCTACTAAAAATACAAAAATTAGCTGGACATGGTGGTATGCCCCAACTACTCAGGAAGCTGAGGCAGGAGAATCGCTGGAACCCAGGAGGTAGAGGTTGCAGTGAGCCGAGATCACGCCACTGCACTCCAACCTGGGTGGCAGAGTGAGACCCTGTCTCAAAAAAAAGAAAAAAGTAACCACATAAAATATGCACATTTGAAAAATTAATCTTTTCTCTTTTTCTTGATTTTAGGTTCCTACTCATTCGTTTAAAAGAATTTTGTGGAGAATTTCTCAAGAAAAAACTTCATCTCTCAAATTGTGTGGCAATTCATAGCTTAGCACACATGTACACCCTGAGCCAACTTGCTCTGAAGGCTGCTGATATGATACGGAGAAATTTCCACAAAGTGATTCAGGATGAAGAATTTTATACGTTACCTTTCCATCTCATTAGAGACTGGCTTTCAGATTTGGAAATTACAGTTGATTCTGAAGAGGTTCTCTTTGAAACCGTTTTGAAATGGGTTCAGAGAAATGCTGAAGAGAGAGAGAGATACTTTGAAGAACTTTTTAAATTGCTCAGGTTGTCCCAGATGAAACCTACCTACCTTACTCGACATGTCAAACCAGAGAGGCTGGTAGCCAATAATGAAGTTTGTGTCAAGTTGGTCGCTGACGCAGTGGAGAGACATGCTCTGAGAGCTGAGAATATACAATCTGGCACATGCCAGCACCCCACTTCTCATGTGTCACTATTGCCTCGTTATGGGCAAAACATGGATGTGATCATGGTTATTGGAGGTGTGTCAGAAGGAGGGGACTATTTAAGTGAATGTGTGGGATACTTTGTTGATGAGGACAGATGGGTAAATCTGCCACATATTCATAATCACCTCGATGGACATGCTGTTGCAGTAACAGAATCCTACGTGTATGTTGCTGGATCAATGGAGCCAGGGTTTGCTAAAACTGTAGAAAGGTATAACCCAAATTTGAATACATGGGAACATGTTTGTAGTCTGATGACAAGAAAGCATTCTTTTGGACTAACAGAAGTCAAAGGGAAGCTCTATAGCATTGGAGGACATGGCAACTTTAGTCCTGGTTTTAAAGATGTGACTGTTTATAATCCTGAGCTTGATAAATGGCACAACTTGGAATCGGCACCAAAGATTCTTCGAGATGTCAAAGCACTAGCCATTGAAGACCGGTTTGTATACATTGCCGCCCGCACTCCTGTAGACCGGGACACTGAAGATGGATTAAAGGCTGTAATTACTTGCTATGATACAGAGACTCGACAGTGGCAAGATGTGGAATCTTTGCCGCTTATTGACAATTACTGCTTTTTCCAAATGTCTGTGGTCAATTCAAACTTTTATCAGACAGCATCATGTTGTCCCAAGAGTTATTGTTTAGAAAACGAAGAGGCAGTAAGAAAAATTGCCAGCCAAGTGTCTGATGAGATCCTTGAAAGCTTGCCTCCAGAAGTCCTAAGCATCGAAGGAGCAGCCATTTGCTATTACAAAGATGATGTCTTCATTATAGGAGGCTGGAAAAACAGTGATGATATTGATAAACAGTATCGGAAAGAAGCCTACCGATATTGTGCGGAGAGGAAGAGGTGGATGCTTCTTCCTCCTATGCCACAACCTCGTTGTAGAGCCACTGCTTGTCACGTGAGGATCCCATACCGGTACTTGCATGGCACACAGAGATACCCTATGCCTCAAAACCTGATGTGGCAGAAGGACCGCATCAGACAGATGCAAGAGATACATCGTCACGCCCTGAACATGAGGCGAGTGCCAAGCTCTCAGATTGAATGCTAGGTTCTCTCAAGCGTGCCGATTAAAACTGTTACACCCGTTTCGTGAAGCTGAAGATACCCAGGCTGTTATTTAAAAAAGTATGTCGATAACTTATTTTCTACATGAACTGATTATTACCCCATATAAAGGAAATAGAGTTAAAAACTAAAGAATGGGAGACTCAGTTCAATACATGGTCATTTTGTTAGCTTGCAATTTTTGTCTTTGGTTTGTTTGTTTGTGCTAGCTAAATAAGATCTTATTAAGGACAAGTGGAAAAATCAGGTGTAGTTGCTTAGCTGTTTTCCTGCCAACGAGTTATGACTCCTTTGTCTTGAGGACTTACGTTTTGAACATGCTTTAAGCACCAATTTTATTTGCACATTTACTTTGATATTCTTTTTCATTTTTTATTAAATGATTGGTTTTGGCAAGATCTGACTTCTGCATTGAGCCCTCATCTGCAGGAGGCATGTGCAATAGTGAGACTGAAATTTGAATGAAAACACTCAATATTTC
Source organism: Homo sapiens (assembly GCF_000001405.40). Taxonomy (NCBI): domain Eukaryota; kingdom Metazoa; phylum Chordata; class Mammalia; order Primates; family Hominidae; genus Homo; species Homo sapiens. The sequence continues at coordinate 41,853,241 of NC_000017.11, read as the reverse complement.
AGCAAGATAATTTGAGAATGTTTGCATTGATATTTTCTTATGTTTATCTAGAAATGCCAGTTTCCTTCCTAGAAGATGTGACTGATGAGAAATTTTTTACTGGCTCATGCATTTTTTGAATATTTTTCATTAGCAGCTGTTTATAGACTTTAAGCCTTCAATCTGAGGTGACGGTAGTTGGCAAAAGTATAGATCTTTAGCTAATTGACTAAATACAGAGCAAGTTACATGTGTGAACTTTGTTTCTCTAAGAAGAAAAGTATTAGTGTAGACTGGGAAATCAAAGGCATTTAAAATTTTTTCAACATTTTTTTCAGGAGTTGCAGGATTATTTGAGGATATGTTAATGAGTGTAAATAATGCCTATGACAATCGACACTCAATGCCTTCCATTTTAATTTTTGCTCTAATGCATATTATATAGAATCTTCATTATTCCTTTTCTCTTTTTTTTTTTTTTTTTGCTCATGTTGCCCAGGCTGGAGTGCAGTGGTGCAATCTCGGCTCACTGCAACCTCTGCCTGCCAGGTTCGAGTGATTCTCTTGCCTCAGCATCCCGAGTAGCTGGGATTACAGGTACCCACCATCACGCCTGGCTAATTTTTGTGCTTTTAGTAGAGACAGGGTTTCACCATGTTGACCAGGCTGGTCTTGAACTCCTGACCTCAGGTGATACGCCCGCCTCAGCCTCCCAAAGTGCTGGGATTACAGGCATGAGCCACCGTGCCCAGTCCATTATTCTTTTCTACAAGAAACTGTTTTTTTCCAAAATGGGAAGGAAGTCACAATTTAGAGAAATGTTGCTAAAGAGAAGCCTTATTATTTCTGATTGTTATATTTTATCCAGTTGCCCCACACTTTCAAACTTTGCCTGAGCCTAGGATACCAAATTTGGGTACATAATTTTGGCTTTTAAAGGTTTATGGGCTGGGCACGGTGGCTCATGACTGTAATCCCAACACTTTGGAGGAGGCTGAGGTGGGCAGATTTTGAGCCCAAGAGTTCAAGACCAGCCTGGGAAACATAGCAAGATCCTGTCTCTACAAAAAGTAGAAAAATTAGCTGAGTGTGGTAGCTGGCACGTGCCTGTAGTCCTTCCTACTTGAAGCCAAGGTGGGAGGATCACCAGAGCCTGGGAAGGTTGAGGCTGAAATGAGCTGTGATCATGCCACTCTACCTTGGGTGACAGAGAGACGGTGTCTCAAATAAAAATTAAAAAGATCACTGAAGCTATCTTTTATTTAGTTTTATACGTTATTCGAATTATCTTATGTCTCCTGAGCTTTATAAAAGTTAGCACTCAAATTGACTTTTTTTTTTTTTTGGGCCAGGGGATGGGGTCCCACTTTGTCACCCAGGTTGGAGTACAGTGGTATGATCTCGGCTCACTACAACCTCCACCTCCTGGATGCAAGCCATCCTGCCACCTCAGCATACGGAGTAGCTGGGACTATGGGCACGCGCCACCACGCCCAGCTAATTTTTTTTTTGTATTTTTGGTAGAGATGGGGTTTCTCCATGTTGCCGAGGCTGGTCTCCAACTCCTGGGCTCAGGAGATCCACCCGTATCAGCCTCCCAGGGTGCTAGGATTAGGTGTGAGCCACCACGCCCGGCCTCAAAATAACTTTTTTTTTTTTTTTTGAAACAGTCACGCTTTGTCGCCCTGGCTGGAGTGCAGTTGCGCAGTCTCAGCTCACTGCAACCTCCACCTCCCGGGTTCATGTGATTCTCCTGCCTCAGCCTGCTGAGTAGCTGGGATTGCAGGTGTGTACCACCACGCCCGGCTAATTTTTGTATTTTTAATAGAGATGGGGTTTCACCATGTTGGTTAGGCTGGTCTCGAACTCCTGACCTCGTGATCCGCCCACCTCAGCCTCTCAAAGCGCTGGGATTACAGGCATGAGCCACCATGCCCAGCCCTCAAATTTACTCTTAATGCTCAGTTAATATAAAGGATTCCTAACAGTTTACAATGTGGTTTTCTTGTTTTTGTTGTTGTTTTGGTTTTTTAAGATGTGAGGTCTCACCTTATTGGCCAGGCTGGTCTCAAGCTCCTTTCCTCAAGCAATCCTCCCACCTTGGCCTCCCAAAGAGCCACCTGTCCAATGATTTATCCTGTTTCTTAAGAACTGTCTTTACCTTCTTAGACATTTTGTCATACCATTCTAGAAGTCAAATTCCAAGTGCAGTGATTTTTTTTTTCCCTAGTCCATTATAGTTAATCTTCTTGTTAGTGATCAAATACCAAAAGAGAAAAGCACAACCAGAAATTTTGGCTATTTGCTGCAAGTTGTAGGTCTTGGGCTCTATACTAAGAACTTGAAATTTTTAAATTAGTATCCCTGCCTAGGTGAAAAGTTTTTAATAAATGTGTTGAAAATCAACTTTAAATCCATTTAATTTAGACTGGAGTGGGCGTGAGAAACTGCAAGTCTATTTCTACATATAAGGATATATTATTATATTGTCCCATCCCACCACTACCTTTTTCTCAATTTCTATTTCTTTGTAGTTATTTTAGTAAAAGCCATTTGGATTCTGAGAAGCACTAATTCTTAGCTGTGATAGGTCTATGCAAGTAAGACAGAATCATTAAATGAAGCTCACTAAATGAAGTTCTCATTTCTCTCCAACAGACTGTGCTAGCAAACTTCGTTTTCTTGATTGTATTTAAATAATTTAGTATCTCACTACGATAATAGTTTTTAACTGGAAGGGTGTGATGTGTTTTTTGTTTTTTGTTCTCAGAGTTGTCTTCTGAGATAATTATTACCAAGTCATTTGTGGGGTTGTGTTTTTTTCACATCATGTGACAGAAATTATAACTCATAAGATTTAGGCATAATCTGGTTTTAAAACCTTGATTGAAACTGTTGTTTTTTAACTTAGCAGGCAGCCTAGGCCATGGCTGAAAAGAAGGGGTAAGTCCTTCATTGCATGATGATGTGTGCAGGTTTTCCTGATTTTCTAATTTTTATTTTTGAATTCACATGTGTAATTTCACATCAATAACTTGTGTTTCTGAAATATCCTAACTAACTTGTTAATAAGGAAAGAAACCAGATTTGCTTAAATCTGTTCAAGGCTGACATTCTGAAATTCTAAACTGGAAATAACTTCCCAGAGTATTTGGAAAGGTTCTAAGTACAAGGATCAGGCCTAAAATAGCTCCTTGGGAAAGAAATTTCCTTTTTGATGAGAAAACTTAAAATATTGTTTTTGGTAATGTAAGCAGTTAAAAACATGACTTTAGAAAGACAGCTTAATGCGTATTCAAGCAAACCTTTGTTTTGTTGCTTTTGCTTTTGTTTGTAGAAGAGAGAGGAAGTTATTATACCAAAAAGTAATAGTATATGTAACTTTGAGTGAGGCTACTTATATCTTAGAATGGGTATCCTTGAACTATATCTACCCCACCATGGCTTAAAAAAATCAGTGGTATATATTGAGAATGTCAGTCATGAGCTTAGTGTTTAAGTAACACATCCCACTTACAGTTGTTTGCATGATTAGTCTTGTGTATCATGATGTTCAACTTTGCTTTTGCTGTGCCAGTTCAAAAATATCTTTTTTGCTAAAAACTCTTAAAATTCATGACATAAGTTTTGTTTTGATCACCCGGTTTTATATAGTATTTCTGGGACCAAAAAATTTAAATATACCTTTTTAATATAAAACAGAAGTTTGAAGCTGGAAAGATAGTGTTTATGGAAGATTTGTGTGCTTTTGTGTTTTTTAAACCCGTCAGGCTGCTGGTAAGGCAGTTTCTAGGGCTCACTTTTCCTCCTTACCTCTTGACTAGTGTAGCATGTGGTATGTTTAAAATATTTCATTTTCTGCTTTGTAATTCTAAAGTCAACACTATACTGTATGTAGACAGGAGAGCTGATTTGTATATTTTAGTTATTTGGTCTAATCAAGCATAACTAAAGGGACTTCTTTTTTGATACTTTTCTCAAATTAAGTTTAAATATAGTATACGGGCCACATTTCATGTCTTTGAAAGTGTTGTACATTACTGTAAACCAAGTACTCTGTCTACACCAGAGGGTGCTTTAACTGCAAAATATTTGAGAAACAATTCAGTCTCTCAAACATTTTGGCACAGTTCATCACTCCAGTTTGTTACTTTCTTGAGAATAGTCCATTTTTTGTTTTTGTTATTGTACCGTATGTTCTGGTCATTGGAAACAGAACAGCTCATAGTTGGGTGATGTAATATAATAACAGTAATATAACCTAGTAGTCATTTTGCTTCAAGTAATTTAATTAGATAGCAAAATCACTGCGGTTTGTTTATTACACTTGTAGGGCTTTTTATCTTACTCAGTGACCATCACTACGAATGTCTTACATTGAAGCACAGACTGCAGAGCACTTGTTAACTTAGTCCTCCTGCATAATGCACTCGTGAAAAGTAGTGCTTGCTAGGTGTTTGAAGATTTTATGATCCGTGTGCTTGGGCTCGTTGAGTTATTTGTAAAATAAACATTTAGTTTGAGTTGATGCAGTAAGTTTTTTGGACTAGTAGTATCCAGGTCCCTACTCTACTGAAAATATAATCTTCACTATCTCCCCTTAACTCAGAGGAGATGTAGCATTTAGAACACCTTGAGACATGACATTGTAAAATAGCTTGTTTTATGTTCCTGAAGCTATCTTGTTCTCTGTTAAAGCTACTAATTGTCTCAGTGTAAGTTTTAAATAAACATATTTCTTTAAAGCTGGTTTGTACTGTGTGACTTTTTTTTCTTATTTATGCACTGTCGGATATAATTGCTTTCTTCCATCCCTCCTACTCCCTCATTCATCCAGCCATTGGCTCTCTTAAGTTGAACATTTTCCAGTACTCTTCAAAGTTTAAACACTGCATTTTTTTAAAAAAAGAATTAATTCTTATTGCTTAGACTTTTTATTAGCTAAATGAAGAGGCTCATACAGGTAGGGTACTTGTCGAAGCAGAATATTTTACTTCATCTCGCAGTGCTAATCCTGGGAAGTTGTCCCGTCTAGCTGCATATTCCTCAACATTGGCCAGCCCTGGTACTACACAGCAGCTCAGAGCACTGCGGTATATACTCATGTCATGAGCATCATACCACTCATCGGTCTTTTCATCATAGCACTCAACATTAAAGGTGGTGGTAAAACCATTAAAGCCACCCACCACAAACAAGAGGTCATCCACCACCTCGATGCCAAAATTGCTACGAGGATTAAACATAGTGGGGATTGTGCGCCAAGTGTTAGCCACAGGGCTGTAGGCTTCGGCACTCCTAAGTCGATTAGCTCCATCAAAGCCACCTACCTGTGGATAGCAAAAGAAACACGGTTGACTGCTAACCATTGATTCTGTTCACTGAGGAAGCCCTTGTTGGGGGTACCAGTGATCTCATAACTCCCTCTTCCATTATCTTCCATGAAAAAAAGCTTTTCAGCCGGGTGCAGTGGCTCACGCCTGTAATCCCAGCACTCTGGGAGGCCGAGGCGGGTGGATCACAAAGTCAGGAGATCGAGACCATCTGGGCTAACACAGTGAAACCCTGTCTCTACTAAAAATACAAAAAATTAGCTGGGCATGGTGGCGGGTGCCGGTAGTCCCAGCTGCTCGGGAGGCTGAGGCAGGAGAATGGCATGAACCCGGGAGGCAGAGCTTGCAGTGAGCCGAGATCCTGCCACTGCAGTACAGCCTGGGCAACAGAGCGAGACTCCATCTCAAAAAAAAAAAAAGCTTTTCAAATACTTACCAATAGTAGCATAAACCCATTTACTAATACAAAATCTAGGGGTAATGTGTTTTTTGTGTGTGTGTGGTACTAGATAAACTTACCGCATATACATGTTCTCCATAAGCAATCACGCCTATTCCACTCCTCCTGCTTCTCATGGGTGCTATGACTGTCCACTGATTACTTTCAGTGTTATACACTTCTGCTGTGAACAGGCACTCGTTTCCATTAAACCCACCACATATGTAGACCTGTGTGAAGAGTTCCAAGATTATTAAAATTCCCACTCTAGGGAGTAGAAAGAAAGGATATGTGTGTGGTGGTAGTGGGCACTTAATTCCAGTCTGTACAGTCTGAATTTCTTTTTTTTGTATGTGCATGCATTGCTTTTTATTTATTTTTTAGAGACAGAGTCTCGCTCTGTCACCCAGGCTGGAGTCCATTTGCACCATCTCTGCTCACTCCGCCTCCTGGGTTCTAACAATTCTCCTGCCTCAGCATCTGGAGTAGCTGGGACTACAGGCGCACACTGCCACGCTCCGCTAATTTTTTGTATTTTAGTAGAGACGAGGTTTCACCGTGTTGTCCAGGCTGGTCTCGAACTCCTGAGTTAAGGCAATCCGCCCCTCTCAGCCTCCCAAAGTGCTAGGATTACAGGCATGATACACTGTGCCCAGCCTATTTATTTTTATTTTTTGAGATGGAGTCTCACTCTGTTGCCTGGGCTGGAGTGCAGTGGAGCTATCCCGGCTCACTACAACCTCCACCTCCTGAGTAGCTGAAATTACAGGTGTGTGCCACTGTGCCTGGCTAATTTTTGTATTTTTAGTAGAGACCGGGTTTCACCATGTTGGCCAGGTTGGTCTCAAACTCCTGACCTCAAGTGATCCGCCCACCTTGGCCTCCCAAAGTGCTGAGATTACAAACACAAGACACTGGGCTCTGCCACATTACACATTACTTTTTTTTTTTTTTGGAGACGGAGTCTTGCTCTGTCATCAGGCTGGAGTGCAGTGGCGCAATCTTGGAGCACTGCAACCTCTGCCCACTGCAGCCTCCGCCTCCTAGGTTCAAGTGATTCTCCGCCTCAGCCTCCTGAGTAGCTGGGACTACAGGCGCCTGCCACCACACCCGGCTAATTTTTTGTATTTTTAGTAGAGACAGGGTTTCACCATGTTAGCCAGGATGGTCTCAATCTCCTGACCTTGTGATCCTCCCGCCTCGGCTTGCCAAAGTGCTGGGATTACAGGCGTGAGTCACCGAGCCCAGCCTGCATTACTTTTTTTTTCTTTTTTCTTTTGAGATGGAGTCTTGCACTGTCGCCCGGGCTGGAGTGAAATGGCGCCATCTTGGCTCACTGAAATCCTCTGCCTCCGGGGTTCAAGCGATTCTCCTGCCTCAGCCTCCCGAGTAGGTGGGATTACAGGCGCCCGCCACCAGGCCTGGCTAATTTTTTGTATTTTTAGTAGAGACAGGGTTTCACTATGTTGGCCAGGCTGGTCTTGAACTCCTGACCTAGTGATCTGCTTGCCTCGGCCTCCCAAAGTGCTGGGATTACGGGCTTGAGCCACCGTGCCCGGCTTTGCATTACTTTTCAATAAACAACATAAAAGACAGTTGCAACTAGTCACCTTGTCAATTGAAGAAAGAATGAGTACTCCAAAGTGAATACTGCCACTGCGTCTTCCATCCACCCCAAAAAAGAGCAGTATCATTTCTGGTCTTGTACTTTGCATCCACATCTTCCCCTCCCACCCTGGTCCTTTACCTTCCCATAAAGTGTTGTGGCGCTTGCATCACTCCTCTGTTCGTGCATGGGGGCGATGAGTGTCCATTGATTGGTCTCTGGCTCATAACGTTCAGCAGTGTTTAGACGCACGTAGCCATCAAATCCTCCCATGGCATAAATAAAATTGCCGAGGACTGTCACACTGACATAGCAACGTCTGGAGTGCATCGGGGCCACCTGATGCCAAGTTTTCTTGACTGGGTCAAAACGCTTAACACTATTGAAATAGTCTACACTATCAAACCCCCCAATGATATACACATAGCCTTTCAAATAGGCTGCCCCATGGTAGGCACGGGGACTCTCTTCCTCACAAGTAACATTCACCCATCTGTCTGCCCGAGCGTCATATGCCTCAATGGCATTGGTGGGGCTCCCACCACTCCAGCCACCAATTGCAAAGAGGATGGCATAGGGCAAGCGTGGTCTGGTGAGTGGGTTGGTGAAATCAGAATTAGAGGGTCCATTCATGTTGAGGTCATACATGGCCTTTAGGGCATTAATGATGACTGGTTTGCATTCCTCACTGTCTTTGACATAGTCATTCATCTTAACATTGTTCATGAAGTACTCAGCATGCATTAGGGCCAGGCGAACCTAAGAAGCAAACGCAGAAAGTCATTCAGGTGACGTGAGAGTGCCAGGAAATCCCACATCCTTAACTCCCATTTTTCGATCTGCCTTTGAATTGCTGGAAATATTTTGGTTTGTTTTTGAAATGTATAAGTCACAGTTTAAATAGTCGATTTTGAGGCTCACACCATAATCCCAGCACTTTGGGAGGCCAAAGCAGGTGGATCACTTGAGGCCAGGAGTTTGAGACCAGCCTGGCAACATAGCAAGACCCTGTCTCTACTAAAAATACAAAAATTGGGGCCAGGCGAGGTGGCTCACGGCCGTAATCCCAGCACTTTGGGAGGCCGAGATGGGCGGATCACCGGAGGTCAGGAGTTCTAGACCAGGCTAACCGACATGGCAAAACTCCATCTCTACTAAAAATACAAAAATTAGCTGAGTGTGGTGGCACGCACCTGTAATCCCAACTACTCAGGAAGCTGAGGCAAGAGAATCGCTTGAGCCAGGGAGGCAGAGGTTGCAGTGAGCCGAGATCACCCTACTGCACTCCAGCCTGGGCCACAGAGCAAGACTCCGTCTCAAAAAAAAAAAAAAAAAAAAAAAATACAAAAACCAGGCTGAGTGCAGTGGCTCACGCCTGCAATCCCAACATTTTGGGAGGCCGAGGTGGGCAGATCACTTGAGGTCAGGCATTTGACACCAGCCTGGTCAACGTGGTGAAACCCCCATCTCTACTAAAAATACAAAAATTAGCTGGGCGTGGTGGCAGGTGCCTATAATCCCAGCTACTCAGGAGGCTGAGGCAGGAGACTCGCTTGAACTGGGGAGGTGGAGGTTGCAGTGAGCCGAGATCGTGCTACCACACTCCAGCCTGGGCAACAGAGCTAGACTCCAACTCAAAAAAAAAGAAAAAAAAAAAATTAGCCAGGCATGGTGCCGCGTGCCTGTAGTCCCAGCTACTCTGGAGGCTAAGGTGTGAGAATTGCTTGAACCCAGGAGGTGGAGGTTGCAGTGAGCTGTGATCACACCACAGCACTCCAGCCTGGGTGACAGAGTGAGACTTGTCTCAAAATAAATAAATAGTTGTCAGCCGGGCGCTAGCTCACACCTGTAATCCCAGCACTTTGGGAGGCCGAGGCAGGCGGATCACGAGGTCAGGAGATCAAGACCATCCTGGCTAACACGGTGAAACCCCGTCTCTACTAAAAATACAAAAAGTTAGCTGGGCGTGGTGGCGGGTGCCTGTAGTCCCAGCTACTGGGGAGCCTGAGGCAGGAGAATGGCGTGAACCTGGGAGGCAGAGGTTGCAGTGAGCCGCGATCGCATCACTGCACTCCAGCCTGGGCAACAGTGAGACTCCTTCTCAAAATAAATAAATAAATAATAAATATTTATTTACTATTTATTTATGGGGAGGTGATATATACATTTGGAAGCTGAGAATGAGCTAGATAGAAGGCACCTCAAGTGGCCAGAGAGCAATCCCATTCCTTGGTTAGTGGTCAGTACTATTAGACCAAGAAAAACCATGGTAATTGTTCAGTAATTGAGTATGTCTTAATATGTAAAATAACGCTTATTAGCACCAACTGACAACAATTGTGTGCAATACTTAAGATTTTTTTTTTTTTTTTTGTTAATTTGAGACCAAGTCTCTCTCTGTCGCCCAGCTGGAGTGCAATGGTGCGATCTGGGCTCACTGCAGCCTCCGCCTCCTGAGTTCAAGTTATTCTCCTGCCTCAGATTCCCGAGTAGCTGGGATTACAGGCATGCACCACCATACCTAGCTAATTTTTGTATTTTCGGTAGAGAGTGTTCTGCTATGTTGGCCAGGCTGGTCTCGAACTCCTGACCTCAGGTGATCCACCTGCCTCCGCCTCCCAAAGTGCTAGGATTAAAGACATGAGCCACTGTGCCAGCCATGATTTCTAATTCAACTTCTACCTTGGGTATGGAGAAATTCATAGAAAGGAAAAAAGCTGAAAGGAATTTCAGCCCTTTAGAATTTTTTTTTTTTTTTTGAGACAGGGTCTCGCTGTATTGCCCAGGCTGGACTGCAGTGAGGTGATCACAGCACACTGCAGCCTTGACCTCCCAGGCTCAAGCAGTCCTCCCATTTCAGCCTTCCACCCAGTAGCTGGAACTGCAGGCATGCACCACCAAGCCTGGTTAATTTTTAAATTTTATAATTTTTTTTTCTTTTTTTTTTTGAGATGGAGTCTTGTTCTGTCACCCAGGCTTGAGTGCAGTGGCATGATCTCAGCTCACTGCAACCTCCGCCTCCTAGGTTCAAGCGATTCTCCTGCCTCAGCCTCTTGAGTAGCTTGGATTACAGGCACCCACCACCATGCCCAGCTAATTTTTGTATTTTAGCAGAGATGGGGTTTCACCATGTTGGCCAGGCTGGTCTCGAACTCCTGACCTCAGGTAATCCGCCCATCTTGGCCAAAGTGCTGGGATTACAGGCTTGAGCCACTGCACCTGGCCAAATTTTATACTTTTTAAATTTTATAACCTATGTTGCCCAGGCTGGCAAACTCTGGGCTCAAGTGATTCTCCACCTCGGCCTCCCAAAGTGAGCCACCACACCCCACCTAGAATTATTTTGAAGGCTCTCTTCTTCCCCCACCACCAGGAAGGATTTTGGTCAAAGAATATAACTTAGGTAAAAAGAACTAGTAATGCCAAGGGAAAAGACAGTTGCAAAATTCCAGAGAATAGTAGATGCCTTCTATCTAAGGACATGTAAATACAGCCTTGGGATCTGTCATATGTCTGAATTTTGCTTTTAGGACAATCTCTCTGTGATAAATGAATCAAGAGTGAACACTGACCTTAGGAAGCAAAATTGAAATGTGCTGCTTTCTATTTTGGGGGTCATGAGAAATCCACTTTAAAATGGCCTCAAATACAGCATCTTCCTGTTTGACATTGAGCTCATCTTTCTCAATGATATCCTTAAGTTCAGTGACCGAGAGCTCTAAAAATTCTGCCGAGACTTTCACCATCTCCTCAAAGTTGTGCAGTATGAACATGTAGGCCTTCTGCCTCAGCTCAGGACAGTAGTAGTAGTCCGTGAACTTACAGATGCCGATACAATTATCCAAGCACAGCTCTGACTTGAGGAACTCGCAGCAACCCCTGACGATACCCATGATGTTAAACTGGTCTGCAGCAGCAAGCAGTTTCTCCACATTGTCCGGTGTGATAGGCACGGTCCGGGTGTATGCATACTCAATGATTAGCTTCATCATGTCGGGAGAAATGCCAGGGATGTTGTATACCTTCTTTTCAGTGTTGTTCCAGCCACTTGTAAACAAAGCTCTGGAAAAAAGAAAGAAACTAGCAGCCACGGAAACATTTCTCTCCTGTTAGGTGAGTACATTGGAAATGGTCTGAGAAAGTGGGGTGCAGGCATGTGCTATATACAGTGGACAAGAAGAACACCTTTCCAAGAACTCTGACTTTGGTCACTCTTACCTTGTGGATGGAGAAATTAAGATCTAGAACTGAGAGTAAGACCCAGGTCTCTTGGGCCAGGCGTGGTGGCTCACGCCTATAATCTCAGCACTTTGGGAGGCCGAAGCGGGTGGATCATGAGGTCAGGAGTTCAAGACCAGCCTGGCCAACGTGGTGAAACCCCGTCTCTACTAAAAATACAAAAATTAGCTGGGCATGGTGGCACATGCCTGTAGTCCCAGCTACTTGGGAGGCTGAGGCAGGAGAATCGCTTAAACCTGGGAGGCGGAGGTTGCAGTGAGCCAAGATCATGACACTACACTCCAGCCTGGGGGACACAGCGAGACTCTGTCTGAAAAAATAAAAATAAAATGGCCACTCACTGCTTTTTATCTTCCTTTTCTTATTTTCCCAGGCATTTATGATGATTTGATATGCATTTTACTCATTTAATGCCTGTTTCCCCATCCAGGGGGTAAACTTCATGAGAACAGGAATGCTTCTCTTTTTATTAATTGTTTTCTTTTCTTTTTTTCTTTTTTTTTTTGGAAACAGGGTCTTGCTCTGTCACCCAGGGTAGAGTGCAATGGCATGATCTTGGCTCACTGCAACCTCCAACTCCAGAGTGCAAGCAATTTTCCTGCCTCAGCCTCTTGAGTAGCTGGGATTATAGGTGTGTGCCACCACGCTCAACTGATTTTTGTATTTTTTAGTAGAGATGCGATTTCACCATGTTGGCCAGGCTGGTTTCATCATATTGGTCAGGCTTGTCTCGCACTCCTGACCTCAGGTGATCTGCCTGCCTCGGCCTCCCAAAGTGCTGGGATTACACGGGTGAGCCACCATGCCCGGCTTTTGCTTCCTTTTTTTAAGAAGTTTAAGGAAATGTGGTCTTAGAAATCAAATTCTTCCTCTAGAGCAGGGGTCTGCAAACCTATGGACTCTGTCCAAATTTGGCCCACCTCTTGTTTTCATGCTGCCCACAAATTAAGAATGATTTTTACATTTTAAATGGCTGGAGGAAAAAATCTTTTTTTTTTTTTTGAGATGGAGTCTCGCTCTGTCACCCAGGCTGGAGTGCAGTGGCTTGATCTTGGCTCAGTGCAACCTCTGCCTCCCAGGTTCAAGCAATTCTCTGCCTCAGCCTCCCGAGTAGCTGGGATTATAGGTGCCCACCACCATGCCCGGCTTTTTGTATTTATGCCCGGTTTTTTGTATTTTTAGTAGAAATGGGATTTCACCATCTTGGCCAGGCTGGTCTTGAATTCCTGATCTCATGATCCACCCACCTCAGCCTCCCAAATTATTGGGATTCCAGGCGTGAGCCACTGCGCCCCGCTGGTTGGGGGAAAAAATCAAAAGAATATTCTGTGACACCTGAAAATTATAATACATTTAAATTTCAGTGTCCATAAATAATCTTATTGGAATACAGCCACACCCATTCATTTAGTATTGTCTAAGGCTGCTTTTGCAGTATAAAAACAGAGTAGTTGCAACAGACTGTGTGGCCTGCAAAAACCTAAAACAATTACTATTTGGTCTATTTCTGGACTCAGCTGAGCGCGTTGGCTCACGCCTGTAATCCCAGCACTCTGGGAGGCTGAGGCAGGCGGATCACCTGAAGTCAGGAGTTCAAGACCAGCCTGGCCAACATAGTGAAACCTGTAACCCCAGCTACTCGGGAGGCTGAGGCAGGAGAATTGCTTGAACTTGGGAGGCAGAGGTTGCAGTGAGCAGAGATCATGCCATTGCATTCCAGCCTGGGTGACAAGAACAAAACTCCATTTCAAAAAAAAAAAGAAAAATTAGCCAGATGTGGTGGCACACAGCTGTAATCCCAGATATTCGGGAGGCTGAGGCAGGAGAATCGCTTGAACCTGAGAGGTGGAGGTTGCAGTGAGCTGAGATTGTGCCACTGCACTCCAGCCTGGGTGACAGAGCAAGACTCCATCTCAAAAAAATAAAAATAAAAAATAAATTGTGGACTCTGCTCTGTGGTCTACCTGAATGAGAAGTTTTAGCAACAGGTAGGACACATTGATCATATCTTCATTGGAATTGATTACTCAAACATTTTCAGCTCATGAACAAAATAGCCCTTCTACCTCCTGGGTTACAATGGTTTTAGCCCAAACTCCCTTTTTCTTCTGATATTTCCTGGGTATTTCCCCCTCATCTCCCTTCCCATCCCCTTAATCCTTGTTAATTTATCACCCTGTTTGAAATGGTCTCTATTGGGATAGGGGTACAGGGGGGTCCCTGAAGTGGCATTGTCATCTGAAATCCAGTAGGGATGTCCAACCTTCCCAAAGGTTGGTTTGGGTGAGAATCAAAGATTAAAGCACCTGGCCCACCAATAGTTGGTTGAAATCCAGTTGAAAAATCAGACCTTAAAGGCTGGGTGCAGTGGCTCATGCCTGTAATCCCAGCACTTTGGGAGACCAAGGTGGGTGGATCACGAAGTCAGGTGTTCGAGACCAGACTGACCAACATGGTGAAACCCCGTCTCTACTAAAAACACAAAAATTAGCTGGGCATGGTGGCGGGAGCCTGTAATTCCAGCTACTCGGGAGGCTGAGACAGAAGAATCGCTTGAGCCTGGGAGGCAGCGGTTGCAGTGAGCCGAGATCACGCCACTGCATTCCAGCCTGGGGGACAAAGCGAGACTCCATCTTAAAAAAAGAAAAATTGTATCTTGCCAGGCGCGGTGGCTAATGCCTGTAATCCTAGCACTTTGGGAGGTCAAGACGGGCAGATCACCTGAGGTCAGGAGTTTGAGACCAGCCTGAGCGACATGGCAAAACCCTGTCTCTACTAAAAATACAAAAATTAGCCGGGCGTGGTGTCAGGCGCCTGTAATCCCAGCTACTTGAGAGGCTGAGGTGGGAGAATGGATTGAACTGGGGAGGCGGAGTTTGCAGTGAGCCGAGATGGCGCCATTGCACTCCAGCCTGGGTAACAGAATGAGACTCATCTCAAAAAAAAAAGACAAAAATCAGATCTCTCAAGAGCAAAAGGAAAAAAAAAAACAAAACAAACAAAAAAAAAAAAGAGAGAAAAAAGGCCCTGACCCTAGTCATGCCTCTTCAGAAGGCAAAGGAGCCAGGCAGGAGCTCCTGCCTGGACCAGAGTTGGCCAGGCACAGTGGTAATCCCAGCACTTTGGGAGACTGAGGCAGGAGGATCGCTTTGGGCCAGGAGTTCAAGACCAGCCTGGGCAACATAGCGAGACTCCCTCTCTACAGAACATTTCAAAAGTAGCCGGACGTAGCAGCATGTGCCTGTAGACCTAGCTACTTGGGAGGCTGGAGTAGGTGGATTGTTTGAGCCCAGCAGTTGAAGGCTGCAGTGAGCTATGATTGCATCACTACACTCCAGCCTGGGTGAAAGAATGAGAGCTTATCTCTAAAAAAAAAATTTTTTTTTAATTTTTAAGGAGCCCAGAGCTTTGACAGTGTCCCTAAAGTTAAGGTGATGGGGTGGGAAACAGAAAATGGATCAAAGTGTCTCAAAATGAGCCCAATTACCCCTTTGGCTGAATTTGGCAACCCTGTTATACCTAAAGTAGGAACTGCAGCTACAGAGGATGTTCTTATGGGCACTGAACTCAAAGCCATTGACCTTGATGACCACGTCGCAGAGCTTGCCCTCTAGTCTAAGCTCGTTGAAGATCTCACAGGCCATCGCACTCATCTTCCTCTCCATGTGAGGCTGGTGGAAACGTGTGGAGGCCGCCGCGCTCTCCATCTCCATGGCACCCTGGGACAGCGGAGAGAGGCTGCTTTCCTAGGGTGTCGGGGAGGGTTGTGGGGGGCCCCTTTAGCCAGCTGTCGCTCCTTTTCCCTACTACATCTTTTGTATAGGGTCTATCAGGCAACCCAAGTTCCAGAATCCTGGCCCTGCAGTGAGATCACACAGGATTGTGCTCTCAGGTTCTGGAACTGCCTCCTGGACTTGTCCTCTTCCTTCTCCCCTCCTTACCACCCCACTTAGGCTGAAAACCACCTCACACCTCCTTCTGTGTCCTTGAACCCAAAACAGAACCATGACCACTAGCACCATCTGAGTGTTTATTGATTCCAGCTCCTGTTACTCACCTGATACAGGTCTCTATCCCTGGAGCATTCATCTACCTTCCACAGCCCAACACTTGGCTCCCTAGACACCGAACTCAAGGAAATCCAAGTCAATTGAGGCTGAAGGGAGAAGTAAAACTGATTAAATTTCTTTCTTAGGCCGGGCGCAGTGGCTCACACCTGTAATCCCAGCACGAGGTGGATGGATCACAAGGTCAAGAGATCAAGGCCATCCTGGCCAACATGGTGAAACCTCGTCTCTACTAAAAATACAAAAATTAGCTGGGCGTGGTGGCACATGCCTGTAGTCCCAGCTACTTGGGAGGCTGAGGCAGGAGAATCGCTTCAACCCAGGAGATGGAGGTTGTAGTGAGCCGAGATCGCTCCACTGCACTCCAGCCTGGCGACAGAGTGAGACTCCATCTCAAAAAAAAAATCTTTCTTTTTCTAGGGACGGGTCTCGCTCTCTCACCCAGGCTGGAGTGCAGTGGTGTGATCATAACTCACTACAGCCTCGACCTCCTGGGCTTAAGTGATCCTCCCACCTCAGCCTCCTGAATAGCTGGGATTACAAGTGCTCCGCACCGTGCCCAGCCAACGCTGATTACATTTCAGAAAGCTGTCCCGGGTCTCCCAGCCCGCTGGATGGGTTAGTCACTCAGTTTCTTCTGGAATGAGGAATGGCCTAGTTAACAGAGCCCTTTCTGGGTGATTAACAGAATTCAGTTTATGGCTCCTTCATCTCTCCTCCCATCCAGCCGTGTGGTTTTTCTGTTTTTGTTTCTGAGACAGGGTGTCATCTGTCACCCAGGGTGGAGTGCAGTGGTATGATCTCGGCCTACTGGAGCCTGGATCTCCCGGGCTCAAGTGATCCTCGTGCCTCAGCCTCCCGAGTAGCTGGGACTACAACAGGTGCGTGTCACCATGCCCGGCTAATTTTTGTATTTTTTGTAGAGACAGGGTTTCGTCATATTGCCCAGGCTGGTCTCGAACTCTTCGGCTCAAGCGATCATCCTGCCTCGGCCTCCCAAAGTCCTGGGATTACAGGTATGGGCCACCGCGCCCAGCCCCAGTCATGTTTTTGTCACAAACTTTCAGCCTGGAAATGACCACGTTTGGCAAGGCTTTTCCTCCACAAAGAGTGGCAGAACCCTACCTACCCACGTAACCCCAACACCTTGGGACCTTCACCCTGCTCTTCATAATAAATAGAACCCTCCTCCAGTTTGCCTAGCGCAACCGGCAAGCCCACCCGGATCGCGGCCATCTCCGGGACCGCTCGATTCTCGGCCCCACCCCCGCCCCGCCCCCGGCCCCACCAACCCCCGCCCGGGCTCCAGGCGGGAGGCGACGCCTGCGCAGTGCGGTCGCGGGGCTGTCGTTGTCCCGCGAGCCGCCGACCAGGCCTCGAACGGGATGGCAGAGGAGGTGAGGAGGGAGGAAGCGTCCGGAGTGGGGCGGGCCCGGACTCCGACCCCCGGGGCGCTTCGAGCCCCCCAGCTGGTCACCGAGGCACCGCCGCTTCACCCAGGCCAGTAGCCGCCCCCTCGCGCACCCCGGCCCCGCCTCACACGCGCGCCCGAGCGAGCCCCGGGCTCCCCTCGGGCCCAGCGTGGCGCAGGGGTCAGTGGTTCTCTCGGGTCTCGGGACAGGTGAGCACCCTGATGAAGGCCACGGTCCTGATGCGGCAGCCTGGGCGGGTGCAGGAGATCGTGGGCGCCCTCCGCAAGGGCGGCGGAGACCGGTTACAGGTACCTCTGGGGCGTGCGGGGGCCGGCCGGGCTGGGGGCGGCTGGAGAGGCTTCCTGCCCATTGGGCCTTCCCGCTTTGCTCTGCCGCGGACCCCTCCTAGCTCTCTGCCCCAAGAAATGGCCGGGAGCTTGAAGGAGAGCGGGTTGGTTCGCCTGTCCTAAAACCCAAATTTCAGATTTCTCAATATGGTCATGCTGCTTCCTCTAATTGGACAGAAGGCGCCCACACCAGTACCTAGGGCCTTATCCTCCCCAAGCCAGCGGCTCCCCAGTAAGTTGAAGATGTCCAGATGGGCCGTAATGGTAGAGATCTCTTAGGAGGGACCTGATATTGAAGGAGTCAGAGGGGTCCTGAGTATTCACCCTTGCCCCCACACTAGGAGACTGCGTTTTCCTCAGGGTTAACGGGTACTAATTAGGATCACTTCCCCTCTATCCCTCTGTGTCACTCGGTAACTCCCCTAGGGCTTTGCCTACATCCTGGCCACTGAGCTGTATTGATTTCCATAATCATCCCCCAGGCTGAGGCAGGGCCACACTAGAATTCTGGTGCCTATTTAGGCATCATCTCTCTTTTGCCTTATAGGTGATTTCTGATTTTGACATGACCTTGAGCAGGTTTGCATATAATGGAAAGCGATGCCCTTCTTCTTACAGTAAGTCACATTCTAGCTTCCCTTGTTGAGCTTGACAAGACGATGGGTTCTAAGGGACAAGTAAAAGGAGTTTTCTCTTTTTCCAGATATTCTGGATAATAGCAAGATCATCAGTGAGGAGTGTCGGAAAGAGGTGGGTTGCTCCCGTCCTTTGCTCAGAAATGGTTGTCATTTGCTACTTCAAATGGTTCCTGATTGGAACCAAAGATTCCAGTATAGAGACCTTAGAAAATTAATTTTTAAAAACTTGTTGTTTTGCTAAGGAGGGTCTAGTTTTAATACATTAAGACAGCTTTTCCTTACTGGCCAGGACATATGATGATTAATGGTTGGAACTGGACATTATATTTACTGTTGGCTATAGAGTTTACAAGAGATTTGAACATTCTGGAGGTTCAGCAACTTACCCAGGGTCATACAGCCAAATGGCAGAGCTTGTTTGTTTGTTTGTTTTGAGACAGGGTCTCACTCTATCACCCAGGCTGGAGTGCAATGGCTTGATCTTTGTTCACTGCAGCCTTGACCTCCTAGGCTCAAGTGATCCTCCTGCCTCAGCCCTACTGAGTAGCTGGAACTACAAGCATGTAACATTACACCTAGCTAATTTTAAAAATTTTTTGTAGAGATGGGGTCTCACTATGTTGCCTAGGTTGGTCTTGAACTCCTGAGCTCAAGCAATCCTCCTTCCTCAGCCTCCCCAAAGTGCTGGGCTTATAGGCATGAGCTACCACACCTGGCCTTTTTAAAAGAAAATTTATATTCTTCTGTTGGGTTCTAGTGTGTGTGTGTGTGTGTGTGTGTGTGTGTGTATTTTTTTTTTTGAGACAGAGTCTTGCTCTATGGCCCAGGCTGGAGTGGCATAATCTCAGCTCACTGCAACCTCGGTTCAAGCAATTCTCATGCCTCAGCCTCTCGAGTAGCTGGGATTACCAGCATGCATCACCATGCCCGGCTAATTTTTGTATTTTTAGTAGAGACGAGGTTTCTCCATGTTGGTCAGGCTGATCTCGAACTCCCAACCTCAGGTGATCCGCCCGCCTTGGCCTCCCAAAGTGCTGAGATTACAGGCATGAGCCATCTTGCCCAGCCTGATTTTTAGAGAAAGGTTCTCACTCCAAAAAAACACACAGATTGAGAATCTTAATACATTTCAGAAGTTTTCTGCCTTTGTTACTATGTCATCTTTCATTTAATCTTCTTTTGAACAGATGGACAGGGATTCCATTTGATCTTGTAATGTTCCTGAGAATCATGCATGTATTAAAATTCTTTACTTGGTCAATTCTCATTTTTACTAGGCACTGTTACGGACTGGCTCTGTGTAACACATGATCCCTGGAACAGCCCCTTTAGAGTGTCAAAGTCTTGGCACATAGAAGGAAACCTTAGAGGAAACACACATAGATGCTGTGCATTCACATGATATTGACACTTTTGACGGAATTGTCCACCAACATGCTGTGTCCCAAAGTACAGTCTTCTAGTTATATTTCATTTTTTTTGCCATATCTGTATATCACCTTTACTAAATCTTTCTCTAAATTGGCCTGCTTTTAAAAATTGTAATTAACTTATAAAGAAACAGGCCGGGTGTGGTGGTTCACGCCTGTAATCCCAGCATTTCTGGGAGGCTGAGGCGGGCAGATCGGTTGAGGTCAGGAGATCGAGACCAGCCTGGACAACATGGCAAAACCCTGTCTCTACTAAAAATACAAAAAATTAGCTGGGCGTAGTGGTGCCTGCCTGTAATCCCAGCTACTCGGGAGGCTGAGGCAGAAGAATTGCTCGAACCCGGGAGGCGGAGGTTGCAGTGAGCCGAGATTGCGCCACTGCACTCCAGCCTGGGCAACAGAGTGAGACTTGTCTCAAAAAAAAAAAAAATTGTACATGAAAATGAATCCAAAACTTCTGAGTTGAAAAGCGCTTCTCCATGAATTCCCTAAAGTTTTCTTACCTATCACCTGAGAAAGTGGACCACATTCTGGGAAACACAGCATTAAGTAAGTTCTTACTGGTTAAGCCCTGAAAATTGAGCTAATTAATAACAGCAAAAAAATCTTAGTACCCTTCTTCTCTGATAGTAAAATCTCATATTGCTGACTTTTAGACCTCACTCTCAGGGTGAGTACAAAGGAATGACCAGCTCTGTGGATCCAGGTGCTCCCTGGACTTCACCAAATGGGTAAAAATGTGAGTGTATTGAGCGATTATGTTGGAAGATAATATGAGAAGAGAAACTTAGGTCTTATAAATGACATGTCCCCAAAGGAAAACTTGAAGAAAATTTCATGTAACACTCTCTTAGATGAAGTTGCATCTTCTTTTTATTTGAGACACAGTTTTACTCTGTGGCCCAGGCTGGAGTGCAGTGGTGTGATCTCGTCTTGGCTCACTGCAACCTCCGCCTCCTGGGTTCAAACGATTCTCATTTTTCAGCCTCCTGAGTAGCTGGGATTAAAGGCGCATGCCACTACACCGGCTAATTTTTGTATTTTTTAGTAGAGACAGGGTTTCGCCATGTTGGCCAGGCTGGACTCGAACTCCTGACCTCAAGTGATCCACCTGCCTCAGCCTCCTAAAGCACTGGGATTGCAGGTGTGAGCCACCGCCCCTGGCCATGAAGTTGCCTCTTCTAGGTGACTTTTTTCTCATACTAAGCTGTAGGACGTTGCTGGGAAGAACTTGATATGGACTAATGGCCTTTCTCCCCATTTGGATATCCCAGCTCACAGCGCTCCTTCACCACTATTACCCAATTGAGATCGACCCACACCGGACCGTCAAGGAGAAGCTACCTCATATGGTGGAATGGTGAGTGATGGTGGTGGAGAAAAGCTTCTGGGCCCTTGAGATGGAGTAGGCTGGGAGGGGCATATTTTTCCAGACCCTTGATGAGATGACAGGCTCCCTTACTTCACTGAGGGCTTAATTTAATACTATTAGTCCAGCTATTGGAACCAACTTTTCAGATGAACCCAGGGCTTTTTGTGGCTGCTGCTAGAGTGGAGACCCTCAGAGAATCCTTGGAATAAGTTAAAGACGCTTGGTGTTGGGGGATAAGTGCTTTGTGGAAGTGACTTTTAGTCTGTTTTGTGCTGCTGTCACAGAATAACAGACTAGGTGAATTATATATTTTTTCTATTTTTTGAGACAGAGTCTTGCTCTGTTGCCCAGGCTGGAGTCCAATGGCATGATCGTGGCTCCCTGCAGCCTCAACTGCCTGGGCTGAAGAGATTCTCCCACCTCAGCTTCCCAAGTAGCTGGTACTACGGGCACGTGCCACTGTGCCTGGCTCATTTTTTCTATTTTTTGTAGAGATGGGGTCTCACCATGTTACCCAGGCTATTTTCAACTCCTGAGCTCAAGCAATCCTCCCACTTCGGCCTCCCAAAGTCTTGGGGTTACAGGCATGAGCCACTGCACCCAGCCTAGACTGGGTAATTTATAATGAATAGCAATTTATTGGCACACAGTTCTGGAAGCAGGGAAGTCCAATATCAAAGGACTGGCTGGCATTTGGCGAGGGCCTTCTTGCTGCATTATCTCATTGTGGAAGGGCAAAGAGAGTAGGGGAGAGAGAAAGAGAAAGAGAGTTCTTTTTATAAGGGATCTGTGATAATGACATTAATCCATTCATGAGGATGGTGCCGCCATGACACCTCCCATTAGGCCCCATCTCTCAACACCTCCACACTGGGGATCAAGTTTCCAACACATTCAAACCACAGCAATCATCATCACTGGACAGAGCCCCAGTTCTCCAGATAGAGGGTTCACGGAGGAAGGGATTCAGAAGAGTGCCGACTTCAGCAGTCAGCTTGCCCAGCACTTGTCTCTGTTGGGTTGCTTTTCTCATCCTCTTCCTTTTTTTTTTTTTTTTTTTGAGATGGAGTCTCACTCTGTCACCCAGGCTGGAGTGCAGTGGCCCCGATCTTGGCTCACTGCAACCTCCCCCTCCTGGGTTCAAGTGATTCTCCAGCCTCAGCCTCCCAAGTAGCTGGGACTACAGGCGTGCACCACCATGCCCAGCTAATTTTTGTATTTTTAGCGGAGACAGGGTTTCACCATGCTGGCCAGGCTGGTCTCAAACTCCCGATCTCAGGTGATCCACCCGCCTTGACCTCCCAAAGTGCTGGGATTATAGGCATGAACCACTGTGCCCGGCCACCCTCTTCCTTTTAAGGGCAGCTAACGTAAGGATGAGGCCTCTGTCGGCAATGCTGTCAGAGGGTACTTGGCTCTGTAAAGGGAAAGGGTGAGTTATTTACTTCAGTGATTTGAATTTGGGGTTTTCTGGGGTGTCTGTTTCTAGGTGGACCAAAGCACACAATCTCCTATGTCAGCAGAAGATTCAGAAGTTTCAGATAGCCCAGGTGGTTAGAGAGTCCAATGCAATGCTCAGGTAAGCGTCTTGCTCTGGAAAACATTTCTATCAGACTATTTAGAATGTTTTGTTCAAAAAAAGGAGGCGGGGGAAGAGTAGAGAGCAGTTAGTTGCTTAAAGGACCGGAAGGGACATGGCACTATGAACAACTGATGTGATACAGCTAAAGCATTTCTTACCCTTGCTAGGAAACATTCAGCAGGTAGTGGATGTAGTACAAAATGGCCAGGGCACTATCTCTGAGAAGAAACCAAGTCTAGCTCTTCTTTCTTTCTCTCTCCTTCTCTTGTCTTCTCTTCTCTTCTCTTCTCAAGACAGAATCTCGCTCTGTCGCCAGGCTGGAGTGCAGTGGCGCAATCTCAGCTCACTGCAACCTCCACCTCCTGGGTTCAAGCGATTCTCCTGCCTCAGCCTCCCGAGTAAGCTGGGATTACAGGTGCCCGCCACCACACCCGGCTAATTTTTGTATTTTTAGTAGAGACAGGGTTTCACCATGTTGGCCAGATGGTCTCAATCTCTTGACCTTGTGATCCGCCCACCTCGGCCTTCCAAAGTGCTGGGATTACAGGCGCGAGCCACCGCGCCCGGCCAAGTCTAGCTCATTTTTCACAATGGTAAAAGACTTTTGGGGTCTGTCTGGTGACTGGTGTTCTTCATGGTGACTGGGAGTTGGCTAGGCTGGGACGCTTGATCGTTGGCGGCCTTCACTGAACAGCTGTCTCTGCTGGAGATTTCTTTTCTGGAGGAAAGAAATCCTCATAAAGGAAGGAGTGACATGGGTGCCTGCCCTCAAGGGTTGTGCATCCTAATTGGGGAGATTGGCTAGCTCCTGAAAAGTCAAGACAGTGGAGATGTGTGACCCAGTAAGTGCCGGGGTGGGAGTGTTTGTACCCTAGTGAAGGTGCCCAGGTTAGCTTCCTGGTTGTATGGACAGCAACAGAAAACATATGCCTACCTTCCACCACAACAGCATCTCTCCCAGGTATGTACCCCAGAGGAATGAGGGCATGTAGCCACTATAAGACATGCACAGGGTATTCATGGCAGCTGTATCCATAACAGCTGAAATCTGGAAATCTCTCAACTGTCTATCAAGGAGAAGCTGGGTAGATAAATTGTGGCATATTTATATGGTGGAATAATGCTGCATTGCAGTGACAAAGGATAAACTCATTACATGCAAAATATAGATAAACTACATAGGATTATATTGAACAAAATAAGCCAGGCACAAAAGAGTACATTGTGTATGAGTCTATTTATATGAAGTTCAAGGACAGGCAAAGCTAATCAATGGGAGGGATGATATTGACTGGGAGAGATCACGAGGGAGCCTCAAGCTAGTTAGTTACATGGGTGTATACATATGTCAAAATTAACTGAGCTGAGCACTTAGGATTAGCACACTTTAACCGCTTATTGAATATATCGTATGCTCTATTTTATTTATTTATTTTTTGAGATGGAGTCTTGTTCTCTTGCCCGGGCTGGAGTGCAGTGGCGCGATCTCGCCTCATGCCTGTAATCCCAGCACTTTGGGAGGCCAGGGTGGGTGGGTTGCTTGAGCATAGGAGTTCAAGACCAGCCTGGGCAACAGAGGAAAACCCCGTCTTTACAAAACATAAAAAAATTAGCCAGGTGTGGTGGCATGCACCTGTGGTCTCAGCTACTTGGGAGGTTGAGGCGGGTGGATCACTTGAACTCGGGAGGTCGAGGTCGCAGTGAACTGTGATTGTGCCACTGCCCTCCAGCCTGGGCAACAGAGCAAGACCCTGTCTCACAAAAAACCCAAAAAACAACCCAAATAGGAAACAAAGAACAGCAGTAGAGGCAGTGCCATTTCAGAATTCCTCCATCTCTTTTCAGGGAGGGATATAAGACCTTCTTCAACACACTCTACCATAACAACATTCCCCTTTTCATCTTTTCTGCGGGCATTGGTGATATCCTGGAAGAAATTATCCGACAGATGAAAGTGTTCCACCCCAACATCCACATCGTGTCTAACTACATGGATTTTAATGAAGATGTGAGCCAAATCCTGTTTGGGCTGGGAAAGGACGAGGGGTGGGGACCACCAGCCAGGGCAGTTAACTCTGCATGAACCCTAACCTGGGGAAGAAGGGGAGGGAAGCCACTCTAGCTTCTTCACCCTCAGGCAGTTGTTTATGGGTTACTTTTTGGCCAGGCGCGGTGGCTCAGACCTGTAATCCTAGCACTTTGGGAGGCCGAGGCGGGCGGATCACTTGAGGTCAGGAGTTCGA
Source organism: Homo sapiens (assembly GCF_000001405.40). Lineage (NCBI taxonomy): Eukaryota > Metazoa > Chordata > Mammalia > Primates > Hominidae > Homo > Homo sapiens. The sequence continues at coordinate 41,828,554 of NC_000017.11, read as the reverse complement.
GACCAGCCTGGCCAACATGGTGAAAGTCCATCTGTACTAAAAATACAGAAATAAGCCGGGCGTGGTGGTGTGTGGCTGTAATCCCAGCTCCTTCGAGGCTGAGGCAGGAGAATTGCCTGAACCCAGGAGGCAGAGGTTGCAGTGAGCCAAGATCACACCACTGCACTCCATCCTGGGTGACAGAGTAAGACTCTGTCTTCAGAAAAAAACAAAAACAAAAAAACTTTCAAAGGATCCTCTCTCTTTGGTGTTTGCCTGACAGTCAACTCTCTGCCCTGGGGTACCTAATTTATGGGCCTGCCCTGCCCTATGTCACTGTCATATTATTATGTGCCATTCTGGGTCCTAAAGGGCTTGGGCTTTGATTTGTTTTTCCCAAGCCAGAGGTGGGCTGCTCCAACTCATCCACGTTCTGACTTTTTTCCCCATAAAACTGATGGTTGGAATTTTCATCATGTTGACCTGCAGTGAGGATGTGGCCCGCAGCTGAGCACTAGCACATGTGTAACCTGAGTGGCATTTATATCACAGCTTCGTGCATCCACCAGAACAGATGATCTGCAATATTGGGTGGCTCCTGTTCATTTAAACTAGGAGTTACAAACTTATGCTGTAAAAGGCCCTGTCGTCGATATTTAGGCTTTATGGGCTGTGGCATCACTGTTGCAACTGCCCAACTTTGCCTTTATAGCACAAAAAAGCAGCCATAGGCATCATGTAAACAAATGAGTTTGGCTGTATCCCAATACAACTTTATTTACAAAAGCAGGCCAAGTCTGGCCCATGGGCCGTAGTTTAGGCTACAGTGAAGTTTTGGCATTATCTATCACTTTTGGGATTCCCTTTTCTCTGTGACAGAGACAGTGGAGAGCTGGTGCCACATGGGTCCCTGCAGCCCTTCCATCTGTCTCTTGTCTTCATTATTTAGGGTTTTCTCCAGGGATTTAAGGGCCAGCTCATACACACATACAACAAGAACAGCTCTGCGTGTGAGAACTCTGGTTACTTCCAGCAACTTGAGGGCAAAACCAATGTCATCCTGCTGGGAGACTCTATCGGGGACCTCACCATGGCCGATGGGGTTCCTGGTGTGCAGAACATTCTCAAAATTGGCTTCCTGAATGACAAGGTGGGTAGAGGACCAGGGCTGCTTCTCTTCATGTCTTTCTTCTCTTTGAATGCCCATTAACAAATGCCTTTGAACACATTCTCTTTTTTTATTTCTATTTTTATTTTATTTTATTTTATTTTTTTTTGAGACGGGGTCTCACTCTGTCGCCCAGGCTGGAGTGCAGTGGCATGATCTCAGCTCATTGCAAGCTCCGCCTCCTGGGTTCACGGGAGCCTCTGGCTCCCAAGTAGCTGGGACTACAGGCACCCGCCACCACTCCCGGCTGATTTTTTGTATTTTTAGTAGAGACGGGGTTTCACCATGTTAGCCAGGATGGTCTCAATCTCCTGACCTCGTGATCCGCCTGCCTTGGCCTCCAAAAGTGCTGGGATTACAGGCATGAGCCACTGCACCCAGCTTTTTTTTCTTTTTTTTTTTTTTTTTGAGATAGAGTCTCACTCTGTTCCGCAGGCTACAGTGCAGTGGCGCCATCTTGGCTTACTGCAACTTCCACCTCCCAGGTTCAAGTGATTCTTCTGCCTCAGGCAGCTGAGTAGCTGGGACTACAGGCATGTGCCACCACACCTGGTTCATTTTGTATTTTTAGTAGAGACGGGGTTTCTCCACGTTGGTCACGCTGGTCTCGAACTCCCGACCTCAGGTGATCTGCCTGCCTCAGTCTCCCGAAGTGCTGGGATTATAGGCATGATCCACCACGCCCAGCCTAAATAAAATAAATAAAATTTATTTTATTTTATTTATTTATTTTGAGATGGAATCTCACTCTGTCCCCTAGTGGAGTGCAGTGGCACGATCTCGGCTCCCTGCAACCTCCATCTCCTGGGTGAGCTGAGATTGCGCCACTGCACTCCAGTCTGGGTGACAGAGCGAGGCTCCATCTCAAAAAAAAAAATGGGTCGTGGTCAGGTGCGGTGGCTCATGCCTGTAACCCCCCTATTTTGGGAGGCCAGGGCAGGGGGATCACTTGAGGCCAGGAGTTTAAGACCAGCCTGGGCAACATAGTGAGACCCTGTCTCAACAACAGCAACAACAATTAGCTGGGTGTGGTTAGCATGCCTGTAGTTCTAGTTACTCAGGAGGCTGAGGCAGGAAGATCACTTGAGTCCAGGAGGTTGAAGCTGCAGTGAGCCAAGATTATGCCACTGCACTTCAGCCTACGCAGCAGAGTGAGATCCTATCTCAAAAAAGAAAGAAAGAAAGAAAGAAAGAAATTCAGTCCAGATGGATTAGAGGCAACATCTGTTTTTTTTTTTTTTTTTTTTTTTTTGAGACAGGGCCTCACTCTGTCACCTAGGCTGGAGTGTCATGGCTCAGTCTTGGCTCACTGTAGCCTTAATTTCCTGGGCTCAAGTGATCCTTTCTGCCTCAGTCTCCCGAGTAGCTGGGACTACAGGCACCCACCCCCATGCCCGGCCAATTTTTGTAGAGATGGGCTTTTGCCATGTTGCCTGGGCTGGTCTCAAACTCTTGGGCTCAGATGATCCTTCTGCCTCAGCCTCCCAAAGTGGCAACATCTGGTTTTTTGTTTTTATTCCTTGTTACTGTTCTTTTGTATTGACCCAAGGGTTAATTGTGGTAGCCCATGCCCATCCCTCGTCTGTCTCCAAAGGGTAGGCCCGGTAACCTTGAACTCCTTTGGCTCTCAAAAGGGAGCTGGGAGTTGCTGCTTGAATGCTCTCCTCCCCAGCCCCAGGGGCTTTGAGAGTGAGCTACGGAGGGCAGGGCATTTGGGGACCCTCTGGCTTCTGCCTCTCATTCCGGGCAGGTGGAGGAGCGGCGGGAGCGCTACATGGACTCCTATGACATCGTGCTGGAGAAGGACGAGACTCTGGATGTGGTCAACGGGCTACTGCAGCACATCCTGTGCCAGGGGGTCCAGCTGGAGATGCAAGGCCCCTGAAGGCGCAGGCTCCAGCCCGGCCTGCAGGCCGTGGTGAGGAGGGGCGCCTCCCCAGAGTCTGCTCCCCCGTGAACACAGAGCAGAGGCCAGGGTGGCCAGCAGTGGCTGGGTCCTTCCGCGCCCCTCCGTCCTCCTTTCCCTGAGCACCTTCATCACCAGAGGCTTGAAGGAACCCCGCCATGTGGCAGGGCACAGGCACTGTTCCTGGTGAACCTTGGACCACAGCATGTCAGTGCTCTAGGGATTGTCTACTCCAGGGATTTTCTTCAAAATTTTTAAACATGGGAAGTTCAAACAAATATAATGTGTGAAACAGATCAAAATTTTTAAAATGAAAAAAAAGCTGCTCTGATTCAGGGGATGTGGGTGGGGGTAGAACCTGGACCTCTTGGCCCTGGGGGCACATGGGATGCTTCTAGGAACACAGTTTGAGAACCACCACAAATTGGCCTGAGACCCCATCCGAGCACAGCCTGATTGTGTCTGTCTGGTTCAGCGTGGGGCTGAAAGGGTATGTTCTAGCCTATAGTGGTTTGACTTTATTCTGATTCAGCCATCAAACTTGAAATTCATTTGGGATCGGTGGGGTTGAGGCAACCCTGTCTGAGAGCCCCCTCTTTAGGGATCCCTGAGGGGATGCATTCGTGTGTGGCTGTCCCCCTATGCCCTAGGCTCTCCTTTCCCCTCCTCTTATGGGTCGGGGCCACTAAAGTGGATGACCTGAAAAGGGGAATTTAGAGCAGGGACCTGAGGGAGACTGTGCCAAGGTGAAACAAGTGATGTGTGCACTGTGGTCTTGCGTTATTGGGCCGACCCTGAAGAGCCAGTTCAGCATTTTCTTAGCCTTAGAGGAAATCACCAGCACCCTTCCTGCAGTGTTCGGCTAGCCGTTGGAAAGTTCTGTTATTCTGCAGATGTGAAGCGGGAGGTAATACAGATGTTACTGAAGGCCTGCGGTGTCCCAGGTGCCACTCTGGGCACTTGGGTGCCTGCCAGTTGACCCTCACAATGACCCCACAAGTAGGTGCAGCTCCTCCTGCTTCCAGATGGCTCAGGCAGGATGGGTAACTTGCCCAAACTCCATAGCTAGGAGCTGGAGCCAGGATTTGAATGTTTCTGACCAAAGCCCATGCGTTTTGCTGCATTTCTCTGCTTCAGGCCTGTTCCATTCGTTTTTGGGAGGAGGGAGTGGCCACCATCTGAGGCTGGGTTAGTAACCACTTCCAGACTTTAATCAAGGAGCTTTCTTGGCCGGCGCAGTGGCTCACGCCTGTAATCCCAGCACTCTGGGAGGCCAGGGTGGCAGATCACTTGAGGTCAAGAGTTTGAGACTAGTGTGGCCAACATGGTAAGACCCTGTCTCTACTAAAAATACAAAAATTAGCCGGGCTTGGTGGCCCGTGCCTGTAATCCCAGCTACTCAGGAGGCTGAAGCAGGAGAATCACTTGAACCTGGCAGGCGGAGGTTGCAGTGAGCTGAGATCATACCACTGCGCTGTGGTGACAGAGCGAGACCCTGTCTCAAAAAAAAAAAAAAAAAGACTTCAATCAGGGAGCTTTCTGGATGCTTCGGGGCCAGAGAATGTCGGTCATTGCCCGTGGGGAGCAGTCACGTCTCTTAGGGGACCCTGGGCAAGAAGTGCTGATGGGGGCAGTTTGCTGTATGAGTCCAGTCCTGTCATTTTCTTTCCTAAGTCACCACCCCGTCCTCACAATGCTCGGGTCATACCAGGCAAGCGAGGACAGATGGCCTGGTTGGTGGCTGAAGTCCTCCTGCAAGACACTGTGGAGATCTGAACTCCATTACCTTTCCCCTAGCAAGAGGGAGAAGGGTGGGCAGGTGGTAACAGGTGGTGGCCAGGAGCAGGGAGAGATGGGAATATCATAGTATTGGAAATGATCTATGGGAAAGGATAATCTGACTTGTGTGGTTTAATCCTTGAACTTTGTAGGTTGTGTTTGAGGTCAGGGACCTTGTCTTTCCCATTCAATGGGGACAATTGGAGGATGAGGATCATCTCTCCACACCCTGCTGGAGGCCTCCCCTCTTTACACATTCACCCCCTCCACAGAGCAGGGCTCCCTTCCCACAGCGAAGACCCCAGGTTAGGCCCAGGGCAGGCAGGAAACCTCCAGATGGGGAGCCCCTGACCTGGGGACATGCTGTCTGGAGCTAATGAGGCCATGGAAACAGCCTGGTTTAACTTTTTCCCCAATCTCTGGGTCTAAAGGCCTCCCACAATCCCCACTTCATCCCCTAGCCATTCCCCCCTGCCCCTCAACCTGGTCCAAAAGACACCCTAAGGCCATTGGTTTAATCTTTTATTTGGAACAAAGGAAAAAAGGACTGACACCAGTTTAGCCTTTGAGTGTGCAGAGCTCTGCCCTCCCTCCCACCCCTCAGCCCCAAATCCAAGATTTCATAGCCCTAACACCCACCCAAGCAGCTTCCCTCACACATGCCCTTTGTTTTCTTCCTCTCTTCTATGGTTCCTTAGGGAAAGGAGCCTTCTTTAGGGATGAAAAGCTAACTACAGCCCAGTCTGGCCTCCAGCAGCCCAGGGTCAGCTCAGCCTCCACTGGAGGCGAGGGAGGAGGGCAAAGGGCATGGGAGAGGTAGGGCTGCCCTCCAGGAGCCTTCCCCTTCCCTAGGAGCCAGTCAGGATTGGGGAGGAAGGCAGAGGGGTCCTAGGGAGCTGTCACATAGAGGAAAAGGGGCTGGGAGTGGGGATGACAAGAAGTACAAAGAAAGAGAAAGTTTGGGGAGATGGATAACAAGCTCAGCTGTGTCAGTGATGTGGAGGGGAGGTATGGTGGGGGACCAGCCATGGCCCTATCCAACCCCAGGCTCCACAGGCCCCAAATTGGCTTTGCAAATCCAAACATTTTAAGGAAGTGGTTTAGGGATGGAAGAGAAACACGGTAGAGGTCTGTGCTGTGGATTTTCATCTAGGGTGGTGGGAACACCAGAGATGTCTCCTCTGCCATTGTTTTAGTTGGCTCCTGGACCTCATCCCAGCAGAGGGAGGGTGACTGTCAGCAGGTCAGTCCCACCGCCACTGTCCCCCTCGCAGTGGGCCTCTGTGTCTCAGGCCTGGCCAGGCTCCCTGCCCCTCAGAGCTCCTCGTGGACCCGCTCCTCGTCCTCATCTGACTTCAGCTTGAGCTCGTCGACTGTGATCTTGCCGTCCTGGTTGCGGTCCTGGTTCTGGAACATGTCTCCTATGGTTTTCTCAGGGTCCTGCCCAGGCATGAGGCGTCCTTTGCCCTCACTCACTTGAGCCTTGATGAAGGTGGAGAACTGGGGCAGGGGAGAGCCGGGGGAGCGGGCAGTGAGGGTCATGGCCTTGGGAGGGGCAGGGGCCCCGGGTGGAGGCCAGTGAGTGCTTTCTTTTTCTTCTTTTTTCCCAGGCTCCCCCGCACCCTGTAACTCAGGAAGGGCTGGGAAAGGCACTGGTGCTGGGGTCCTGGTGGGGGCTGGGGTGGAGGCGTGGCATGGGGATAGTCTGTGACTGGTCTCAGGTAGGGAACAGCCTGCATGTGTGCCCAGGAAAAAGCAGGGACAAGGAGCCTGAGGCGTGGGACTCAGCGCAGGCAGGAGCACCAGGGCGGGTGGGCAGTCCGGACGGGGGACGTCTTCTTCCTCGATGCTTCCTGGGTGCGGGGATTGCGTGGGCATGGCTATTAGGACTGAACCTTCACCCACCTCCTCCGGAGGGACCTCGCCATCCTTGTTGAGGTCCATGTCTTCAAACAGGTTGGCAGGAGGGTCCTTGTGCCACACAAACAGGTAGCCTGTGGGCAGCCCATCCTCCCGGGACACCAGCTCCACCTCAAACAGCAGCACAGCACTGCCTGGGACTCCCCGGGCTGGAGGGAGGGCAGGAGAGAAGGGAGGGGTCCTAGTCAGGCCGGGGTCTGGGCCTGGCTTCACTGTTTCCCAGCCCACAGGCCAGTTTCCCCTCCTGGGGCTGGGCTGGAGAGTGGGGCATGGGATGTTTAAGGAGCCATCCTGAAGGCATTCCTGACTCCTCCCACCAGTCATCAGACCCACAGTGGGCAGGAGCAAAAGGGACAGATGCCAGTCAGATTACGGTCTCGGGCCGAGCGCAGTGGCTCATGATTATAATCCCAGCACTTTGGGAGGCCAAGGCGGGTGGATCACCTGAGGTCAGGAGTTCAAGACCAGCCTGACCAACATGGCAAAACCCTGTCTCTACTAAAAATACAAAAATTAGCTGGGCACGGTGGCAGGTGCCTGTAATCCCAGCTACTCGGGAGGCTGAGGCAGGAGAATCACTTGAACCTGGGAAGTGGAGGTTGCAGTGAGCTGAGAGCACACCACTGCACTCCAGCCTGGGTGACAGAGTCAGACTCCATCTCAAAAAAAAAAAAAAAAAAAAAAAAAAAAAGATTATGGTCTCAGCCCCTCACCTCCACTCTCCCCGTGGGCCAGGTGCGGGGGCACGATGAGCTGCCGCCTCTCTCCCACACACATGCCCTGCAGGCCCGTGTCCAGGCCTTCGATCACCTTGTTGGCCCCGAGAGTCGCCTCCTGGGGGGCCCCGTAGTCATGCCTGGGGGAGAGCAGATGCCCAGGTCAGCAGCCACCCTGTCCCCTGCCAGCGCACACCCCTCTCCCTCTGAGGTGGGCCCAGAACAAGCCCTCAGTTCCGGAGTTACTCCCACTGGTGACTTGGGCCACGCAGCAGAGTGCAGGGGCCCAGCTGTGCAGACGTGGGGTTCCCTTCTCATCTTGCCTCTGCCCCCTAAAGTGTGGCCTCGAGGGCTCATGGCTCCCTGCGTCAGTTTCCCCTCTGTGAAATAGAAAGAGCAGTTCTCCCCCAACTGTTGGCTTCACCTTCCCTTCCCCTGCGAAGCAGAGAATTTCATCTCCTCGACATGCTCCGAGATGGGGACTTACAGAAAGCAGCAAGAGGTTGAATGCTCCCCTGGCGCTCGAGGACCAAGAGGGAGGAGCAGGCGTCGGGGGTGCACTGAGGAGGACTCCCCATGCCTGTGCCCACCCACCTGCCCAGTCCCGGCCCCCCCCCGGACCCACGAGGTGAACAGCTGGGTGCCGTCCAGCAAAGAACAGTTGTAATGGTATCGAACAAAGTCCCCAAGCTTGGTGGTCTCATTGCAGGTCTCAGATGGCCGGGACAGTGTCCTGATTTCCACCACATCCGCAGGGTTGTGGAAGTCAATGACATGGACGTTGAAGATTAGCACGGCAGAGCCAGGGATCTTGTCTCCTGAGGCCAGAATGGGGGAGTGTGGTCAGCTCAGAGCACTAGGAGAGGCTACTTGAGGTCTCTCCATGGAGGTCCCCAGACCTGATACCCCTTCCCGACCCTGAGGATCCAAAGGAGGATGGGACGGGATGTTTGTCCAGAGTCAATTCTAACAAACTTTCACTGGGGCAGGGGGCAGGGGAAGGCAGCTTTCCAGTAAGAAAGCCCTTTTCCACTCACCGTCTTGCAAACTCCCAGTAACTTACCCTGCGGATCAGCATGGCTTGCCCACTTGACAGGTGAGGACACTGAGGCTCCCAGCACAGCTGGGTCCTGGGGGTATGCTGGTTCTGTTTTTCCATAACCACCCTCCCTCCCCAAACTTGGCTGCCCTTCTCCACTGCGGAAGGGGCGAAGTGGGGCGCTGCCCTGGAGGAAACCGATGGAGTCTGTGTGGCAGGAATCAGATGGGGTGACCAGATGTAAGCTGCATGCATGTTTTTGTGATGAGAGGGGCCGAGCGGTGCCTGGAATCCCACTGTGGGAGGGGGTGGCCTAGACACAATGGGCAGTTCGGAGGAGGAGCTGAGGTGGTGGCTGGGGAACGCCCCTACCAGTTCCATTCTCCCCATAGGCGAGGTGCGGGGGGATGGTAATTCTCCGGCGTTCCCCCATGCAGGCACCCTGCAGCCCCTGGTCCATCCCGGGGATGATGTAACCCTGCCCGATATAGGTATTGTAGGTGTGGTTGCGGGAGTAGCTGCAATACAAGGCGGGAGGGCCAGGAAGGGAGTCAAAGGGGCCCTCCCCTTCCAGGCAGCTCAGAGTGACCCCCAGCTTCGTCCACGTTTCACCCAGCCCCCGCCCTCCCACCTCAAGACCCTCCTGACCTGGAATCGAAGAGGGTGCCGTCCATCAAGGAGCCATTGTAGTGGTAGCGCATGAAGTCCCCGGCCCCGGCTCTGCGGACACAGCCGGGGGGGAGCTCCAGCGTCTCTAGCTGGACAGCGTCCTTCGGGTTGTGCACGTCAATCAGGAGGACGTGAAAGACCAGCGAGGCCTGTGGGGGGATCACTGTCCCTGGGGAAGGGATAGGGCTTGAACCATAAAATTGGGGAGCAAGCCGAGGCTCCTTCTTGACTCAGGAAGGCCCAGTGGGCACCATGCAAGACACTAGCCCCACTCTCCAGAGCCCTTTCCCGCCCATCAGCAGCCCTGCTTCTTGCTCCTCCAGTAAGACCTGAGCTGGGTTTTCCCCAGGGCCACCACCGGCTCATACTGAGCCTTCGTGTGAATCAGAATAAAGCACCCCTTCTTTTTTTTTTTTTTTTTTTGAGACAGAGTCTCGCTCTGTCACCCAGGCTGGAGTGCAGTGGCGCGATCTCGGCTCACTGCAAGCTCCGCCTCCCGGGTTCACGTCATTTTCCTGCCTCAGCCTCTCCGAGTAGCTGGGACTACAGGCGCCCCCACCACGCCCGGCTAATTTTTTTGTATTTTTAGTAGAGACGGGGTTTCACCGTGGTCTCGATCTCCTGACCTCGTGATCCTCCCGCCTTGGCTTCCCAAAGTGCTGGGATTACAAGCGTGAGCCACCACGCCCGGCCAAAGCACCCCTTCTTAGTAGCACCAAGGGTAGATTTCATCCCACCTTGAGTCCTTGGTTGGATGCCCTCGTGCAGTATACAACCTGAGCAACTGTATGTGGAGGCCTGGTTTTTCCCTCTTCTGCGGAATTTCCCCTTGTGTCCTTGCCCACCCTCACCATAGCCTTTCTCGCCATAGGCCAGGAATGGAGGGATGATAATCTTCCTTCTCTCTCCAGGACACATGCCCAGCAGCCCCTGGTCCATGCCCTTGATCAGCCAACCAGAGCCGACGTAGGTGTCATAAGTGCCGCCCTTACTGTAGCTGCAGAAAATGAGGTGGAGGTGGGAGAGGCAGGCTGGGCCCCGGATTCCCGCTCCCCATGCCACAGTCCCCAGTGCCTCAGGGCTCCCCTCCAGCCCCTCACCTGGTGTCGAAGGAGGTGCCGTCCAGCAGGGTGCCATTGTAGTGGTAGCGGACAAAGTCGCCGTCCTGGACCATGCGGGGGCAGTGGGGCGGGCGCAGCAATGTGCTCACCTGCACGGTGTCTTCCTTGTTCCACACATCCAGCAGAACCACATCGAAGTAGAGGGTGGCATCCGGTGGAATGAGCCCCGCTGTGAGAGCGCAGCAGCGTGGAGGTCTCAGAGTTCTGCTCTGCCAACCACGATCCCAGCCAGGGCCCTGTTATTCCCCTTCCTCTCATCCCAGCACCAAGAGACCCAAACCAGGGACAGAGATGCCACTATTTTTGTTTTTTTTTTTTAAGAGATAGGGGGCCAGACACAGTGGCTCATGCCTGTTATCCCAGCACTGTGGGAGGCCAAGGCAGGTGGATGGCTTGAGCCCAGGAGTTCAAGACCAGCCTGCGCAACATGGCGAAACCCCATCTCTACTAAAAATACAAAAAATTAGCCACGTGTGGTGGTGTGCACCTGTAGTCCCAGCTATTTGGGAGGCTGAGAGGGAGGACTGCTTGAGCCCAGGAGGCTGAGGTTGCAGTGAGCCGAGATCGCACCACTAAACTCCAGCCTGTGCAACAGAGTGAGATGCTGTCTCAAAAAAAAAAAGAAAAAGAAAAAAAGAGGGGTTTTGCTCTGTCACACAGGGTGGAATTCAGTGGCATGATCATGGCTCACTGCAGCCTCCCGGGGTCAAGCAATCCTCCCACCTGAGCCTTCTGAGTAGTTGGGACTACAGGCACACACCACCACACCTGGATAATTTATTTTATTTTTTGTAGAGACGAGGTCTCACTATGTTGCCTAGGCTGGTCTGGAACTCCTGGGTTCAAGCAATCCTCCCACCTCGGCCTCCCAAAACTCTGGGACCATATATGTCAGCTACTGCCCCAGCCAGAGCTGCCACTCTTCATACTGCGTGCACAGTGTGACATTGGGCAAGTCACTCCTCATCTCCGCACTTCAGTTTTCTCACCCCAGGATCCCTGATTCTGCCTCGTGGTCTCCTCCACCCCCGGCCTGTGCCCCAGCCCTTCTCACCCAGGCCGATGCTCCCATAGCCCAGGTGGGGAGGCACAATGAGGCGTCGCCGCTCGTTGACACACATGCCCATGAGGCCTCGGTCCATGCCAGTGATGAGGCGCCCCACACCCACCACGATGGCCACCAAGGTGTTGCGATCATAGCTGGGGGGGGAGGGACAGATGGGATACAGTGACCTCAGACACACACACACTGCCCATGGTGGCACAGATGCACAGGTGTGCCTGCACACACGCACACAATCCCCCCTCCCTATAGCCAGGTGTGGATACGCACACACACTTCTCACCTCCTTTTCAAGTCCCCCTCCTAGGTCGGCCGTGACGCCCACCTTAAGAGAACGGACTGTTGTGAAAGGCAAGTCCCTGAGGAGGACAAGGGCTGCTATTGCCCTGGGACGGGGTTGGGTGGGATGCCCGGGCCTGATGGCTGCTACTATTTGCTGACAGCAAGTGGGGAGTGGTACGTACAGCACGGAGGGGCAGAGGAGCATTACTATATGGGATTAAATGCTTGGCATTTTACATTCCGTATCTTCTTTGTCTCCCCTGTGAGGTGGGCATTCTTGTTCTCATTTTTCTTAATGAGAGCAATGGAGACTTGAGAGACTCAGTGCCTTGCCCAAGGTCACACAGCTAATATGTAGTCAGCTGAGTTCTAAAATTTGCCATTATACTATTGGCTCTCCAAGAAAAGACGGGAGAGCAGAGGTGGGGTGGGAGCTGGTTTCACATTTTGAAAAGGCCTATTCTACAATCCTGGCTAACACAGTGAAACCCCGTCTTTACTAAAAATACAAAACATTAGCCAGGTGTGGTGGCGGGCGCCTGTAGTCCCAGTTACTCAGGAGGCTGAGGCAGGAGAATGGCGTGAACCCGGGAGGCGGAGGTTGCAATGAGCCGAAATCGTGCCACTGGACTCCAGCCTGGCGACAGAGTGAGACTCCCTCTCAAAAAAAAAAAAAAAAAAAAAAGCCTATTCTAAAAGTGCCATGGCTTTTGTTTGTTTTTAGTTATACACTTTTAATTAATGTATTTATTTTTACTTATACATATGTATTTTTGGAGATGGAGTCTCGGCTCTGTCACCCAGGCTGGAGTGCAGTGGTGCAATCAGCTCACTGCAACCTCCACCTCCCGGGTTTAAGCGATTCTCCTGCCTCAGCCTCCGAAGTAGCAGCTGGGATCACAGGCATGCACCACCATATCTGGCTAATTTTTGTATTTTTAGTAGAGAGGGCTTTCGCCATGTTGCCCAGGCTGGTCACTCTTGGCCTCAAGTGATCTGCCTGCCTGGGCCTCCCAAAGTGCTGGGATTACAGGAGTGAGCCACTGTGCCCAGCCAATTATATACACTTTTAATTTATTTTAAGTTTTCAGAAGTAAAGTGAGGATGGGAGATTTTTTTTTTTTTAATTGAAGGGGCCATGGGTTAAGAAAGTTTTCTGGCCGAGCGCAGTGGCTCACGCCTGTAATCCCAGCACTTTGGGAGGCCGAGGCGGGCAGATCATGAGGTCAGGAGATGGAGACCACCCTGGCTAACATGGTGAAACCCCGTCTCTACTAAAAATACAAAAAAAATTGTGGAGGCGCCTGTAGTCCCAGCTAATCGGGAGGCTGAGGCAGGAGAATGGTGTGAACCCAGGAGGCGGAGCTTGCAGTGAGCAGAGATCGCGCTACTGCACTCCAGCCTGGGGGACAGAGCAAGACTCTGTCTCAAAAAAAAAAAAAGTTTTCTAAGTTGTGTGGGCGCGGGGGCTCACGCCTGTAATTCTAGCACTTTGGGAGGCTGAGGAGGGTGGATTGCCTGAGCTCAGAAGTTTGTGACCAGCCTGAGCAACATGGTGAAACGCCATCTCTACTAAAATATGAAAAATTAAGGCTGGGCGCCGTGGCTTACGCCTGTAATCCCAGCACTTTGGGAGGCCGAGGTGGGCGGATCACGAGGCTGGGGTGGCATGTCTGACTGTGTGACACGTAGACAGACAGGGCCTCCGCAGGGAGCCATGCCCTACCCCCAGGTCCAGCTGGCTGTCTTCTTATAATACCCACCCGCCTTTTTCAAGACCAGTCTGGCCAACATAGTGAAACCCCTCTCTACTAAAAATACAAAAAAATTAGCCGGGTGTGGTGGTGTGCACCTGTAATCCCAGCTACTCGGGAGGCTGAGGCAGGAGAATCACGTGAACCTGGGAGGCAGAGGCGGAGGTTGCAGTGAGTTGAGATTGCTCCATTGCACTCCAGCCCAGGCAACAGTGTGAGACTGTGTCTCAAAAAACAAAAACAAACAAACAAACAAAAATTAGCTGGGCGTGGTGGCATGCGCCTGTAATCACAGCTACTTGGGAGGCTGAAGCAGGAGAATTGCTTGAACCCAGGAGGTTGCAGTGAGCTGAGATGGCACCACTGCACTCCAGCCTGGGCGACAGAGTGAGCCTCCAGCTAAAAAACAAAAAGTTTTCCAAGCTCAACACTCATGAGCTGGGCTCCCAGAGTCCCCATCAGGGATGACATCCCCTAAATCCCAACCCCTGCCTCACTCCTAGCAGTCAAGGGCTCAGGGCTGCACTTCTGGCTACTACCCTATATCTGAATTTGCCCACCAAGCAGACAGGTTTTAAGTCTGGACTGTTTCCTTCTCAGTGTTGTTATGAAGGCTTAAGCTCTGCATTAAGTTTCTACAAGTTCCACAGCATCAGGTCATATGGTTTTCCTCAGGGTCAATGTTAATGTGTGCTGAACTGGCTGGAGGACTGCCAGGCCCTGTGAGAAGCCTACGTTCATTCATCCATGTCCTTGGAGTCCTAACATCAGCCTTAGCAAGTAGGTCCTGTTTTTGTCTCCACTTTTCAGATAAGGAAAGTGATGCCTAAAGAGACAAAATTCTCTGTCCATGGTCATAGCCTGGATTTGAACCAGGGTCTTGGGACTCTTGGAGTTTGTAGGCTTACCCCAATATATGCCTGCCTCTAAAGTCATGGCCACTAATTTCCTGTGGGCTGAGTTGTGTGTTTCAGAGGAGGGTCTAAGAAACACTGACTTCTTTCAGTGTGCTGTGGGGTCTGTGTGTAACTGGGACCCTAGATTTACCCCTGAGGCTGGCATACAGCCCTGCCCTGTCCCCGCTAACAAAAGTGGACTTGCTGGGGCAGACCAAAGGCCTGGGTCAGACCAGGAGGCCACCTTACAAACCCCAAGGCTGGCAAAAATGGGCGGCCTGTGCCTCTGGCCTGGTGTACCTAAAATGGAGAGAGATGAGGGTTCCAGGAGAACCAGAGAGGGAGGAATGAAATTCCTCCAAGGAGCCCAGGGTGGCATGTCCGACTGTGTGACACGTAGACAGGGCCTCCGCAGGGAGCCACGCGCTACCCCCAGGTCCAGCCGGCTGTCTTCTTATAATACCCACCAGCCTTTTTCCCTGCCCACCAGCCGCTGAAAACTCCCACCCCCTCCAAAAAAAAGTTCTATTCCCTCTTCTCTGACCACAAAGGCACTGAAAACAGTGGAACCAGAAGGGGAGTCAGGGTGGGTGGAAAGGTACGGGGTCCAGGCTGATAGACCATCCCAGGGTTCTTAAGCAGCAGGGACCACCCCCTTCCCCCCAACACTGTAGATCAGAACACCCCTCTCCATCAGGTCATTACATACAGCCCTGGTAACTACACAAGGCAGTTCACCTTGATTATCGAGTCCTTTCCGGGATGTGGAGAGCTTGTGAGAAAGAAATGGGATCCTTTGAGAAGTGAGGGTTTGGAAGTGGGGGCAGGAGGGTATCTTTGGGGAGATGGGTGTCTGGGAGGCCCCAGGGGTGCTGTCTAGGGTTAGAGTATTGGGATGCAGAGCTTAAAAGAGGCAACAAGGAAACAGGACCCCGGGTTCAGGGGACGGAGTGGTGAATCCGGGGGCGCCCAACCGGGGTTACCTTGAATCAAACTTCTTGCCATCTTCAAAAGTGCCGTTGTAGTGGTAGCGCACAAAATCCCCCATCTGCACTTCCCGGGGACAGGCCCTGGGGATGTGGTACCTCTCGATGACCACATCTTCCAGGGGGCCCCCGGCCGGGCTGGCGCGGCCCAGCCCCCTCCCCACGGCCTGCACCACCAGTAGCAGCAACTGCAGCAGGGGGAGCCGGAGGAGGCTGTGGCTGGGGGGGCCCGCGGGGAACATGGTGCCTGGAGTTGGGACCGCCGGCAGTGAGGGCGAGCGAGGGAGTCGCCACCAACCTCCTTCCCCCCGCCTCCCAGAACTGGCTCCCCCTCTTCCTGTCCTCTTTCCCTACCCCCGCCCTGGCTGGTCCACGTGGAATGGGGGCTGGGAAGACTGAGCTGGCCTGGCCGGGAGGAGCGGGGGAGGGGGTTGCAATAGGAGGAGGGGGCCAGGCTGAGTGTGTTAGAGTCTGAGGGAGGCACTACAAAGAACTCTAGGTTCCCCCTCCCCCCATCTCCATCCCTGGCTGCGAGACCTGGGGCCTGGCCAGGGAGAGAGGCTCGGGAAAGATGAGAACTCTGAGTGGACACCAAAGGAAAAAAAAAAAAAAAAGTTCAATGACTTTTTCCGGAGCCCCCGGGTCCTAAAGCCGGGCGGAGATGAACCTTGCTTCTTTCGCGGGCACTTCGAATTCTAGTCCCCTCCAGGTGGGTGGTGAAGCCGCGGAGTGTGAGAGGCATCTCCGTGCTCATCCGTGACCCCAGCTGTACTCCAAGGGAAGGCATCTCCAGGGAAGAGCAGCTTGGTCCCGCAAAAGCTGGACTGAAAGAAGGACTTTGTGACTTGGGATGTGACGGGCACGGAGATGGAGTGGGGGGTGGTGGCAGCGCAAGGTGTGCAGGTGACAGCAGGTGTGTGCCTCCGACGTGGGCGGGGGAGACACTCGGAGGGTGCAGGAGGGCGCAGCGACGGAAGGCCCGGCTCCAGGGCTTCCTTCTCGTATGGGCAGCGCAGAGGAGGCGGCCCTCACTCAGTGTCCTGATCTCAGGCGGGGGCACTGTTTGCATGGGGAGGGGCTTCCTGGGCTTCCCATCTCTGGCGGGAAGCGCTCCCCGACGCATTCTCTACCTAGGGGACACCCCCAAGGCAGGAGCCCGGGCCGACGGAGAGGACTTAACGACACTATCGGACCCTCTGGGAAAAGAGGGGAGACGTCGTGACCCAGGCCCCGCCCCACCTTGCCGCCTCGTGCCCGGCGCTAAGACCCAGCGGGCGCGCCGCCCGCCCGGGGCCCGGCCCTGTCCCCTTCCGTCCGCGGGGCAGCCAGCTCAGCTCCGGAGAGCCGGCGGCGCGGCGGGCATGGCTCGGGTGGCGTGGGGGCTGCTGTGGTTGCTGCTGGGCAGCGCCGGGGCGCAGTACGAGAAGTACAGCTTCCGGGGCTTCCCGCCCGAGGACCTGATGCCGCTGGCCGCGGCGTACGGGCACGCTCTGGAGCAGTACGAGGGAGAGAGCTGGCGCGAGAGCGCGCGCTACCTGGAGGCGGCGCTGCGGCTGCACCGGCTCCTGCGCGACAGCGAGGCCTTCTGCCACGCCAACTGCAGCGGCCCCGCGCCCGCGGCCAAGCCCGATCCCGACGGCGGCCGCGCAGACGAGTGGGCCTGCGAGCTGCGGCTCTTCGGCCGCGTCCTGGAGCGAGCCGCCTGCCTGCGGCGCTGCAAGCGGACGCTGCCCGCCTTCCAGGTGCCCTACCCGCCGCGGCAGCTGCTGCGTGACTTCCAGAGCCGCCTGCCCTACCAGTACCTGCACTACGCGCTGTTCAAGGTGGGAGCCCGCCCCCACCCGGGGACCTGTCTCGGGCTGGGCGTCGTGGCTCCCCACAGATCGGTCGAAGGAGCGTTATCTTCACCCAAGGCACGAAGCCCGCCGTGCGCTCGGGGCCGCGAGCTCCGGTCTTGCTGACCCGCTCCCCCACCCCCTACCCCCCGACCAGGCTAACCGGCTGGAGAAGGCGGTGGCGGCGGCCTACACCTTCCTCCAGAGGAACCCGAAGCACGAGCTGACCGCCAAGTATCTCAACTACTATCAGGGGATGCTGGACGTCGCCGACGAGTCCCTCACGGACCTAGAGGCCCAGCCCTACGAGGTGGGGTGGAGGGTCAGGAGGAGGCTTGTAGAGGAGGGCTAGTAGAGGAGGGGAGATGTTGGGGGCGCCCTGACTCCCCCTGCCACGCCCCTTCCAGGCCGTGTTCCTCCGGGCTGTGAAGCTCTACAACAGCGGGGATTTCCGCAGCAGCACGGAGGACATGGAGCGGGCCTTGTCAGAGTACCTGGCAGTCTTTGCCCGGTGCCTGGCCGGCTGTGAAGGGGCCCATGAGCAGGTGGACTTCAAGGACTTCTACCCGGCCATAGCAGGTATCTGCCACCCAGACCACGGTGGGCGGTCCTCTCACCCACAGGGCCCGGTAAGGCAGATGTCCCCTTCATGCACGTGGAGCACTGCGAATGCGGAGGAGCCAGCCGGGAGGAAGGCCTTGTCTGTTGAGAAAGACGCTGGGTGCAGGGGCCCCAGCTGGGAGTGTCCAAGGGGCTGGATCAGTGAGTAGAGGCAGTGACATCCCTAAAGGGTTTGGGAAGCTTGGGTTCATAGGCCTTCCAGGCAGAGGGCAGTGCAGATGCAAAGGTGCAGCGGTGAGAAGTAACCCAGCAGATGTGTGCAGAAAGCAGTTGATAACCAGAAATTACACCTAGTCTTGGGATCTCTAACCCTGGGGTCCCTCGAGCAGGGGCAGAAAGGACTGTACTTGGCCAGGTGTGGTGGCTCACACCTGTAATCTCAGCACTCTGGGAGGCCGAGGCAGGCAGATCACGAGGTCAGGAGTTCAAGACCAGCCTGACCAACATGGTGAAACCCCGTCTCTACTGAAAGTACAAAAATTAGCTGGTCGTGGTGGCGGGCACCTGTAATCCCAGCTACTCGGGAGGCTGAGGCAGGAGAATCGCTTGAACCTGGGAGGCGGAGGTTGCATTGAGCCCAGATCGCGCCACTGCACTCCAGCCTGGTCGACAGGGCGAGACTCTGTCTCAAAAAAAAAAAAAAAAAAAAAAGACTGTCCTTTAGCTTCTCTGTTTGGACTTCTGCCCCATTTCTGGACCTCACCTGCTGCTCTCCCAGAATGCCCTGGCTCCCTCTGGCTTGGGGTGGTGGTTGAGTGGCAGGGGTGGTGAGTCAGCCCAGCCCACAGTCATCTTCCTCACCATCACTTGTCATATAGTATGCCAAGCACTTTACAGACATTCTCTCCTGTGATTGCAACAGCAACACATTTTCTGGACAAGCAGCTTGGCTTAGTAGGCAGAGATTGGATTTAGAGTCTTCTCCACTGGGGGGACGGAGATGTTCATTGCAATGCCAGCCTCTCACTGCTGCCTCCCACCCTCAGATCTCTTTGCAGAGTCCCTGCAGTGCAAGGTGGACTGTGAGGCCAATTTGACCCCCAATGTGGGTGGCTACTTCGTGGACAAGTTCGTGGCCACCATGTACCACTACCTGCAGTTTGCCTACTATAAGTGTGAGCCCCCTGGGTGGGCTGGCTTGGGCAGGGGACGAGGTGATAAGGGAGAGGACTGTATGGGAGCCTCCCAGAGTTGTGGGGAGCTTTCCTTCAGTATTGAGGACCCTGGGTGATAGGAGGAAAGTCTAGGGGTGGTGGGAATATGGGGAAGGCACCCTGGGAGTCTGGGGCAGGTGAGAGGCTTCTGAGTGAGAACAGACAGCAGCCTCAGGGAGAAGAAGAGGGTCTTTTGGGCAAATGACTAGACAACCAACAACTGCAGAGCACTTGACAGTTTATTTTTATTTTTGAAACGGAGTTTCACTCTTGCCCAGGCTAGAGTGCAGGGGCACGATCTCGGCTCACTGCAACCGCTGCCTCCCGGATTCAAGTGATTCTCTTAGCCTCCTGAGTAGCTGGGATTATAGGTGCCTGCCACCACACCCAGCTAGTTTTTGTATTTTTAGTAGAGACGGGGTTTCACCATGTTGGCCAGGCTGGTCTTGAACTCCTGACCTCAGGTGATCCACTGCCTCAGCCTCCCAAAGTGCTGGGATTATAGGCATGAGCCACCATGACCGGCCAACACTTGAGAGTTTATAAGTCACTTTATCTTATGTGGTCCTTTCACCAACACCATGCAGCTGGCATTACTGGACCGATTTTTCAGATGGGGAAACTGAGGCTTATAGGGCAAGGGGCTGTTGGTCTTATGACTAATAAAAAGTGGCACCAGGACTTGTGGCTCTCCTCACTGGAGAGATCCTGGCATCCACTGGGGCTGGAATGGACAGCCTCCAGTGTTCCTGCAGCTCGGAGATGCCAAGATTCAGACAGAGCCAGGAGTCAGAGCAGAGGGGCTGAGAACCCAGGGGCCAGGAGACCCTTCCTGGGTACACATAGCAGAGAGGCTAAGGGCCTCTAATTCACTAGAGCCATCATTCTCCAGCTGTGTGAGCTTGAGCAATTTATCTAACCTCTCTGTGACTCAGATTTCTTGACTGTAAAATGGGGATGACAGTAATAGGTAGGCATGGCTGGGCACAGTGGTTCACACTTGTAATCCCAGCACTTTGGGAGGCCCAGGCAGGCAGATGGCTTGAGCCCAGGAGTTCGAGACCAACCTGGGCAACATGACAAGACCCCGTGTCTACAAAAAATACAAAAAGTTAGCCAGGCATGGTGGCGCGTGCCTGTAGTCCCAGCTACTGGGGAGACTGAGGTGGGAGGATTGCTTGAGCCCAGGAGGCAGAGGCTGTAGTGAGCCGAGATCACACCACTGCACTCCAACCTGGGTGACAGAACAAGACCCTGTCTCAAAACAAACAAAAACATACAAAAAATTAGATGGGTGTGGTGGTGCCTGCTTGTAATCCCAGCTACTCAGGAGGCTGAGGTGAGAGGATCACCTAAGCCTGGGAGATCAAGCTTGAGGTGACCATAATTGCACCACTGCACTCTAGCCAGGGTGATAGAGTGAGACCCTGTTTCAAAAACAATAAAAAGACAATAACAGTGAGGCTTAGATGAGTTAGTCAGGGCCTGGCATAGGGTAAGTGCCCACTACATGCTAGCTGGCATTATGCTTGGGTGGGATAAGGAGCCCATTAGGTATTCTGGGAGGTGGCTGGGTAGCAGGGGTGCTGGACTGAACTGGAAGATGGAGTTGACTCTGAAGGGGAAGTGCCAGAGCAATTCCTCACCCCTGTCCTGCTGCAGTGAATGATGTGCGCCAGGCTGCCCGCAGCGCCGCCAGCTACATGCTCTTCGACCCCAAGGACAGCGTCATGCAGCAGAACCTGGTGTATTACCGGTTCCACCGGGCTCGCTGGGGCCTGGAAGAGGAGGACTTCCAGCCCCGGGAGGTGGGCACTGCTTTCTGGGGCACTTGCTGGATATGCACTTTGTAAAAAATGAACTCCTGGCGGCCGGGCGCGGTGGCTCATGCCTGTAATCCCAGCACTTTGGGAGGCTGAGGCGGGTGGATCACGAGGTCAGGAGATCAGGACCATCCTGGCTAACACGGTGAAACCCCGTCTCTACTGAAAAGAAAAAAAAATTAGCCAGGCATGGTGGTGGACGCCTGTAGTACCAACTACTCGGGAAGCTGAGGCAGGAGAATGGCGTGAACCTGGGAGGCAGAGCTTGCAGTGAGCGGAGATCGCGCCACTGCACTCCAGTCTGGGTGACAGAGCGAGACTCCGTCTCAAAAGAAAAATAAATAAATAAATAATAAAAAATAAACTCCTGGCTTCCATGGAAGGCAGGATGGGAAATGGAAAGAAAGAATATGAGTTGAGGTTAGAGTCCTGGCTTCAGAGCCCAGCCCCACTGCTGTGTGGTCCTGGGAAGACCATGGCCCTTTCCTAATCTATTGCCTCACCTGCAAAATGGCAGTGATACTGCCACCTCACCAGCAGTGTCCAGACGAGGGAGGTATGAAGGTACACATCCACTCCTACCTGCTCCCCTCCCTACCTTCATTACCCTCACTGCTGACCTTTGTCCCTCTTTCCCAGGAACACCCTAGGTAACCAATGGAGGAAATCTGTTGGAGTTGAGGGCCAGGCTGGCAAATATGGGGCACATGGTGCCACTCCTGCCTTCCTTGTCAGTGGCAGACATTGCTAATCGATTGAGGGACTCTTTGTCACCAAACTCTCAGAATCCTTAACCCAGTGTTCCAAGCAGCCACGATGATCTGATGAGCTTGTGAGCTGATACCTATTCTCTGATCCTTGAGCTAGAAGAGGGCCAGTGGGCCCAGATCCTAGGAGCCCTGGCTTCTTGCCATCTGGCAACAGGGTATGGCTCACCCCCCACCCCGTCCTTCCCTCCTTCCAGGAGGCCATGCTCTACCACAACCAGACCGCCGAGCTGCGGGAGCTGCTGGAGTTCACCCACATGTACCTGCAGTCAGATGATGAGGTGAGTGCCTCCTGCTTTCCAGGATTGGGCTGTGATGGGGACACCTTGGACCTTTTCCTGGGGCCACCAGTGTGCCAGAATTCAGCCCCAGCCCCTGGTGGTCAGCTGTCGTGAAGAAGAGAGGTTTGCCTGTTCCTTGTCTAGACTGTCCGTTCCTTCCCCAGCCTTAGTATTCTCATGTCCTCCTTTTGTACATGTCTCAATCCTGTTCCTCCCAGGCCCAGCTCACATGGTGCCTCCTCCAGGAAGCCCTTGCTGCATGCCCTGGCTCTTTGTTCTGGGCTAGCAGTGCCCACTCTGACCTGTGTGCCTCCCTGGCCACCTGTGGCCTGGACCTGGGTGATTGCAGCCCTCGTCCATCTCAGCCCTGGGCCCCTTCTCCAGCCAGTATCCAGGAGAACCGCACTGCAGGACACAGGGCCACATTATTCCCTGTTCTCCCACATCCTGCACAGAGCCTGGGCTCAGAAACTGAGTTTGAATGAACCAGTGAATGAATGAATGCAGGACCTCAGGACAGAAGGACCGTATTGTATTACATTGATTTATTTTATTTATTTATTTATTTTTTTTTTTTGAGATGGAGTCTCGCTCTGCCGCCCAGGCTGGAGTGCAGTGGTGTCATCTCAGCTCACTGAAACCTCTGCCTCCCGGGTTCACACGATGCTCCTGCCTCAGCCTCCGGAGTAGCTGGGATTACAGGCGTGCACCACCACGCCTGGCTAATTTTTGTATTTTTAGTAGAGACAGTGTTTCACCGTGTTGGTCAGGCTGGTCTCGACCTCGTGACCTCATGATCTATCTGCCTCGGTCTCCCAAAGTGCTGGGATTACAGGCGTGAGCAGCCGCACCCGGCCCTATTAACATTGATTTCAAGTGAGGGTTTGACAGCCTTAATTTCTCTGAGGTGTTGCTGCTCAGTGCTCATTTATGTATCCTCTCCTTTGTTCATGCCCCCACGCCCCCACCCATCCAACCCCAGAGGAGGAGGGCAGAATCTACACCGTCAGCACCCAGGATGAGGAACTAGCCAGACCTGGCTCCATTACTTACCAGTTGGGTGGCCTCCAAACAAGTGTCAGGCAACCTCTCAAGCTTCTGTTTCTTCATCCATTGAATGGGGAGAATCATGCCCATCTCACATTGTTGTGGTGAGAATAACACAAGATCTGGCCGGGTATGGTAGCTCATGCCTGTAATCCCAGCAATTTGGGAGGCCGAGGCAGAGGGATCACCTGAGATCAGGAGTTCAAGACGAGCCTGGCCAACATAGTGAAACCCTGTCTCTATTAAAAATACAAAAATTACTCAGGTGTGGTGGTGGGCACCTGTAATCCCAGCTACTGGGGAGGCTGAGGCAGGAGAATGGCTTGAACCAGAGGCAGAGGTTGCAGTGAGCCGAGATCGCGCCACTGTACTCCAGCCTGGGTGACAGATTGAGACTCTGTCTCGAAAAAAGAGAAAGAATTAAGTGAGATCAAGTATGTTTTTTTGTTTGTTTGTTTTTGAGACAGAGTCTCGCTCTGTCGCCCATGCTGGAGTGCAGTGGCGTGATCTCAGCTCACTGCAAGCTCCGCCTCCCAGGTTCTCACGCCATTCTCCTACCTCAGCCTCCCAAGTAGCTGGGACCACAGGCGCCTGCCACCACGCCCGGCTAATTTTTTTTGTATATTTAGTAGAGATGGGGTTTCACTATGTTACCCCGTATGGTCTCGATCTCCTGACCTTGTGATCCACCCACCTCGGCCTCCCAGAGTGCTGGGATTACAGGTGTGAGCCACCACACCCGGCCTCAAGTATGCATTTTTCTTTTTTTTTTCTTGGAGACAGAATCTCACTCTGTCACCCAGGCTGGAGTGCAGTGGTGCGATCTCTGCTCACTGCAACCTCCACCTCTTGGGTTGAAGAGATCCTCCTGTCTCAGCCTCCGAGTAGCTGGGATTACAGTCATGCGCCACCATGTCCAGCCAATTTTATTTTGTATTTGTAGTAGAGACAGGGTTTCACCACGTTGGCCAGGCTGGTCTCAAACTCCTGACCTCAAGTGGTCCGCTTGCCTCGGCCTCCCAAAGTGCTAGGTTTACAGGCGTGAGCCACCGCTCCTGGCTGAGATCAAGTATGTAAAGCACTTGATAAAGAGCCAGTACCTGGTAGGTGCACAGTGAATGACAGCCGAGTCTCACTCTGTCATCCAGGCTGGAGTGCAGTGGTGCAGTCTCAGCTCATTGCAACTTCCGCCTCCCAGGTTCAAGCGATTCTCCTGCCTCAGCCTCCTGAGTAGCTGGGATTACAGGCGTGTGCCACCATACCCAGCTAATTTTTGTATTTTTAGTAGAGACATGGGGTTTCACCATGTTGACCAGGCTGGTCTTGAACTCCTGACCTCAAATGATCCACCGACCTCAGCCTCCCAAAGTGCTGGGATTACAGGTGTGAGCCACCACGCCTGGCGTATGGCAGCCATTTTGACGGCTGTCTCTTATTTCCTGTGGTTTGCCAGACACCAGACTAGGGGCTGGAGTAAGTTAGTGAAAGTCATGGTCCTGGCGGGGCACGGTGGCTCACACCTGTAATCCCAGCACTTTGGGAGGCCAAGGCGGGCGGATCACGAGGTCAGAAGATTGAGACCATCCTGGCTAACACGGTGAAACCCGGTCTCTACTAAAAATGCAAAAAATTAGCCAGGAGTGGCGGCATGCGCCTATATTCCCAGCTGCTGGGGAGGCTGAGGCAGGAGAATGGCGTGAACCCAGGAGGCAGAGCTTGCAGTGAGCCGAGATCATGCCACTGCACTCCAGCCTGGGCAACAGAGCAGACTCCGTCTCAAAAAAAAAAAAAAAAAAGGAAGTCATGGTCCCTTTCACGTGCCGCTCACAGTCTAGTGGGGGAAGCACAAACTGCTGCTGGAGAGGGCAGCACACGGCACCAGGGGAGGTCTCCAGCCCAGCCAGAGTCACCAGCAAGGGCTCAGCCTGGAACTGATGCCTGGCTTTGGAGGGATTAGTGCGGGCTACGCAGGCACAGGGGACAGCAGTAGTTCCTGGCAGGGAAACAGTATGAGCAAATATTATGCATGGACTAGCAATATTCTTGCCAGGGTCTTTATGCTTAAAAGGTGGGGCTGTGCAGGGGCGATGTTTATGCTGACACCAAATTCTGCTGGTGGTGCCCTATGCAGCCACTCAGGGAGGGGCAGTTTGGGAAAAATCCTCAGGACTGTCTCATTAGATCTTGAGACTGGGGAGGGGGAGGGGCTTTGGGGACCGAGAGATGGGATGGGAAGTCCCATTGGCCAGGAAGGGAGCCCATATGGGTTTGGGCGTACTGTGACCCGGTTTCTCCCACAACCGTGGCGCTACTCTAGATGGAGCTGGAGGAGACAGAACCGCCCCTGGAGCCTGAGGATGCCCTATCTGACGCCGAGTTTGAGGGGGAGGGTGACTACGAGGAGGGCATGTATGCTGACTGGTGGCAGGAGCCGGATGCCAAGGGTGACGAGGCCGAGGCTGGTCAGTGACACGAGTCCTTGGGGGGTGGGGATGCAGCCTGGGATGGAGGTTGGGGACAGATGCATTCACCCGCTGGGCTCCGGAGCCCAGGGTGTGTGTGGGTGCTGGGGCCCATCCTCCAGGGGCCTCCAGCCTGTTGGCAACCCCTGTCCCGCTTGGGGGTGGTGGTGCAGCATCTCCCCTGGAGCTGGGACCAGCTGAGACCTGTCCGGGGGAGCCTCACCCCACCTCCCATCAGGACAGCACCTGGACACCCATTGGGAGTGGGTGGGGGAGCAACCCCAGTGCTTTCTCCTTTCCTTTTCAGAGCCAGAGCCTGAACTCGCATGAGAAGGGGACACCCCACACCGCTCAAGCTTGGGAAGCCTGGTGCCGATGGCCCCACCCTCACCAGCCTGGGCAGCAGCAAGAACTATTTATTAAAAACTTAAGATGGGCCAGGTGCGGTGGCTCACACCTGTAATCCCAGCATTTTGGGAGGCCAAGGTGGGTGGATCACTTGAGGCCAGGAGTTCAAGACCAGCCTGGCCAACATGATGAGACCTCCGTCTCTACTAAAATACATAAATTAGCCGGGTGTGGTGGCAGGCGCCTGAAATCCCAGCTACTCAAGAGGCTGAGGCAGGAGAATCGCTTGAACCTGGGAGGCAAAGGTTGCAGTGAACTGAGATTGCGCCACCGCACTCCAGCCTGGGCGACAGAGCGAGACTCCATCTTTAAAAAAAAACAAGACGGGCCGGCACGGTGGCTCACGCCTGTAATCCCAGCACTGAGAGGCCGATCACTTGAGGTCAGGAGTTCAAGACCAGCCTGGCCAACATGGTGAAACCCCATCTCTACTAAAAAATACAAAAATTAGCCAGGCATGGTGGCACACACCTGTAATCGTAGCTGAGGCAGGAGAATCGCCTGAACCCAGGAGGCGGAGCTTGCAGTGAGCCGAGATCGTGCCACTGCACTCCAGCCTGGGCGACAGAGTGAGACTCCATCTCAAAAAAAAAAAAAAAAACTTAAGATGGACACAGCTGACTGGACCCCCATCCTGCCTCACCCATGGGTGCTGCACCCCAGACCCATCCTGCCACTTCTATGTCTCTGGACCACAGGATGGTGGTGGCATTGCAGGTTGGCAAGTGGGCTGATGGGGTCCGCCCTCCTCACTGCTGAGCTCCTCACCTGGACAGTCTCCTGGACAAGGAGTTTCCAGCTGCTGGCTGGAGTCTCAGGCCAAATTGCAGAGGGTCCTCCAGGGTCCTGAAGAGCACTGGACTAAGAGTCTAGTGGTTCCAGGGCCCTGACCAGTAGGTGCTCAATAAATGTTTGTTGTTGAATGAGTCATAGTACCCGTGGTCGTCTCCCTGGAGCTCAGTTGTAAGGGTACAGGTCCTTCCCTCCCTCTCTCCGCACCTGTGTCCCCTCATCTGTAAAATGTGGGGCGGAGGGGCACCATCTGGGCCCTGGCTGGTCCTCTGCACCTGGGGCTGAAGGATGTGTGAGAGAGGACGCAGTGTGCAGATCTGCCACCAGGGGGCGGGAGAACACAGTCCTCCCCAGGCGGGAAGACGATGGTTTCAGATTTCTAAGATGGGAAGTCCTGTATTTTCCTAGTTCAGGATCACTTCCCTCGGGGAATGTGGCAAGTGTGGGAGGGGGCCAAGGACATTTGCTCCTAGTGTTTACTTTGTGGGCATTTACTGACCCAGTTTCCTTAGAGTCAGAGGGAGCTGGCCCTGCCGCTGCCCTCTATTCCCACATTCCAGAGCCGGGTTGGGGCCCCAGCTTAGCAGGCAGAGGAGCCCCAGGGATGTGGTTTGATTACTTTGGGATTCTTGGGGTGCAGTGGGACAGCCAGATCCCTCTTGACCGATTTTACATGGGCTCCCAGGGGCAGTGGGTCCCGGTGTGCAGGGTGTGCAGGCAACGATGGTGCCTGGTGGCTACCTCCTAGCCTGGGACTCACCGCCAAACCCCACCCCTATTCCACAGCAGGGAGGTGGGGGCAAAGGGGGTCTGTCTGGGAGGAACCCAGGGCCAAGGCCAGCCAGGTGACAGTTCTGCCCCATATTTCCAGCCTCCCGGGGGCAGGGCGGCAGAGTTGTCTTCCCACTTGAAGGTAGAGTCAAGGCTGGGAAGCCAAGTTCTCACTGCCCCACCCCTACTTTCTCTCCAGATGTGCCAGGTGATCTGGCCTGGGCCCTGTCCACCTCTGTTCCTAGGAGGACTCCCTGTCCCACTCCAAGCCCCTCCCCTAGGCCTTTGATCGGGATGAGAGCTGAAAGGGCAGAGTCTGAGTCTGGAAAAAGGGCTGGGTCAAGGCTGGGGGCTCAGTGACCTCACTCCTTCCTCCCATAGGTGGGTCTTCCGGGGAAGCACATCTGCAGTGGTAGCGTTTCCTGACCGCCTCCAGGTGCAGGGTGGCCCCGCCCCACCCCACCTCTTTCAAGCTGCAGTGTTGTCAGGTCCACCAAGGCCCAGCCCCTGTTTCTGGGAGGGGCTGGCCCTTCAGAGGGTGGGGAGCGGGATGTGCTGTGGCGTGTCTGCGCAGACGTGAACCTGCCATGAGCACAAGCTTTGGAATCTGGACGGCTGGGTGTGGGTCTGAAAGTGCCCGTGTGCTTGTGTGTTGCGTGAATGTGCGGGTCTGGGTGTGAATGTGTGCCTGCCTGCGTGCATGCATGAATGTGGTTTTTTTTTTTCTTTTCTTTTTTTTTTTTTGAGACAGAGTCTTGCTCTGTCGCCCAGGCTGGAGTGCAGTAGCGTGATCTCAGCTCACTACAACCTCTGCCTCCTGGGTTCAAGCTGTTTTCTGCCTCAGCCTCCCAAGTAGCTGGGATTACAGGCACCTGCCACCACACCTGGCTAATTTTTTGGGGTTTTTTTTTGTTCTGTTTTGTTTTGTTTTTGTTTTGAGACAGTGTCTCACTCTGTTGCCCAGGCTGGAGTGCAGTGGCATATCCTCGCTCACTGCAACCTCCGCCTCCCAGATTCAAGCAATTCTCCTGCCTCAGCCTCCCAAATAGCTGGGATTACAGGCATGCGCCACTGTGCCCGGCTAATTTTTATATTTTTAGTAGAGATGGGGTTTCGCCATGTTGGCCAGGCTGGTCTTGAACTCCTGACCTCAGGCAATCCACTCGCCTTGGCCTCCCAAAGTACTGAGATTATAGGCGTGAGCCACCCCGCCTGGCTAGTTTTTGTATTTTTAGTAGAGACGGGGTTTCACTATGTTGGCCAGGCTGGTCTCAAACTCCTGACCTCAGGTGATCCACCCACCTCGGCCTTCCAAAGTACTGGGAATAAATGTGTTTTTAGAGGGATTCATTCACTCAATCAGCACATATTTATTGAGCACCTACCATGTGCCAGGCATGCTGAGGTGCTGGGCATAGAAAAATGAACAGATCAGGCCAAACGCCGGACCCACATGGGCTTACATTCCAGCAGGGAGGCAGGCAGAAAACAATAAATGTCAGAATGTATGAATTAGATAGGTATGGCATATATGGAGGTGGGAAAAGGATCTGAGAGCTGAGGGGTTGCAGTTGAGGTGTGTTGGTAGCTGTGCAAGTGCGCATCTGAGAGTGGCGTCTCCGAGTGTGTGGTGAAGCAGTGTATGTATTAGGGAGCAGGCCCACCCTCTCTAGGCACCATTCCTGTGCAGCCCTTTAGCCCAGGCCACTGGCTCAGCCTTGCGTTACTCAGCTCTCCTTTCCCAGGGAGCCGCCAGCCCCTCCCGCCTCCCCTGATGCCAGCATCTCCCCATTGCCCAGCCAGCTCTGCAAACCGGTGAAACCTACTCCCAGCCAGTCCCAGTGTGGGCCCTCTGGGGCCCTCCAGCTCATTCTCCTGACTCCACCCATCCAGACAGCTTCACCTCCTCCACACCTCTGTCTCAGGTAGCCACCTCCCCACCCGCCCCCACACCCCACCCAGCACCTCACCAGTCCTAGAATCTTGGAATAATGGGTAGGAGGTTAGGGATGACCGAAAGGGCTCTGGGGAGGCTGGCCTCATGCAGCAGGACCAGACTCAGATGCCGCGGGAAGACCCCATCCTAAAGAAATCAGAGCTACTATGATGTCCTAAGTGCCTGCTGTGTGCCAGGCACTTGGGAGCTTATTTTTTGCGACAGGATCTTGCTCTGTCACCCAGGCTGGAGTGCAGTGACAATCACGGCTCACTGCAGCCTCCACCTTCCAGGCTCAAGCCATACTCCCACCTCAGCCTCCGGAGTAGCAGTGACCACAGGCACGTGCCAGCACACCCAGCTAATTTTTTTGATTTTTGGTAGAGACAGGGTCTTGCTCTGTTGCCTAGGCTGGTCTCAAACTCCTGGGCTCAAGTGATCCTCCTGCCTTGGCCTCCCAAAGTGCTGGGATTATAGGAATGAGCCACCACCAGGCCTCTTGACAAATTATTGATAACCCTCAAAACAGTCCTGAGATGTACATGTCAGTTCCCCTCTGCTCCAGGTGGGGCTGAGGAGTGAGAAGCAGTTTGTCCAGGGTTCCTTGAGGTGGTTGGTGACTGAGCTGGGTTTGGATCTTTTCTAACTAAATCAGTGCTGCTCAGAGAAGAGAGAGAATGCCCTGGTTGCAGGGGCTGGCCTGGTGTGTGTCTGTTCATTTTTGAGACGTAGTCTCACTCCAGCCCAGGCTGGAGTGCAGTGGCGTGATCTCGGCTCACTGCAACCTCCAACTCCCTGGTTCAAGTGATTCTCCTGCCTCAGCCTCCCAAGTAGCTAGGATTACAGGCACATGCCACTAGGCCTGGCTAATTTATTTTTAGTAGAGACACACCATGTTGGCCAGGATGGTCTTGATCTACTGACCTCGCGATCCGCCTGCCTCAGCTTCCCAAAGTGCTGGGATTACAGGAGTGAGCCACCCTGCCTGGCCAGCCTGGTTTTGTTAGGCTGTCAGCTGGGGACAGGGAGAGGAGAGGGTGCGCTGCAGGATGTGGAGATAAATCCCCTACAGGGCCATGCGCTGTGGCTAACACCTGTAATCCCTGCACTTTAGGAGGCCAAGCAAGGTGGGTGGATCAGTAGAGCCCAGGATTTCGACACCAGCCTGGTCAACATGGTGAAACCCTGTCTCTACCAAAAAATACAAAAATTAGGCCAGGCATGGTGGTTCACACCTGTAATCCCAACACTTTGGGAGGCCGAAGCGGGCAGATCACCTGAGATTAGGAGTTCGAGACCAGCCTGGCCAACATGGTGAAACCCCGTCTCTACTAAAAATACAAAATTAGCCAGGTGTGGTGGCACATGCCTGTAATCCCAGCTACTTGGGAGGCTGAGGCAGGAAAATCTCTTGAACCTGGGAGGTAGAGGTTGCAGTGAGCCCAGATCGCACCATTGCACTCTGGCCTGGGCAACGAGAGCAAAACTCTGTCTCAAAAGAAAAAAAAAAAAGAAAATTAGCTGGGTGTGGTGGAACATGCCTGTAATCCCAGCTACTCAGGAGGCTGAGGTAGGAGGATCACTTGAGCCTGGGAGGCGGAGGTTGCAGTGAGCCAAGATCAGGCCACTGGACTTCAGCCTGGAGCCTGGGTGACAGAGTGAGTACCCCCAAAAAAAAAAAAAATCCCCTGCAATGCCATAGCTCAGCTCTCGCTGAAGGAGGCAAGGAGTGGGAAGGGAGGGGGAAGGAAAAAAATGAAAGGAAGAAAGGAGGAGGAAGGGAGCAAAGAAAGAAGAAATGAAGGGAGGGAGGACAGAAGGAAGAAATGAATGAAGGGAGGCAGGGGGGCCTGGGGACAGAGTTGCTGGGATCACTTAGACTAACAACTTCCTGAATCCTGAGAGTCATGTTCAGGGAGGTGGGAGGGAGTCCCTTGGGCTCCCCGCAAATTCAGTAAATTCCAGCCGAAGAAATTCCACTCTTAGATTTGAAAAGTAGTTCTTGCCAGGCGCAGCTCATGTCTGTAATTCCAGCACTTTGGGAGGCTGAGGCAGGTGGATCACCTGAGGTCAGGAGTTTGAGACCAGCCTGCTCAACATGGTGAAACCCTGTCTCTACTCAAAATATAAAAAATTAGCTGGGTGTGGTGGTGGGCTCCTGTAATCCCAGCTACTTGGGAGGCTGAGGCAGGAGAATCGCTTGAACCCGGGAAGTGGAGGTTGCAGTGAGCCAGGATCGTGCCACTGCGAGACTCTGTCACAATAAAAAAAAAAAAAAAAAAAAAAAAAAAGGTCGGGCGCGATGGCTCTCGCTTGTAATCCCAGCACTTTGGGAGGCCGAGGCGGGCAGATCACAAGGTCAGGAGATCGAGACCATCCTGGCTAACACGGTGAAACCCGTCTCTACTAAAAGTACAAAAAATTAGCCGGGCATAGTGGTGGGTGCCTGTAGTTCCAGCTACTCCGGAGGTTGAGGCAGGAGAATTGCTTGAACCCGGGAGGCGGAGTTTGCAGTGAGCGGAGATTGCGCCACTGCACTCTAGCCTGGGTGACAGAGCAAGACTCCGTCTCAAAAAACAAACAAACAAACAAACAAACAAACAAAAAAGAAACAAAGAAAAAGAAAAAAGAAAAGTAGTTCTTGAAGTCTCAACCTGGTTCTCTGTCTCTAGGAGAATAGAAACTCCCTTGGGAACAAAGAGTGGCCCTTCCCCTTGTCAGAAGGCTGTGGCCAGTTGTTGCTAGAGCCAATAGCTCAACATGACTGGGGAGATCCTGGCAGCCACAGGACTCAACTCTTAGACAGTTTCCCCATTCTGGGGCCTTGCTCCAGGCCTTCTCTTGTATCTTGTCTCTAAGGACAACCCTGGCAGATAGATGGCTTCCATTTTGTGGATGGGGAAACAGAGGCCCAGAGAGTCTGGGTTGGGCCCCCAGGGCTGAGGCTCACTCTAAGCTAGGCTGGCGCAGCCCTGCCCAGCTCCCTTCACAAGTTCCAAGATGACTTGGGAATTAGATGGGAGTGTGCTGAGGGCTGGGGACAGCCCCCTGGTACCGGCCCCATCCCAAACCCCAGGTCTGACCTATGGACACACCACTGCATAATCACTGCCTGCCTGGGTCCCAGCTGGCGCCAACGTTCCTGGATAGCATCTCTTCTGTCCCGCAAACAGCCCTTGGGATGGGAATACCTCATGCCTGTGACTCAGGTGGGGAAACAGATAACTTGGAGGATAAGGTTGTTTACCCTTCCCTCCACATGCATATACTGTACAGACAGTCCCCAGCTTACAATGATTCAACTTAGGATTTTTTGACTTTAGGATGGTATAAAAGTGATAAGCATTCAGTAGCAACTGTACTTCAAGCACCCAAACAACCATGCTATTTTTTCACTTTCAGTATAGTATTCAGTATATTACATGAGATAGTCACCAAGTTCTTCTTTTTATTTTTTGAGACAGAGTCTCACTGTTGTTGCCCAGGCTGGAGTGCAGTGGCGCAATCTCCGCTCACTGCAACCTCCGCCTCCCGGGTTCAAGCAATTCTCCAGCCTCAGCCTCCTGAGTAGCTGGGATTACAGGCGCGCACCACCATGCCAGGCTAATTTTTTGTATTTTTAGTAGAGACGGGGTTTCACCATGTTGCCCAGGCTGGTCTTGAATTCCTGACCTCAACTGATCCGCCTGCCTTGGGCTCCCAAAGTGCTGGGATTACAGGCATGAGCCACCGTGCCTGGCCAAAATATTCAACAAGTTCTCATAAAATAGGCTTCATGTTAGGCGATTTTGCCCCACTGTAGGCTGAAGTGTTCTGAGCCCATCTGAGGTAGGCTAAACTAAGCCATGATGTAGGTTAGGTGTATTAAGTACATTTTCTTCTTTTTTTTTAATTTTTAATTTTAATTTTTTCCCCTTGTCTCCTCTCACAATCTTCTTTTTTTTTTTTTGGAGATAGGGTTTCGAACTGTTGCCCAGGCTAGAGTGCAGTGGCATGATCTCGGATTACTGCAACCCCCACCTTCCAGGCTCAAGTGAACCTTCTGAGCAGGTGAGACTACAGGCATGTGCCACCATGCTCAGCTCATTTTTTAACGTTTTGTACAGATGGGGGCTCCCTATATTGCATTTCAACTTACAATGTCTATGAGGACATAACCCCCCTCTGAAGTTGAGGAGCATCTGCACTTGATCCTTTCTTTTTTCTTTTCTTTTCTTTTTTTTTTTTTTTTGGAGACAGAGTTTCGCTCTTGTTGCCCAGGCTGGAGTGCAATGGCGCGATCTCGGCTCACCACAACCTCCACCTCTCGGGTTCAAGCGATTCTCCTGCCTCAGCCTCCTGAGTAGCTGGGATTACAGGTGCCCGCCACCAAGCCCAGCTAATTTTGTATTTTTAGTAGAGACAAGGTTTCTCCATGTTGGTCAGGCTAGTCTCGAGCTCTCTACCTCAGGTGATCTGCCCACCTCGGCCTCACAAAGTGCTGGGATTACAGGCGTGAGCCACCTCGCTCAGCCTTGATCCTTTCGCTCTCCAGAAGAACTTACTAAGTGAGGTCATGTGCAAAGAAGAGGCCAAGAGAACTTGACATTTTCCATTTGAGGTCACCCTTTTCACCTTTCTTTTCAGAAGAAAAGTGTGATATTGTGTTTCTGGGGTAAAATAAGGGGTAGCTAAGCCAAATTACTTTATTTTTCCTTGACTACTGGGCTAAATCCTCCTGACCTTCCTGGAGGAGGAGGCTGGGAAGGGG
This sequence comes from Homo sapiens, assembly GCF_000001405.40. Taxonomy (NCBI): domain Eukaryota; kingdom Metazoa; phylum Chordata; class Mammalia; order Primates; family Hominidae; genus Homo; species Homo sapiens. The sequence goes on along the minus strand of NC_000017.11, from coordinate 41,794,629 downwards.
CAAGTTTCAGCCAATGTAGCTGGAGAATTTGGCCTTTCCTCCCTGGCCCCAGGCAGTAGGGGGTCATTTGAGGGCCTCACAGCCCTAAAAAAAAAAAAGCTCCCATTAAAATTTTTTACCTTATCTCCGGATGAGGTTATAAACCCAGTCACGAGACAGGGGCAGGACTGAAGTCAGAAAACCCTGTCATATGACTTTAACCTTGCGTATAATTGTTTTGATAACTCCATTTTGTTTATTTATTTTAAAATACATCTGTATCCTCAAACACGGAAATGTTCCCGGCTTTGGAGCCCCTTTCCCCCAGCTCACACACACTTTGGACCCGGCAGCCTTCTTCTCCATCAACCCTTATTGGCAGCCTGGCCCAAGCTTCACCCTCCCCCATGCACCCACCCCTCCCCCTGGCTACTTCCAGGTTCTCTGTTGGGGCCATAAATGCTCCAGGAGATGTAAGTTGGCTGCTGCTTCCACTGGAGGCTGAAGTGCTGATGAAATATTCAAGGATCTCAACTCTCAAATTCCCTGGGGGCCGTGGGATGGGACTGGGAAAGATGGGATGAAAGTACAAGGCCAGGGGCCGCTGAGTCCTGTCCCAGTTCTCAGCCAGGTGGAGTCCAGCGCTTAAAGACCTGGGAAGCAGAGAGGGCCGGAGGGCGAGAGGCGGGGGTGGGGAAGGGTCTGTTTGCATAATTGATGGCTAGAGGCTCTAGGTGGTGCCATCCGCTGGTCGGCTTAGGGGAAGTAAGGCCTGAGTCTGGGACCACCCAGAGCCACCCCCTCCCCCAGCCCTGGCTGTCTAACTCCAAGGTTTTCCTGGGGTCACACCTCTGAGCTGACAAAATCAAGCTGGCAAAATTGGTTCTCGTCTCCTCCCTGACTGCAGCCCGTCTTTGCCTTCCTTGGGGTGGAAAGAGACCTACATTGGTGGGGGAGGTGAACTGGCTGGCAGAAGACCAAGGTTCAAGTCCCAGCCCTGCCAGGAATTTTCTTGTGTGATCTTGGGGAAGTCCCTCTCCTGGCTCCAGCCGCAGTTTCTTCATAGATGCAGGGAAAAGGGGGCTCCGCTTAGACTATGCCTTCTTCCTCTTCCCAAGGCTCTCCACAGGTCAGGGAGAAATGGCTGCCTCCAGCCGTGTGTGCGCGTGAGAGGGATGGCCTCTCCGTGGGAAGCATGCCTTGTCAGGGCAGGCATCTCTCCTGGCTTGTGGAAAGAGGGAGGAGCGGGACAGGCTGGCAGGGCAGGTGGGGCCCCAGCTGTGTCAGCCTGTGCATGGAGTCGCCCAGACCAGGAGCAGGAAGCGGGTGACTCAGGTCGCAAAGGCTCGGCTACCCCTCCCCACTCAGGAGGAGGGTGTTGCTTAGGGAGTTGGTGAACCAGCTCTGGAGCCCGATCTAGATGCCACCGGTCCTGGAGTTTCAACTTGCGGGGCTTGGGGTGAATAAGGAGGGGCAGCCTGGGACAGGCATTCTCTGGAGAGGTTTCGACAGACCCTCCTCCAGCCTCTCCCTCCACCACCACTGGCCGCTGCTATCTCACCCTGGCCTGTACTATTTCTGGCCCGTCCTATCTCTGTTTTCTTGTCTCCTGTTTTCCTTCTGACATTCCATCCCCACCCACACGCCTTGCAGTGAAGTGTCGCTGGAGCTACATCTGTAATTAAAAGACACACGCCCACAGGACCAGGCTGTGGGCAGCCTCTGGCCTCAAGGCCCCTCCCCTGGACACAAGGCAGGAAAAAAGGCAGGAGTCCATCTCCCCACAGCCTCCCTCCAGAGCCCTGCAGCCTCCTGCTCCCTTCCCAGCTTCTGGCCATGCTTGGGCCCACTCCAGCCAGCAGAGTTTGGGAGCCTGCAGGCTCTTCTGCAGCTGTGTCCTCCCCGAGCCCTGAAGGGGGCCTTCTGAGTAAGCCCCCACCCCCAAAGCCAGTGGGCAGGGCCAAGAGCACAAATGAGGCCTACATGCCATAGATCTAGGTAAGTTACAGAGCACACTCCCAGGCCAGTTGTGGTGACTCACACCTGTAATCCCAGCACTTTGGGAGGCCGAGGCGGGTGGATCACTTGGGGTCAGGAGTTCAAGACCAGCCTGGCCAACATGGTGAAACCCCATCTCTACTAAAAATACAAAAATTGGCCGGGCATGGTGGCACGTGCCTGTAATTCCAGCTACTTGGGAGGCTGAGGCATGATAATCACTTGAACCTGGGAGGCGGAGGTTGCAGTGAGCCAAGATTGCACCACTGCACTCCAGCCTGGGCAACAGAGCAAGACTCTGTCTCAACAAAAACCCAAAAAAACAAAAAATGGAGCATGCTCCTGAACTGCTAGGTCAGATATACCTTGACAGTTGCACCCCCGCGATGACCTGAAAGTCCATGATGGAGTCCCAAGTTCTCACTGTGTCAGGGCATGGCAGCCCCATGGAGAACGGCTCCTCCCTGGCCCCCAGCCAGGGCCTGGACTATTTCCCTTTCCTTAGCACCTCTGGCTCTGCCTGCGCCACAAGGTCCTCCAGCCCTTGCATGGAGATTTCCTAGCGCGCATCCATGCTGCCTCTATCTCCCCACCCCAGCAATAACTGCCCTTTGTCATGTCCCTAGTTTGGCCCAAGTGTGTCCATGCACAGTAGCACTGGTGCCGCTGCTCCTGGGGAGAAGGACCAGAGTCAGCGACCTGCAGGCCTGGAAAGTAGGGTCAGTGTTGGGCAGGAATTCCAGAGTTTCTGGTGCTGGTCCCTGGAGTGTGGTCTAGAAGGAATGTGAAGTCCATGTAGGCTCCTCTGTCCCTTTGCCCCTGTGTGGAGGGGGCAACCCCAGGAGGGCCAGAGTGGAGGCCTTTTAAAGGCCAGGATCGGCCAGGCATGGTGGTTCAGGCCTGTAATTCCAGCACTTTGGGAGGCCGAGACAGGCGGATGACGAGGTCAGGAGATCGAGACCATCCTGGCTAACACTGTGAAACCCCGTCTCTACTGAGAAAAAAAAAAACAAAAAATTAGCCAGGCATGGTGGCACGTGCCTGTAGTCCCGGCTACTCAGGAGGCTGAGGCAGAAGAATCACTTGAACCCGGGAGGCGGAGGTTGCAGTGAGCTGAGATCGCACCACTGCACTCCAGCCTGGGTGACAGAGTGAGACTCCAAAAACAAAAAACAAAAAACAAAAAACAGGCCAGGACCTGGAGAGAAACTGGGTGTAAAGATGGCTCTGGCCAGGTGTGGTGGCTCACACCTGTAATCCCCACACTTTGGGAGGCTGAGGTGGGAGGATCACTTGAAGCCAGGAGCTCCAGACCAACCTGGGCAACATGGTGAGACCTCATCTCTACCAAAAAAAAGAAAAAAAATTAGCTGGGTGTGGTAGCGGCTGTGGTCAGCTACTCAGGAGGCTGAGGCTAGGGGATCCCTTGAGCCCAGGAGGTTGAGGCTGCAGTGAGCTGTGATTTCGCCACTGCACTCCAGTTCTGGCAGCAGAGTGAGACCCTGTCTCTGAGAAAAAAAAAAAAAAAAAAAAAAGGCTGGCTTTGTCCCTGGGCTGAGAGATGGCTCATACCCAAGGTGCCTCTAGCTTTCTGCATTGCCTTTCTTTCAAGTCTGCCATCCGGGAAGAACCTCCCGTTGTGTGATTTCCTTTTCTGCTGCTGCAAAGCGCGGGGAAGAGGCTACTGGGTGATGAAAATGTACCATCATCAGCCTGAAGTTTGGCAACCCAGCTGGTCACCCTGGGCTCCCCTTTATAGAAGTGGTTATGTCTTAGGCTACCTGAGGCTGAAGAGGCAGGAAGAAGGGTGTGTGTGTGTGTGTGTGTGTGTGTGTGTGTGTGTGCGCGCGCGTGTATTAGAGAAAGCTGGTGTTTGTGTATCTGAATCTGCACCCGCAAGTGTATATCCCTGAGGTGTGAGCATAGAAGGTTGTGTGTGTGTGTGTGTGTGTGGCTTGTGTACGTCTAAATTTCTACCTGTCTCTGGGGAAAAGGCCCCCATAGAATAAGGACTGTGGGTTTTTTTTCTTTTTTTTTACTTTTGAGCTGGAGTTTCGCACTTGTTGCCCAGGCTGGAGTGCAATGGCACGATTTCTGCTCACTGCAACCTCTGCCTCCCGGGTTCAAGCGATTCTCCTGCCTCAGCCTCCTGAGTAGCTGGGATTACAGGTGTGTGCCACCACGCCCAGCTAATTTTTTGTATTTTTAGTAGAGATGGGGTTTCTCTGTGTTGGTCAGGCTGGTCTCGAACTTCCGACCTTGGATGATCCACCCGCCTCGGCCTCCCAAAGTGCTGGGATTACAGGCATGAGCCACTGTGCCCGGCCCTAAGGACTGTGTTTGAATGGAGAACAGAAACTCTTCCATCTCCTTGTATGGCCCAGAGGCCTCGTGGAAGATGAGGGGGGTTGTGAGATAAGGAGAGGACGGTGGCCTGGTGGTCCTGGACACTGGCTGATGGTGTGCACCCTCCCCTAGAAAAGAGCCTCCCTCCCACCAGTCCCTCACTGAACCTCTCTGCGCCAGTTACTTCTGTCTCTGCAGCAGCTTGAGATGGGCCATGTGGTACCCTTATATTCTCTACTCTGAAGCACTAGCAAGCTGCAAGGTTGAGTTACCCATATGTGTTTTTGGCAGCCCATGGACTCTGCTTCCACTGAGCCCTGGGCAAGAGGAAGGAATTGAAACTGCAGGAATAGGAATTGAGGCTGGACATTAGAACAAGGAGACAGGGGCATTCACCATAAGGGAGGCTGCAGGATCTTCTTTCCTGGACATTTGTCAGAGAATTCTTGCCTTTAAAGGTTTGCAGGCAGGGGACTGGATAAGATGACCTTGCGGCCTTTTCTTCAAGTTCAAGCTACAGGGGAGACTGTGGTCACAGAAACCCCCATCCTATCCCTACATACCTCCTTTCACAAGAGACCAAATTGCCTGTGCAGACAGCTGAGTCTAGGAAACATCATTTCTGATTCTATTCTGTATTCTCAGATACAGATGAATCTCAGTGCCTGCCAGGCACATAGTAGGTGCTTAAAGAGAATCCCTTGATCTGGGAGGAGAGACTCAGCTCTAATCCCAGTCTTTGCCGCTGCTGTGGTGGTGCTTCCACCAGTCCCAGCCTGTGTGTTTAGCTCTGGGGCTGGTGTTATGCAACATGTTCCATGCTAAGACACGCAGGGGGCATTCTGGGGAGACACACACACACACACACACACACACACACACACACGGTTTATTCTGAAACCTTATTTCTGCTCCTCCACCCACATGGGCTCCTCCACCCCTCTCTGCAGTCAACCAGCCCTACCCTGCCTCTTTGCTGAGGTCAGGAGAAATAGGAAGGAGTCAGGCCAGGCTTGGAGCTGGGACGTATGTGTGTGTGCATGTGTGGAGGTGGGAGGTGGGCAGAAGGGGGAAGAAATGAAACCCTGGCAGCTGCAGCAGTCCAGGATTGTGAGCCCATTCCTTCCCCAGCTGTGGCCTGGCTACAGCTCTATGTGACAGGGTGACAAGCAGGTGGATGGGGCAGGGGTAAGGCAGGGATAAAGATAGGGAGGTAAGCTGGAGGATGGAGAGTTGAGGAAACAGGCAAAGGGCGGTGGCCCTGGTTATGGGATGGCCACTAGTTCAGGGATGTCCGTATCTCCCTGGCCCTGCTTTTGGATGGCGCAACTTCAGAAGGGAGAATGTTCAGCTACCATTCTTTTCTCTGGTGGGGAAAGTGGTCAAGGTTGCTGCTAAGGTACCTTCATCCAGCCCATCCTGTGTGCTAGCTTTGGGGCTGTAGAGCTTTGTTGATGGGGGACCCTTTTCTAAACCACCACTCCTCCAAAACCCACCCACACACGCTGCTTCTGCTTATCCTTCTATGAGCTCTTTGAAGGTTGGGATCATTTTTATTTCCTGTGTCACCAGGTTTTATTTTCTGTGTTCACCAGTGCCTAACATACAGTTGACAATGAATACTCAAGTGTTGAATGAAGGAATGTTTGTAGGGCCCTTGGCACACCATACAGCCACGAGCAGCATTCATGTCATCAACCACAGAAAGGAAGTGCCCTTGTCTTCTTAAGCTGCCTGTGAGAAGTCCTTTTTATTTTTTTGAGACAGAGTCTCACTCTGTCACCCAGGCTGGAGTGCAATGGCATGATCTCAGCTCACTGCAACCTCTGCCTCCCGGGTTCACGCCATTCTCCTGCCTCAGCCTCCCGAGTAGCTGGCATTACAGGTGCCCGCTGCCATGCCTGGCTAATTTCTGTATTTTCAGTAGAGATGGGGTTTCACCATGTCGGCCAGGCTGGTCTCGAACTCCTGACCTCAAGTGATCTGCCCACCTTGGCCTCCCAAATTGCTGGGATTACAGGCATGAGCCACCACGCCTGGCCGAGAAGTTCTCTCTGATCTCTACCCCAGGCTCTCCTATCGCAGAGGGGTGTGCTGCCCGGTTTATTTTTTTCTTTTCTTTTTTTTTTTTTTGTTTGAGATGGAGTCTCGCTCTGTCATGCCCAGGCTGGAGTGCAGTGACATGGTCTCGGCTCACTGCAACCTCCGCCTCCCAGGTTCAAGCAATTCTCCTGCCTCAGTCTCCCAGGCAGCTGGGATTATAGTTGCCCGCCACCACGCTCGGCTAACTTTTTGTATTTTTTGTAGAGATGGGGCTTCACCATATTGGCCAGGCTGGTGTTGAACTCCCGACCTCAGGTGATCCACCCGCCTTTGCCTCCCAAAATGCTGAGATTACAGGAGTGAGCCACTGCGCCTGGCCTGCCCCGTTTCTTTCATGCCAGGGCTGGATTTCCTTCAGATCTGCTGCTTGATGTTTCCAAGCCCACCAAAGCCTCCTGACACCAATACTGTATTTTTGTGCCAATTAATTGTTCTGTCTCTCCTCCAAGTGTTTGTGCCTTTTCTCTGCCCCTTCCCCATTGCCTTGACATTTTATGTCTATGCTCCTCTTCCATGAGGGGAACAGCTGGTTTGATGGTCCTTCAAATGAGAGGAAGGAGGTTCTAGCTTGGGGTGTGCCACTTTGTAGTTTTGTGACTTCTCTGAACTTCGGTTTCTTCATCTTTACAATGAGGGTCGTTTTCTCATCCTAACTATTTTTCAGAGCTGTCACAATAATTAAAAAAAAACATACCGTTAATTTAAATTTCTAACCTTTAGCAGTTTCTGAGTGCTTTCACAAACCTGACCTCATTTAATCCCCACATACTCCAGTGAGGTAGATATGGCTAATGTATCCAGTTTACAGAAGAGGAGAAACAGGGTGAAGTAACTTGCCTAAAATCATACCAAGTGGGAGAAGACCAAACCTGGCCTTCTAATTCTAAATCCCAGGAGTACTCCATCTTTCGGGAAAAAAATCCCACCCCAGCACAAAGCCTATGAAATGCTATACAAATATGTGATTACTACTTTGGGGCAAGGATGAATAAGCCCAAAGAAGCATCATGCCTGACGCTGAGTTGGCTGGCCGGTGAAGGCGTCTGTCCCTTCCCTTGGTATCCCTATGACTTACCTGTTGGACAGGTAGGGGGAAGGGGAGAGTAATGAGTCTCACCTGCTCAGAGCAAGGGTGGGGCAAGACACACCCCATCCCTTCCATTGGTTTTTTCCTTAGTCTTACTGACAGAGCCTTGTCCAATCAGGAGGAAGTAACTTTCTATCTGCCAATAGATGCAATGTTAGGATGAGACCTCAAGTTAGAGTCCATCCCTAGAGCCGACTGGCAGTCCCCGGGGCCAATGGCAAGCGGATAAACAGAGGCGGCCGTGGAAGAGGACTGGAGGCGAGGCTCCGCCCCTCCACGGGACAGTCAGGCGAGATAGCCAGTGAGCTCGCACCAGAGGGTGGGCGTCTCCCCCAGGGGCGGAGCTTCGAGGTGGCGAGGGGCGTGGCTTGGCTGTCAGGTCTCTTCGCCTTTTGTTCGGTTACTGAGTTGCTGCCTTGGCCAGAGTCCGGAGCAGCCGCCGCCCGACCACGCCGAGCTCAGTTCGCTGTCCGCGCCGGCTCCCACCCCGGCCCGACCCCGACCCGGCCCGGTCAGGCCCCATACTCAGGTGCGGGCTATCGGGGGCGCAGGTATCGTTGGGGACAGAGGGGTGGCGAGCGGCCGCGGGGCCGGTCCCAGCCGTCCCTGGGCAGGTGAGGGCCGGTGCCATCGAGCGCCACCCTGCACCGGCGGCAGGGGGCGCGCTGGGGTCCTGGGCGCGGCGACTTGGGGGTCGCGCGGTTCGGGCCGAGCGCGCCTCGGAGCTCCGCGAACCAGAGATCTGAGCAAGGCGGGGAGGGATCCGGACAGGTGCCTCCGGGGTCGCGCCTCCCCCGGGGCCCGCGCAGCTCGCCCGACGCCGCGTCCCTGACTCTCGCCCTGGGCTGGCGGGGGAGACTTTGCTCTGCTTCGACTGCGTCCCAGGGCTCACGCTGCAGTCAGGAATTTACCGTTTGGGGAACTTGCTGCCGCTGGTCTCTTTGGGGCCACCCTCACCCCACCCCACGCGTCATCCTCGCTTTCCCTCCCTCCCTACTCCCCCAGGCCTGGGTGGGGCCCTATTGTTTGCGCCCAGCTTGCCCAACTGTGGGGGCCGAGCGCACATTTTCCCAGCGACTCTGGCCCCACCTGCCGAGCAGGTGAGCGCACGGAGTCCAGAGGCCCTGCCCTCCAGCTCCCAGAGCCTCGTCGATACTACCTGCGGCGCCTCCCTCCACGCCGGTGGGAGCCCGGCTCTGGCTTCTTCAGCGGAGGTGGGATGGAGTGACTGGGGGGTGCAGGGCTCGGCTCAGTGTCCAGCTGGTGTCTGGCACCCGTGGCTCGCCCTGGGGTCTGGGGGGTGGGGTCTGTGCACGGATGAAGAATTCAGGGTCACCTGGCCCAGTTTCCAGTAGCTGTGGCTGCCAGAGTGTTGGTAGGGGAACAGGACCCGTCTTCTCTAACCTCTTATTGTTGGAAAAAATCACCCAAAACAAACTTTGCAGGAGGAAGTATTCACAGCAGCTTTATCTGGGGGTTTTCCCGTCTCCTTGCCCAAAACTTCCTTTAGGCTTAGGGGGTCCTTCCTGGTGCAAAACCCCTTCCCCCAGCCGGCCCCTGGCTGAACCTGGGCCGGTGCCTGGGCTCCGACCCTGTCTTCCCTGCCCCCACATTCATCCTGTTCGCTGGGCCCCAGGGGCCTGAGGTAGGGGCCGGGGTGGGGGGTGGAAAGTGCTGAGAGGGGAAGCAGCTTCTTCCTTCTCTTCCTGCCTCCTGGGACCACCACACCCCCTCAGACAAGGCCTGCGTAAGTGGTTGTCTCTCAAGCTCTGCCCCCTCCCCAGGAATGGGGGTGGGGCAGGGCTGGGCCAAACTGAGGAAGGTGGGGGGAGTGGTTGTTCTTGTCTTTTTTTTTTTGCCTCTACCCCATCCCCCACATTACTTAGCTGGCTGGTTATTGAGGCAGAAGCGCATGAGGCTGTGGGACTTGCCTTCCATTTGATTTCTGAATTGTGAAGGTGCATGCTTTCTGGAGGCCTGCACAGACCTTTCCCACCCGCTTTCCTGAAAGAATTTGACAGGGAAAGTGAGACCGCAGGAAGGCTTTTTGGGGGAAGGTTTCTTCAATGCTAGACTCTCTCAGGCAGAGCTGCATCGGGCCCCCTGCCTTCCCTGCTCCCAATTTCCTGAGACCGCCCCCCCCCACCCAGAATTGGGGATCTTGATCAGGGTTTGTACCCCGGTTTAAAAAAAAAATCTGAAATGTGGTCTTTTTGCAGGATTTGGAGCCCAGCCTCGTTGGGGAACAGAGAGAGAATACAACAGTTGGGTTCTCTCTCAGTCCTGGGGGTGGGAGAAAGATTGTGGGGGGCGGGGATCGAGAGTGCTTGGAGGGGAAGAGTCTACCACCTCTTTCTTTGTTGTAGATGGGGGAGTGAGGCTGGGGGCCCAGACTCAGCCCCTTTATCCTGGGTGGGGATCACGCTCAGCCCTGTGCTAGGGGGAAGTCAGTGTGGGAACTCAGATCCTTTTCTGCCGGGGGATGGGATTCTGCACCTCTGGGGAGCAACAGGAGCAGGGAGTTTGGGCAAAAATAACCTGCTTTCCCTCTTCTCTGTGCCAAGGTGGAGGAGGGGAGGGCATTGTAATTATGTTGGCTACATGATTAGTTTAGCTAATCTGGTTTGTGGCTGTGATGAAAAGATAATACTGAGGAAGTACTGCTAGGAGGTGCTTGGTGAAAACTGGCCACTGACTGGACTGGGGGATGCGGGGGAGGAGGAGAAGGTAGGACCCAGTTAGTCATTTCTTGCTAGATCAAGCCCCAGCTTGGGTGACTTGAGCCCTCCCACCCCCACTCCACCCCTCCCTTGCACCCTGGCTCCACCCCATTCCCTCTGGAGCCTCTGTTTGGGCTGCCAGGGCCGAGGCTTTGAGAATGCAGTGCATAGGAACGAAAAAGGTCGGGCTAGGGCTGCCAACCTTTTTCCCATCCTGGAGCCACCTTAGAGTGAGATGGGTCAATTGACTAGTCTACAGAAGGACTGTTTATTTGGAGAGATGGGACAGTGGGGCAGTTCTGAGCACAGGGCTTTGGGCTTGAACTGAGCTGGGTTTGAGACCCAGCTCTGTCTCTCATTACCTGAGCCTCAGTGACCTCTTTGGCAAAATGGGAATACTAATACCTATCTACCCAGTAAGTACTTGACAAACGGTAACTCAAGATCAAGGTAAGACTTTACAGAAACCAAGCACTTTCTTTTTTTTTTTTTTTTTTTTTTTTGAGATGGAGTCTCGCTCTGTCACCCAGGCTCACTGCAACCTCCGCCTCCTGGGTTCAAGTGATTCTCCTGCCTCAGCCTCCTGAGTAGCCAGGATTACAGGCGTGTGCCACCACCCCCGGCTGATTTTTGTATTTTTAGTAGAGACAGGGTTTCACCATGTTGCGCAGGCTGGTCTTGATCTCCTGACCTCGTGATTCGCCCGCCCCGGCCTCCCAAAGTGCTGGGATTACAGGCGTGAGCCACCTCACCTGGCCCAAACCAAGCACTTTCATTAACTATTTTTACTTAATCCTTATGGCTGGCCAGGCTGGATGGCTCAGACCTGCAATCCCAGCACGTTAGGAGGCCCAGAAGGGTGGACTGCTTGATTGAGCCCAGGAGTTCCAGACCAGCCTGGGCAACATGGAGAAACCCTGTCTCTACAAAAAAATAGAAAAATTAGCCGGGCGTGGTGGTGCATGCCTGTGGTCCCAGCTACTGGGAATGTTGAGGTGGGAGGATTACCTGAGCCCAGGGAAGTCAAGGCTGCAGTGAGCTGTGTCACTGTATTCCAGCCTGGGCAACAGAGTGAGTCCCTGACTCAAAAAAAAAAAAAAAACAAAAAAAACGCGTATCATTATTCGCATTCTACAGAGGAGGAAATTGAAACTCAAGGAACTTAAGTAATTTCCCCAATGTTGTACAGCGAGACCCAAGCAGCACCAAGACTGACGTTTGGGTCCTCTGATTCCAAGCCCAGAACCCATCCTGCTGTATTGCCCCATGCAGCTCTGGAAAGGATTTTTTTTTTTTTTTTGAGATGGAGTCACGCTCTGCCACCCAGGCTGGAGTGCAGTGGCGCGATCTCGGCTCACTGTAACGTCTACCTCCTGGGTTCAAGCGATTCTCCTGTCTCAGCCTCCCGAGTAGCTGGGATTACAGGCATGCACCACCACACTAGGCTAATTTTTGTATTTTTAGTAGAGATGGGGTTTCACCATGTTGGTCAGGATGGTCTCGAACTCCTGACCTTCAGGAGATCCGCCCGCCTCAGCCTCCCAAAGTGCTGGGATTACAGGTGTGAGCGGAAAGGATTTTTCTGCACCCCCTTTTGAGAGCCTCTGCCTGACTGGGGAGAAGAGAATTCAGAAGGGCCCATGAAGGCATGTGTGAGTGGTGAATGTAGGGCAGGTTTTGTAGGTGGGGGTGATACCTGTCCTGGCCACCAGCCCACTTAAATCTCCCCAGTGGCTTGATTTTTAGTTTCCGGTGGAAGCGGCTTCTCCCCAAGGCCAGGGCTGTGGTGAGTGTTGGGGGGAGGTTGAGAGGGAAAGAGGAGGCAGGGGTCAAAGCTGTGCTGCCTCCTAGCTTGGGTTAGGTAGAACCATGGCTGTTCTGGGCTTGTTCATGTGTAGGAAGTGGGAGTTGCCTGCTTTGCTGGGGGCTGGGGCTATGCCAAGATAAAGGGGTGCTGCCCTGTGGGGATTGGCGAGAAACGAGAGTCCGATTTAGGCCTGGGCTAATGTCCTGCTGGAGTTGACGAGGCAGTGCTGCCAGGCTGCTCTTGATGGGGAACTGGCTGTCCTCTGCTCTGAAGCCCAAGAGACCTGAGATAGGCAGCTGCTGGGAGGGCTTTTCTGGTGATGGAGGTGGGGGTCATGTGTGCTGCCTGTCAGCCAGAGCCTTGGCCCTCTAGGGAGGAGCTGGTGTCAGATTGTTCTCCAGACCTGCCTGGTTCTGGTGTCTCTGCCAACTGGACATCTGACACCAGAATGGGCCTGGATTTGGGGTCTGGGAAATGGGTTCTCTTTATGTGATGGTGCAGCCGGAGTACTGAACCTGTCACTACCGCGCTTCTGGATTCCCTGAGGGCAGGCGGGGACCCCAGGCAACGGGATTATTGATCGTGGAGAAGGCTAATGGGACTTGAGACAGAGAAGAAAACAGAATGAACCCCATCCCACTGACTACTACAAAGAGGGCATGAGGTTGCAGTTTTTCCATCTCCCCCGAGGACTTGAGAGCTGCAGGCCCGATGCACTTACTGAAGGGACGCAGTCTAGACAGGAGGAGGGGCTTTCTGCCTGCTAAAGATGAAATCTTGAGTTGAGAAATAAGAGGGAGAGGTGGAGACTCAGCATTGACTCTTCTCTGATGAGGGCCATCCTGTGCGGCAGGGAGGCCAGACAGGAATTGCTGCCCTTTGGGGAGACTCCTCATTTGTATCTTTTGGGAGAAGAGCGACCTGGCAGTGAGAGGGAAAGGCATCTGTGAGCTGGTCCTGTGACCCCTGTGAAGAGGAAAAGCAAGCAGTGTGGCTGGGCAGGTCACCAGGGCTTGTGTTCCTGCAAGTGACACTGAGCGGCCTCTCCTGGGACATGGTTGAGTCTGGGGACATGGAATATCTTATTGTGAAGCGACTTCCTCTGCCAGGCCTGAAGGGCAAGCTCATGGACCACTCTCCTTTGCTCAGCCTCCTGGCATCTTGGCCTTTGGGGCCAGCAGAGCAGGAAGCTCAGCTTTCTTTTTCTCTTTCTTTCTTTCTTTTTTTTTTTTTGAGATGGAGTCTCTCACTCTGTCACCCAGACTGGAGTGTAGTGGCACAATCTTGGCTCACTGCAACCTCCATCTCCCGGGTTCAGGTGATTCTCCTGTCTCAGCCTCCCGCGTAGCTGGGACTACAAGCGCCTGCCAGTACGCCCAGCTAATTTTTTTTTTTTTTTTTTTTTGAGACGGAGTCTCACTCACTCTGTCGCCCAGGCTGGAGTGCAGTGGCACGATCTCCGCTCGCTGCAAGCTCCGCCCCCTGGGTTCACACCATTCTCCTGCCTTAGCCTCCCGAGTAGCTGGGACTACAGGCGCCCGCCACCACGCCTGGCTAATTTTTTTGTGTTTTTAGTAGAGACGGGGTTTCACTGTGTTTGCCAGGATGGTCTCGATCTCCTGACCTCATGATCCACCCGCCTCGGCCTCCCAAAGTGCTGGGATTACAGGCGTGAGCCACTGTGCCCGGCCTAATTTTTGTATTTTTAGTAGAGACGGGGTTTCACCATATTGGTCAGGCTGGTCTTGAACTCCTGACCTCAGGTGATCCACTCACCTTGGCCTCCCGACATGCTGGGATTATAAGCGTGAGCCACCGCTTTTGGCACTCAGCTTTCTTTCCTCCTCCCTTCTCCTCTTCTCTTTTCTTTCTTTTTTTTTTTTGGTTTGTTTTTTGAGATGGAGTCCTGCTCTGTCGCCCAGGCTGGAGTGCAGTAGTGCAGTCTTGGCTCACTGCAACCTCTGCCTCCTAGGTTCAAGCAATTCTCCTGCCTCATCCTCCTAAGTAGCTGGGACTACAGGCATGCGCCACCATGCCCAGCTAATTTTTGTATTTTTAGTAGAGATGGGGGTGTCACTATGTTGGCCAGGCTGGTCTTGAATTCCTGACCTCAAGTGATCCACCCACCTCAGCCTCCCAAAGTGCTGGGATTACAGGCGTGAGCCACTGCGCCCGGCCTTCTTTCCTTTTTTTGAGGTAGGGACTCGCTCTGTCCCTTAGGCTAGAGTGCAGTGGCGTGATCACAGCTCACTGCATCCTTGAATTCCTGGGTTCAAGCAATCCTCCCGCCCAGCCTCCCAAGTAGCTGGGTCCACAGGTGTGCACCACCATGCCCAGCTAATTTTTAAAGTTTTGTGTAGAGACAGGGTCTTGCTATGTTGCCCAGGCTGGTCTTGGACTCCTGAGCTCAAGCATTTGTCCCATCTCAGCCTCCCAAAGTGCTGGGATTATGGGCATGAGCCACCATGCCCAGCTGAAGCTCAGCTTTCTGTGTCTTTCCCTACCATGGAGACAGTAGCAGGGACCAGAGCAGAGTTGGGACAGGGGCTTGGCAATCAATAAGCTGCTTATTTAGGGGAGACTCCTCCTCTTCCTTGATTGAGAAGGTAATATCTGGCTGGGGCAGTGGCTTACACCTGTAATCCCAACCGCTCTGAAGGTTGAGGCAGGAGGATTGCTTGAGGCCGGGACTTTGAGACCAGCCTGCCAGCCTGTGCAACATAGCAAGACCCCATCTCTTAAAAAAAAAAAAAAAAATTAGCCAAGCATGGTGGCATGTGCACGTGGTCCTAGCTACTCGGGAGGCTGAGGCGGAAGGATTGCTTGAGCCCAGGAGTTCAAGGCTGCAGTGAGCCATGATTGTGCCACTATACTCCAGCTTGGGCAACAGAGCGAGACCTTGTCTCAAAAAAGAGAAAGAAAATAAAAAAAGTAATATCTGATCATTGTAAAAAAAACTGGGGGCCAGCCGCGGTGGCTCACGCCTGTAATCCCAGCACTTTGGGAGGCCGAGGCGGGCGCATCACGAGGTCAGGAGATCGAGACCATCCTGGCTAACATGGTGAAACCCCGTCTCTACTAAAAAATACAAAGAATTAGCTGGGCGTTGTGGCAGGCACCTGTAGTTCCAGCTACTGTGGAGGCTGAGGCAGGAGAATGGCGTGAACCCGGGAGGCGGAGCTTGCAGTGAGCCAAGATTGTGCCACTGCACTCCAGCCTGGGTGACATCTGTCTCAAAAAAAAAAAAAAAAAAAAATTGGGAAGTTTAGAAAAGTTTAAGAGAAAAGAAAAAAAATCGCCCATAATCCTAAAAAGCAACTTTCATTAAGGTCTCTTCCTCTTTTTTTTTTTTTGAGACGGAGTTTTGCTCTTGTTGCCCAGGCTGGAGTACAGTGGCACAATCTCAGCTCACTGCAACCTCTGCCTTCTGGTTTCAAGCGATTCTCCTGCCTCAGCCTCCTGAGTAGCTGGGATTACAGGCACCTGCCACCATGCCTGGCTAGTTTTTTGTATTTTTAGTAGAGACGGGGTTTCACCATGTTGGCCAGGCTGGTTTCAAACTCCAGACCTTGTGATCCACCCGCCTTGGCCTCCCAAAGTCCTGGGATTACAGGCATGAGCCACCACGCCCAGCCAAGTCTCTTCCTCTTTTCTTAGCATCCTTTTTTTCTTTTTTTTTGAGACGGAGTCTCGCTCTGTCACCCAGGCTGGAGTGCAGTGGCAGGATCTCGGCTCACTGCAAGCTCCGCCTCCTGGGTTCATGCCATTCTCCTGCCTCAGCCTCCCGAGTAGCTGGGACTACAGGCACCCGCTAACACGCCCGGCTAATTTTTTATATTTTTAGTAGAGATGAGGTTTCACCGTATTAGCCAGTATGGTCTCGATCTCCTGACCTCGTGATCCGCCCGCCTCGGCCTCCCAAAGTGCTGGGATTACAGGCATGAGCCACCGTGCTCGGCAACATCCTTTTGTTCTTTAGCCTTGATCTTGATGAGCTCATCCCCTGTATATAGTAACATTTTTTTTTTTTGAGATGGGGTCTCACTGTGTTGCCCAGGCTGGAGTGCAGATCTCAGCTCACTGCAACCTCCTCTTCCTGGGCTCAAGCGATCCTCCTACCTCAGCCTCCCAAGTAGCTGGGACTACAGGCACATGCCACCACGCCCGGCTAATTTTTGCATTTTTTTGTAGAGACAGGGTTTCGCCATGTTGCCCAGACTGGTCTGGAGCTCCTGAGCTCAAGGGGATTCACCTGCCTTGGCCTCCTAAAGTGCTGGGATTACAGGGGTGAGCCACTGCACCCTGCCTACAGTAACAGATTTTAGCCAAAACTTTATTCCAATCCTGGTTTTCCAGCATGTGTTGTACAATAAACAGATGGATCTTCCCAGGAGAGGGTTATATGTAGGGATCCTTGCAGAATCACACCCCAGGGAGTGGGCCTCAGTCAGCTGGGATCGGAGCTGCTGTTATTGAGAAGTGGGCCGCCCCTGGACCCCAGGCTGCCCAAGCCCCACTGGTGGTGGTTGGAGGCAGTGGAATGAGAGTACTTGTGTATTTTGCGTCACCAACACACGTCAACCTTTTGTTGTTGTTTCCTGGTGTGGGGTGAAGTGTTTTTCCATTCCCAGGAGTCCCGGTTTGGGGTCATCTGCCAGTTTGGGAATCTGCCCACGGGGGTCACCAGCAGGGAACGGAGCTCCAGCTGGAGCCCTCTCCAGGGGAGCATAGAGGTCCCTGGGTCGAGCCACTTGGCCGTGGCAAATTCCCTCTCCTACAAATCCCCTTCATTTTCCTACCCGGGTTTGTTTGCTTTGGGAAGGAGCCCAGAAGGAGGAAAATAAACAGCAGCTGGGTCGGCAGGCCTGAGCCTCCCCCAGGCCCCAGCTCATCCTCAGGCCACAGCCTGGGCTGCTCTCCAGACTGGAAGTGAGGGTTTTCCTCCGGAAGCCTAAGACCAGCTTGTCTGACAGCTCCTGCTTCAGTTCTGCCCTCTTGGAATGGACCAGCTTGCTGATGGAGACCACAGTGTCTGCCAGAGAACCTGTAGTCTGCAGGAGGTTCCGTCCTGGAGCTGCCAGCCAGAGGGGAGAGGCCTCCTTGGGCAGCCCCAGCCTGAGAGGGAAACAGGCCCTCAAGGGAAGCCATCATGTCCATCTCTCTGGACTTTCTAGAGTCTGTGTCTGTGCTTGGAACTGCTGGCCAGACCTCAGCAGGAGCCAGGGACAGAGTGGGGAAGGTGGGGGCTGGAGATCCTGCTGAGCCCAGCTTCCCCCTGGGACTGCTATGTGGGGAATGTTCACGCCTGGCTGTGCAGCTGCCCCTGGCTGCAGGAAGCAGCATGGACTGGGCATAGGGCAGCCAGTGTCTCCACCTGGCGTGAGCGAAGTTCCACTCCCCTTCTCCTCAGCCATGTTCCCTTGACCTCCCCAGGGCCTGGGAGGCAGCTCCCTACCTAGTCCCCATCTCAGGGGTCAGAGAAAGCAGCCAGGGCTCCCCCAGACAGACTGCCATCCACCTTGCCCGACAGGTCTCTGTGCCAGCCCTCGCCTTTTTAAATTTTTATTATTTTTCTTTTTTTTTGAGACAGAGTCTCGCACTGTATCCCTGGCTGGAATGCAATTGGTGCGATCTCGGCTCACTGCAACCTCCGCCTCCCAGGTTCAAGTGATTCGCCTGCCTCAGCCTCCCGAGTAGCTGGGATTACAGGTGCCCACCACCACGCCTGGCTAATTTTTTGTATTTTTAGTAGAGATGGGGTTTCACTATGTTGGCCAGGCTGGTCTCAAACTCCTGACCTTGTGATCCACCCACCTTGGCCTCCCAATATGCTGGGATTACAGGCGTGAGCCACCGCGCCTGGCCCCCTCACCTTTTTGTTTTGAGACACGGTCTCGCTCTGTTGCCTAGGCTGGAGTGGCATGATCCTGGCTCACTGCAGCCTCAATCACCTGGGCTCAAGTGATGCTTCAGCTTCCAGAGTAGCTGGGACTGCAGGTGCATGCCACCATGCCCGGCTAATTTCTTTTTATTTTTTGTAGAGACAGGGTCTTACTATGTTGCCCAGGCTGGTTTCGAACTCCTGGGCTCAAACGACCCTCCCACCTCCGCCTTCCAAAATGCTGGGATTATAGGCACGAGCCACTGCGCCAGCTGGCTTCCGCCTCCTCTGCCATCTCTTTGTTCTTCTAGCATGAGAATGCATGCCTTTCCTGTGGACAGAGGGCTTCCAGAGTCACAGTGACAAAAGAAGTCACTTGATCATCTCCATTTTACAGATGAGAAAATGAGGCTTAAGGAAATTGAGCCCCTCTCCTCACTCAGAATCCTGTGCTCACCCTGTCGCTGTCTGAGCCTGGGGACCTGTGTCTGCACAGGGTGCTGGCCTCTAGCCTAAGGAACCTCTGGGGGACCCAGCCCTGCCCTGCTCCGCCCTGCTCCTCTGTTCCCAAATGCAATGCTTCTGAGTCTGCTTCCAGCACGGCCTCTGGGGTAACCCACTCCTGTCCTTATTTCCAGGTGTCTTGGCACTTGGTGCCCTGCAACCCAGCCTAGATGTGCCCATTGCTGACTGTCCTTGGCAGGTGCCGGCTGGGGAAGGAGCCTGGTGTAGCTCTGGTGGGGCTATTTTTAATGTCAGGGCTGGGCCACACTCTGCCAGGTCAGTCTTGGATTTAGGGTGCCCGGTGCCAGCCCTCTGGGTTGGCTGCGCAGAGGAGGAGGCAGGAAAGAAGGGTAGGGGTGCACCCAGTCTAGCCTTATTACTTGCTCACACTTACCTGGTGTGGGTCCCATGGGGAAGGGTCCTCTGCACCCCCTCTCCAGGGCCCGTCTTCCTTCTTCCTGTCCTTGGGCTGTCCCTACAGTCTCTGATCTGGCTTCTTCCTCCCGTGCTGCTAACAATAGAGCACGCTCTAAACAAAGGCCCCCCATTCAACTCAGAAACCCGCCCTGTCTCTGTCCCTGCCCGTCTCTGGCTGGGATGAGTGGGCAGGGCCTGCGTCTGTCTCTCTCGCTTCCACCCTGGCTCTGTCCAGGGGCATTGCAGGAGGTCTGACTCCAGGTCCAGGGTGGAGAGGGACAAGACTGAACTGGGTGTGGCCCCCTCCACCCTGGGAACTGTAAAACCAGCACTTTTGTTTCTTGTGAGAGAAGTTCCTTTGTTCTCCTGGGCAGTAGGTAAGGAGAAGGGTGGGGCTGGTTGACAGTCCTGCCTGAGGTCTGACTTCCAGCCTTCCTGTTGCAGGAATAGCTCCCGTGACCCCTTCCTCAGGAGGAGTTCTGGAGTGTGTCCTCTCTCTGAACTGGTTCCCAACTCTGACGTTGCCCACCCCCAGCCTTCTTCTGTCTGTTGTGGGAATCCTGTTTTTTTATTTCTAGAATCTTAGACATCAACATTCCTTTGAGATCCAGGGACACAAGGACACCCAGCAAGTTTGTGGCAGAGCTGGGACTAGAACCTGGGACTCTTTTTTTTTTTTTTTGAGACAGGGTCTTGCTCTGTTGTCAGCCAGGCTGAAGTGCAGTGGCGCAGTCTCGGCTCACTGCAACATGCACCTCCCTGGTTTAAGCAATTCTCCCGCCCCAGCCTCCCGAGTAGCTGGGATTACAGGTGCACACCACCATGCCTGGCTAATTTTTGTACTTTTTTAGTAGAGACAGGATTTCACCATGTTGACCAGGATGGTCTTGAACTCCTGACCTCGTGATCTGCCCGCCTTGGCCTCCCAAAGTGCTGGGATTACAGGTGTGAGCCACCGCACCCGAACCTGGGACACTTGATTTGCAGCCGAGTGCTCTGCTTCCATCTGCAAGCACCTTGGTCCCCTCCTCCCCTTGGCAAGAGGGCTCAGCTCCACCCAGGCTTGTCTAGTGGACTGGATGCTGTTCCTACCACAAGTGCTGCCATTTTCTCAGTGTGCAGGCACAGCTTCTTCACCTAGAAATTGGGAATAAAGCCAGGCACAGTGGCCCAAGCCTATAATCCCAGCACTTTGGGAGGCTGAGGTGGGCGGATCACCTGAGGTCAGGAGTTCAAGACCAGCCTGGCCAACATGGGGAAACCCGGTCTTTACTAAAAATACAAAAATTAGCCAGGCGTGGTGGTGCACACCTGTAGTCCCAGCTACTTCAGAGGTTGAGGCAGGAGAATCACTGGAACCCAGGAGGTGGAGGTTGCAGTGAGCCAAGATCATGCCACTGCACTCCAACTTGGGCGACAGAGAGAGATTCTGTCTCAAAAAAAAGAAAGAAAGAAAGAAATTGGAAATTATAAAACATCTGCCAGGGTTGCTTTGAGGGAAGAATGAGATTCACATAATAATAAAGGCCACTGGGCGTCCACCCCCCCACCCCCCCATGGCATCCTGTGGCTTCTGTCTCTCCCTGGGTAGCTGTCTAGCCCTCAGCAGTCTCCTGGCGGTTGACCTGGGCTGGTGGGGGTGGTGAGGGGCCTGCTGAGGAAGTTCCTCAGCTTGACTGTGGTGGTCCCTTTAGATGTGAGGCCGGCAAGGGGTGACCCTTGTTTGGAGTGAGGCCCGCTTCCCTCTCCCTTAGCTGAGAAGCCCCAGGGTTAGGCACTGTCTATGCAGGAGGGCCCTCTGGCTGGGATGCAGTGTGTTTGTTGACCAGAGCTGCAGATGTCCAGCAGTGTCCAGATGTCGTTCAGCCTTGAGCCCAGCAGAGCGGCATTCAGTGGGTTATTGCTACCGTGTTTACTTGTACACTTGCACCTTCCTTCTCTCCTGGGGGCAGCTTCTCTTCCAAACTCTCCTCTGCTCTCTCTTGGGACTTGCCCTTGGGGCAGGGAAATGGTTGGGGAAGGCGGCACAGCACGAGGAGCTCAGGATTTTAGTAGGGTTTTCCCATGTCTGCCTTCTCCGAGCACCCCGCCCCCCGCCCCCCACCATTGCCCCTGTTTCCTGCCAGTGGCCATTCCCCTCTGTTGCTGGGGAAGGGGTGTGGGGAAGGGGTGCGTGTGGAAAGGGGGCTGGTTGGGGGGGCTCCTTCTGAAATAGCTACACTTTCGAATGCCTGGGAAGCAGCTGTGCACATCTGGCGGCCCGAGCCTGTCGTCTGGGGTCTGCCGTCTGAGGTGGCGGGACTGCTTCTGTTTAATCAGCCTGAAACTCTGAGTCACTAGGGATTGCGGGAGGAGAGGAAGGAGGCAGCTGGGAGCTGGCCTGGCCCCTGCCTCTGCCTGTTCCGGGTGTGCTCACGGCTGCCTGCCATAAAAGGCTGGGAGACCTGCAGGACCATTCGTCATCCTCCTGGAGGGCCAGGGCGGCACTGGGGCAGTCACAGGGAAGACTTATCCTTGGTGATCTTTGTTCCTGGGGTGGGGCCAGGTTGCCCCAGCCACCCCACCCTCACCTGGTCCCCATCACAGTGAGACAACCCGGGTGCTGCCTGGCTTCATGGGTGGACCAGCCTGAGTTCTGCTTACTCACTGAGGCTGCGCCGGGATGTGCAAAGACTACAGACCTTGGTGCCCTCACACCTGGTCCCAGTCCCAGCTCTGCCATTTCTAACCTCAGTTTCTGCATCTGTACGCGGGGGACCAGTGCATGGGCTTTGAAACCCGCCCATGAGCATGACGGTGTCTGTGAAAGGTCTGGCTCGTAGTAGGCCCTCATGGGATCACGGCGTCCATTCTCCCCGCAGCCTCTGACCTCTGCAGGTCAGTTCCCAGGACAGTGGAGCCAAACACAG
Source organism: Homo sapiens (assembly GCF_000001405.40). NCBI lineage: Eukaryota > Metazoa > Chordata > Mammalia > Primates > Hominidae > Homo > Homo sapiens. The sequence continues at coordinate 41,772,878 of NC_000017.11, read as the reverse complement.
ACCAAGCGGGAAGTTCACCTCCCTGGTACAAAGTTCGGCCCTGCTACTCATTAACCTTCAGGTGCGCCTAAACCTTTGCAGAGAGAGAGAGGGGTTCCTGACGGCAGTGACCACCCACAGGCCTGCCCCACCCCAGATCCCTAGCCTGGGCTCGAGGAGACCAGGAGGTGAGGAAGCACTTCTGGAGGAGAGGCAGTGCTGATGATAATGGCCGTGGCCTCTGAGCACCTGCTATGCACCAGGTCCTCGCAACCACCTCTGAGGGAGGTGGCGTGACCCCGCTTTACAGATGAGGACACTGAGGTTCTGTGGGGAGAGGAACTGCCCCAGTAGTGAGTAGCTGAGATTTGAATTGCTCTGTGGGACTCAAAGAGGCGTCTAGGGACTGGGAGGGCTGGGAGAGAGGGGGCCTTAGGGTCTGGACCTCAGGGCCATGTGTGATCCTGCCCAACCTGTAGGAAAGCCAGATCCTGGAGTCTCTGAGGGAGCCTGGGGCGCTCCAGAGAAACCTGTCAGACCGCTTCCCTGCCCCGCCCAGTTTCCTGCCCAATGGCTTGGGTGCCTCCTCCCTGCAGCCTTTCCCAGGGAGCCCCAGTAGTTGAGGGTGGGCCCAGGGGACCTCAGAAGCTGCTAGAAGCCCTGAGTGCCTTCTCTTGCCCCTGGGAGAGTTGGGTCAGGGCAGCAAGGTGCGTGAGCAGGGGCTTCTGGCGGCAGCTGGCCCTTGACTGTCCTGCCCCCTGGGGCTCATCCCCCTGGGAGGTCAGAGATGCAAGCCCAGGACATACACACAGCCGCACCCCTGGGGCTCACTGCTCCCAGGGTATCTCGTCGTGGGCAGCCCCTCCCTGGGCCTGGTGCCCTTCTGGGCAGTCCCCCCATCCCCAGCCTGCATCCTCATTGAAATCCCTGGGCCATGGTGATGATGTGGGAAGACAGGCGGGGCTTGGTGACGGGCTGAAGCTGGGGGCTGGGCCAGGTGACTTCCTGCTTCCTGACTTCCTCCTTTGTGCCCCCAGTAGCCACGATGGAGGTGATGAACCTGATGGAGCAGCCTATCAAGGTGACTGAGTGGCAGCAGACATACACCTACGACTCGGGTATCCACTCGGGCGCCAACACCTGCGTGCCCTCCGTCAGCAGCAAGGGCATCATGGAGGAGGATGAGGCCTGCGGGCGCCAGTACACGCTCAAGAAAACCACCACTTACACCCAGGGGGTGCCCCCCAGCCAAGGTCAGGACCCCTGGGGACTATTGCATGGGGCAGAAAACCTGCCTGGGTCCTGGAGAGAGGTCAGAGTGAAAGGAGGCAGATTGTAGGGGGTCTCTGGTCTGAGGGAGGAGGCACAGCTCATGCTAACTAGGGGCCCACCCAGTCTGAAGGAGGAGGTGCAGCTACTTCAGGGTGCTGCATCTGGGAGGGTCACAGAATCCTCTTCTGTGAACCATCAGTAGGGAGGGAAGGCATAGTCCCTGCCCTTAGGGTGCCTCCAGTCTGAAGGAAAAGCCATAGTCCTTGCCTTCTGTGAACATAAGAATCTGATGAAGACATTGGGTACGGTGGCTCATGCCTGTAATCCCAGCACTTTGGGAGGCTGAGGTGGGCAGATCACCTGAGGTCAGGAGTTTGAGACCAGCCTGGCCAACATGATGAAACCCCGTCTCTACTAAAAATACAAAAATTAGCCGGGTGTGGTGGCGCATGCACCTGTAGTCCCAGCTACTTGGGAGGCTGAGGCAGGAGAATTGCTTGAACCCAGGAGGCAGAGGTTGGAGTGAGCTGAGATTGCGCCACTGCACTCCAGCCTGGGCGACAGAGTGAGACTCCGTCTCAAAAAATAGTAAAAAAAAGAGTCTGATGAGGATGTATCACTATGGCTCTCAGGGAGCCCATGGATGGCAGGGAGGACGCAGCCCTTTGGCTGCAGGAGCCTCACGTTTGTGGGAGAGCCAGGGCCGTAGCCCCCAGGAACCCCCAGGGATTCCCCTTTGGGTAGAGGGGTGTAGGTGTCAAGCCTGAGGGCCCCTCGTTGGGGTTGGAGGGAGACCAGGCCTCTGCGGCTGACCTGCAGATAGGCCAAGGCTGTGGGATGAGTGACTGACTCAGCTCTGGGGCTTAGTCCGGGATGGGGATGCCCCGCCAGCCCAAGCCTCCCCTGCCCCTCTGGGAGAGAGGAATAGCCAGGCCCTAGAACTGTTGGCCACAGGTGCCTCCAGGGCCCTGAACATGCCAGGGGGTGGGCTGTGGGTGCTGGGAGTAGTGTGAGTAGACTGTGGCTGGTGGGGCTCTATGGAGCTCAGCCCTCGCATGCCAGTCTCCTCCCTGACAGCTGGTAGGGGTAGCAGGGGGCCTTTTGGCTGGCAGGGCCAGGCACTGTGTTGGTAGCAAAAAGTACAGCATCCAGGTGGGAAAGCCATGCAGCTGTCTCCTCCTTCTCGACTAATTAGAGGGTGGAACCTCTGCGTCCCTCTCCCTGGGGGCATCAGGACAGTTGCCAGGGTGTGGCTGCTTGGGCACCTACCTGTGGGACTCCCAGACCCACCCAGGGGATGGAAGCTAGAGAGGAACCTGACGTCTCAGCTGAGGACCCAGCTCCTGCTCTCTGAACCCACAGCCCTGACTTTCCCTCTGATCTGCTGTGAGATGTGATGTTGGTGGTTCTCTGGGCCTCTGTTTGCCTGCCTGTATAGTGGGAGGATTGCTACCGTTGGGGATGATGAGGGTGTAATTAGACTCCTGAGATTTCAGGGTTGAAAACAGACCTGATGGGTAAGGGAGGAGAATAGAGTAGGGGTTTGGGCCCCTGAGTCAGGCTGCCTTATAACCCCTCTGTGCCCAGTTTTCCCATCTGTAAAGTGGAGCCAGTGATAGTACTTACCTTGCAGGGTCGTTGTCAGGTTATGTGAGAAAATATAAGCAGGGCATTGAATTCACTGCCAGGCACATAATAAGTGTGCAAAAAAAAAAAAAAATTCCCTTGATGGACAGAACATGTGGGGCCTATTTTACAGAGATTACTGAGGTGATGGTGACTTCCCCAAGGTTCCTGGTGAGAGGTAGAATGGCCAGTCATGTGCTGGGGGTTTGGGCAGGGCAAGAGGTAGCCCAGAGGACCCAGGTGGGGCTGTCTGTGGCCTGCCCTGCTCCCCAGTGTCTGCCCAGCCCACTGCCTGCACTCAGTCCCTGTCCCCATGGCCCCCAGGTGATCTGGAGTACCAGATGTCCACAACAGCCAGGGCCAAACGGGTGCGGGAGGCCATGTGCCCTGGTGTGTCAGGCGAGGACAGCTCGCTTCTGCTGGCCACCCAGGTGGAGGGGCAGGCCACCAACCTGCAGCGACTGGCCGAGCCGTCCCAGCTGCTCAAGTCGGCCATTGTGCATCTCATCAACTACCAGGACGATGCCGAGCTGGCCACTCGCGCCCTGCCCGAGCTCACCAAACTGCTCAACGACGAGGACCCGGTCTGTGAGGGTCCCTGCTAGGGTGGGGGCTGGGCAGGGAGGGGAGAGAGCAGATGTCCTCAGGGGAGGGACATTGTAGGGGTGGAGGGAGGTTATGACCCAGACTCTCCCGTGTGTGATGAGTCTGACTGGGGCCCTCCTCAGCTCTGTGGAAGGGTATCCCGGCCTCTCCTTAGTGCTCACGTCCCCGCCCCTGCCTTTGCCCTCCAGGTGGTGGTGACCAAGGCGGCCATGATTGTGAACCAGCTGTCGAAGAAGGAGGCGTCGCGGCGGGCCCTGATGGGCTCGCCCCAGCTGGTGGCCGCTGTCGTGCGTACCATGCAGAATACCAGCGACCTGGACACAGCCCGCTGCACCACCAGCATCCTGCACAACCTCTCCCACCACCGGGAGGGGCTGCTCGCCATCTTCAAGTCGGGTGGCATCCCTGCTCTGGTCCGCATGCTCAGGTACCCAACCCTGCTCACTGCATGAGCCCAGGACCCCCTCTCACTTGGGCCTCTCCCCTCCCTTCCCTGAGCTTCCATAAATATCCAGTGAGCACCTACTATGTGCCAGGCAGAAGCACACCCCATCCGGGTGCTCGGTGGCTCACAGCCCAGCAGGGAACACAGGCATGTAAACAGCAGGTTAATGATCAGGATACGACACAGGCTATGGCAGAAGAGCATTGAGATTGCTCAAAGGTGGAATCGCTTAATGGCAGGGGATTGACAGATGAGTGGAGTTTGGCTAGTGCAGAGGAAGGGAAGAGTGTCCCAGGCAGAGGGAACAGCAAATGCAAAGTCCCTTGCAAACTTTCTGTTTCCTGGCCCCCTACAAAATGTGGATTGGCCTCATTTCTTTTTTTTTTTTTGAGATGAGGCCTTGCTCTGTCACCCAAGCTGGAGTGCAGTGGCGTGATCTCAGCTCACTGCAGCCTCCACCTCCTGGGTTCGAATGATTCTCCTGCCTCAGTCTCCTGAGTAGCTGGGATTACAAGCATCTGCCACCATACCTAGCTATTTTTTTTTGTTTTGAGATGGAGTTTTCCTCCTGTTGCCCAGGCTGGAGTGCAATGGCACAGTCTCGGCTTACTGCAACCTCTGCCTCCCGGGTTCAAGAGATTCTCCTGCCTCAGCCTCCCAAGTAGCAGGGATTACAGGCACCCACGACCATGCCTGGCTAATTTTTGTATTTTTAGTAAAAATGGGGTTTCACCATGTTGGCCAGGCTAGTCTTGAACTCCTGACCTCAGGTGATCTGCCCCCCTTGGCCTCCCAAAGTGCTGGGATTATAGGCGTCTGCCACCATGCCCAGCTCAATTTTGTATTTTTAGTAGAGACGGGGTTTCACCACGTTGGCCAGGCTGGTTTCGAACTCCTAACCTCAGGGTGATCCACCTGCCTCAGCCTCCCCAAGCGCTGAGTTTACAGACGTGAGCCACTGCTCCTGGCCTTATTTCTCATTCCCATACCAGGCTGGAAGCTCCCTGAAGGGGAGACACTGATTTCACTCCCCTCTGAACGCCTTGCAAGGCCTCTCTAATATGTGGCCTTCCACATGGTGGTTACTTAGTAGGGATCAGTGTCTAGGGGACCTACTGTGCGCTCAGCACAGGGCTGGGGACTCAGAAGCAGGAGGAGTCATTGTCCCAGTTGGGAGAAGAGAGGTGCTGTTTGCTTCATGCTTAAGAGCAGGGCAGGCTCAAGGAGTGATGAGATTTTAGCAAAGGGATATTTCCAGAGGGGCGTCAGTAGCGGGGAGGCTTCCTGGGGGAGGTGGGAACCCATGCCAGGCTCACATGTATGCCAGGCCTCTGGGACCTCAGCGTACTAACCCCTGCCCACCCCCCCAGCTCCCCTGTGGAGTCGGTCCTGTTCTATGCCATCACCACGCTGCACAACCTGCTCCTGTACCAGGAGGGCGCCAAGATGGCCGTGCGCCTGGCCGACGGGCTGCAAAAGATGGTGCCCCTGCTCAACAAGAACAACCCCAAGTTCCTGGCCATCACCACCGACTGCCTGCAGCTCCTGGCCTACGGCAACCAGGAGAGCAAGGTGGGCCCTCCCCAACTCTCCCGAGGCCTGAAGCCCACCCTTGCGCCATCTTCTATCCTGCACAGCCTTGGGCCGCTGCCCCCTTACTCCTTTTAGATGAGATATAGGTGCAGATATACATGCTTCATCATGCGACTGAATTGCCCAGAATTATTATTTTGAGGATAAGGGAAAAAAAAAATCACTCATCCTCATATAGCCACTATTGTCATTTCGATGTGCTTCCTTAAGAGCTGTTCTGTGGGCAGATTACAGATGTGTACACATCCTTGTCATCATAACAATCTGCAATATTGCATCTGTTTTCTGCCTGATTTTTTTTTTTTTTTTTTGAGACAGGGTCTCACTCTGTCACACAGGCTAGAGTGCAGTGGTGTAATCAGGGCTCACTGCAGCCTTGACTTCCTGGGCTCAGATGATCCTCCTACCTCAGCCTCCAGAGTAGCTGGGACTTCAGGCGTGTGCTACCACGCCCGACTAATTTTTTTTTTCCTTTTCTTTTCTTTCTTTTTTTTTTTTTGTTTGAGATGGAGTCTCACTTTGTCGCCCAGGCAGGAGTGCAATGGCACGATCTCGGCTCACTGCAACCTTCGCCTCCCGGGTTCAAGCGATTCTCCTGCTTCAGCCTCCCAAGTAGCTAGGATTACAGGTGCCCGCCACCACACCCAGCTAATTTTTGTATTTTTAGTAGAGACAAGGTTTCACCACATTGGCCAGGCTGGTCTCGAACTCTTGACCTTAGGTTGTCCATCTGCCTCGGCCTCATAAAATGCTGGGATTACAGGCATGAGACACCGTGCCCCACCCCCAACTAATTTTTTATAGAGATGGGATTTCTCCATGTTGCCCAGGCTGGTCTCAAACTCCTGGGCTCAAGTGATCTGCCTGCCTTGGCCTCCCAAAGTATCAGGATTACAGGTGTGAGCCACTGTGCCTGGCCTGTATGATGTTTAAAAAAAATTTTTTTTTGCTATATTGTCCTCAAAACCACCCTCTAATAATGACAGATTGCCTTTCCTTTCCCCTTTCCCCCTCCCCTTTCCTTTTTCCTTTTCCTTTTCCTTTTCCTTTCCCTCTCTTCCTCTCTTTCTTCCTTCCTTCCCATTCTTTCCTTTTCTTTCTTTTTTGAGACAGGGTCTCACTGTGTTACCCAGGCTAGAGTGCAGTGGCATGATCCTAGCTCACTGCATCCTCAAACTCCTGAGCTCAAGCATTCCTCCCATCTTAGTCTTCCTGATAGCTAGGACTATGAGAACATACTACTGAGCTAATTAGCACCCGGGCTAAGTTTTAAATTTTTTGTGGGGATGGTGTCTTGCTCTGTTGCCCAGGCTACCCTCAAGGAATCCTCCTGCTTCAGCCTCCGAAATGCTGGGATTAAAGTCATGGGCCACCATACCCAGCCTACAGATAGCATTTCATTAAGTGGAGACCTCAGGCTTTATTCTGAGGGAGGGTATTTAGATTGCTCCTATTCCACCTTTATAAACAATGCTGTAATGAATGTCTAGCCTTTGTCAAAGAGCGGAAAAAATTCTCATCAATTTTTAACACTTCTAGGCTTTTCCCCAAATGGCCAGATTGATTTCCAGAAGGACTGGACTAATTTCCAGTGCCATAACTGGTAATGGGTGTGCATATAGTTTTGTCATGTCCTTGTCAGCACTGGGTATTATCCTTTTTTCAAAATTTTGGCTTACATAACAGTCATGAAACTATTGGGGTGGGCTGGGTGTGGTGGTTCACGCCTGTAATCCCAGCACTTTGGGAGGCAGAGGCGGGTGAATTGCCTGAGGTCAGGAGTTTGAAACCAGCCTGGCCAACATAGTGAAACCCTGTCTCTACCAAAAACTACAGAAATTAGCCGGGCGTGATGGCACACGCCTGTAATCCCAGCTACTTGGGAGGCTGAGGCATGAGAATTGCTTGAACCCGGGAGGCGGAGGTTGTAGTGACCTGAGATCGTGCCACTGCACTCCAGCCTGGGTGACAGAGCGAGACTCTATCTCAAAAAAAAAAACAAAAAAACTTATTGGGGTGCTTGGCTGGGTGTGGTGGCTCACATCTGTAATCCCAGCACTTTGGGAGGCTGAGGTGTGAGGATCACTTGAGGCCAGGAGTTCTAGACCAGCCTGGGCAGCATAGTGAGACCCCCATCTTTATAAAAAGAAAAAAATACATTAAAAGAAAAAAACGAACTATTCGTGCTTTAGCTGAAGCTCAGTAATGACAGTTCTGTCTCCTGTCCCGCGCTTCCTTGTTCCTGTCATATTCCCCGTCCATCTCACACTCATTCCCTCTTTACCCATAGCTGATCATCCTGGCCAATGGTGGGCCCCAGGCCCTCGTGCAGATCATGCGTAACTACAGTTATGAAAAGCTGCTCTGGACCACCAGTCGTGTGCTCAAGGTGCTATCCGTGTGTCCCAGCAATAAGCCTGCCATTGTGGAGGCTGGTGAGTATGATGGCCTTGAGGGCGGCTGGGGTGGGAGCTCTGCCCAGCTGCCAGGCTCAGTCAGCCATGCTCCCCGTGGCTGATGGCACCCCTATCCCTGCCCCAGGTGGGATGCAGGCCCTGGGCAAGCACCTGACCAGCAACAGCCCCCGCCTGGTGCAGAACTGCCTGTGGACCCTGCGCAACCTCTCAGATGTGGCCACCAAGCAGGTGAGGGAGGTATCTGGGCCTGGGGTTGACCTCTTCAGCTGCCCCATCCAGCCTCCTGTCTGGGCATCTGACCTGAGGTACTGTGGGAGGACTGGGGGCTCTAAATCTCTCTTCCTTGTGACTGAGGCTGGAAATGCCTTGAAAACCCTCATCTCTTTTTTTTTTTTTTTTTTTTTTTCTGACGGAGTCTCACTCTGTCACCTAGGCTGGAGTGCAGTGGTGCAATCTCGGCTCACTGCAAGCTCCGCCTCCTGGGCTCAAGTGATTCTCCTGCCTCAGCCTCCCGAGTAGTTGGGACTACAGGCACCTGCCATCATGTCTGGCTAATTTTTGTATTTTTATTAGAGACAGGGTTTCACCATGTTGGGCAGGCTGGTCTTGAACTCCTGACCTCAGGTGATCCACCCGCCTTGGCCTCCCAAAGTGCTGGGATTACAGGCGTGAGCCACCACATCCAGCAAAAGAACAGTTTTGACCTGGGCCCTGGGCTGGAGCAATAGTGTACCAAGAGACAGGCCCCCATGACTAAAAATACAATTTAAGGAAAAATGCAGCTCCAGGGCAAGTGCCCTGTGCCTCCTTCCAACAACCATTCCCCAGGCCTCCCCTAGCAATATGCTGTTTATCAAGTGCTCACCCTGTGCTGGCCCTCTGCGTGGCATTTGTGGACAGTAGCTCATTCAACCTGGGGTTAGAGTGTGGGACCCTGTGGGTTAGATGAAGACACTGAGGCTCGGGGAGCTAATGGCCATGGTCACAGGTAGTAAATGGCAGAACTGGGATTTGAACCCAGGACTGTCCGTCCCCAAAGCTGGGGTTTTTCTGTTCCACCACAAGGCCCACGTGTCTCCCTGGGAGAAGTGAGATAGACGTCTGAGGTAGTGATTTTACTGGAAATGGATTTGGCTCAGGGCCCCAGGGTGGTGGGGCAGCAGTGAAGGCCCAGAAAGGTGACAAGCGAGTAGACATGGCTCAGCTGGGCCACTGAATCATGCGGCCCCCTCAACAATTGCCTCCTGGTCTCGAGGCCTCCCTTGGCCACCGTACTTTGGCCTGAGGAGGGTTCTGCCTGGGTCTGAGGGCCCCAGGGAAAGGCTGATGAGTTGGAGGGAAGAGATGTGGGGCTTAGAGCCAAGCCTGGGTTCAGATCCAGCCACTAGCTGTGTGTCTGTGGGCAAGTTCCCCAACCTCTCTGAGCCTCATTGCCTCACTTGCACCACAGGATAGTAACGCCCTCTCACAGGGTGTGGCGGGTCATAGGGATGAAAGTTCCCGGGCACACACAGGCAGGGCTGACCCCTTTAGGTCATCCCACTCCCCTTGGACATATTCGAGAAGGCTCCCTGGAGTTGGCTGCTCCCTGACTCCCCCGTCCCTTCCTTGCCCTCCAGGAGGGCCTGGAGAGTGTGCTGAAGATTCTGGTGAATCAGCTGAGTGTGGATGACGTCAACGTCCTCACCTGTGCCACGGGCACACTCTCCAACCTGACATGCAACAACAGCAAGAACAAGACGCTGGTGACACAGAACAGCGGTGTGGAGGCTCTCATCCATGCCATCCTGCGTGCTGGTGACAAGGACGACATCACGGAGCCTGCCGTCTGCGCTCTGCGCCACCTCACTAGCCGCCACCCTGAGGCCGAGATGGCCCAGAACTCTGTGCGTCTCAACTATGGCATCCCAGCCATCGTGAAGCTGCTCAACCAGCCCAACCAGTGGCCACTGGTCAAGGTACTGCTGTTAGGCGAGGGGAAGGAGCTCCCTGCAGCAGGCTTAGGTGCTGTATTGGTATAGGCAAAGCCGCTGTAGCAAAGAAGCCCTAAATACAGTGGCTCGAATAAGACAGAAGTTTATTTCTCTCTCGTGTAATAGTTTAGACCTCAACAATGGCTCTGCTCTAAAATTCCAGAATTGGGATTTCTATCTTGTAGCTCTACCAGCCCCTAGGGCAGAGCTCAGAGTTCAAAATGCACATGAGTACCCTGGGTGGTTTCATTAAATTGCAGGTTCCAGGGCCAGGCACGGTGGCTCATGCCTGTAATCCCAACACTTTGGGAGGCAAAGGTAGGAGGATTGCTTGAGGCCAGGAATTTGAGACCAGCCTGGACAACATAGCAAGACCTGTCTCGACAACAATAACAACAACAGAAATTAGCCAGGTGTGGTGGTGCACGCCTGTGGTCCCAGCTACTGGGGAGGGGAGGCTCAGGTCGGAGGATCGCTTGAGCACAGGAGTTGGAGGTTACAGTGAGCTATGATTGCATCAGTGCACTCCAGCCTGGGTGACAGAGCAAGAACCCGTGTCTTAAAAGAAAAGAAAAACAGGAGGCTGGGTGCAGTGGCTCACATCTGTAGTTCCAGCACTTTGGGAGGTGCAGGCAGAGGCGGAAGCGGAAGGATCACTTGAGGCCAGGAGTTTGAGACCATCGTGGGTAACATAGTGAGACACCCATCTCTTACAAAAAATTTGGAAAAAAAAAAAAGCCCAAACAAATAAACAATCTAAAACACACACACACACACACACACACACACACTCTCTCTCTCTCTCTCTCTCTCTCTCTCTCTCTCTCTCTCTCTCTCTCTCTCTGTCTCTCTGCAGGCCTGCTGCAGAGGGCTTGCCATTCTGTATGTCTTTTTTTTGTTGTTTTGAGACAATGTCTATTGCCCAGGCTGGAGTGCAGTGGTACATTCTTGGCTCACTGCAACCTCTGCTTCCCGGGTTCAAGTGATTCTCCTGCCTTGGCCTCCTGAGTAGTTGGGATTACAGGTGCACGCCACCATGTCTGGATAATTTTTGTATTTTTAGTAGAGATGGGATTTTGCCATGTTGCTCAGACTGATCTTGAACTCCTGAACTCAAGTGATCCACCAGCCTCAGCCTCCCAAAGTACGGGGATTACAGGTGTGAGACACCAGGCCCGGACAATTCTGTATTTCTTCTTTTTTTTTTTTTTTTTGAGACGGAGTTTTGCTCTTATTGCCCAGGCTGGAGTGCAATGGTGCGATCTCGGCTTACTGCAACCTCCGCCTCCCGGGTTCAAGCGATTCTCCTGCATTTTTTAGTAGAGACGGGATTTCTCTATGTTGGTTAGGCTGGTCTTGAACTCCTGACTTCTGGTGATCCACCCACTTTGGCCTTCCAAAGTGCTAGGATTACAGGTGTGAGCCACTGCACCTGGCCCAATTCTGTATTTTTAACAAGCTCGCAGGTGCTGCTCCATGGAGCACATTTCTTATGCCACTGGGTGTAGACGAGAGGGTTGTCCTCACACGAATGAGTGGACTGTATCATCCCCACGGATGTGTTCTAGCCCTGAGAACTGGGGATGGCTAGCGGCCACCAGAAAGTGGCACACATCACTCCTGCTCACACCCCAGAACTTGGTCATTCAGCCACATCAAGGTGCAAGGAGGTTAGGAAGTGTGATCACCAGCCAGATGGCCGTGTGTCCTGCTGAAAATCAGGAGAGCCACTACAGAGACACAGGGCACAGAGGATTCTGGGGACGCTTAGCATCTCCCATAGGGAGTTGGGTGTGTGAAGGAGTGGGGTCTTCTTCTTGAGGCTACCTGGGTGGAAGAGAGCTAGCTGTGTGTCACTTCCCTGTCAGGTGGGGGAAGTGAGAGTGGGTCAGGGTGTGGGCAGACCCAAGGGACAGAGTTATGGGGGAAAGCGTTTGTGTGTGTGTATATCTATATGTAGAGACAAGGAAGGCAGCCAAAGGCAAGGTGGCATCTGGTGCCAGAGAGTGAGGAAGCTACCATCGATGAGGGTCTTGTCAACGGGCACAGGAGCCAGCTGGCAGGGGCATCCGCCAGCTACATTTAAGACAATTTAATAGTACAGACAGGCCAGGCGCAGTGGCTCACGCCTGTAATCCCAGCACTTTGGGAGGACGGGGCGGGAGGATTACCTGAAGTTAGGAGTTCGAGACCAGCCTGGCCAACATAGTAAGTCCCCGCCTCCACAAAAAATACAAAAATTAGCTGGCCATGGTGGCATGTGCCTGTAATCTCAGCTACTCGGAAGGCTGAGGCAGAAGAATTACTTGAACCCGGAAGGCAGAGGTTGCAGTGAGCTGAGATCGCTCATTGCACTCCAGCCTGGGTGACAGAGAGAGACTCCGTCTTGGAAAACAAAAACAAAAAACATGGCCAGGCGTGGTGGCTCACGCCTGTAATCCTAGCACTTTGGGAGGCCGAGGCGTGTGGATCACGAGGTCAGGAGATCGAGACCATCCTGGCTAACACGGTGAAACCCCATCTCTACTAAAAAAATACAAAGAAATTAGCCAGGCGTGGTGGCGGGCGCCTGTGGTCCCAGCTACTCAGGAGGCTGAGGCAGGAGAATGGTGTGAACCCGGGAGGCGGAGCTTGCAGTGAGCTGAGATCGCGCCACTGCACTCCAGCCTGGGCGACAGAGCGAGACTCCGTCTCAAAAAAAACAAACAAAAAAACAAACAAACAAAAAAAACCCAGTGCAGATAAGAATGACTCTAAGTGATTCTACACATTGAATTATTATTTTTTATTATTATTATTATTTTTGAGACAGATTCTTGCTCTGTTGCCCAGGCTGGAGTGCAGTGGCATGATCTCAGCTCACTGCAACCTCCGCCTCCCAGGTTCAAGCAATTCCCGGCTAATTTCTGTATTTTTAGTAGAGACGTGGTTTCACCATGTTGGCCAGGCTGGTCTCGAACTCCTGACCTAAAGTGATCTGCCTGCCTTGGCCTCCCAAAGTGCTAGGATTACAGGCGTGAGCCACTGCGCCCGGCCTATACATTGAATTAAAAAAAGAAAATTCATGTTTAGAAAAAAAAATGTCATTGTGACCCCTCCTTGATGCTTGGTCCCTGCTGCAAACCTGAGGTGGGACTTTGCATCCTAACCCAGCAGCTAAGTGGCAAGTGACTTTGGCAAGTCATTTGCCCTGTGCTCACGTCCCCATCTCACATGATTTTCATCCCTGTCCTCCTGGCGTCTTGTTTTGAGGATGAAATAGATGACACCTTGAGAGGCTCTGGGAGGCCAGAGTGGCTCCTCTGAGTCAAAGACCCTGGGGAGGAGATCTCAGGACACCTCTTTCCAGAGCTGCCCTGCTGGGGATTAATGACAATGTGAGCACCACCCAAGCAGGAGGCTTCGGGGGCACCTAGAGCACAGAATTCCTGAGAATCAGGCTTGGAGGACTATCAGAAAAGCAAGCAAGGTCATGGTGTCTGTGGGGGGTGGTTAAGAAAGAGGGGACAGGGTGAGGGGCCAGGCATGGGGCTGGCAGGATGTTCTGGAATGGGGTGTCATTTTAGCAAGGGCTATTAGAATTAGCCATGAGCAGCCGGACGTGGTAGCCCACACCTGTAATCCCAGCACTTTAGAAGGCAGAAGCAGGCGGATCACCTGAGGTCAGGGGTTCGAGGCCAGCCTGCCCAACATGGCGAAACCCCGTCTCTACTAAAAATACAAAAAATTAGCTGGGCATGGTGGCAGGCACCTGTAATCGCAGCTACTCAGGAGGCTGAGGCAGGAGAATCGCTTGAACCCAGGAGGTGGAGGTTGCAGTGAGGTGAGATTGCACCACTGCACTCCAGCCTGGGTGACAAGAGCGAAACTCTGTCTCAAAAAAAAAAAAAAAAAAGAATTAGCCATGAGCACTCCCAGATCCTGTGGATTAAGTGACATGGCTGGGATGGTCTCCTTCTCTGGATATTTTCCAGTATGTCTGTGTCTGGCCTCGGGGACAGAAGAGGTGAAGGAGGGAAGGGATACTTGAAGCTGGGAAGCTGGGATCCTTCAGATGTCCAAGAAGTGCCCCTGATCACTGCCCCTTTTTTTGCCAGGCAACCATCGGCTTGATCAGGAATCTGGCCCTGTGCCCAGCCAACCATGCCCCGCTGCAGGAGGCAGCGGTCATCCCCCGCCTCGTCCAACTGCTGGTGAAGGCCCACCAGGATGCCCAGCGCCACGTAGCTGCAGGCACACAGCAGCCCTACACGGTATGTGAGCTGGTGGTGCCTCTGACAGCCTTCCTGGGGGGTCAGGGTGTCCTCTGTGGGTGTGTGTGTGAATGGGGAGGTCAGTTGCAACTGATGCCAATTCCAAGAACCTGTGAAGTTCATTCGGCTGTCATGGGGAGGAGTTGTGGCCATGTCCAAGGCACCTGTCCCATGCCCCCTGCCTCCTCTCACACAGGATGGTGTGAGGATGGAGGAGATTGTGGAGGGCTGCACCGGAGCACTGCACATCCTCGCCCGGGACCCCATGAACCGCATGGAGATCTTCCGGCTCAACACCATTCCCCTGTTTGTGCAGGTGAGTCTGGGGCAGGTGGGCAGGAGAGGTCCCCCCACCACTGCTTAAAGGGCAAGGTTAGGAGTCCCAGATTTGGGAGGCCTGGACCAGGTATCAAGAGGTCTTTGGAGGAGTTTGGAGGAAAGTTGCCACTCCAGATTGACTACTTAGCAACCCCCTGCATGGGCATGGCTTTCTAAGCTTCAAAGCAAGGAAAGAGATCACAAATGGAAAAAAAAAACAAAAAACAAAAAAACTTGAGATTCAACCATATAAACATGAAAACCATCTGTATTTCAGAAAGAACCTAAAAAAGCATTTTTAAAAAATCAGCAAACTGGGAGAATATGTGCAAGTACCATAACAGACAAGAAGAGTCTAACATCTTTCACATCAGTGAGCTCATTAACACTAGATTCCAATGGTTAGATGAGGCAGAGTCACAGGTAATTTCAAGGTAGCTCATGAACAATGCTCAGCCCAGTTTAAAGCAGTAACACTTACTCCCCAGTGACGGCCCATTTTCCACTATGGAATTGCTACAGGGTGGAGGTGGGCAGTGCTGTGGGGTGTGTTGTCCGGCCTGCCTCACCCCTTTCCACCTCTCCCCTGCTTCCCACGTCCCCTCTCCCCAGCTCCTGTACTCGTCGGTGGAGAACATCCAGCGCGTGGCTGCCGGGGTGCTGTGTGAGCTGGCCCAGGACAAGGAGGCGGCCGACGCCATTGATGCAGAGGGGGCCTCGGCCCCACTCATGGAGTTGCTGCACTCCCGCAACGAGGGCACTGGTGAGCTGGGGGAGGGCAGGAGGCTGGGTCCCACTCCCCCAGCCACGATGGAGGCTGGCCGACGTTTAACCTGGCTTTTCCTTTCCTCTCTGCTCAGCCACCTACGCTGCTGCCGTCCTGTTCCGCATCTCCGAGGACAAGAACCCAGACTACCGGAAGCGCGTGTCCGTGGAGCTCACCAACTCCCTCTTCAAGCATGACCCGGCTGCCTGGGAGGCTGTGAGTATCCTAGGTTGGACCACAGTAGTTGGTTGTGCAAGTTGGGCACTGCCCATGGGCAACACTTTTGGGGGTCTCCTACTACTGTCAACTTCATAGATTTTTATTTTGTAATTGGATCATTTATAACAATTCCTAGCAGATGGAAGTAGTGGGTTGAATCATATATCCACAAAATGCCAATTTTTATTTTGCCCAAATGAGTATACAGTGTTTGAGGTGGGGGTGCCTTTTTGTAATTTGCGTGGAGGTGCTGGATAGGCTATGGGCGGTCTTTTCCAGGGTGGGGCAGTGCCCTGTACCCATTCTTGAGTCCTCTGCCTCCTCCCCTGAGCTGCTCTAGTCCGGCAGGAGTCCCTGCTTCATGAGTGGGGAACCCTCCTCCCTGGGGAGTACCGAGGACATGAGTATATCAGGGCACTGGGTGACCCCATTTCATCATCCTCTATTCCTCCAAGGCCTCTTTGCTTTTCTCCAGCCCCCTCTTTTATTTATTTATTTATTTTTATATTTTTTGAGATGGAGTCTTGCTCTGTCGCCAGGCTGGAGTGCAGTGGTGTGATCTTGGCTCACTGCAACCTCCGCCTCCCGGTTTCAAGCAATTCTCCTGCCTCAGCCTTCTGAGTAACTGGGACTACAGGTGCACGCTACCACACCCGGCTAATTTTTCTATTTTTAGTAGAGACGCGGTTTCGCCATGTTGGCCAGGATGATCTCGATTGTCTCCTGACCTTGTGATCCGCCCGCCTTGGCCTCCCAAAGTGCTGGGATTACAGGCGTGAGCCACTGCGCCCAGCCTATTTTTTATTTTTTTCGAGACAGAGTCTCACTCCTGTCGCCCAGGCTGGAGTGCAATGGTGTAATCTCGGCTCACTGCATCCTCTGCCTCCCCATTCAAGCAATTCTCCTGCCTCAGCCTCCCGAGTAGCTGGGATTACAGGCCTGCACCACCACGCCCAGCTAATTTTTTTTGTATTTTTAGTAGAGACAGGGTTTCACCATGTTGGCCAGGCTGGTCTGGAACTCCTGACCTCAAGTGATCCGCCTGCTGTCTCCCAGAGTGCTGGGATTACAGGCGTGAGCCATGGCACCCAGCCTGGCCCCCTCTTTTAGAAGCATCTCTCCCTGCCCACCAGCTGAGATCCAGCTCGGAGCCTGCATTTTCAAACCTCCCCTCCATGTTTCTCTCTCCTTTTTCAGGCCCAGAGCATGATTCCCATCAATGAGCCCTATGGAGATGGTAAGTGTGTGCCGGGCTCTTCAGGACCCTGGAGATCCTGGGCGGCTGTGTGGGTGTGTGTGAGGGGACAATATTATGTCTCCGGGGCCAGAGGACCAGTGGCAACTGCTGTGTGGCATCCACATGTACCCCAGTCTAGATGCCCTGGTGTGGGGTCTGGGGAGGGGTCAGGCCCACCAGGGGTGGGCATGGGTAGAGGAGGCAGCTGAAGGCTGTGCAGACTGCTCCCTGCAGGGTAGCTTGCAGACCCTAGGACCGAGCCCCACTTTTTGTCCCCAGACATGGATGCCACCTACCGCCCCATGTACTCCAGCGATGTGCCCCTTGACCCGCTGGAGATGCACATGGACATGGATGGAGACTACCCCATCGACACCTACAGCGACGGCCTCAGGCCCCCGTACCCCACTGCAGACCACATGCTGGCCTAGGCGGCCTGGCCCCAGTACGGCCCCCTCTTTGCAGGCTTTTCCTCCTCTCTAGAACCTCCTTCTGTTGGAGGCCCTCCCATCTCCCCGCTGAAACCTGCGCTCCTTTTTTGGGGGGATCCTTTGCTGCTGAGCTTCCCCAAGCACGGTGTGCCCTGGCCTGCCTTCTTCTTGTGTCTTTGGTGGGGATGGGGAGGCCTATTCCTGCTGGCCCCTTCTGGGGGTGGTGGGCAGGTGACACGGAGTGGCTTGAGCTTCTGGGGATGCAGGTCCACCGAGCCCCTGACCCCTGTCTGTCCCCGCTCCCCTAACAGGTGCGGTTCCTCATCTGAGAGGCTCTCCGTGCAGGCGATGGGGCAAGACAGAAAAGTGCCTGAGCTGGGGAAGCCGGGGTGTAACTTCCTGCTGCACCCTGCGCCTCCAGAGGTCCTCCGTAGGGTCTTTCTTGGGATAGTGTTCTGCTCCTGCTTTTCTGTCCTGGGCATGGGTCCAGGGCCTGACACCCCCTCCCCGCCCCTGTGGCCCTGGCCACTAAAGCTTCAGACTCAAGTACCCATTCTGTTTTCCCCCAGCAACGCCCCTCCAAACCTCCAGCCTCCCTGTCTCCAGCTGCCTGGGCCCGGAAGGGCTTTGGTTCCTTCTCTGGGTCTGATTTTCTCACTGAACTCCACCGACCAACTGCCCTAAGCCCCCAGGGCCTCCAGGGCCCAGGTTCGAGACCCAAACCCCCAAAATCCAAAACTTCTCTTGAAAAGTTCAGGGACCGTCCAGGGGAGATGGGGAGGAGATATGGAGTGAGTCACCTGCTCCAGAAGATGCCAGCTTCTCTCTCCAGGGTGCTTAGTTGGCTTTGCCCACCCCTCACTCCCCAGGGAGCTCTGGGGACAGCTTCCTCACACCCCTGTCCCACCCACACAGCTGCCCTAGCTGACCCCGAGAAGTGCTCTTGGCTGACCCCTCTGGTGTGTGGTGAGGGGCTTTCTCTTCCCCTTCCTGTTTCAGACCCCCCCATTTCCCGCACATGGTGTGGGGGGCTGGGGGAGGTCCAAGCAGAGTGTTTTATTATTATCGCTTTATGTTTTTGGTTATTGGTTTTTTTGTATAGACCAAAGCAAAGAAAATAAAAATAACACAGATGCGTTGGAGGCTGTTTAGGGGAGTGGGGTGGGAAAGTTGAGGGGCTTCCCTAGCGGCCTGGCGCCCTCTTTGCTGGGTCCTGCGGGTCCTCAGGGCTGCCTTGCATGTGGGAAGGACTAGAAGAGGCAAGCTGGGGAGCCAGGAGTGTTGGGGGAGCCGGAGTGGATTTAACCCAATATGCGCTTGTAGGGCGAGGACGGGGGAGGAGGTGAATGGGGATGAGTCCCTCACTTCGGGAGGCCAGGCCTTGTTTCTCTCTCAAACAGGCAAGCTCCTGGCTGGCTCTCCTCCCGTCCAGCCTTAAAGTGAATATGGCAGATGTCCCCGTGCGT
The DNA here is from genome assembly GCF_000001405.40 of Homo sapiens. Classification (NCBI taxonomy): domain Eukaryota; kingdom Metazoa; phylum Chordata; class Mammalia; order Primates; family Hominidae; genus Homo; species Homo sapiens. Next base: position 41,754,277 of record NC_000017.11, on the reverse strand, counting down.
AATGCTCCCCGAGGCTTATGGCTTTGGGTCCAGGCCCCTTGTTGGTCAGCTGTGGGCCCACCCCAGCTCCTGCCCACCTCCCCTCTTCCTTCCCCCCACCACCTACTCTGCCCTTAGCCGTGCCTGTGACAGCCAGCAGCCTCCTCCTGTTCTTTGTCCATGCTGTTCCCACTGTCTGGGTGCCTCCACTGTTCACCTGCCGGGATCGGCTCAGACCTGACTCCAGAAACACCTGCTCCACGACCTCCGCCCCCAGCAGGGATGAGCGGGTGCCCCTCCTGCTGTGCTCCACAATGCCCCGTGCACAACTGTCATTTCACCCATCACGTTGGTCTGTCCTTTAGCTCATGTGACAGTTCCCCCACCCACAACCCCAAATTCTCCTTTCTGAGGAGGTGCTGGTTACAATGCACCCGGCAAACCTGAGAACCTGTGGTGCCTATGTGCCTGCCCAGGGCCCAGTGCCTTCTTTCTACTCCACCTGGAGCTCAGGGCAGTGGAGGGAGGCCATGGCTTCATTCACAGAGGATTGGTGGGATGTGGGGCTGGGGCTGGAGACAGGGAGGTGCTTCCAATTAAGGGCTGGCTGTAAGGTCCAGACACTAGGTGATGAGACACAGAGCTGAGCTCTGCCGACTAGAGCCGGGGCAGCAGGGAGGGGACAGAGTTTTCAGAGCTCTGGAAGACCTAAAAATCTTTTAACAACGCCCACCCCGCAGCGTTTTTTTTTTTTTTTTTTTTTTTTTTTTTGAGAGTAGTTTCACTCTTATCTCCCAGGCTGGAGTACAATGGCACGATCGCGGCCCACTACAACCTCCACCTCTTGGGTTCAAGTGATTCTCCTGCCTCAGGCTCCCCAATAGTTGGGACTACAGGCGTGCATCACCACACCTGACTAATTATTTATTTATTTATTTATTTATTTTTTAGACAGAGTCTTGCTCTGTCGCCCACTCTGGAGTGCAGTGGCACGATCTCGGCTCACTGCAACCTCCGCCTCCCAGGTTCACGCCATTCTCCTGCCTCAGCCTCCCGAGTAGCTGGGACTACAGGGTTTCACCGTGTTAGCCAGGATGGTCTCGATCTCCTGACCTCGTGACCCACCCACCTCGGCCTCCCGAAGTGCTATTATAGGTGTGAGCCATTGTGCCTGGCCGGCTAATTTTTGTGTTTTTAGTAGAGATGGGGTTTACCCATGTTGGCCAGGCTGGTCTCGAACTCCTGACCTCAGGTTCTCTGCCCACCTCAGCCTCTCAAAGTACTGGGATTACAGGCGTGAGCCACCGTCCCCAGCCAACAATGCCCTTTATATGTGCTCTGTGTTCAGGACCCTGGCAGGAAACACTCGAATTGGGTGATTTGAGGAGATTGTGGTAAGGGGACAGTTTACAAAGCTGTGGGCATGTATAGGAAAGCGCAAGGGATAGGACAGGGTGCCGGGCTATTTATAGTGATATTCACCTCTGGCCTGATACTGGGAGGAGAGGGGGTGCTCCCTGGGACAAGACCCTGTGGATGAGGCTTCCTGACAAGGGGAGACTGTGACCGTGCTCCCTCCTACCAGAGCTCCCTACTGGCCCAGCCCAAGCAGAAACAAGAGCCCATTCACGTCCATTCGTGTCATCTCCCACCGCCCAGTGCAGAGTGGAGAAAAGGTCTGGAGAAGCCAATGAAGATAGATAACTGACACATTAACGCCATTTCCCCACCCCAGCTTTCCAAAAGAGGGCCGGAGGCACCCCACAGAAAAGGACTGCTCGCTCAAGCCACATGACGGGTGCTGAGGACAAGAGAAAGACAGCTAAGTCCCCATGCTAAGGGGCAGTGCTAGATTGGAGCTTCACAGTAGGCCGTCAGCTTCCTGGCAGCCTGGCCAAAATGGGAAACTTAAGGCCAGTTAATTTCTTTCTTTCTTTTCTTTTCTTTTTCTCTCTCTCTCCTTCCTTCCTTCCTTCCTTCCTTCTTTCCTTTCTTTCTTTTTCTTTTTCTTTTTGAGACAGAGTTTCGCTCTTGTTGCCCAGGCTGGAGTGCAGTGGTGCAATCTTGGCTCACCGCAACCTCCACCTCCCGGGTTCAAGAGATCCTCCTGCTTCAGCCTCCTGAGTAGCTGGGATTACAGGCATGCACCACCTTGCCCAGCTAATTTTGTATCGTTAGTAGAGACAGGTTTTCTTCATGTTGATCAGACTGGTCCCAAACTCCCAACCTCAGGTTATCTGCCTGCCTCGGCCTGCCAAAGTGCTGGGATTGCAGGTGTGAGCCACCGTGCCCGGCCAGGCCAGTTCATTTCAATGCAGTGAGTTGGCCACTTCAGTTTTCATGGAAGAGCTAGCTGAGCCTTGCAACCTTGAGAAAGTCAGTTCGCTTCTCTGAACGTCAGTTTCCTCACATGTAAAATGAGGATGATCCCTTCTCCATGTACCTAATGTGAGGATGAAATGAGAAAGCACAGGGATTCCAGGTAGGCAGAAGGGAGGAAAGGGCAATGGGCTATATCCCGGAAAGGTTATGCCTTTTTGATTTTCAGAAGGGACATCTACCCTGGGGACTTATCTGGACCTTGGCCTGAGCTATGTCGCATGCCCATCCTTTGCTGCAAAGACAGCTGGGAAATGGAGACTATTTTAGCTGCACACAGTGCCCCCTTGATAAGAATCAGGGTTTTTTGTTTGTTTGTTTTATTTTTAAGAGACAGGGTCTTGCTCTGTTGCCCAGGCTGGAGTGCAGTGGCATGATCACAGCTCACTGCAGCCTCGAACTCCTGGGTTCAGGTGATCCTCCTGCGTCAGCCTCATGCGTAATTGGGATTACAGACTACAGGTACACACCACAATGCCTGGCTAGTTTTTTTTTTTTTTTGTAAATGATTTGTAAAGATGGAGTCTGGCTATGTTGGCCAGGCTGGCCTTGAACTCATGGTCTCTAGCAATCCTTCCACCTTGGCCTCCTAAGGTTCTGGGATTACAGGTGTGAGCCACTGCACCTGGCATAAAACTCAGGGTTCTGACAGTAGGAAAGAAAAAGATGGATAAGGCATTGGGTACATCACCACAGGGGGCTGCCACAGCTAGGAACAAGTCTCCCCAGACTAACCTTGCCTCTTCTTGGGTAGGCTTGGTCAGGGAGGTGGCAGGAAAGCTCTGAGTGTCCGGGTTTCATTTCAGCAAGACCAGAGGGCAAATGCAGGCTTCGGTGATGTGAGCGGGCTTGGTGGAGCAGTTATCCCCAGGGAGTAGCAGACGTGGTCCTGTCCATCTGGAGGAAGCTCTCTATCTGCCATCTGCCATGGCCAACATTTCTATGTCAGAATCTACAAAACCAGTGGAGACAGAGATAGACCTATCAAAAAGGCAGGTGCCACACTGAGTGACAAGTTATTAAAATAAGTCTTAAAAATAATGTATCAGCTGTGAAACTAAAACTGCTCTCAAAAATTGTGTTAATCCAGGTATGGTGGCACGGCCCTATAGTCCCAGCTACTTGGGAGGCTGAGGCGGGAGGATCACTTGAGCCCAAGAATTTGAGACCAGCCTGGGAAACATAGTGAGACCTTGTCTCAAAAAGAAAAAAGAAAAAAAAGTGTCAATTTTAAAACAGTTGCTCAAAAATAAATGTCATTAAAGTCATACCAAAAAAAATGTAAAACATGTACACAACCTCATCCCAGAAAGTCTGTCACTGGGCTTAAAAGAGGACAGTCAGCGGGTACAGTGGCTCACACCTGTAATCAAGCACTTTGGGAGGCTGAGGTGGGCAGATTACCTGAGGTCAGGATTTTGAGACTAGCCTGCCCAACATGGTAAAACCCCATCTTTACTAAAAATACAAAAATTAGCCAGCATGGTGGCACGCACCTGTAGTCCCAGCTACTCGGGAGGCTGAGGCAGAAGAATTACTTGAACCCAGGAGGCGGAGGTTGCGGTGAGCAGAGATTGTGCCACTGCAGGACAGAGGCACAGGACAGAGGCCACTGCAGGACAGAAAAAAAAATACCAGCCTAAGCAATATAGTGAGACCTTGTCTCTACAAAAGATTAAACAACAACAAAAAAAATTAGCCCAGCACGGATGGCACCTACGGTCCCAGCTACTCGGAGCCTGATGTGGGAGGATTGCTGGAGCCCAGGAGGTCAAGGATGTAGTGAGCTTTTTTGTTTTGTTTTCTTTTGGTTTTGTTTTTTTTCATTCTTTGAGAAGCTGTGAATGACATGTAGTGAGCTTTGATCGCTCTGCTCTCCAGCCTGGGTGACTCACAGAGCAAGACCATGTCTCAAAATAATAATAATAATAACAACTAGGTAGGAAATCTTAAAACATCTATGCCCGAGTCTGGGCGCAGTGGCTCACACCTGTACTCCCAGCACTTTGGGAGGCCGAGGCAGGTGGATCACAAGGTCAGGAGTTCGAGACCAGCCTCGCCAGCATGGTGAAATCCTATCTCTACTAAAAATACAAACAATTGGCCGGGCATGGTGGCACACACCTGTAATCCCAGTTACTCAGGAGGCTGAGGCAGGAGAATCGCTTGAACCCAGGAGGTGGAGGTTGCAGGGAGCCAAGATCGTGCCACTGCACTCCACTAGGGGACAGAGTGAGATTCCATCTCAAAATAAATAAATAAAATAAAATAAATTTTATTTATTTTATTTAGGCTGGGCATGGTGGATCACGCCTATAATCCCAGCACTTTGGGAGACTGAGGCAGGCAGATCACCTGAGGTCGGGGGTTCGAGACCAGCCTGACCAACATGGAGAATCCCTGTCTCTACTAAAAATACAAAATTAGCCAGGCATGGTGGTGCATGCCTGTAATCCCAGCTACTTGGGAGGCTGAGGCAGGAGGATCGCTTGAAGCCAGGAGGTGGAGGTTGCAGTGAGCCAAGATCGTGCCATTGCCCTCTATCCTGGGCAACAAGAGTGAAACGCCATCTCAAAAATAAATAAATAAGTAAATAAATAAATAAATAAATAACATCTATGCCCATATAGAAAGTATGGGGAAATTCTGCTATACCCAGCACATGAGGGACAGATTTGAGAAACTCAGTCGACTCTCAAGTTCATGATAAAATTACTAATACAATGATTATATATAATGGAAAATAGCCAAAAATGCAGTCCAGTGTATTAGGATTTTCAGACAACAGAACCAATAGCACATATATATGTTTGTGTATGTATGTTGGTGTGTGTATATGTGTGCATGTGTATATATACGTGTGTGCATGTATATGTGTGTGTGTGCATATATATATATGGGGCTATAGTCGCAACTAATTGGGAGGCTGAGGTGGGAGGATCACTTGAGCCAGGAATATGAGACAAGCCTGGGAAACATAGTGAGATTTATACACACACACACACACACACACACACACACACATATATGGAGATTTATTATGAGGAATCAGTGTTTTTTTTTTTTTTTTTGAGACGGAGTCTCGCTGTGTTGCCCAGGCTGGAGTGCAGTGGTGTGATCTTAGCTCACTGCAACCTCCGCCTCCTGGGTTCAAGTGATTCTCCTGCCTCAGCCTCGCAAGTAGCTGGGACTACAGGCGCGTGCCACCACACCCGGCTAATTTTTGTATTTTTAGTAGAGACAGGGTTTTGCCATGTTGTCTAGTCTGGTCTTGAACTCCTGACCTCAAGTGATCTGCCTCGGCCTCCCAAAGTGCTGGGATTATAGGTGTGAGCCACCATGCCCAGCCCAGTTGATTTATTATGAGGAATTGATTATGGAGACTAAGAAGCACCATGATAAGCTAGAGAGACGGACAAGCTGGGGGCGCCATTCAGTCTAAGTCCAAAGGCCTGGGAACTGGAGGAGCTGATGATGTAAATCCCAGGAGATGAGATGAAATGTCTCAGCTCAAGTGGTGAGGCCGGAAGAAAGGGGGCAATTTCTTTTGTTCCCTTCAGGCCCTCAACATATCGAAGGACACCCACCCACATTGGCCAGAGCAATCTACTTTGCTGTCTACCGACTTATTTATTTATTTATTTTTGAGACAGAGTCTCTCTCTGTTGCCCAGGCTGGAGTGCAGTGGTGCAATCTCGGCTTACTGCAACCTCTGTCACCCGGGTTCAAGCGATTCTCCTGCCTCAGCCTCCTGAGTAGCTGGGATTACAGGCGCCTGCCACCACACCTGGCTAATTTTTGTAGTTTTAGTAGAGATGGGGTTTCACCATCTTGGCCAGGCTGGTCTTGAACTCCTGACCTTGTGATCTGCCCGCCTTGGCCTCCCAAAGTGCTGGGATTACAGGCATGAGCCACCACACCCAGCCGAAATAATGTGGGGTTTTTTGTTTGTTTGCTTGTTTGTTTTGAGACAGAGTCTCACTCCATCACCCAGGCTAGAGTGCAGTGGCACAATCTCAGCTCACTGCAACCTCTGCCTCCTGGTTTCAAGTGATTCTCATGCCTTAGTCTCCTGAGTAGCTGGAATTACAGGTGCATGGTAACATGCCTGGCTAATTTTTATATTTTTAGTAGAAACAGGGTTTCAGCCGGTTGCAGTAGCTCACACCTGTAATCACAGCACTTTGGGAGGCTGAGGCGGGCAGATCATGAGATTAGGAGATCAAGACAATCCTGGCTAACACGGTGAAACCCTGTCTCTACTAAAAATACAAAAAATTAGCCGGGCATGGTGGCAGGTGCCTGTAGTCCCAGCTACTCGGGAGGCTGAGGCAGGAGAATAGTGTGAACCCGGGAGGCGGAGCTTGCAGTGAGCGGAGATCGCGCCACTGCACTCCAGCCTGGGCGACAGAGCATGACTCCGTCTCAAAAAATAAAGAAACAGGGTTTCACCATGTTGGCCAGGCTGGTCTCAAACTCCTCAAGTGATCTGCCCTCCTCAGTCTCCCAAAGTGTTAGGATTACAGGCGTGAGCCACTGCCCCTGGCCAGAAATAATGTTTAATCTGGGCACCCCGTGCCAGTCAAGTTGACACATAAAATTAACCATGGCACTTACTTCATATTGATAGAAGTATAATGTCTCCCATCCCAGCCTCCCATACAGGCTCATGCCTGTAATACCAGCACTTTGGGAGGCCGAGGCAGGTGGATCACCTGAGGTCAGGAGTTTAAGACCAGCCTGACCAACATGGAGAAACCCCATCTCTATTAAAAATACAAAATTCGCTGGGTGTGGTGGCGCATGCCTGTAGTCCCAGCTACTCAGGAGGCTGAGGCAGGAGAATCGCTTGAACCCGGGAGGCGGAGGTTGTGGTGAGCCGAGATCGCGCCATTGCACTCCAGCCTGGGCAACAGGAGCAAAACTGTCTCAAAATAATAATAATAATAATAATAATAAAAGAGAAGTATAATATCTCCCAAGGAAAGCAATGGGCACTGCATTGGCTACATTCATTGGTCATTCATTCATTCTTTCACTAAATGTGTCCCAAGGGCTGCTCTTTGCCAGCCTTGGTTCAAGGTCCTGGGAATAGAGATGCCCAACCTTCTTGTCTTCCAATGAGAATCCACAGAAAAGTGTGGGAGAGAGCGATGCGCTTGAGAGTCTGGGAACTGGAGGCAAGAGGGTCATTCTGATAAAGGAAGAAGGAGTGAGTGAGATTTGAGGAGGAGGTGTTTGCTGGGCCCCAGGGAAGGCATTGGCATTCCTGGCAGCTGGAGCACTGAAGACATGGAGATCTGACCTACCTAGTGGGAGGGTGTGAGAAGTGACAGTGGGTTGATGTGACCAGCCTGGGAGAGGAACCGGTAAGACAGCCAGAAACAAGGCTGGAAAGTAAAGCAAAAGTCAGATGGGGGGGCCTTTGTCTGTCAGACCAAGGTCTGTGAATTTGGTTCTGCAGAAGATGGGAGTGGGAGGCCGGGCACAGTGGCTGATGCCTGTAATCCCAGCACTTTGGGAGATCAAGGTGGGCTGATCACCTGAGGTCAGAGGTTTGAGACCAGCCTGACCAACGTGGTGAAACCCCGTCTCTACTAAAAATACAAAATTAGCCAGGCGTGGTGGCACATACCTGTCATCCTAGCTACTCGGGAGGCTGAGGCAGGAGAATCACTTGAACCTGGGAGGAGGAGGTTGCGGTGAAGCGACGTCGCGCCATTGCACTCCAGCCTGGGCAACGAGAGCTAGACTCTGTCTCAAAAAAAAGAAGATGGGGGTGGGAACCCCTGATTCCCCTGATTGGTTTTAACTGCAAGGTAGCTGTCACCTGTCCTGGAAGGTGAGGTTCTGTCCTGGGTCATTCTTGGAGAGCCAGGGACTGGTGACACTTACTGATCATGCCCATCATAGACTGAGCTTTCTTTGTGCTGGGCCCTGTGCTAAGTAAGTACCTTCCTTCTAACAACCTTGAGGTTGGAAATGTTTCTCCTTTCATTTCACTTTGGAGGCCAAAGAAGTGTGAGTGACATGCCTAGTGACCCTATTGGCTTCTTCTTTCTTTCTTTTCTTTTTTTTTTTTTTTTAAATAGAGATGGGGGTCTTTCTATGTTGTCGAGCCTGGTTTCAAGCTCCTGGACTCAGGCAATCCATCTGCTTCTGACTCCCAAGTGCTGGGATTAGACGTAAGCCACTGCCCCCAGCCCCCAACCCCGACTTTTATTTTGTGAGACAGGGTCTCACTCTGTCACCCAGGCTGGCGTGCCGAAATCACGGCTCACTGCAACCTCTGCCTCCTGGGCTCAAGTGTTCCTCCCACCTCAGCCTCCTGACTAGCTGGGACTACAGGCATGCGCCACCACGCCTGGCTAATTTTTGTGGGTTTTTTTGTTTGTAAAGATGGGATTTTGCTATGTTGGCCAGGCTGGTCTCGAACTCCTGGGTTCAAGCTATCTACCTGCTTTGGTGTCCCAAAGTGCTGGGATTACAGGCATGAGCCACTGCACCTGGCCAACTCTATTGTTTTTAATAATCATATTAACAATAACTGTTACCATTTGTTGAGCCCTCATTGGGTGCTTTACTGCATAATCTCAAGTGCCACAGCCCTGCCAGCTGTGCAATATGAAGGTCAATTATACAAGAAGCAGGGCCGGGCGTGATAGCGCATGCCTGTAATCCCAACACTTTGGGAGGCCGAGGCAGGCGCATCACCTGAGGTCAGAAGTTCAAGACTAGCCTGGCCAACATGGCAAAATTCCATCTGTACTAAAAATACAAAAATTAGGCTGGGGGCGGTGGCTCACGCCTGTAATCCCAGCACTTTGGGAGGCCGAGGCGGGCGGATCACAACATCAGGAGATGGAGACCATCCTGGCCAACATGGCGAAACCCCACCTCTACTAAAAATACAAAAATTAGCCGGGCGTGGTGATGCATGCCTGTAGTCCCAGCTACTCCGGAGGCTGAGGTAGAATTGCTTGAACCTGGGAGGCGGAGGTTGCAGTGAGTGGAGATTGCGCCGCTTCACTCCAGCCTGGGCCACAGAGCGAGACTCTCTCTCAAAAAAGAAAAAAAAAATTAGGCTGGGCGCGGTGGCTCATGCCTGTAATCCTAGCACTTTGGGAGGCTGAAGCAGGTGGACCACCTGAGGTCAGGAATTTGAGACCAGCCTGGTCAACATGGTGAAACTCCATCTCTACTAAAAATGCAAAAATTAGCCGGGCATGGTGGCATGTGCCTGTAATTCCAGCTACTCGGGAGGCTGAGGCAGGGAATTGCCGGAACCCGGAGGTGGAGGTTACCACGAGCTGAGATTGTGCCACTGCACTCTAGCCTAGGTGACAGAGTGAAACTCTGTCTCAAAAAAAAAAAAAAAAAAAAAAAGGCTGGGCGCAGTGGCTCACGCCTGTAATCCCAGCACTTTGGGAGGCCAAGGCAGGCTGATCACGAGGTCAAGAGATTGAGACCATCCTAGCCAACATGGTGAAATCCTGCCTCTACTAAAAATACAAAAATTAGCTGGGCGCGGTGGTGTGCACCTGCAGTCCCAGCTACTCGGGAGGCTGAGGCAGGAGAATTGCTTGAACCTGGGAGGAGGAGGTTGCATTGCAATGAGCCAAGAACGCGCTACTGCACTCCAGCCTGGCGACAGAGAGAGACTCTGATTCAAAAAAAAAAAAAGTTTTTTTTAATAGAGACAGGATCTCATTATGTTGCCCAGGCTGGTCTTGAACTCCTGGCTTCAAGCGATCCTCCTGCCTCAGCCTCCCAAAGTGCTGGGATTCCAGGTGTGAGCCACTGCACCTGGCCAACAGCCACCACTGTTGAGGGAGCTCTTGGAGTGCAACTTGGTGTGTGTGGTCTCATTTGTTCTCGAATGAACCCTGTGATATAGGCGGTCTTATCCCCATTTCACATGTGGAGAAACCGACTGCAGCAGGACAGAGCTGCCTGCTGGATTTAAAGCTACAGGGCAGGGGGCAGGTGGACTTTGAGCCCAGGTGTGTCCCTGGGCTTCCTGTTAGGCCCAACTCCAGGTGGTCCTCAGGGAGCTGAGGATTGGAGGGTAGTGGAGAATGCCTGATCCCCATCACAACCTGTCCTGGCTCCTCCTGCCTGTCTGTTCCTAGGTCTGCCATGGCACTCTGATGCCCTGGAATGGAAGGGACCTCTAGGCTCTGCCTGCTTGGCCCTGCCCTACCTCTGCCTGGCTTTGCCCACTCTGCCCTCCACTGTGGAGAGAAGGGGGTGAGGATTCCTTTCCCCTCCAAGAGCCAGCTGGGGAGTCAAAGGGGAAGCTTTTGCTAAGCACGTACTATGTGGCTGCTAAGTGCCTTACTTTCCTTATCCCACTTAATAGGAAGTCTTTACTAAGCAGGACTTATGATTCGTTATCCCCATTTTACAGATGAGGGAAACTGAAAGCCAGGGAGGTCTTATAAAAATCTCTGGCCAGGCGCGGTGGCTCATGCCTACTGTAATCCCAGCACTTTGGGAGGCCGAGGCGGGCAGATCACTTGAGGTCAGGAGTTTGAGACCAGCCTGGTTAACATGGTGAAATCCATTTCTACTAAAAATACAAAAAATTAGCTGGTCGTGATGGCGCGCACCTGTAATCCCAGCTACTCAGGAGGCTGAGGCAGGAGAAGCGCTTGAACCCAGGAGACAGAGGTTGCAGTGAGCTGAGATCGTGCCATCGCACTCCCGTTTGGGCAACAAAAGCGAAACTCCGTCTCAAAAAAAGAAAAAAAAAGAAAAAAAAATTTCTGCCAAGGGGCCGGCAAGGTGGCTTACGCCTGTAATCCCAGCGCTTTGGGAGGCCGAGGTGGGCGGATCACTTGAGGTCAGGAGTTCGAGACCAGCCTGGTCAACATGATGAAACCCCGTCTCTACGCCGGGCATGGTGGCTCACGCCTGTAATCCCAGCACTTTGGGAGGCCAAGGCGCGTGGATCACCAGGTCAGGAGATTGAGACCATCCTGGCTAACATGGTGAAATCCCGTCTCTACTAAAACATACAAAAAAATTAGCCAGGTGTGGTGGCGGGCGCCTGTAGTCCCAGCTACTCAGGAGACTGAGGCAAGAGAATGGCATGAACCTGGGAGGCAGAGCTTGCAGTGAGCCAAGATCACGCCACTGCACTCCAGCCTGGGTGACAGAGCAAGACTCTGTCTCAAAAGAAAAAAAAAAAAAGAAAGAAAGAAACCCCGTCTCTACTAAAAATACAAAAAATTAGCTGGGCGTGGTGGTGTGTGCCCGTAATCCCAGCTACTCGGGAGGCTGAGGCAGGAGAATCACTTGCACCCGGGAGGCGGAGGTTGCAGTGAGCAGAGATCATGCCATTGCACCCCAGCCTGGGCGATAGAGTGAGGCTCCATCTAAAAAAAAAAGAAGAAAAAAACCTCTGCAAAGACTCTCTGTGATGTCTACTGTTGAGTGAGAGCTGAGAGGTTGAGAGGTCAGGACAGCAGTGAACATCTTCCACTTTGGAGACCACTTGTAGCAGTGAAGGGCCCAGCCAGGCCCTGAGGGCATCCCTGGTGCCACTTTGCCCCACCTACACCATGACAGCCTGCCCTCCAGACTAAGGAATCAGCGCACGTTGCTGGAGCCCCTGCTAGGTATGAGGTGCCCAGGTGGGGTGACCACAAGCATGTGAGGAGCTGTCTGTGTTCTTGATGCTGTAGCTTTTGGTCAAGCTGAGACCTCTACACACGGGAGAGTGTCAATGACCACCTGCGAGGCAGCCCAAGGCCCTCCTGTAGCCCAATGGGCGTGATGTGGTTGGAGAAGGTGAAGGATGCTCTGGGCTTCCTGGAGGAGGGTTTGGGGAGAGCTGGGCCTTGAGGAAGCGCCTGGGGTCAGGGTGTTGCCTGCTCTCCTAGTTTGCTAAGTTATCCGGTAAGTATTTATCGAGCGCTCAAGCTTGCTAGCCTGCACCAGGCTCTGGAATGCACAGATGAAGACTGCCAACCCCTGCCTTGAGTGGGGCCCACAGGTGAGAAATCAGTGTTTATAGCCCAGGTCAAAGAAAGAGACAGACACATAGAGGAGAGGAACGTTTACTTATGAGGAGTAAAGGGGGTTCCTTTTCAGAAGGCCTGGCGGGGCAGATACAAAACACGGCAAGGATGTAAAGGAAAGCCTGACATTATCCGTTCTGCCATGGGAACCACAACGATTTCACTACCTTATCACAAAGGTCATGACTTAGCTTTAGGAATAGGCTTATTTTTTGTTAGGGAGTTCAGATTTATTTGTTTGTTTCTTTGTTTATTTATTTATGACAAGGTCTTGCTCTGTCATCCAGGCTGGAGTGCAGTGGCGGGAAGACGGCTAACTGCAGCCTTGACCTCCTGGGCTCAAGCAATCCTCCTGCCTCAGCCCCCGCAAGTAGCTGGGACTACAGGCGTGCACAATCATGTCCATCTAATTTATGTATTTTTGTAGAGACAGGGTTTCACCATGTTGCCTAGGCCGGTCTCAAACGCCTGGGCTCAAGCAATCTGCCTGCCTTGGCCTCCCAAAGTGCTGGATTACAGGTGTGAGCCACCGCGCCCGGCCAGGAGTCCAGGTTTATGGTGAAAACTCAGTCTTTCTTATTTTGAAGACTGGAACCAGTCAGGATGATTCTGTTATTTCGGATTTATGTCAGAGTACAAGTGTTTCCCTCTGAGCCCATCAAGCATGGGCCAAGGCAGGCTCAGATACTAAAAGCTGGGCACAGAAGCCCTTCTTGCTTTTGCCCCAGTGTGTGGAAGGCTGAGGTAGAGGGAAGCACATTGGATCTGGGAGGCAGGGACCCAGATCCAGCCAGGTTAGATCAGGGGAGGCTCCCAAGACTGGGTGGCGTCTGAGCTGAGGCTTGAAGAAGGAAGAGCGGACATAGCGTCTGCAAAAGGCACTTGGTATTTGTCCTTCCTTTATCTCCATCCTCTGGCAGGATTCCTCCAGAGGCCATGGGGCAGATGCCCACGGTGGGCATCTAATTTATAAGACCTAACAGTTGGCTCATAAGTAGTATTATGTGGAAGCAAACCCAGTGAGCACAGGCACCCCTGGGTACGGGAGAGGGAGGGTCGCCCAGCTTCTTCTCTGAACTGGGAGGCCGTGGACAGCACATGGGCTGTTGGTAAGACAAGCCTTTGTGATCTTCCCTCCCTGATACTTCCTGGCTGTGTGGCCTTGGATAAGTTGCTTGACCTCTCTGGGCTTCTGTTTTTCATCTATAACACAGCAGTATTTTTTTCCTTCCAGTGATGATAAAATGAAATATATCCAAAATCCATACGGCACCTAGTCAGGTCTCAGTGAATGTGTATTTATTCCTCTGTCTCTATCCCCAATCCCACAAATTGTCCCTGGAAGGGCTCAGAGCCTGGACATGGACGCAGGGATGAGAGGGAATTGCTGACTCTGGGGACAGAGGTCAGGGAGCGAAGGGCTCCTTGGTGTTATCCCTGAGCCTGGAGGTAGCTCAGGGAGGCCAAAGGGCCAGAACATCCTTCTAGGCTCGCCACCACCTGGTATTGCCTGTCCAGCAGGCTGGACGCAGCTGACGGTCCTGCCCTCCTCACAGAGGGTGCTGTGGTCCCCCCACTCCCAGCTGCTTCCCGTGGAGCTTCCCAGGTCAGGGCACTGCCGACCTGCTGGACCCAGCTCCATATCAGGCCAGCCCAGGCCTCCTGCTCTGGTCCCTGGGGAAAGGAGCGGGGCTGGGCTGAGGGCTCTAGGGAAGAAGTGGGCACCTGGCTGTGCCAAGGCTCACTCCCTGGGGATCTGTGGCTCACATCCTGGCCGGTCTCCATCCTCTCCCACAGGTGCCCCTGGAGGGTTCCTGGTGGCGCTCACCTGTGCCAGGGGATGTGGAGCCCTGGTTTGGGAGTCCAGAGTCCTAGGATCTCACCCTTACCGGAAGTCACTTCCCCAGGGCGATTACCACTCCCACCATCCATACCCAGAGAATCCACTGATGTGTTCATTCAACAAATATTTATTGGATGCCTCATTAGAGTCCTGAGAATACAAAAGTGAGCAAAACAGATACTGCTCTCATTGTTACTAAATAGATCATCTTGTCAATGACATCATCTTACCCTGTGAGCGGACAGAGTCGGGAGAGAATGCCAGGGGAGGGGAGGACACAGAGAGGCCTGATCTGGCACAGGATACCTAACACAGGTGAGCCCCACCAGGGAGGGCTTCTCAGAGGAGGAGTCAGACATCAGAACCAAGAGCAGGAGTGAGCCTGTGTGGGAGGCGGGGCCTTCCTCCAGGATAGGAGCCCCCAGGTGGGGAAGAACTTCAGAGTGGGGGTCAGTACTCTCCACCTGAGGTCCCAGCCACCTCAGCCCCTTGCCCTCGTCCCCGGCACTTGCTCTCTGTCCTTTCTCTCCTTGCCTCTCTCCCTTTCGGTCCTGGCCAGCAGCGGGGCCATGGAAGACAGCAGGCAGAGGGCTCAGACCCCCAGCTGCCCCCAGCACCTCGTTACCTCCTTGTTCCAGGCCAGAGGGGCTCAGTGGCCCAGGAGTTGGGCTGGGCTCTTTAAGAAGAGGAGAAAAGTTAAAGGGAGCCAGGTGTGGTGGCTCATGCCTATAATCCCAGCACTTTGGGAGGCCGAGGCTAGATGGATCACTTGAGGTCCGGAGTTCAAGACCAACCTGGGCAAAATGGTGAAACCCCGTCTCTACTAAAAATACAAAAATTAGATGGGTATGGTGGCATGTGCCTGTAGTCCCAGCTACTCGGGAGGCTAAGGCAGGAGAATTGCTTGAACCCAGGAGGCGGAGGCTGCAGTGAGCTGAGATCATGCCACTGATCTCCAGCCTGGGCGACAGAGTGAGACTCCCTCTCAAAAAAACAAAAAGAAAAGTTAAAGGGGAACCTCTGAGGGCCTAGGCCCTCAAGTCCCCCATTCTCTGCTGATGTAAGGAGGGACTGTACCTGGGTTCTGGGGTGGGGGTGAGGGCTATGGCGGCCACTGCCTGGTTCTGGAGGGGAAGGCCTGGATCAGAGATGGGGGAGGGCCCCCGAAAGGCCTGCAGGAGACAGCAGGACTGCGGCGGGGGTGAGGAGGTCTCCCCTGTTCCTAGTTCAGGGTGCCCCTCCACCCTGCTCCCCTGCAGAAAGTAACCCCGGTGCCTGTCCCCCCCAGGTCCCTGGCACCGACCCTTAGGGGCTCTTTCTATTACCTACCCTGTTCCAGGTGTTTTTTTTCCCAGGGTCAGGCCAGGGGAGGGGGCAGGAGGAGGGGCCTGAGCCACCTGTGTGCTGCCCAGGGCTGGGCACTGGAGTGAATGTGCCCCAGGTTCAGGGGGTGTGCACAATTAGGTGGTGGGTGGTCTGGCTTTGCAGCCTGGCAAGTCTTCTGCACCCTCCCATCCTCTTTCGGATCCAGGAGGGTCCATGGATGCACACTGGGAGGGAGGACAGGAGGCCAAGGGTCTTTGCTGTGTCTGATTTCTCCCCCTAGATGAGAAGCAGGAGAGGGAGGGGGTGGTTGACAGAGGAAAACCACTTGAGAGGCCTGGATCAGAGACTACCCCCAGTCTCCTGGACAGCCCTAGGCTGTCGAAAGGCAGATATCTGTCAGCCAGGCCAAAATGCTTACTTCCAGAATGACGGGCCCTGAGCCCTGGTTTCTCCATTTGTAAAATGGAGTCTCTGTCCCTACTCCACTTTCTGTGGGGCGACTGAGCCTGTAGGTGAGGAAGCCACGTGGGGAGGTATACGGGCTGACACTGCCCTCTGGTGGCCGTAGCCAGAGTTGCTGGCTGCCAGTGCGCTGACCTAGAGGGTGTGGTCAGCTGGGGGAGCTTTCAGGGTCTCCTAACTTCATCTCTGTCTTCTCCATCCCACTGCCTCTGCCTTCTTCCCCGTCAAACTCTCCAGGGGTTTCCCAGGGCTTCTTCCTCATGGGGCCAGAAACAATTTAATTCAGCAGGAGTGTAATAGGCTTCTTCTGTATGCCCTGTTCTGTGCTTGGTGGTTGGGGCTGCAGAGATGTCCAAGGCACAGAGAGACAGTCCAGGAAGCTGGGCTGTGGGAGGACCACTCGGCAGAGCCTATGGAGCTGTAGCCTCACGGAAGCCTGGGCTGTGCCGATGCCCGAACAGCCACCTCCTTATGTTCTTCAACCTCACTGTCGTAGCAAACCCTGGGGTTGTGTGTCTCCTTCAAGCTTTCTGCTGACAAAGAAACCATAGGAAACATGCAGACTTTGGGCTGGGCACAGTGGCTCACGCCTGTAATCCCAGCACTTTGGGAGACCAAGGGGGAGGCGGATCACGTGAGGTCGGGAGTTCGAGACCAGCCTAACCAACATGGAGAAACCCCGTCTCTACTAAAAAGACAAAAGTAGCCGGATGTGGTGACGCATGTTATTGGGGAGGCTGAGGCAGAGGCAGGAGAATTGCTTGAACACGGGAGGTGGAGGATGTGGTGAGCCGAGATCGTGCCATTGCACTCCAGCCTGGGGCAACAAGAGCGAAACTCCGTCTCAAAAAAAGAAAAAAAAAAGAAAGAAAGAAAGAAAGAAAATAAAACATGCAGACTTTGAACAAGGAGGAGAACGGTTATGTTATGAAAGTTCCTCCATTTCCAGAAGTATTCTGGGAGATAAGCTCTCTTTTCTGCACCTGTTTTCTCCTCCCTGAGGGAACATTTCCATCAGCATGTAAACATATTGTCCTCTCTCCCATCTTCAAAACACACTCCCCAGCACTCATGTCCTCCTTCAGCTCCTGTGCCCTTTTCCAGCTCTCCTTTGTTGCAGATTTCTTCAATACAGTTTTCTATACTGTCTCCCTTCCTTCCTTCCTTCCTTCCTTCCTTCCTTCCTTCCTTCCTTCCTCCCTCCCTCCCTCCCTCCCGCCTTCCTTCCTTCCTTCCGACAGGGTCTTGCTCTGTCACCCAGGCTGGAGTGCAGCCTCGACCTGTGCTCAGGTGATCCTCCCACCTCAGCCCCTGAAGTAGTACAGGTATGCACCACCATGCCCAGCTATGTTTTTTTTTTTGAGACGGAGTTTCGCTCTTGTTGCCCAGGTTGGAGTGCAATGGCGCAATCTCGGCTCACTGCAACCTCCGCCTCCCGGGTTCAAGCGATTCTCCTGAGTACCTGGGATTACAGGCACCCGTCACCATGCTCAACTAATTTTTTGTATTTTTAGTAGAGACGGGGTTTCACTATGTTGGCCAGGCTGGTATCAAAATCCTGACCTCAGGCGATCCACCCGCCTAGGCTTCCCAAAGTGCTGGGATTACAGGTGTGAGTCACTGCGCCCGGCCAATTCTTGTATTTTTTTGTAGCGAAAGGGTTTTGCCATGTTGCCCAGGTTGGCCTCAAATTCCTGGGCTCAAGCAATTCACCCTCCTAAGCCTCCCAAAGTGCTGGGATTATAGGTGTGAGCCACAGCGCCTAGCCTTCTTTCTGTTTTCATTTTGTTACCTCTCGTTATTTCCTCACTCCTCTTTGGTCTCTCTCACCCCCTCTACCAAGACCGCTCTTTTTTTTTTTTTTTTTTTTTTTGAGACAAGTCTTGCTCTGTTGCCCAGGCTGGAGTGCAGTGGTGCAATCTCGGCTCACTGAAACTTCTGCCTCCTGGG
Source organism: Homo sapiens (assembly GCF_000001405.40). Taxonomy (NCBI): domain Eukaryota; kingdom Metazoa; phylum Chordata; class Mammalia; order Primates; family Hominidae; genus Homo; species Homo sapiens. Next base: position 41,736,313 of record NC_000017.11, on the reverse strand, counting down.
TTCAAGCAATTCCCCTGCCTCAGCCTTCCAAGTAGCTGGGCTTACAGGCTTGTTCCACCACACCGAGCTAATTTTTGTATTTTAGTAGAGATGGGGTTTCACTATGTTGGCTGGGTTGGTCTCAAACTCCTGACCTCAGGTGATCCACCTGCCTTGGCTTCCCAGAGTGCTAGGATTACAGGTGTGAGCCACTGTGCCTGGCCCCGCAAGACCGCTCTTGCCGAGGCCATGACCCCAGCTCACCAAGGTTGCCCATGACCCCAGTTTGCCAAGCTGAGTCTCTGTCCTCAGTCTTTGCCTGGCCCAACAGCACCACCCAACACAGGTGGCCACTCTCTACATGAAACATTTTCTTTACTTTCTAGGACCCAACTTTCCTGGTTTTCCTCTACTTCACTGCCCCACTCATCCCAGTCTTCCTTTGATGCCTCCTCTTCTTCTTTCTGCCCTCTGAATCCTAGGGGGTTAGTCCTGGGCGCTCTTACCTGTCTTCTCTCAGTCTCTTGGGGATCTCACCAGTCTCATAGCTTTAAATGGTCATCAAAGAACAATGACTCCTACATTTAAATCTCCAGCCCGGTCTCTCCCCTACATTCAGATTTATACATCTAATTGTCTACCCAACATTTCCAGTAGGATACTTAAAAAAAAAGTATTCTATTTATTTATTTATTTTGAGGGGTAGGCTCGCTCTGTAGCCCCAGCTGGAGTGCATTGGCACAATTTCGGTTCACTGCAACCTCTACCTTCCAGGTTCAAGCAATTCTCCTGCCTCAGCCTCTTGAGTAGCTGGGACTACAGGCACACGCCACCATGCTTGGCTAATTTTTGTATTTTTAGTAGAGACAGGGTTTCACCAGGTGGCCAGGCTTGTCTGGAACTCCTGACCTCAGGTGATTCGCCTGCCCCGGCCTCCCAAAGTGCTGGGATTACAGGCGTGAGCCACTGCGCCCGGCTACAGGGAGACTTTTAAGAGGCGTCTCCCAAGGAGAACAGGGGTTCGCCAGCATGGCAAGAGGAGGGCAAAGCGAACTAGGGTTGGAGGTGAAGAACAGTTAATCCAATCAAATGGAAGACGTCGAGTGGCGCGAGCACTGGGGTGTGAGCGCGAGGGTCAGGGTTGCAGCGCCAGGCAGGGTTGCAGCGCCAGGCAGGGTTGCAGCGCCAGGCAGGGTTGCAGCGCCAGGCAGGGTTGCAGCACGTTGGAAGCGCACTGGAGTTTGGAATGTCTCTCCCAGTCAACCGGGAAAGACGCAGCGCTGCCCTAATGCACTGGCCACCCCAGACCGTATGCACAACGTTGGGTTGGCAGCTTCTACACCAGGGAAGGCACCCGAAACCCCGGCGCGGCAGCTGGGGAGGGGCTGCCCCCAGCCAGGGACCCGCGAGTGCTGGGGCAGCCGCGGCTTTGGGCAGAACCATTCTCCGGAGATGGAGAGGGCAGAAAAAATCTTTCGCTCCCATCCCAACTCGGAGCCATCCGGAACTTGCACTCGCCCTTCTTGCCCTGCTTTTCTTACTGTGCTCTGTTCCGTCACCACTAGCTCCCCTCCCGCGCGGCTCTGAGTCCCGCTTGCCACTAGTTGCTTCTCGGCAGCCCCCACCCCTACGCGTGGTCCGGCCCGGCGGCTGGCGCAGGTTATAAAGGTCCCGCCGCAGCAGCGGACGGCAGACTCGAGATGCGCCCGAAGAGGTTGGGCCGGTGCTGCGCGGGGAGCCGGCTCGGACCCGGGGACCCAGCAGCACTCACCTGTGCACCTTCGCCCTCAGCCAGTCCCGCTCCGGAGCCCTCTGCGCAGCCGCAGGCACGGGGCACTGGACAGAGAGTAGGATCCCGAGCCACCTCTGGATCCCAGTTCCTCTCGGAAGCCCGCACCGGAGCTCGCCCGGCCTCGGAGGCTGGAGCCAAGGCAGGAGCCCGGCGCCCGTCCGCATTCTCGGCCATCCAAGGGGATGTCCGGTCTATGCCCGACAATTCGGACGCGCCGTGGACCCGCTTCGTATTCCAAGGGCCGTTTGGTTCCCGGGCCACTGGCCGGGGGACTGGAAAGGCAGCGGGCATCTGGAAGACGCCAGCCGCCTACGTTGGCCGGCGACCCGGGGTGTCCGGCCCTGAGCGCGCCGCCTTTATTCGGGAGCTGGAGGAAGGTAAATCGGGCCCCCGGGGTCCTGGACCGGGTGGGGACTGGGGCAACTCCAGGGAGGAAGTGGCCCCATCGGGTCCAGGCACCCCGCCCCCTCTAGCACTCAGTGTCACCCGTCCACCACCCCCGCGATGTCACTGCGGTGTCTGTCTGGTCGCCCCTTCTCCATCTCCTCCTCTGCTCTTGTCCCCTGGTTTGTGCCCGTGAGTCAGGTTCTGGGGCCTGCACGCTCGCCCACCCACCTCCACGCGCCTCTTGCTGCGGCAGATCTGCACCCCTTCAGCGCCCCTCTCCTGGGTCTACCGCAGTGCCAGGAGAGGGGCGGGGGGCTGCGGGAGGGCGCTGTCCCGCGCGCTCTGAGTCTGCGCTGGCCGACCGGGCTTGCGTGCGATGGAGGGGTGGGTGGGCGGGCGGAGGGGGAAGTTTTGCCCACTTTTTGGTTGCGGGTATGGGGGCAAAGTCGCGCTCTTTTCCTGCCCCTTGTCTCTCCTATCCTCCTGCGGGTCGGGGGAGATCTCTGGATTGGGCCTAGAGGCTCGAGTGTCTCCTAATCTGGTGAAGTCTTCCTCCTGTCCTCTGCACACGCAACAGGTGCAGGGTGAGTGGCTGCGTCTGTTTGTATGACCCAGGAGACTCCATTGCACTGCCTCCTGGGTAGGGGGTGATGAGCCAGTCTGAGGCTGTACTTCCCCTGGCTGTCTCCATTCTAGGCGCCAGGGACCCAGGTGTCCGGAGAGCCCAGTTTCTGAGCCTGGAGGACTGTGACCCCCTTACCTCAGGCTCCTCCAGGGGTAAAAAAAAAAAAAAAAAAAAAAAAGCCGGGCGCGGTGGCTGACGCCTGTAATCCCAGCCAGCACTTTGGCAGGCCGAGGCGGGCGGATCACTAGGTCAGGAGTTCGAGACCAGCCTGGCCAACATGGTGAAACCCCGTCTCTACTAAAAATACAAAAATAAGCTGGGCGTGGTGGCGGGCGTGTATAACCCCAGCTACTCGGGAGGTTGAGGCAGGAGAATTGCTTGAATCTGGGAGGCAGACGTTGCAGTGAGCTGAGATCTCGCCATCGCACTCCAGCCTGGAGGACAAGAGCAAGGCTTTGTCTAAAAAAAAAAAAAAACCAAAAAAAAAAAAAACCAAAAAAAACCCAAAAACCTAAAAACCCTGTCCACTTGGCCCTGGGAGCAGGGAAGGGAGTGTTGAGTGCCGAGGGGTAAGGGGAGGATGTGGGGGGCAGGAGGGGAGCCCAGTCTTCTCTCCCGATGACCCTTGTTGGAGAACTGACGATAGGACGGGAAACAGCTGTTTGCTGGTAGCATCTGCTCCTTTTTCCTGACCTGGCTGGGCCTTTTCTCCCCACCTGCCGCCTCCTGCAGCACTGTGTCCTAACCTACCTCCGCCAGTCAAAAAGATCACCCAGGAAGACGTCAAAGTGATGTTATATTTGCTGGAGGAGGTGTGTACTGCCTTCCTGATCCAGGCAAGCCCTTATTCTAGTTTTGTCCTGTAGGGGTGGGGGTCTTGTTTATTTCCTGATTGGCAGTCTCTCTGGGGCCCCAGGTTAGGGTCCTTCTTATGGAAGACAGGTCGATGTGGGATGTTCAGGCTGGAAGAGCTCTCAGAGCCAATCTGGTCTGATCTTCTTTTTCCATGAGGGGAAACTGAGCCAGGTTCCACAGTGGGTTAATGGCAGACTCTGGTCTGGTACCCTAGAGAACTAGGGGATGGGGAAGGTTCTCTTAGGGGCCTAGCCTCTCTCTGACCCCTGTGTCCCCCCCAGCTTCTCCCACCTGTCTGGGAGAGCGTTACCTATGGGATGGTCCTGCAGAGAGAGAGGGACCTGAACACTGCAGCTCGCATCGGCCAGTCCCTGGTGAAACAGAACAGTGTTTTGATGGAGGAGAACAGCAAGCTGGAAGCCCTGCTGGGCTCAGCCAAGGAGGAGGTAACCGGGTGGGGAGGAGAGGATAGCGGGCCAATCTACACCTGCCTCATGCCAGGACCCTCTCCTGTCCCTGCCCACTCCCAACCCATGGCTCCTCTCTCTTCCTGCCAGATTTTATACCTCAGACACCAGGTGAACTTGCGGGATGAGCTCCTCCAGCTCTACTCAGATTCTGATGAGGAGGATGAGGATGAAGAAGAGGAGGAGGAAGAAAAGGAGGCAGAAGAGGAACAGGAAGAAGAAGAAGCAGAGGAAGACCTGCAGTGTGCTCATCCCTGTGATGCCCCTAAGCTGTGAGTTCCTGCCTTTGCACCTGCAAGTCCTTTCTCTGAGCCTCAATTTCCTCATTTGTTAAGAGGGACACAGGTGATGTGCTTGCTGGCAGGGTTGCTGGAACTAATTGAGAACACTGCCCTTAGCCCTGGTGGGCTGGGAACTGGGAAGCCCCACTCCCTGCACCCTGACTCCCATTCCTCCCTCCCCTAGGATTTCGCAGGAGGCATTGCTGCACCAGCACCACTGCCCACAGCTGGAAGCCTTGCAGGAGAAGCTGAGGCTGCTGGAGGAGGAGAATCATCAGCTGAGAGAAGAGGTGAGAATGGGGGAGGAGGGCGTCCCTGCTAGCAGGGGGTGTTGACTTCCCTGTCCCTTCCTCTTTGTCTCCCTCCAGGCCTCTCAACTCGACACTCTTGAGGATGAGGAACAGATGCTCATTCTGGAGTGTGTGGAGCAGTTTTGTACGTAATGTTGTCACTCGGGGTGGGGGGTTGTCCCAAGGAGCAGAGAAAAGAACTCAAGATGTGGAGTATGGAGATCCAAGTTCAAGTCCCAGATCTGGCACTCCTAGCTGTGTGAACTTGGATACATTCCTTGACCTCTCTGAACCTTTGTCTTTAGAATGGGGATTAATTTTCTCAGCCCCACTGATCTCTCCAGGGTTTATGAAGATTAAGAGTGTCAACAGCTGAGGAAGTACTTTGTGCAAACTATAAAGAGCTATACAGAAATTGTGGGTCTCAGGCCAGGCACGGTGGCTCATGCCTGTAATCCCAACAGTTTGGGAGGCTGAGGCCGGCGGATCACCTGAGGTCAGGAGTTTGAGACCAGCCTAACCAACTTAGAGAAACCCTATCTCTACTAAAAATACAAAAATTAGCCAGATGCAGTGGCACAAGCCTGTAGTCCCAGCTCCTTGGGAGGCTGAGGTGGGAGAATTGCTTGAACCTGGGAGACAGAGTTTGCAGTGAGCCTAGATCACGCCACTGCACCCCAGCCTGGGCGACAGAGCAAGACTCCATCTCAAAAAAAAAAAAAGGTGGGTCTCCTCCAAGCCTGTCTTCTCTTATTTGGGGCAGGCAAGAGGGAGCCATGAGCTGCCAGAGACCAGGCACCCAGGGCTGGGACAGTTCAGAGTCATGCACGGGGCAGTGGCTGTGCCTGGCATCGTCCTAGGCACTGTGTGTTTATGAAGATGAGTGAGGAGCAGTGTTTGTGCCTGAGGAGTTCAAGTGTAGCTGGTGAGATGCAAACGCAAAGTGGCAACAGCTGAACTCCTGCTGTTCCCTTTACCCCAGAACTGACCTTCCTTCCTGCTGGGTTCTGCAACTCCCTGAATGGCCCCACTGGTCCCCAGGCTACTGGAGTAGGAACCAGTCCCCAAGCTCTGTTGCTTTTACCTCCTAGGAATGGCTTAAGTCTTTTTCCCCCTCCCCACTCGGGCTGCCTCTAGCCCAAGATACCTCTTAACTGGTCGCACTGCCTCTACTCGCGCCCTACCAGGAACTTCTGCACACAGCCTTAATGAGTTTTCTAAAACCAAACCTGGCCAGGTGCAGGGGCTCCCACCTGTGGTCCCAGCTACTCAGGAGGCTGAGGTGGGAGGATTGCTTGAGCCTGTGAATTCTGGGCTGTAGTACACTATGCCGACAGGGTCAGTATGGTCCAGGGAGTGGAGTACCACTGGGTTGCCTGAGGAGGGGTGAACTGGCTCAGGTCAGAAACAGAGCAGGTCAAAACTCCCATGCTGATCAGTAATAGGATCGCACCTATGAATAGCCACTGTACTCCAGCCCCAGCCTGGGAACCTGGCAAGACCTCATTTTTTCTTTCTTTCTTTCTTTTCTTTTCTTTTCTTTTCTTTTCTTTTCTTTTCTTTCTTTTCTTTCTTTTCTTCCTTCTCTCTCTCTCTCTCTCTCTCTTTCTTTCTTTTTTTTTTTGAGATGGAGTACAGTGTTGCAGTCTTGGCTCACTGCAACCCCTGCCTCCTGGGTTCAAGTGATTCTCCTGCCTCAGCTTCCTGAGTAGCTGGGACTACTGGTGTGTGCCATCACGCCTGGCAAATTTTTTTTTTTTTTTTTTTTTGACGGAGTCTCACTGTCGCCCAGCTAGAGCAATGTCATGATCTCAGCTCACTGCAACCTCCGCCTCCCAGGTTCAAGTGATTCTCCTGCCTCAGCCTCCTGAGTAGCTGGGATTACAGGCCTGTGCTACCGTGCCCAGCTAATTTTTGTATTTTTAGTAGAGATGGGGTTTCACCATGTTGGCCAGGTTGGTCTTGAATTCCTGACCTCAAGTGATCCTCCCGCCTTGGCCTCCCGCAGTGCTAGGATTACAGGTGTGAGCCACCACGCCCGGCCAAGACCGCATTTCCTTTTTTTTTTTTTTTTTTTTTTTTTTTTTTGAGAAGGAGGCTCCCTCTGTAACCCAGGCTGGAGTGCAGTGGTGTGGTCTTTGCTCACTGCAACCTCCACCTCCCGAGTTTAAGCGATTCTCCTGCCTCAGCCTCCCGAGTAGCTGGGATTACAGGCATGCGCCACCATGCACAGCTAATTTTGGTATTTTTAGTAGAGATGGGGTTTCACCATGTTGGGCAAGCTGGTGTTGAAATCCTGACCTCAAGCGATCCATCCCCCTCAGCCTCCCAAAGCGCTGAGATTACAGGCATGAGCCACTGTGCCTGTCCCAAGACCTCATTTCTTAAAAAACAAGTAGCCGGGTGCAGTGGCTCACCCCTGTAATCCCAGCACTTTGGGAGGCAGAGGCAGGTGGATCTCTTGAGGTCAGGAGTTTGAGACCAGCCTGGCCAACATGGTGAAACCCCGTCTCTACTAAAAATACAAAAATTAACTGGGCGTGGTGGCGCATGCCTGTAATCCCAAGTACTCGGGAGGCTGAGGCAGGAAAATCGCTTGGACTCGGGCGGCAGTTACAGTGAGCCAAGATTGCACTATTGCACTCCTGCCTGGACGACAGAGATTCGGTCTCAAATAAATAAATAAATAAACCAACAAACCCAAGTCTGACCACGTCATTACTGTGCCTAAAACTCCCAAATAGCTTTCCATTGGCCAAAGGATAAACCCCACCCCCTTGCCCACTACTGTGGTCTGGCCTGTGTGCACTGTTCTGGGCCCTCCCCGTCCCAGTGTCTTATGATGGCCTCTGGGCCTTTCCAGTCAGCTTGGACCCATGTTTTTCCTTCTTTGCCTGGGTGAGCTTCACTTGCCCTGTGGTCTTAGCTTAGTGGTTCCTTTTTCCAGGAATCCTTCCTTACCTTGCAGGTCGGGTTGGGTGCTGTAGCTGTGATGCCCCTGCCCTGTACACCCTTGACATTTGCCCATCATGGCCTGTATGATGTGTGACTGTGGTCTGTCTCCCCACCAACTTTACCTCAGTGTGGCGGCTGGGTCTTACTGACCACTCACCCTGGTGCCCTGCTCAGTATCAGTCAATGAACATTTCTTGAATGGAAGACCTGAGTGAGGAATGCAAAGCCCTGCAGGACCCACTGGCACAGCGCAGCAGCCGAGGGTGGGGGAGACAGAGGCATCTGGGAGGGCCAGAGCTGGTCCCTGAAGGCCAGGGGAGCCAGGGCTGACCTGTCCTCTGCCCTCCCCAGCGGAGGCCAGCCAACAGATGGCTGAGCTGTCGGAGGTGCTGGTGCTCAGGCTGGAAAACTATGAACGGCAGCAGCAGGAGGTCGCTCGGCTGCAGGCCCAGGTGCTGAAGCTGCAGCAGCGCTGCCGGATGGTGAGTCGGGTGTGTGTGGAACCCTCTTGTCGTGGCCCCATGGGACCCTAGCTTCCTTCTTCCTGCCTCCACTCGGCTCCACCAGGCCTGAGGTCCCTTTCTGTGTCAGAGTCAGAGACCTCAGAGAGCCCCTTATCTTGACCCCTTGTTATCTTGAGGAGACCAAGGCCCAGAGAGGGTCCTGGAGTCTTCTAGGAACCAGGCTGCGTGACTCCCCTGCCTTCTTTGCCCTCCTTCCGTGTGACTTGTCATTTCATGGGCTGCCAAGGACTCACTGATGTGCCTGGGAAGACTTGCTGGAAGCAGGGGGTGCCCTGAGTGGGTAGGCCTCAGATGGGGGTTCACTGGTTTTGGGTCCTTCCAGTATGGGGCTGAGACTGAAAAGTTGCAGAAGCAGCTGGCTTCGGAGAAGGAAATCCAGATGCAGCTCCAGGAAGAGGTGAGTCTCGCTGCCGGCTTCTGCCCCCACCCTGGAGAGCCGCTGGCCCAGAGTGGGGACCCCAGGCCCTTGGCAGCTACCTGACTCTGGAGAGGACTAGCAGGAACTGAGTCTTGTCCGTTTCCACCCCCTCCATGCCTGGCACAGCCCAGCAGGTGACAGTTCCATCAAGGTCTGAGTGGTGTGGAGTGCAGGGACCTGCCCTGGGTCCCCCACATGACACTTGGAGTCCAGAACCTGGGCCTCTGGCCTCAGCCTGAGAGCAGATAGGCAGGAGTGCTGGACTGGGTGTGCCTGGGTCCCAGCAGAGCGTGTGGGTGGGTTCCCAGCTGCAGGACCTGCGGGAGAAGTACATGGATTGTGGGGGCATGCTGATTGAGATGCAGGAGGAGGTGAAGACCCTCCGCCAGCAACCCCCAGTGTCCACTGGGTCTGCCACCCATTACCCATACAGCGTGCCTCTGGTGAGGACCCTCCCCTGGCTGCCCACTTTCCTACGTCTGTGCCTGTGTCTCAGCCTTGGTGGCTGATTGAGATCCCAGTTCCCTTCTGTGCCTGAGCCTATGGGTGGGGGTTCTGTGGGGGTCCTCTGGTAACGTCTGTTCTCTCCACCATAGGAGACTCTTCCTGGTTTCCAGGAGACGCTGGCTGAGGAGCTCAGAACGTCTCTAAGGAGGATGATCTCAGACCCTGTGTATTTTATGGAGAGGTGCGTGGCTGGGGCCCTCCCTTGCCCCATAGGCCATGGCCTTTCCTGTAGTGGGGAGGGGGTTTGCCCTCACACTCTGACCTTCCACGCTTCCCTATACCCGCCTCGTTCACTGCATCAGCCCCTCCACTCATTGCTTCTCTATGAATATGGACCCATCACTTCCCCCTGAGGTATTTTTTTTTTTTTTGAGATGGAGTCTTGCTCTGTCACCCAAGCTGGAGTGCAATGGTATGATCTTGGCTCACTGCAACCTCTGCCTCCCAGGTTCAAGCAATTCTCCTGCTTCAGCCTTCCGAGTAGCTGGGATTACAGGCATGTGCCATCACGCCCGGCTACTTTTTGTATTTTTAGTAGAGACACAGTTTCACCCTGTTGGCCAGGCTGGTCTCAAGCTCCTGACCTCAGGTGATCTGCCCGCCTCAGCCTCCCAAAGTGCTGGGATTACAGGCGTGAGCCATCATGCCCAGCCTGAGGTTTTTTTTTTTTTTTGAGACGAGTCTCACTCTGTCACCTGGACTGGAGTGCAGTGGCGAGATCTTGGCTCACTGCAACCTCCATCTCCTGGGTTCAAGCGAGTCTCCTGCCTCAGCCTTCCAAGTAGTTGGGACTACAGGCACGAGCCTGGCTAATTTTTTTTTTGTTTTTTGAGATGGAGTCTTGTTTTGTTGTCCAGGTTGGCGTGATCTCGGCTTACTGCAACCTCCGCCTCCTGGGTTCAAGCGATTCTCCTACCTCAGCCTCCTGAGTAGCTGGGACTACAGGTGGCCATCACCACGCCCGGCTAATTTTTGTATTTTTAGTAGAGATGGGCCAGTAGAGATGTTGGCCAGGCTAGTCTTGAACTCCTGACCTTGTGATCCACCCGCCTGGGCCTCTCAAAGTGTTGGGATTATAGGCGTGAGCCACTGCACCTGGCCAAGCCCAGCTAATTTTTGTAGTTTTAGTAGAGACGGGGTTTTACCATGTTGGCTAGGCTGGTCTTGAACTCCTGACCTCAGGTGACCTGCCCACCTCGGCCTCCCAAAGTGCTGGGATTACAGGCGTGAGCCACTGCTCATGGCCACTACCTAAGGTTCTTCAGCTTGACCAAGCCCCAGGGACTGCAGTTTCGGCTTCCATTGTCTCATAATGAAGGTCCTTTTCTCTTTGAAGGAATTATGAGATGCCCAGAGGGGACACATCCAGCCTAAGGTAAGCCTGCCAGGGGCTCCCCTACAACCTGCCCTCAGCTTTCAGCAGCCAGACAGCCCACCTGCCTCTGGTTCTGCCACCCTGCAACTCCGGAGAAGGCCCTGCTATCTCGGCTGGCTGAACTGAGAACTGTTCTGGGAAGGAGCTGCCCCACTTTTCCTTCAAATCTTGCCCCCTGGGTGGCCGTCTGATTCCAGGCAGCTCTGAGTGGGGACTGAAGCTTTCTTTTCAACTGACTATGGGCTGAGAGGTGACAGGCACTGGCTTAGGAGCTGGGAACACCTGGGACTAAGGCCCAGCGTGGTCCCTTTCCTGACTGTGTGTCCTTGGGCAAGTCATTTGACCTGTCTGAGCCTGTCTAGAATGGATTTGTTCCTATGGCAAGTAGCTGTGGGGTGGGCTATGAAGGTTAAATCATGCAGGAGGGAGGCAGAAGTGGGTGTTAACCCTGTTGGTGTATTCCGTGCAGGGTCAGGGACATAAAAGAAGATGGGGCCTATGCAGTGTTGGTGACCATTCTTCCTCCCTCCCACCAGGGGGATGGGCTGGGTATTTGAAGCCTTGGAGCTGGTACCTAGCTCCCCTCTCCCCTGGCTGGGACAGAACCAGGAGGAACCATCAGGATCTGTGTGGAGACGGGTGGGGGTGGGCCTGGGGGGTTGGACTTTCCAGCCCCTCAAAAGATGTCGCTATCTCCCGCCCAGGTATGATTTTCGCTACAGTGAGGATCGAGAGCAGGTGCGGGGGTTTGAGGCTGAGGAAGGGTTGATGCTGGCAGCGGATATCATGCGGGGGGAAGATTTCACGCCTGCGGAGGAGTTCGTGCCCCAGGAGGAGCTGGGGGCTGCCAAGAAGGTGCCGGCTGAGGAAGGGGTGATGGAAGAGGCAGAGCTGGTGTCAGAGGAGACCGAGGGCTGGGAGGAGGTGGAACTGGAGCTGGATGAGGCAACGCGGATGAACGTGGTGACATCAGCCCTGGAGGCCAGCGGCTTGGGCCCTTCACACCTGGACATGAATTATGTCCTCCAGCAGCTGGCCAACTGGCAAGATGCCCATTACAGGCGGCAGCTGAGGTGGAAGATGCTCCAGAAAGGTGAGTGCCCCCACGGGGCCCTCCCTGCCGCCAGCCGGACAAGCTGCAGATCGTCGTGCCGATGAAAAGAGAGGGTGGATAAGCTCCCCGAGTGCTCACCTGCCCCAGCCTGGCTCTACCTGCTGTGCTTATTTGCATGGACTTTGCATATCATTTGCATAGACACCTCTGATCCCCTTCAGTGGGAACCGTAGTGTCAGTGCTCATTTATGTGGCATTTGCTTAGGATTCCAGATCTCCATCCACTTTTCTCCTGGGGGCTGGGCTGGGGGTTAGGGCTGGGACTGTGCCCCCACACTGCGCCTCAGCTTCCCATCTCTGCCCGCTTGCTTCCCCTGCCCCCAACCCCTGCCTCCTCTATCCCCCAGGCTCTCCAACTCTGCAGCAGTGGCAGCAGCAGTCAAAACAAACACGGGGGGCGGTGGGTGGGATGGTGGAGCAGCCCGGGGGCTGACCCAGGCTGGAGGACAGGGCCAGCCACCCTCCCACGGCCTGGGAGGAAGAGAGGCCTTCTGGGACTGCCCAGGCTATGGGGACAAAGGCCTTCACCAGCAAGGGCCACAGTTGGAACAGTCCCCTGGGTGTCAGAAGGTGGGCTAGGGCCTCCTGCAGGGTTGTGGGGTGGAACAGGGTCTCCTCTCCCCAGCCAGAAACCCCAAAGTCTGGGAGCTGCACCTTCCGAGTGCAGGCCATGTGAGCCCTGCCTCTTTAAGGAGCCGCAGGACATGAAAGATGACCTTGTGACACTCATGCACAGCAGCCATTGCACGTGCATCAGCTCCCATCAGCCTCATTCCGTGGCAGGTGATGTGTCCCCATTGGTTAGGTGAGGAGGGTGAGGCTCAGAGAGCTAAGGACACTTGTTTGGGGCCACACAGCCGGGGTAGATCTGAGCCCGTCCTCTCTACTCCTGTGCTGTAGCACCTTCACTGGCCCATCCCTCCCCTCTAGTGCTGTCCTGGTACCCGTCCCAGCCTGTCCCCATTCTCATGGCCCTTTGGTCACTGCCGGGTGGAATAGCACTGGCTTCAGCAGGCGTGTCATGTAAGCTTGTGCAGGTTATAAACTGAACCATGACCTTTATGGCGCATGCAGGGGGCAACCTGCATAATTATCAATGGCGACTTTCCGTGTCCTTCTGATACAGTTGATCAGACCCCTGCCCACCGCCCAGGCCAGGCCTGTGGTCATCAATGCCCCAGTTCACATCCACCTGCTTCTCTTCCAGGCTTTGCTGTTCCCCAGCAGCCTGCAGAGGCCCCACAGACAGCTTGAGGCCCCTCCTTCTGCTGCCTGGCCAAGCCCCACACCCGCAGACCCTCCTTCCCATCCTCTGAAATGGGACCCTGTGTCTGTCACCAGCCCACCCTCTGTGTTCATGAACCTGGGCTGGAGCTTGGGGACCCCTCCCTGCCCCTGGCTTCCTCTTCCATGTTCTGCCCTTTCCCACATGTTGGAGGCTTTTCCAACGTCTTCAGGGACAGGCGGTAGGAACCCCGGCCCTCGCTCTGCAGCTGGTGCAAAAGCTGTGGCTGCCAGGTCTGGGCCACATGGCAGCCCAGGGGGCAGGAGAAGCCCGGGAGAGGCCCACTGGCTACCAGACTCAGCCCTGAGCAGGGAACAGGGCCCAGCTTCCACCGGCAGGGAGTTGTGAGCGCCTTCCCAACAATGTGCCCCTCACCCCTTGATGCCCATGCTAATGGTAGCCACCCTGGTTCTTGTTGACTTGAGGGACCTGGCTGTCTTCCCTGTTCTTCATCCTTTCTTCTCAGTCCCTACCTACTGTTTGTAACCACAAGTGTCTCTGTGTGTGGGTGGGTGAGGGCCCCTCTGCCCAGTGGTGTGTCTCCTCTCCCTCCCTCCCTCTTCTGCCAGTGGCCTGGGGGTGTCCAGGCTCCCATCCGTGGCCCAGCCCCTCTCCCCTCTGTCTTGATCCCCCCCTCCCTGCCCCTGGCTTCCTCTTCCATGTTCTGCCCTTTCCCACACCTTTGTTCCTCAATAGCTGGGGGCTGGGACTGAGGCCTCCTGCAGGTACCTGCCCCCCTTCACACAGCACCTCTCAATCTCCTATTGCTTGTCAGCCTGTGTGCGTGTGGTGCAGGAAATAAAGGATCTATACCCTCCTGGCCCAGCCTCCAGCTGTCTCTCTAGGGAGTGTGTGTGTGCACTTGGCAGGGCGAAGTTGTAGAGAAAGGGTGGATGCTAATATTGAAGTATGTGCCGAGGACTCCTATTAAATACGCCGTTTAATCATAGCAGCAGCTCCTAGAGGGCGGTGGGTGATGTCATAAGTGTCTGTTGGATGGAGAAACTCAGGCCAGAGTAGGTTAAGTGATGCCCTCACCAGCAGATCATGGCTAGTGTGGAGCTGGGATTTGAGCTCATGCTTCCCTGATCCTTTCACCCCAGAGACTGACTCAGTGGCCTGGCTGTGAAAGATAGGATGGGAGAGAGTCACCCACTGTCTTAGGGTGAAGTCCCCAGAGCAGACCTGGAACAGGGTTTAGGAACAAGTATAGTCGCCCTCCGTATCCTCAGGCTCTGCATCCGTGGAGTCAACTAACCACAGATAGAAAATATTTGGGGGAGGCTGGGTGCAGTGGCTCATGCCTGTAATCCTAGCACTTTGGGAGGCCGAGGTGGGTGGATCATTTGAGGTCAGGAGTTCGAGACCAGCCTGGCCAACATGGTGAAACCCCGTCTCCACTAAAAATACAAAAATTAGCTGGGCGTGGTGGTGGGTGCCTGTAATCCCAGCTACTTGGGAGGCTGAGGCAGGAGGATCACTTGAACCCAGGAGGCAGAGGTTGCAGTGAGCGGAGATCATGCCACTGCACTCCAGTCTGGGCAACAACAGCGAGACTCCATTTGAAAACACAAGAAAATATCTGGGGGAGGCCAGGCGCGGTGGCTCATGCCTGTAATCCCAGCACTTTGGGAGGCTGAGGTGGGTGGATCACTTGAGGTCAGGAGTTCGAGACCAGCCTGGTCAACATGGTGAAACCCCGTCTCTACTAAAAATACAAAAAAAATTAGCTGGGCATGGTGGCAGCCCCTGTAATCCCAGCTACTTGGGAGGCTGAGGTGAGAGGATCACTTGAGCTTGGAAGGTTGAGGTTGCAGTGAGCTGAGGTTGCACCACTGTACTCCAACCTGGGTGACAGAGTAAGACCCTGTCTCAAAAAAAGAGAAAAGAAAATGACAGACAAACCAGACATGGGGGAAATTGCCAGCTTTGATAAAGCTTTGAAGGAAACGGAGATGCAGGAGAACACCTTGTGGACCAGAGACCACTGAGCAGGAGAAGCAGTGAAATTTCCTAAAATCTGGAGGATTCCCTGCCCCTGTTATCTTCAAGTCCCCAGTGGTGATGTGGAAGAAAAGCAACCTGCAAGGTGGATGCAAGCCACAAGCTGCTCTGTGAACCTGGGCACCTCACACAGATGCCACTGGCCTGTGGGTCTCTGAGGGGACCCGCAAATGGGACTGCCAAATTCTCTGGTTTGCTCCAGGATATTATAGAAAATTATTTATATGAATAGTAAAAATAAAACACACTTTGTGGCCCCCCTGCCAAAAGAATATCATTGAGAAGATTATTGCTGTGGCTAACCGGGTCTCAGTCCTGCTGGGAACTCTGGGGGACAGTAGAATATATCTCAGAGTAGCCTGGGTGAGGTGGCTCACACCTGTAATCCCAGCACATTGGGAGGGCGAGGCAGGTGGATCACCTGAGGTCAGGAGTTCGAGACCAGCCTGACCAATGGAGAAACCCCGTCTCCACTAAAGATACAAAATTAACTGGGCATGGTGGCACACATGCCTGTAATCCCAGCTACTCGGGAGGCTGAGACAGGAGAATCGCTTGAATCCAGGAGGTGGAGGTTGCGGTGAGCTGAGATTGCACCATTACACCCCAGCCTGGGCAATAAGAGTGAAACTCCGTCTCAAGGAAAAAAAAAAAAAAGAATATATCTCAGAGTTATCCCACCCCTTGGGTGGGGGAGCTGGGGTATTTATCCTCTAACTGTCATCTGACACTGTCTGAGAGATGCTTCTGGAGGCATTTAACTGCCCTGCACTTGGCCCTGAAGGAAATTAGAATGTGTTACCTCCAAATATGCCACTTTGGCATAAGGACTATTTTGAGCTGAAGGCAATTGAGAAGAAGCAGATACAAGAAAAGCTCCCTACCCTCCTATTTGCATAAAAACAGGACATACATTTTCAACTGTGTCCATCTACCAGGAAGGATAAAAGTTAAATCTCTGGGCTGGGCACGGTGGCTCATGCCTGTAATCCTAACACTTTGGGAGGCCGAGGTGGGTGGATCACCTGAGGTCAGGAGTTCAAGACCAGCCTGAGCAACATGGAGAAACCCTGTCTCTACTGAAAATACAAAATTAGCCAGGTGTGGTGGCACATGCCTGTAATCCCAGCTACTTGGGAGGCTGAGGCAAAAGAATTGCTTGCACCTGGGAGGCGGAGGTTGCAGTGAGCCGAGATTGCCCCATTGCACTCCAGCCTGGGCAACAACAGCGAAACTCTGTGTCAAAAATAAATAAATAAATAAATAAAGCTGGGCGCGGTGGCTCATGCCTGTAATCCCAGCACTTTGGGAGGCCAAGGTGGGTGGATCATGAGGTCAGGAGATCGAGACCATCCTGGCTAACACGGTGAAACCCCGCCTCTACTAAAAATACAAAAAATTAGCCAGGCGTGGTGGTGGGCGCCTGTAATCCCAGCTACTTGGGACGCTGAGGCAGGAGAATGGCATGAACCCGGGAGGCAGAGCTTGTAGTGAGCCAAGATCGTGCCACTGCACTCCAGCCTGGGCAACAGAGTGAGACTCTGTCTCAAAAAAAAAAAAAAAAAGTTAAATATCTGGAGACAACTTTATTTTTTATTATTTTTTTGGTTTCCATAATTTGGACTTATTTTATTGATACTCATTAGTGAATAAAATGTTGATTTTTGATGCATTACAATACACTTTTTGGTAGTGGTTGCACAATGTTGATCATTTATTTGTTTACTAAATACTGCAATCTCCAAATTGCCTTTTTTTTTTTTGAGACAGAGTCTCGCCCTGTCTCCCAGGCTGGAGTGCAATGGCGTGATCTCAGCTCACTGCAACCTCTGCCTCCTGGGCTCAAGCAATTCTCCTGTCTCAGCCTCCTGAGTAGCTGGGATTACAGATGCATAACACCATGCCCAGCTAATTTTTGTATTTTTAGTAGAGACAGTGTTTCACCGTATTGGTCAGGCTGGTCTCGAACTCCTGACCTCAGGTGATCCGCCTGCCTTGGCTTCCCAAAGTGCTGGGATGACAGACGTGAGCCACTGCGGCTGGCCAAATTGCCAATTTTTACATGGTATTTCTGGCAATGATGGTGGCTCGTCTCTCTGAATACATAAAATGGTCCATTCAATCCATGGTTTTCATATTCCTTTGTTATTCTATCTACTGCTTTAAAATACATTCAGGCTGAGTGCAGCGGCTCACACCTAGAGAATCCCAGCACTTTGGGAGGCTGAGGCGGGTGGATCACGGGGTCAGGAGTTCAGGACCAGCCTAGACAACATGGTGAAACCCCACCTCTACTAAAAAGTACAAAAATTAGCCTGGCATGGTGGTGCCTGCCTATAATCCCAGCTACTTGAGAGGCTGAGGCAGGAGAATCGCTTGAACCTGGGAGGTGGAGGTTGCAGTGAGCTGAGATGGCACTACTGCAATCCAGCCTGGGTGACAGAGCAAGACTCTGTCTCAAAAAAATAAAATACATTCAAATAAAAAAATATAAGTTACTTGCAACAAGTGCACACTTAGAACAGCGAGGAGAGCTGAGAACATAATTAACCAGTACTCTTGTGTTCAGAGCATAAATAGTCTGAAACCGTGGGACTGAAGCTTGCTCCTCATAGACTTTCTCCAAGTATCCTTGGTGGACGTAAGGTTACCCTCACTCAACGGAAGGACACATCTGCTGCTGTGGTGGGAGGACACAGAATGACAATTTCATTTACGTAGGACGTTTTCCTTCCATAATGTCTGGAACAAGTCGGAGACAACTTTAGACCCCTTTCAGCCTGGAGTGGCACCAGTGCAATCTAATAACAAACTTGACTCACTAGCCTTTATCTACCATTCGTTTTCCATATAGCTGCTTTCCCATGCACAGTTAGCCACCCTTGGAAGTCTAACCTAGGCTGGAGCTTGGGGGCCTGGACCTCAGCCCTCTTCTGGGACAGGCGGTAGGAACCCCAGCCCTTGTTCTGCAGCTGGCACAAGAGCTGTGACTGCCGGATGTGGGTCACATGGCAGCCCAGGGGGGCAGGAGAAGCCGGGGGAGGCCCACTGGCTACCAGACCCAGCCCTGAGAGGGGACAGGGCTCAGCTCCCACGGGCAGAAAGCTGTTTCCCACACACAGTTAGCCACCCTTGGAAGTCTAAAAATTGCTGTCCTTTATCTTGCCTACAAATGTATTGTTCTTTGTTGAAGATGCTCTGTGAGCCTGAATTCTCCCATCTGAGTACTAACCAGGCCCCACCGTGCTTAGTTTCCAAGATCAGACAAGATCGGGCGCGTTCAGGGTGGTATGGCCGTAGACAGTGTGAGCCTGAATTCTAAGCTACCTCTCTGAGTTACTCAACTCTGGGTACTCTGTGTGTTAAATGTGTGATACACATGTTAATAAACTTGTTTGCTTTTCTCTTGTAATCTGTCTTTTATAACAGAGCCCCAGCCGAGGACCTAAGATGGGTAGAGAAAACACTTTCCCTCCTCTACAGCCCTCAGGTGGCGGGTAGCTCAAGGTAATGGTGTCAACAGGCACAAGAACAATGATGGAATGGAGTGAGACACCAGCAATGCCTGCACCAGCCACTCATGAGCAATTATTTACAAATATTTATTGGGTTCCTCCTATTCTTGCCACCGGGGATACAGAAGGGAGGAGGGACTTGTCACGCTCCCAGTTTCCTGTTTTGCCCGAGAGGCAGACAATAAACTGGCAAACAAAACAACTACAGATTGTGAAATGTGTTCTAAAGAAAATATTCTGCTATTGTGAGACAAAGCAACAAACATTAAGAAGCTGTGTTTGCTCCTTTCTGCTTGTCGGCACAGTTTCACAAAGCACCTGACTCTGTGACTAGAGACAGACGTGCAGCCCTCCGGAAAGATGCTTTGAAGACAGCACAGGAGAGAGCCTGAGGCCCTCCCATGTCTCTTGGCTGAGTCACTACTTTTCTTTTCTTCTTCTTTTTTTTTTTTCTTTGAAAGAGAGTCTTGTTCTGTTGCCCAGGCTGGAGTGTCATGGCGCAATCTTGGCTCACTGCAACCTCTGCCTCCCGGGTTCAAGCAATTCTCCTGCCTCAGCCTCCCGAGTAGCCAGGACTACAGGCACATGCCTGGCTAAATTTTGTATTTTTAGTAGAGACGGGGTTTCACCTTGTTGGCCAGGCTGGTCTCGAGCACCTGACCTAAAGTGATCCACCCTCCTCGGCCTCCCAAAGTGCTGGGATTACAGATGTGAGCCACTGCGCCCGGCTTGAGTCTTCACGTTTCTTAAAAGAGAAATAATCCTAGTCCCTGGCTTTTCTGACACAGAACATTTCCAAGATGACATCTGACGAGGTTAGTGATGATGCCTCTGTGATCTAGGACCCAAATCTTGCTGTGATTCTGCTGTCATGTAATTCTGAGCAAGTCTGATGGGATTTTGCACATACGGAACCTCCACCTTTAGCCCCCAGATGTATATAAGCAATGGGCTGAAACATTGTGCCAGAGCCTGCTCCTGGGCTGGAGGCCTCAATCTATAGTCCTCTGTAAGACTTCTGAATACAACTAGCATTCATTCTTTAAAAAGCTTAATTTTTTCTCTTTTATTTGACCCTGTGGTAGAGAATAACTGGGTCTATGTGTGAAGGGTGAGGAGCAGAAAGGGTAGGTCTCTCAGGAAGAGGCATTTCACCCAAGAGCTAAGGAGGAAAGGGGAGCCCACCATATTTGTGCCTGGGGAAGAGCGTTGCAGGCACAGGGAATGGCAAGGTCGGAGGCTCTGAGCAAGAGAGAACATGGCGTGTCTGTGTAAGGGAAAGGACCGAGAGGACAAAGAGAAGGAAGCCACTTGGCGCACAGTGGGAGGAGAACCTCAGGGCTAGCTTTCAGGGCTGTGGCAGGGAGTTCAGGTTGTATTCTAAGTGCACTGGGAAACATTGCAACGTTAAAACCGAGTGTGACACGGTTTATCTTTTAAAAAGCTTACTCTGAGGCTGGGCACGGTGGCTCATGCCTGTAATCCCAGCACTTTGGGAGGCCGAGGCGGGTGGATCACCTGAGGTCAGGAGTTCAAGACCAGCCTGGCCAACATGGTGAAACCCCGTCCCCACTAAAAATACAAAAAAATTAGCCAGGTGTGGTGGCGGGCACCTGTAATCCCAGCTACTTGGGAGGCTGAGGCAGGAAAATCGCTTGAACCTAGGAGGCAGAGGTTGCAGTGAGCTGAGGTCTCATTATTGCACTCCAGCCTGGGAGACAAGAGCGAAACTCCATCTCAAAAATAAAATAAAATAAAAATTAAAAAAAAAGGTTACTCTGGCTATGAACCCTACCATATATTATCCTGCCCATACCTGTGGATTCTCGTTCAATGTGGGGCTCTGGGGGACCCAAGAAGAATCAGCCAGGGTCCCTGCCCCTAAGAGGCACTCAGCTCTTCTCCCTGCCACAACTTCACCCCCAGATGAGTCCCCCTCCTCTGCCCTACAACACTGACACAGTCCATTGATCCACTGGAAACTAGTTTATTTTTGATCAGTTTTTCAGGGGACAGGGCTGGAGTGGGGTGGGAGGTGGCTAGGCTCTGAAGCTTGGTTCTAGGATTGTTAGTTCTCATCCTCAGCACTGCGGCGGCCGAAGTCCATCCATCCATAGGCTTCTTCTTCTTCCTCCAGCCATGGTCCCTGCTTCTTGGACGGGTCTGAGGAGGTGAGAGAGGCGAGAATGGGGGAAGGATGCCTACCTTCCAGGAACTGAAGTCAGAGCCAGTCTGGGGAGACCTTGGCCAAACCTGGCCAAGTGAGGCAAGCAGGGCAGTCAGCAGCTCCTACCTGCCACGAGGTGTGGGGGACCCTGGGGTCCCAGCTGCCTTCGATGATGAGAGGCTGGGCCCTGCTGCTCCAGCCAGGGTAGCTCCAGGTCCCTGTTGGCCCCTGTACCTAAGGGTGCATCTGGCTGCTGGGAGCGGGGCTTCCAAGAAGCTTCAGAGAAGGCGGCCAGAGCCAGTGCAAAGATCAGCACATACACACACAGTCGCTGCATCTCGTCTGCAAAGGGGAGAAGGGACTAGCTTAAGGGTGAGGCTGTCCCCACAGAGGCCCAGAGGCAGGGGACTGAACCATGTGGCTCCAGGCCTCTACCTGCTGATGAGTGTGCAATTCTTTCTTTTTTTTTTTTTTAGACAGAGTTTCACTCTTGTTGCCCAGGCTGGAGTGCAGTGGTGGGATCTCGGCTCACTATAACCTCCGCCTCCCGGGTTCAAGTGATTCTCCTGCCTCAGCCTCCAGAATATCTGTGACTATAGGCACGTGCCACCATGCCTGGCTAATTTTTGTAATTTTTAGTAGAGATGGGGTTTCACCATGTTGGCCAGGCTGGTCTCGAACTCCTGACCTCAGGTGATCCACCCGCCTCGGCCTCCCAAATGCTGGGATTACAGGCATGAGCCACCGCACCCGGGTGAGTCTGCAATTCTGTGTGGAGTTGTGGACTATTTCTTCAGATCAGTTCTCCAGTTTCTGCCAGTTCCACACCAGCCCCGAAGTCTTGTGTTTTTTCTCTTTACCTACCCCGATTACAGCCACTGCTTCTATTGGAGAAAGTCAAATCCTAGGGCAATGGTTTCCCTAGGTTCTGTTCTGCAGAATTTGAGGCCATGTTAGTGGTTCTGTAGCTGTTTAAGTAATGTAATTTATTTATTTATTGAGACAGGGTCTCACTCTGTCGCCCAGGCTGCAGTGCAGTAGTGCAATCACTGCTCACTGCAGCCTCTACCTCCTGGGCTCAGGTGATCCTCCCACCTCAGCCTCCAGAAGAGCTGGGACTACAGGCTTGCACCACCACGTCCAGCTAATTTTTTTTGTATTTTTTGTAGAAACAGGGTTTCACCATGTTGCCCAAGCTAGTCTTGAACTCTTGGGCTCAAGCAATCCTCCCGCCTCAGCCTCCCAAAGTGCTGCGATTACAGATGTGAGCCACTGTGCTCAGCCCAAGACTTGTTATTTAAAGTGAACTTTTTAGGCCAGGCATGGTAATCCCAGCACTTTGGGAGGCTGAGGAGGATGGATCCCTTGAGCCCACAAGTTTGAGACCAGCCTGGGCAACATACTGAAACCCCATCTCTACAAAAAATACAAAAATTAGCCAGGCATGGTGGCATGCACCTGTATTCCCAGCTACTTGGGAGGCCGAGGTGGGAGGATCGCTTGAACCGGGGAGGTGGAGGTTGCAGTGAGCCGAGATTGCACCACTGCTCTCCAGCCTGGGCGACAGAGTGAGACCCTGTCTCAAAAAAACAAAAACAAAAAGTGAAACTTTTAAATAGTAATACCAAAGGAACATGGACATCCAGCTGTGTTACAGACCGCATGTTATCACTTTGGAGACTGCAGCACATTCAATGCTTGGCCAGCTCACACTGATTTTTGTGCAGCCCTGAGAGGAAAGGTTCTCCTGTCATTTTTGCTTAACTGAGGAATATCCTGTGATTATAATGAAGCAGTTAAGAAAAAATTAAGCTGTCACCATTAGCAATTATGTATCAGGGTGAATCAAGTTTGGGGAAAACATAATACAGAACTAAACTGGAATCTCAAACAAACATAAAATTCAAATGCTCATCTATTCCCTGGACTCACTATTTTTGTATGCTTTTGGTCTCACTATTCTGATTGGCTTTATCATAAGAAAATGATAAAAATTTTCTCTTGTCAGAATACATTTGTATTAATAAAATACTGTACTGCTTTTAAGTTTTTCTTTTTTTCTTTTCTTTTTGTGAGACAGAATCTTGCTCTGTCTCCCAGGCTGGAATGCAGTGGCTGGCGTGATCCTGACTCGCTGCAGCCTCGACCTCTTGGGCTCAAGAGATCCTCCCACCTCAGCCTCCTGAGTAGTTGGGACTACAAGTGTGCACTACTATGCCCAGCTAATTTTTTTGTTTTTATTTTTAGTAGAGATGAGGTCTCACTATGTTGCCCAGGCTGGTCTGGAACTCCTGAGCTCAAGCAATCTGCTTGCTTCAGCCTCCCAAAGTGTTGTGATCACAGGCATGAGCCACGGTGCCTGGCCATTAAGTTTTTCATAATCAGGTTTTCTGTTAGGTTTTCTTTGGAAGAAAAGAATTCTGCTGCTGAAGAAATGTTTGAAAAATCAGTGATCTGGAGCTGTATTGTCAGATGCTAACCACATGTGTTGTTCAGTGCTATAGCCACCAGCCACATGTGGCTCTTTACATTTAAATTAATTAAATTAAAAAATTATGGTCAGGTGCAGTGGCTCACGCCTGTAATCCCAGCACTTTGGGAGGCTGAGGGGGTTGGATCACTTGAGGTCAGGAGTTTGTGACCAGCCTGGCCAACATGGTGAAACTCTGTCTCTACCAAAAATATGAAAAATTAGCTGGGTGTTGTGGCAGGCGCCTGTAATCCCGGCTACTCGGGAGGCTGAGTCAGGAGAATTGCTTGAACCTGGGAGGCAGAGGTTGCATGTCACTGCACTCCAGCCTGGGTGACACGGCGAGACTCTATATAAAAAAACAAACAACAACAACAACAAAAACTTCCTTACACTAACCCCATTTCAAGCGCACACGTGGCTAGTGGCTACCATATTGAACAGTGCAGATGAAGACCATTTCCTGCATCATAGGACGTTCTTTTGGATGGCACTGGTCTAGGAAAGGGCTTGAAGTGGGATCCAGGAGCTGTGGATTCCTATCCCAGCCTTGCCTAATAATCCCTGTGACTTTGGGCAAGTCACATCTTGCCTCTGGGCCTCAGTTTTCTTGTCTGAGAGAAAGGAGAAGAACCCCAGTCCTCCTCACCTCCCAGGGCTGGGAAGAGTGTGAAGGGATAGGCTAAGGGCAGGGCCCCGGCTGCGGCAGAAGGGCAGGTGGAAGGCAAGGTTGGGAATACCAGGGTAGGTACTGGAGCCAAGACCTAGTTCCATCCTGGGATAAAGAAAGGGTCCCAGCTCTGGAGACCCCAAGGGGTGAGCCCCAGACTCTGGCCAGTGGCCTGGTACCTTGATGGGGGAGAGGACCTGTCAACCCACTTCCTAGCCTCTCCCCTCTCCTCCTGGGTTTTCTCACCTGCAGAGCTGGGAGGTGTGTGGTGCCACGGCTGGGCCTGGTGCCTCTCAGGTCTCTGCTCTGCTTGATGCTCCAGGCCTGCCTTATAAAGCCCTCAAGGTCCCTCCCAACTGTCCCCCCACCCCGCCCCTACCCTGCCATATGAGTCCAGGCGAGAGGAATGGGGTGGGGCACAGGTACAGCCCATCACCCTGCCCCGCCCTTTCATTTAGTGTCAGTCAGTCATCCAGGATGTGGGGGAAGGATAGGGGAGTTGACCTTCATGGTGAGGGGCTGGAGCGGGGTGGCGGCAGCTCTCCAGCTGTACCTGAGGGGCAGGAACCAAGCTCCCTGGGTCAGGAGCAATGCTTCCCACCATATCCTGGGGGTCAGAGGCCTGGCACTTATCTCTCGAACTACATAGGGACCTTTGTGGGTGGTGGTAGGTGAGGGAGTGAACCCGATGGGCTTAGATTCAGGGAAAGTGGATTTCGCCATCCACTGATGTTTGGCAAGCGTGTGAATGTGGGGTGATGTATTGATTCCCCGTCCCCTCCACTGGACTCTGCAAACATAACGTGTTACCAGGAGCAATGGGTTGTGGGCTGATGGCCCTGTTCTCTCCTTCTAGTGGCTCACATCCTGGTCACCTCTGAAGTCCTTTCACCCTCCCCCTACCATGGAACACCCTTGGTGCCTTCTTCTCCTTAGGCCCTCTGTGCTGGGCTGGGTTTGGCTTGTAGCTGCCCCGTGTCTTCTAGGTCAGCTGCCCATGCACCACCACTTGCAAACCCCCTATGCAGAACCAATTCCTGGAGGGTCCTGCCTTTGAAGCCTCCTTCATTTTGCTTTCAAGGGGAGCTAGTAATCTGCATAACAACTTTTTTTTTTTTTTGAGACAAAGTCTAGTTCTGTCACCAGGCTGGAGTGCAGGAGTGCAGTGGTGTGATCTCGGCTCACTGGAACCTCCGCCTCCTGGGTTCAAGCGATTCTTCTGCCTCAACCTCCCTAGTAGCTGGGATTACAGGCGCACGCCCCCACGCCTGGCTAATTTTTTGTATTTTTAGTAGAGATGGGGTTTCATCGTGTTGGGCGGGCTGGTCTCGAACTCCTGACCTCATGATCGGCCCAGCTTAGTCTGCCAAAGTTCTGGGATTACAGACGTGAGCCACCATGCCCAGCCAACAACTTTTCAGTATCAAAATATACCTTCAAATGGTTAGCAAACAGACTAAAGCATTTGCCAAAGATGGACCAGAAAACAAAATGGTACCTTGTTGACTTATTTGATAAACTGCTGCCTCCACATGGTTTGACCAGATGTAATGAGCCGTAGGCTGTTTTTTACTTTTCCACTGTTGAGAGCAGAGATTTTGCTCCTGTTCATGCGTCATTGGGCCCCCACCTTTTCTGGGAGAGTTTGATCCCCTTGGGTATTGGGTAACTGCAGTGGTACCCATGCTTACAGCCAGCCTTGCTGAGAATTAATGGGTGATGAAGGAAGCAGGCTGTGCGGTGTCCATGGCAACTGACGGCTGAATAACCGTTGTGAATAACCACTCTCATCTAGAGCAGGACACGGTGACTCAGCAGATGGAATAAATGAAAACGACAAAAAGCAGTGCAGGCATTGGTGATAATTAATTGAATCACAGAATCTCAGAGATGAAAGGACTTTGAGGGGGCTTGGGAGAACAGGTGGGGTGAGTGTAGCTCTGTTCATACACTAGGGGAATGAATGAAGACATTCGTGTTGCTATGGTAACACTAATGGGAAATGATAAGTTTTCAGTAGAACCCTGGTTGTACCAGAGCCCAAGACTCAGTTTGTGCCCATGGAGGGGGTTATGCCCCCTTGAATGTTCTTCCCCAGGCTGGTTACATGAGGGATGACAATTTCAACAAATAGAAGCATGTCTCCTATTCCATAGGCAATGGTTAGAATGTCACTATTTGGCCAGGCTTGGTGGCTCACTCCTGTAATCCCAGCACTTTGGGAGGCTGAGGCAGGTGGATCACGAAGTCAAGAGATCGAGACCATCCTGGCCAACATGGTGAAACCTTGACTCTACTAAAAATACAAAAATTAGCTGGGCATGGTGGCGGGCGCCTGTAATCCCAGCTACTCGGGAGACTGAGGCAGGAGAATCGCTTGAACCTGGGAGGCACAGAGAGGTTGCAGTGAGCTGAGATCATGCCATTGCACTCCAGCCTGGTGACAGAGCGAGACTCTGTCTCAAAAAAAAAAAAAAAAAAAAAAAAAGAATGTCACTATTTGCAGACCCTGCCAGGTCTGCAGGGGAAGGGTTGCATTCAGAGATGAGCATCCTTGACCCTGAGGAGCTCCCCAGTCACGGACTGCACGTTCTCCTCATGAGGGGACCTCGTCTGATGGAAAAGGAAGGGTTTCCTGGTCCTGTCTTTTTCCAGCTGTTGAGCTTTGAGCATATTTCTCTCCTTCTCTGAGCTGTTTTCTCCTCTAGGAAATGAGGAAAGTAACTTGGGGAGGAGGGTCTCGTGAAGGTGATGTACATAAAGCGCCCTGCACGGTGCTCAAAACATTGCAGATATTTGGCCGGGTGCGGTGGCTCATGCCTGTGATCCCAGCACTTTGGGAGGCCAAGGCAAGCAGATCACCTGAGGTCAGGAGTTCGAGACCAGCCTGAACAACATGGTGAAACCCCGTTTCTACTAAAAATACAAAAATTAGCTGGGCGTGGTGGCACATGCCTGTAATCCCAGCTACTTGGGAGGCTGAGGCACGAGAATTGCTTGAACCCAGGAAGTGGAGGTTGGAGTGAGCCAAGATTGTGCCATTGCACTCCAGCCTGGGTGACACAGTGAGACTGTCTCAAACAAACAGACAAACAAAAGAGAATATCGCAGGTATTTAATCCATTTTGCGTCTTCTCCCCCATCCTCTCTGGGTCTCAATTAACCACATTTGGAAATAGGAATCATTCATTTGTACCTCATAGGGCTGCAGTGAAGGGAAGAGGTGACAAGGTCTGTGCACACGCTTTATACACTTGGGGGAGTTCTCCTTCCCCAAGGCTTAAAGGAGGGTAATTCCCTAAGCATATCACTCTGTGAATCCAAGGGTTTCCCTCCTGCCAGCTGTGACTCAGAGGGACCTCAGCCCAACTGCCACTGAAAGAGGCAGCAGGGATAGAGTCTATGGAAGCTGGACCTCCTGGTGTACAGGGGGTTTTGGAACTGGTGAGGCCAGGGTTTGAATCATGGCTCTAACACCGACTAGCTGGGTGAGCAGAAAATTCAATTTCTGGGCCTACCAAATTGAAGACCAGATCCCAGACCTTGGGACCCATCTCCGTCCCCCTCGAGGGTGCAGGTGTGTGGGCCCTGCCCCTGTCATCACAACGATAACAATGCCGTGTACCAGGAACTGATAAGCTCTTAGCATGAATGAATGCAATCACTCTTCACCATGATCCTAGGACCTAAGTGCTAGTGTGAACCCCTTCTTCAGAAGAAACTGATGGGTACGGGGGCTTACGCCTGTAATCCCAGCACCTGGGGAGGCCGAGGCCGGCAGATTACTTGAGCCCAACAGTTGAAGACCAGCCTGGGCAACATGGCAAAACCCCATCTCTACAAAAAATACAAAAATTAGCTGGGTGTGGTGGTGCGTGGCTGTGGTCCCAGCTATTTGGGAGGCTGAGGTGGGAGGATTGCTTGAGCCGGGGAGGTGAGGTTGCAGTGAGCCATGATTGTGCCACTGTACTTGGGAGACAGAGTGAGACGCTGTCTCAAAAAAAAAAAAAAAAAAAAAAAAGAAGTAGAAACTAAGGCTTAGACAGGTGAAGTAATCCCCATCCTGAGTCCACACACCAAAAAGGAGAGGTGGGTCTGAAACTCAGGTCTCTATCCTCCCAGTAGGAATGTGGCAGGCAGAACAATCATGTCCCCAAAGATGTTCCTGCCCCAATCCTTGGAACCTGTGAATATGTGATTACATAACAAAAGAGACGTTGCAGGTGTGATTAAGGTTACTGGCTTTAAAATAGAGAGCTTATGCCAAGTGCAGTGGTGCATGCCTGTAGTCCCAGCTACTCTGGAGGCTGAGGCAGGAGGATCACTTAAGCCCAGGAGTTTGAGACCAGCCTGGGCAACATAGTGAGACCCCTGTCTCTGAAAAAAAAAATTAGGGAGTTTATGCTGGATTATCTGACTGGGCCCAGTGTAATCACATAGCCCTTAACTTTCTTCAGCTAGAGGCAGAAGAGATGTGGCTGAAGGTCAGGTCGGAGAGCTGGAGTTATGAGGACTCCACAAGCAATTGCTGGTCTGAAGATGGCAGGAGGGCAACAGGACGAGGAAAGCAGTGGCCTTGAGGAGCTGAGAGGTTCTCCACCGACAGCCAGGAAAGAGGAATGTCAGCCCCGCAACTACAAAGAATGAAATCTGGCCAACAACCTGGATGAGCTTGGAAGTGGATTCATCCCTAGAGCCTCCAGAAAGAAATGCAGCCCTGCCGACCTGATTGTGGCCTTGGGAGATCCTAATCAGGGGACCCCGTGAGCCACTCTGTACCAGGACTTCTGACCTACAGAACCGCGAGAGAATAAATTGCTGTTGTTTTAAGCTTCTAAATTGTGGTGACTTATTATGGTAGCAATCAAAAATGGATACAAGGGATCACAGCCTTGTGAAGGTTTCTGTTTAGTAAAAACTGGCCCAGCATGAATTTCCATGTAAATTTTCAAATACAAAGAAGGGAGCTGTTCTTTGAGTTATTCTGACCATCCGAATATTCCAAATTCATTCCAATTACTGAGCACCTGCTGTGAGCTAGGGTACAGATGAGGCTACTTGGGGATAAGAGGTGAATATGACAGCGCTGGGTGCAGCGGCTCACGCCTGTAATCCCAGCACTTTGGGAGGCTGAGGTGGGTGGATCACTTAAGTTTGGGAGTTCAAGACCAGCCTGACCAACATGATGAAACTCTGTCTCTACTAAAAAATACAAAATTAGCCGGGCATGGTGGTGCACGTCTGTAATCCTGGCTACTTGGGAGGCTGAGGTGGAAGAATTGCTTGAACATGGGAGGCAGAGGTTGCAATGAGCTGAGATTGTGCGATTGCACGCCAGCCTGGGCAACAAGAGTGAAGCTTTGTCTCAAAAAAAAAAACAGGTGACTATGACAGGACAGACCCTTTCATTGCTTTGGTGGAGTTTAGATTCTAGGGGCATAAAAGAGTAACACACGGCCGGGTGTGGTGGCTCACGCCTGTAATCCTAGCACTTTGGGAGGCCAAGGTGGGCAGATTGCCTGAGCTCAGGAGTTCAAGACCAGCCTGGGCAACATGGTGAAACCCTGTCTCTACTAAAATACAAAAAAAAAAAAAAAGCCGGGCGTGGTGGTGTGTGCCTGTAGTCCCAGCTACTTGGGAGGCTGAGGCAGGAGAATTGCTTGAACCTGGGAGGCAGAGGGTGCAGTGAGCTGGGATCGTGCCACTGCACTCCAGCCTGGCGACAGAGTGAGACTCTGTCTCAAAAAAAAAAAAAAAAAAAAAAAAAAAAAAAAAAAAAAAAGAGTAACAGAAAAACAAGGGTCCCCTGTGAAGGAGACTGTTCCCTGAGGAGGGAGAGGCTTCTCAGTGGACCCAGGCACACTCCTGCCTGCCAGGGCTGGCTTTGGGAAACAGATCACTATTGATGAGCTGCAAACCGTTGTCAGGGAGGCAGTGCCTTGGCTTCCTAATTGGTTATTGATGGCAGAAAAGGAAGAGCTTGATGACGACTCAATCATTCTGGCCCAGGCAACCAGGGCTTTGGAGGATGTGGTAGTTCTGGGGACAAACAGTGACACCTGGAAGGTGTTTGCATCAATGAGGGCATCCATGATCCCCCCTGGGGTAGGGGGCTAGGTAGGGGGAGGTGGGTTCTTGGGTTCTGGCCTCAGCTGCTGTCTGAGAGTGGTGACATGGCAGGGCCAAGAGGGCAGCCTGCAAGCTGCTTGCAGACTGGGCTGGAGAGGCTGCCCACCACCCCTGGGCCCAGGCTGGGCTGTCAAGGACAGAGAGTAGTGGCTACCCTTACTCTGGCTTCCGCTTCTCTCCTGAGCCTCCTCTCTCCTTTTCTCCTCTGATGCCCACCTGTGCCTTCGAAGCAGTGGTTCTCAGCCCAGGCTTTGTATTTGGATCACCTGGCCTCAAGTGATCCTCCCTCCTGGCCTCCCAAAGCCCTGGGATTTATAGGCATGGGCCACCACGCCTGGCCTAACAGTGGTTTTAACTGGGAAAAATAATCCTAAAGGCCCCTCTGTGAGAGGATGAGAGGAGTCTTTATTCGGGTGTGTTCCAGGCTGAATGGCTCATCCCCGGCCCAACAGGTAGGAGGTGAGGGAGCTGAGTTGGGGAACCCCCGGGTCTTGGACTCCATGTGCTGCTGCCTCTTCTCGGCCCACAGCTTCCCATCCCACCCTCTCCAGAAGCCTCGCTCCTGCTGAATCTGTCTTCACTGTGACCTCCAGCTCCTCCACTGTCTGGCTCCTCCCAGCCCGCCTACCCCTCCCAGGGTTTGTCATCTCAGTTCTGTGTGATGCACATAGATTGCTGCCCCTGTCCTGCTTCTGAACCTGCCAGGCTGGTCCCAGGTCCCTGACAGGCCACCCCGACCCCTTCCTCAGCTCCTGCCACTCCCTGCAAAAACCGACAGGAAGTTTCCGAAAGTGACCAGTTGATTCAATTGCAAATTAATATTCTGCAGCTTGGTTGTTACTGGCAACTGTGGTGAATCATTTCTCTTTCATTCCCAAGGTCATTTGACGTCAGCCCCCTTTTCCCCACCGTGAACACAGCTGCCTAAGTCCCGCTTCCGTCCTTTCCTCCTTTCCTCCATCGCTGGAGGTTCTGTCACCCCATTCAGTGTCAGCCCCTCCACCAGGGCCCATCATCCCAGACCCTCCTGCCTGCTTAGAGACCGTGTGCTTTCACTCTTTCATTCACTCATTCATCCATGCATCTGTTTACTCAACACAAATTTTCCAAGTGCCTGCTTTGTGTCAGGCACTGTTCTGACCCTGGGGACACAATGGTGATCGAGGGGGGTCTTTGTTCTTTCTCTTCCCTTTTCTTTGTTGTCTATTGAGCCCAGGAGTGGGGTGGGTTGGAGTGACACATGGTGGGCTCAAGGGGCCATGGGGGAGGTTTGGATGGCTGGTTATGCCTATGACCTCGCTATTGAGAACGTTATTTCAGAGAAGGTAGAAGGATCAGTGCGTTTCTTCAAGCTTTACTGAAGTTTTGCTGCATATATAAACCCACCTGATTCCAAATGATCCCTGGCAGACGGCAGAGGTCATTTCTGTCCACGAGCCAGAGAGATGCTGCCATGTGGCAAGGGCAACACCCCTGCTCATAATGTGCCCACCCAGCCAGCTTTGGAAATGATGCAATTCTTTTTTTTTTTTTTTTTTTTTTTTTAAATAAGCCATTTAGCCAGGCGCAGTGGCTCATGTCTGTAATCCCAGCACTTTGGGAGGCTGAGGCAGGCAGATCACTTGAGAACAGGAGTTCGAGACCAGCATGGCCAACATGGTGAAACCCCCGTCTCCAATAAAAATACAAAAATTAGCTGGGAGTGGTAGCGCATGCCTGTAATCCAGCTACTCAGGAGGATGAGGCAGGAGAATTGCCTGAATCCAGGGGGTAGAGGTTGCAGTGAGCCGAGATCAGACCACTGCACTCCAGCCTGGGCAACAGAGTGAGACTGTCTCCAAAAAAAAAAAAAAAAGCCATTTATTTAGATATTGTTTATATACCATACCTTTTGCCCTTTGAAAGTATACACTTCAGTGGCTTTTATATTATTTACTTTCTTTTTGAGACAAGTTCTTTTTCTTTTTCTTTTTTTTTTGAGACGGAGTCTTCTTCTGTCACCCAGGCTGGAGTGCAGTGGTATGAACTCAGCTCACTGCAACCTCCACCTCCCGAGTTCAAGTGATTCTCCTGCCTCAGCCTCCCAAGTAGCTGGTATTACAGGCGCCCATCACCACATCTGGCTAATTTTTTGTATTTTTAGTAGAGATGGGGTTTCACCGTGTTGGTCAGGCTGGTCTCGAACTTCTGACCTCAAGTGATCTGCCCGCCTCGGCCTCCCAAAGTGCTGGGATTACTGGCGTGAGTCACTGCGCCTGGCTGGGGTCTTCTTATATTGCCTAGGCCGGTCTTGAATTCAGGTGATCCTCCTGCATTGGGCTCCCAAAGTGCTGGGATTACAGACTTGAGCCACTGTGCCCAGCCAAAGACAGGTTTTTTGCTGTGTTGCACAGGCTATTCTCTAACTTCTGGGCTCAATGATCCTCCCACCTAAGCCTCCCAAGTAGCTAGGACTGGAGATGCAAGCCACCAAGCCCAGCTTCAGTGGCTTTTAGTTCACACATTTGTGCAACTATCACCATTATCTAATTCAGAACACTTTCATCACCCCACACCCATTTGCAGTCATTCCTCATTCCCCCTTTTCCCTGGAAACCACAAATCTACTTTCTGTCTCCAAGAATTTGCCTATTCTGAGACTTTCATTTAATTGGAATCATACAATATACGGCCTTTTGTGTATGGGTTATTTTACTTAGCATGATGCATTTGTGATTCATTCATGTTGTAGTATACATCAGAACTTCATTCTTTTTTTTTTTTGAGACAGAGTCTCGCTCTGTTGCCCAGGCTGGAGTGCAATGGCAGGATCTCAGCTTACTGCAACCTCCGCTTCCTGGGTTCAAGTGATTCTTCTGCCTCAGCCTCCCAAGTAGCTGGGATTACAGGTGCCTGCCACCACGCCCAGCAAATTTTTTGTATTTTTAGTAGAGACGGGGTTTCACTATGTTGGCCAGGCTGGTCTCGAACTCTTGACCTCAGGCAATCCACTCGCCTCGGCCTCCCAAAGTGCTGGCATTACAAGTGTGAGCCACTGCACCCGGCCTTTTTTTTTTTTTTTTTTGAGACAGAGTTTCGCTTTTGTTGCCCAGGCTGGAGTGCAATGGCGCGATCTCGGCTCACTGCAACCTCCGCCTCCAGGGTTCAAGCGATTCTCCTGCCTCAGCCTCTCGCGTAGCTAGGATTACAGGTGCTCACCACCACACCCGGCTAATTTTTATATTTTTATTTATTTTTTATTTTATTTTATTTTTTTTCGAGACAGCGTCTCACTCTGTTGCCCCGGCTAGAGTGCAGTGGTACGATCTTGGCTCACTGCAACCTCCGCCTCCCGGGTTCAAGTGATTCTTCTGCCTCAGCCTGGCCAGCATGGTGAAACCCCGTCTCTACTAATAATACAAAAAATTAGCTGAATATGGTGTCGCGTGCCTGTAAGCCCAGCTACTCGGGAGGCTGAGGCAGAATAATTGCTTGAACCTGGGCGGTGGAAGTTGCAGTGAGTTGAGATTGCGCCATTGCACTCTGGCCTGGGTGACAAGAGTGAGACTATCTCAAACAAAACAAAACAAAACAAAACAAAACAAAGAAATGGTGCCAAATCTTATTTATTAATTTAGAGACAGGCTCTCTCTCACTCCCGTTGCCCAGGCTGGTGTCCAGTGGCGCAATCTTGGCTTCCTGGGCTCAAGTGATTCTCCCCTGTTAGTCTCCTGAGCAGCTGGGATTGCAGGCACACACCACCGCACTGGCTAATTTTTTTTTTTTTTTTTTTAGTAGAGACAGGATTTTGCCATGTTGCCTGGGCTGGTCCCGAACTCCTAGGTTTAAGCAATCTGCCCGCCTTGGCCTCCCAAAGTGCTGGGATTACAGATGTGAACCACCGCGCCTGGACCAAATCTAATTTAGAGCATTAAAAAGTATTCATGGCCGGTAATGGTGGATCACGGCAATAATCCCAGCACTTTGGGAGGCTGAGGTAAGAGGATCACTTGAGCCCAGGAGTCTGAGACCAGCCTGGGCAACATAGCGAGACCCTGTCTCTACTTAAAAAAAAAGCCAGGTGTGGCAATGTGAACCTGAAGTCCCAGCTACTTGGGAGGCTGAGGCGAGAGGATTGCTTGAGCCCGGGAGTTGGAGGCTGCAGTGAGCTATGATCAGATTGCACTAGTGCACTCCAGCCTGGGTGATAGGGTCTGGTGCACTCCAGGGCCTATCTCAAACAAAATAAAACAAAACATTCATTATTAAACAAAGGAACTAAAATAAATGTGTGAATCTTTAAACTCAAGAAGTTAGAAAAAGAGCCACAAAATCAAGGAAAATAAGGAAGAAAGAAAAATAATAAAATCGGAGATTAATGATTGAGAAAAACAGAAAAAAATGATAGAGTTGCTAAGATTAAGAATGGATTTTTTGGTTGGGTGTAATTCCAGCACTTTGAGAGGCCAAGGTGGGAGCATCCCTTGAGACCAGGAGTTGGAGGCTGCAGTGAGCTATGATCACTGTACTCAGCCTGGGCAACAGAGTGAGACTGTGTCTTAAAAAAAAAAAAAAAAATTGGCCTGGCGCAGTGGCTCACGCCTGTAATCCCAACACTTTGGGATGCTAAGGCGGGTGGATCACCTGAGGTCAGGTTTTCAAGACCAGCCTGACCAATATGGAGAAACCCCGTCTCTACTAAAAATACAAAATTAGCCAGGCATGGTGGCACATGCCTGTAATCCCAGCTACTCAGGAGGCTGAGGCAGGAAAATGGCTTGAACCCAGGAGGAGGAGGTTGCAGTGAGCTAAGATGGTGACACTGCACCCTAGCCTAGGTGACAGAGTAAGACTCCAACTCTAAAAAATAGTAAAATTAAAAAATCTCCTTTAAAACAGAGTGCTTGTTGGACAGGAGGTCCACACGCAGGAGCCGTGACCCTGCGGCACCCAGGTGTCCAAACGGGCTCCCTCAATCCACAGCCACTCTTGCCAGCCGTTACCCAGTCACAGCAGCCCGGGTCACTGCACAGTTTAAATTGTCTTTAATCATAGTCCTTTATGGTTAATTTATACCCATAATGGGCAATTGGTTAAAAACAGGAAGCAGAGGGAGCACAGAGGTTGAAAAATAAGTGAACATTGAACATAAACATGATGCCCTTTGTGTGTCTAGTTATTAATTCTCGCTCCATTTCTGTGATATAGGAGGAAACAAGCACAAGGGGAATATAAGGTTCAGGGAGATTATGACTTGCCCACCTTGGAGACAGAACTAAAGATTTTTGCTGCTCAGCATCACCTGGGAGCTTGATAGATGTGCAGAATTTCAGGCTCTACCCCAGATCTACTGAATCAATCTCCATTTTAACAATCTTCATTTTAAACAGTTTCAAGGCCAGATGCAGTGGCTCACGCCTATAATCCTAGCACTTTGGGAGGGCAAAGTGGGAGGATCACTTAAGCCCAGGAGTTCAAGACCAGCCTGGACAACATAGTGAGATCCCACCTCTACAAAAAATACAAAAATTAGCCAGGCATGATGGGGCATGCCTGTAGTCCCAGTTACTCAGGAGGCTGAGGCAGGAGGATCACTTGAGCTTGGGAGGCGGAAGTTGTAACGAGCCATGACCACACCACTGCACTCCATCTTGGGTAACAGAACCAGACCCTGTCTTGAAAAAAAGTCTGATATAGCCTGATGCAGTGGCTCACGCCTGTAATCCCAGCACTTTGGGAGGCTGAGGCGGGTGGATCATTTGAGGGTCAGGTGTTTGAGACCAGCCTGGCCAACATGATGAAACCCCATCTCTACTAAAAATACAAAAATTAGCTGGGCGTGTTGGTGCATGCCTGTAATCCCAGCTACTTGGGAGGCTGAGGCACAGGAATCGCTTGAATCCAAGAGGCTGAGGTTATAGTGAGCTGGGATCGTGCCTCTGCACTCCAGACTGGGTGACAGAGCAAGACTGTCTCAAAAAAAAAAAAAAAAAGAAAAAAAGAAAAGAAAAGGGCCGGGCTCGGTGGCTCATGCCTCTAATCCCAGCACTTTGGGAGACTGAGGTGGGTGGATCACGAGGTCAGGAGATTGAGACCATCCTGGCTAACACAGGTGAAACCCCGTCTCTACTAAAATTACAAAAAAAAAAAAAAATTAGCCGAGCGTGGTGGCAGGCACCTGTAGTCCCAGCTACTCGGGAGGCTGAGGCAGGAGAATGGCATGAACCTGGGAGGTGGAGCTTGCAGTGAGCCAAGATTGTGCCACTGCACTCCAGCCTGGGCAACAGAGCGAGATTCAGTCTCAAAAAAAAAAAAGAAAAAAGTTTGAAATGCAGCACTTTAGACCATAAAATTAGCAGACTTTATTTTTTTTAATTTTATTTATTTATTTTTTTGAGACGGTGTCTTGCTGTGTTGCCCAGGCTGGAGTGTAGTGGCGTTATCTCGGCTCACTACAACCTCTGCCTTCTGGGTTCAAGCGATTCTCCTGCCTCAGCCTCCCAATTAGCTGGGATTACAGGCGCCCGCCACCACGCCCAGCTAATTTTTGTATTTTTTTTTTTTTTTTGAGACGGAGTCTCGCTCTGTCGCCCAGGCTGGAGTCCAGTGGCCCGATCTCGGCTCACTGCAAGCTCCGCCTCCTGGGTTCATGCCATTCTCCTGCCTCAGCCTCCCGAGTAGCTGGGACTACAGGCATCCACCACCACGCCCAGCTAATTTTTTGTATTTTTAGTAGAGACAGGGTTTCACTGTGTTAGCCAGGATGGTCTTGATCTCCTGACCTCATGATCTGCCCATCTCAGCCTCCCAAAGTGCTGGGATTACAGGCGTGAGCCACCGCGCCCAGCTAATTTTTGTATTTTTAGTAGAGAGGGGTTTTTACCATGTTGGTCAGGCTGGTCTCGAACTCCTGACCTCAGGTGATCCACCCGCCTCAGCCTCCCAAAGTGCTGAGATTACAAGTGTGAGTCACCGCGCCTGGCTTTAGTGGACTTTATATTGCAATCTGTTCACTGGTTAAAAAAAGACAGTGGCATTGTTTTTATAAGTGCACATTCCATCGCAGTTTTAGATCTGCATTGGAGCACACAAAAACGGACAGTAGAAGCATAGAAAGCGACAGTTATGAATTGAGTATGGATCGAGCATCATTGCATTAGGTGAGAGGTGTGGGTATCTGGCTGGCAGGGGAATCAAACAGGGAGCCCTTCAGTGATACCAAGCCTGGGCTCAGGCCTCAGAGTCTCAGGCGAGAACTGCTGCAGGTGGCGAAGTGATGGTGATCTACCCAGCCACTCCCACTGAGCCTCACCAGACTCGCAGGTCAACCGATTAAGAGGGCTCCAGGATGTCACAAACAATGCTGACAGAGAAAATTCAGTGACGGTTATATCTGATTTGGCTTTTCTTTTTTTTCTTTCTGATACAGAGTCTCGCTATGTTGCCCAGGCTGGAGTGCAATGGTGCCATCTCAGCTCACTGAAACTTTAGCCTCCCAGGTTCAAGCAATTCTCCTGCCTCAGCCTCCTGAGTAGCTGGAATTACAGGCGTGCACCACCACACCTGGCTAATTTTTGTATTTTTAGTAGAGACGTGGTTTCACCATGTTGGCCAGGCTGGTCTTGAACTCCTGACCTCGTGATCCGCCCACCTCAGCCTTCCAAAGTGCTGGGATTACAGGTGTGAGCCACCGCACCCGGCCTTGGCTTTTCATTTATGGGGACCAAGGACAGCCTACATCTCTCACGTACTATTCGCAAACTCCTTGGATATGAGTATCCTGAAACTGTCTTATATCATGCTCTAGGGAAAAATACACGAGTTATAAATTCAAATTTTAATGTAGTGAGTGTAAGCAGGGGATCCTAATGAGCTTTAGTGTTAATAAAACACTCATAATGAAATCTAAATCTGCATTTTATTTTATTTTACTTTGAGATGGAGTCTTGCTCTGCCGCCCAGGCTGGAGTGCAGTGACGCCATCTCGGCTCACTGTAATCTCTGCCTCCCGGGTTCAAGTGATTCTAGTGCTTCAGCCTCCTGAGTAACTGGGATTACAGGCACACACCTCCACAGTTCGCTAAGTTTTGTATTTTTAGTAGAGTCGGGGTTTCGCCATGTTGGCCAGGCTGGTTTCAAACTCCTGACCTCAGGTGGTCCGTCCGCCTCAGCCTCCCAAAGTGTAAGGATTACAGGTGTGAGTCACCACGACCGGCCTAAATCTGCATTTTAATATATATGTGTTCTCATAACCAAACATAATGTAATATCACTTTTCAATTTGTTTGGCACTTTTCTTTTTTCTCTTTTTTTTTTTTTTGAGACAGGATCTCACTCTGTCATCCAGGCTGGAGTGCCGTGGCGTGATCATAACTCACTGCAGCCTCAAACTCCTAGGCTCAAGTGATCCTCCTGCCTCAGTCTCCTGAGTAGCTGGGACTACAGGCACATACCACCACACTAGGCTTGCTTTCTCTTCCAATTATATATACAATGTTTGTTAGTGAGTCCCTGGGAGATCTAAAATAAATAAATAAACACTGTGTTTTGTCACTTTTTTAACGGAGAAAGTCAAAATAGTCTTTGAATGGTATGATTACCACAGATTATACTTTAAATGCACTTTAGAGAAGGAAGAAACTATCATATAATTTACCAACCAATTATCTTTTACTTAAAATTCCTAGCATAGTCTGGGCATGGTGGCTCATGCCTGTAATCCCCAGCACTTTGGGAGGCAGAGGCAGGAGGATCACTTGAGTCCAAGAGTTTGAGACCAGCCTGGGCAATACAGTGAGATCCTGCCTTTATCTATTTCAAATAAATAAATAAATAAAATAAAATTCCCAGCATATACCAGGCATATGATGAAAAAGATCTAAAATTCTCAAGTTAGTCCTCTAGATTGCTGATATAACAGGGGAAAGGATTATTGGGTCCAAAAAGTGTTGAGACTCACTGAGAGAGACAGCAGCTGCTTGGCTGCGGGACACAGGATAGAAGGCAGTCACGTGGGTGACTCTGAAAAGCTTGCCCGGGTTTATGACAGTTCCCAGAGGTTCATGTGACCCAGGGTTTCCCAACCTCAGCACTGTTGATATTTTGGGCCAGATAGTTATTTGTGTGGGGGTAAGAGGCTGTTCCATGGGTCACAGGATGTTTAGCAGCATCTCTGACCACTTCTTACTGGATACCAGTAGTATACATCTCTTCTCTCCCACCCCCACCCCAGGCAACTAACATAGTCTCCAGACTCTGAGAACTACTGATGTAATTCCAGCCTTTCCCTCCGGCTCTACCAAGTAGGGATGCAAAGGGGAGAGAGTAAGTCACATAACTCTCTCTCTTTTTTTTTTTTTTTTTAGGAGAGACGGGGTTTCTCCATGTTGCCTAGCCTGGTCTCGAACCTCTCACCTCAAGTGATCCGCCTGCCTTGGCCTCTCAAAGTGCTGGGATTACAGGCGTGAGCCACCGTGCCTGGCCCTAGCAAGTCACATAATTTATAGAGGGTAACTCTGTCGATTTTAAACTTCGCGTAGTCTGACCCATTCATTCATCCAATAAACACGTATTCAGCACCTAGTATGTGCCAGACTCTCTTGCAGGCACTGGGGATACAGCCCTGGACAAAGGTTTCTGCCCACACAGAACTTATGTTCTAGTGGGGGAAGATGGCCAAAATCAAATGAACAAATAAATTATATTGTTGCCCTACAAATAGGTCATATAGTTGTGCTATGGAGAAAAAAAAGCAGGAAGAAGAGAGATTGTGCCTCTCCCTGTCACAGACCCGAATGTGGCCCCTTCTAAACACAGTTTAAATTCTTCAGTATTTATACGATGATTGGTTTAGAATCTGACTCTCCGACTGCAGTACTGCAAACCCCACGAGGAGTGTGGTTTCTCTTGTTCATCACTGGGCCCCCACACCTGGCACAGCACCTGCACTGAGTGAGTGCTCCATAGGCATGAATGAATGAATGAATGAATGAACGCGGCAAAGAGCTATCGATGGAGTCTGGACTTGGACGAGAAGTCGTAGCTGGACACAGAGCCTTAGGATCAGGAACACTGAAGACAAACAAAGCCATGATATAGGGTGAGACCACCAAGGGAGAGGGAAGGACAGTCAGGACAATCCCTTGGGAACGCTTGCATTTAGAGAGTGGAAGAAATGAGAGGCTTGAGCAGGAGGGGGCAACAAGGGTGCATGGTGCCTAGCAGGAGACCCCACTGCACTCCAGCCTGGGAAACAGAGTGAGACTCTGTCCCCCCACCAAAAAAAAAGTTAAAAATTGGTCAAGGAGCTCTTAATTGAAAAATTGTAAAGCCTTGTGCACAGTAAACTGTGTTTTTACACTACTGCCACAAGGGGGCACCATCGAGGCTGATAAACCAGGAAGGGGGTCATGTTCAGTTCTCCAAATATGCTATGTGTTTTTCTGGCTTATTCATAGAGTTGACAGCAATTGGAATAGGTTCTAAAGTTGTTTTGTAGCTTCTTATGCAGTTTTAGCTGACCAGTTTTCATTTTGTCTTCATAACACCATCTTAAGAAACACTCAGTTTGTCCTTGCGTGTAGCTGTTGCAGCGTGTGGGGATGGGGGCAGGAGGGCTGGGGGGGTTTGGGGTGGGAGAGGAGGACTAAGGAGCAGAGAGCTGAGGGACCTTTTCAGCATAATCAATCTTTCTTTTTTTTGTTGTTGTTTTTGTTTTTGAGACGCAGTCTCGCTCTGTTGCCCAGGCTGGAGTGCAGTGGCACGATCTCGCCCGCCACCACGCCCAGCTAATTTTTGTATTTTTAGTAGAAATGGGATTTCGCCATGTTGACCAGGCTGGCCTCGAACTCCTGACCTCAAGTGATCTGCTGGCCTTGGCCTCCCTAAGTGCTGGGATTACAGGCGTGAGCCACTGCGCCGGCTTCCAGGTGCCTTTTCACCTCTGGGTGTGACTCTTTTTCTCTGCTCGAAATGCTTGGCTTCAGACAGCACCTCCTTTATGAAGCCTTCTTGGCCCCCTTGGCTGAGGATGGGAGTGGGGAAGATTTCGCAGTCCTCAGAGATCCTGTGGCTCTTTGGGTCCCTTTCTGTCCTGCGTCAAGGCTGTGTGCTGGTCTTACATCTACCTACCAGGCAGTCAGCTCCCTGAGTGCAGGGGGTCTGCCTGACATGCCCTGTAGTGTACTACAGATACCAAGCACTCAACAATCTCTGTAAGATGAGCATTTATTTATTTATTTCTGCTCCCACTCCACCGGGAAAATGAGTTACAGAAATTGTGAATGTACAGGTGCAGCTGGTGGGAGGAGGGGTACACAGGGAGTCCTGGGTTCTAGATGAGGCTCCACAACTTACCTTGGGAATGTCCACATCACATTGTTTTCTTTTTTTGAGACAGTGTCTATCTCTGTCACCCAGGTTGGAGTGCAGTGGTGCCATCTTGGCGCACTGCGACCTCTGCCTCCTGGGCTCAAGCCATTTTCCCACCTTGGCCTCCCCAGTAGCTGGGAGCATAGGCATGCAACACCACGCCTGGCTAATTTTTGTATTTTTTGTAGAGACAGGGTTTAGTCATGTTGCCCAGGCTGGTCTCGAAGTCCTGGACTCAAGCAATCTGCCTGCCTTGGTCTCTCAAAGTGCTGGGATTACAGGCATGAGCCACCATAACCAGCCATCATGCCTTCTTTTTTTTTTTTGGAGACGGAGTCTCGCTCTGTTGCCCAGGCTGGAGTGCAGTGGCGCAATCTTGGCTCACTGCAACCTCTGCCTCCTGGGTTCAAGCGATTGTCCTGCCTCAGCCTCCCACCTGGGACTACAGGCGCACGCCGCCATGCCCGGCTAATTTTTTGTATTTTAGTAGAGACAGGGTTTCACCGTTGTTGCCCAGGCTGGTCTCGAACTCCTGAGCTCAGGCAATCCGCCTGTCTTGGCCTCCCAAAGTGCTAGGATTACAGATGTGAGCCACCGCGCCCGGCCCATCATGACTTTTTAATTATACTTTTCTTCATTCAGCCTGAGATAGGTTACATCAGGTGGATAAGGGTGTTCACCAACTTCCTCAGTTCTGTGTTCACAGATACTTGTTTCGCTTGGCTTCACAGAGCTGATTTAATAGATGTTGATGGTTTAACTTGGAATAATCCCATCCTAGAGAATTGGAGGTCCTTAAAAAGCATGAGATGGAACAGCCTAGCACAGAACCTGGCCGTGTTCACAACCTACAGCATAGAAGGAATTCTCTTCTCTTGCTGTTTCATCCTGATTGTAGTATTTTGTGTGTTTGGCCTCCCGCCTTGCTCTAGAAGTTCCTCCAAGAAAAAACCTCCTACATTACAGTCAAATCTTACTGATTTAAAAGTCTCACCCAGCCAGGCACGGTGCTCATGCCTGTAATCCCAGCACTTTGGGAGGCTGAGGCAGGCGGATCACAAGGTCAAGGAGATCGGGACCATCCTGGCCAACATGGTGAAACCCTGTCTCTACTAAAAATACAAAAATTAGCCAGTCGTGGTGGCACGTGCCTGTAGTCCCAGCTACTCGGGAGGCTGAGGCAGGAGAATCGCTCGAACCTGGGAGGCAGAAACTGTAGTGAGGCGAGACCGTGCCATTGCACTCCAGTCTGGGCAACAGAGCAAGACTCCATCTCAAAAAAAAAAAAAATTCACTCAAATATTTTGAACAATGCCACTGTATTTGGAGCCTTGGTTGGCTCCAAGGCTAAATTATTTTGTGTTCATGAAACAGACTGGTTTTGTAGGACCTTTAACACGACAAGCTCCTGATGCTGGGGTTAGAATCATTGCTATAGTTTGAATGCTCCACCCAAACCAAAACCCATGTTGAAATTTAATTGCCAATTGAACAGTTATTGGGAGGTGGGGCGCTTTTTTTTTTTTTTTTTTGGAGACTCTGTCACCCAGGCTGGAGTACAGTGGCAGTGACATGATCACAGCTAACTATAGCCTTGGCTTCCTGGGCACCAGTGATCGTCCTTCCTCCTGCCTCAGCCTCCTAAGTAGCTGGGACTACAGGTGTGTGCCATCATGCCTGGCTAATTTTTGTATTGTTTGTAGAGATAGGGTTGTGCCACGTTGCCCAGGTTGGTCTCAAGGATTCACCCCCCTTGGCAAGTGCTGGGATTACAGGTGTGAGCAACTGTGGCTGGCCAAGGTGGGGTTTTTAAAGGTATTAGGTCCTGAGCCTCTGCCCTCATGAATGAAGTGGGCTCACAACAGTATAGGTTTGGCCCCCAT
Organism: Homo sapiens; assembly: GCF_000001405.40. Classification (NCBI taxonomy): domain Eukaryota; kingdom Metazoa; phylum Chordata; class Mammalia; order Primates; family Hominidae; genus Homo; species Homo sapiens. The sequence goes on along the minus strand of NC_000017.11, from coordinate 41,693,272 downwards.
TTGCTGTCCAGCCCTTCCACCATGTTATGATGCAGTAAGAAGGCCCTCACCAGATGCCAATGCCATGCCTTTCGACTTCTGTGAGCCAAATAAATCTCTATCAATTATTCAGTCTGCTGTATTCTAACACAATCACCTCCTAGTTTTAGGGCAGTTGCCATTGGCTCAACCTCACCAGCCCTCCTCCACAACTCACCTGGTTCTATGCTCTTTCCCAACCTGGGCTCTAACCTAACTCACCGCTTGTACCTTTATCTACAAAATGGGCTGGTAGTAAACTTAGTAGTCTTGCATTACTCAATGACAGGGACATGTTTTGAGAAACGCATCGTTAGGCGATTTTGTGTTTTCTACGAACATCATCGTGTACTTACGCACACCTGGATGGCACAGCCTACTACATGCCTAGGTTATATGACACAGCCTGTTGCTCCTAGGCTACAAACCTGTACAGCACGTTACTGTGCTGAAATTGTAGGCCAGGGGTGTCGTATCTTTTCACTTCCCTGGGCCACACTGGAAGAATTGTCTTGGGCCACACATAAAATACACCAACAATAGCTGATGAACTAAAAAGAAAAAAAAAAAAGTCACCAAACAAAACTCATGTTTTAGCAAAATTTATTAGTTCGTGTTGGGCCACATTCAAAGCCATCCACACAAGCTTCTTGTAGGCCATTGTAACACAATGTTAAAAGGTACAGTAAAAATACAGTATTATAATCTTATTGTGTAGCACGGCTGTGAGGCTCATTGTTGAATGAAGCATCCTTAGGCAGCACGTGACTGCATGCAGATATGTGTGCTGAAAGAACTTTGCCTTTTTAACTAAATTAATGGACCCAGGAACAGAACTTGGTCTTTTACTTGCCATTCATTGTCCTTCATAAGGGATGGCCTCCCAACACTTAACTTCAGCTCTTCAAATACTTGTCATTAAACCTTCTAATACTACAAACTTACTACCCAGAGTATACACATTCCTAGCGATTTGTGGATCTTAACCCACAGCATGAATGCCCTTGTTATAGCCCTTGCATTTACTCTCCACTCTGCGCCCTTAAACCAAGGCTGTTACTACTGAGGGGGCGCCAAGATTTCCAAGCAACCCATTCTCCAGGACACTGATTAACAGCACAGCATGACTCTGGCTAAATGCTTGCAAAAACAGTTGACCTGCTGGGCATGGTGGCTCATGCCTGTAATCCCAGCACTTTGGGAGGCCAAGACAGGCAGATCACTTGAGGCCAGGTGTTCAAGACCAGCCTGGCCAACATGGAGAAACCCTGTCTCTACTAAAAATACAAAAGTTAGCTGGGCATGGTGCCTGTAATCCCAGCTACTAGGGAGGCTGAGGCACGACAATTGCTTGAACCTGAGGTGGAGGTTGCAGTGAGCCGAGATTGTGCCACTGCACTCCAGCCTGGGCAACAAGGGCAAACCTGTCTCAAAAAACAAACGAACAAAAAACCAGTTGACCAGAGAGGGACAAGCTCATAAAGGTTTTTCTTGGCCAAATTCAGGCCCGTTGAGAAGCTGTGGGTGTGGACGAATCCTCCACTGCCCATTTCTATGGTTCCTTTATATGCACAAGATCGACTATATATAAATAATCTGCAAGTCAGGTATTTCTGAAAACAAGTTTTATTTAAATAAGGGTTTAAATACATTACACATAACATTAAAACTGAAGGGGAAAAAAAAACCAAAAACCAGTTTGTTACTTCACATGGCATTGGGCAGCTGCTGCTATTAAGTTGCAAGCTCTACAGCTAGCTACATGACTGATGGATCAGTTTGAGATTTGTTCCCTTGTCAAAAGTTTAACTCTGATAGAAGGTTGGCCTCACATTCTGATGTTTGGACATCCCTTAGCTAGGATATGTCTGGTCGAACAGACCTTTGTGGCAAGCCAGATGTCCTATCACCTCGCTAGCGGTAAGAGGGCCTCTTTGAGCTCTGTCCACCTAGTCAGGTTGGAGACACCAGGGGATCTACCACCAAAAGCTCCCTTCTAGTAGTACAGCTGGTGCTTCTGCCTTACCCCATCCTCTCCTCTCAGATTCACCGAGGACTGTTCAGGTGGTAACATTCTCTTAGGGTAGGGAACTCTGCAGAGGGAGAGCTGAGGAGGTTCCGGCCATAGTTGTTTGTAATCTTAGGGCTCTGGGCTTGGCTGAAACATGACGGTATTGCTTGGTTTCAGGCTTGACACTGCCAGGCGCCTATTGCTTGACCTCTGTTTAAATGAGGGACTTCAAGACTAGACAGCATGGCTCTTTTCAGTTTATTGCATGAAGGAGTTACACTAGTCCAAGTTAAAAGCGGACCCCAAATGGTTACATTATACAAGCTGTGAGGTTTTTAAACCTGTGACAAGGGAGAGAAGGGAAATTCTACTCATTGCAAGGAAATCCTCACTTAAGCTTCAGTGAGCCACAAGCACTTAAAACCCATGAACCTTCAGCTGATCGTCCTTAGCCAGTCCAATCTGAAAAGACAAAAGGGCAAAGTTTTAAATGGGGGACAGGGAGAGTTAAAGCCTCCATTTCTAATGGCAACAACCCTGTCTTCCTGCTACTACACTGCCCAAGAGCCAGGGGTGCGCACAATGGTTCAACAGAGGGTCCTCAGTTAAGAGCTACCTTTTTTGAACACTCAGTGCCTTCCAAGGTTCTGAATTAGTGTGAGAATGAGACTCATCAGGTATCTGAAATCTCTTCAATTATATCAAGAGCTGATCATGTAACAGTATTTTAGTATTAATACTCAGGAAATTCATTTTTAAAAACTCATGTCCTTACAAATACAGGAACAACCCAGCATTTGGCTTATTTTACAATGCATCTATATGCTATTCAAATTTGCATCTGTGAAGTAGATCCACAGAAACAGTAAACCAAAGGTAGACAAGTCCCTTCTGCTTTTTCCTATAAAACAGAAATAAGTCTATGTACTTTAAAACCCAACTGAGGTTTTGCTCAGCCTTACAAAGCCAACTTTTATGTCCCCAGCAGAAGCTAACAGACAGGATCTGAGATTTGCCAGCAGAGAGGCACAAATCAAGTAGTGACTGAACTCACCTCTACGAGGAACTGGCATATGTTCTTGCGTTGGTCACCCTGTAGCTGAATTACTTCTCCATATTCCGGATGCTCAATTACAGTACCATTGCAGGCAAACTTCTGCAAGCACAAAGGAAAACGAATTAGGCCTAGCAAGAGCATGAACGCATTTATCACCCCTTCCGCTAACAATACATACAACACAGCTGGCACCCCCTTGTGGACAAATCCATTATGACTTTCCCAAAATCTCACTGAAGACCTACTTTCTTAAACGCCTTCACTAGTTTCTTTTTATCGTAATCATCAGCGATCCCTTGGACAGTAGTAAGGGTCTTCCTGCCGTTTCTCTGTTGAATTCTTATATGGATATAATCCTCAGTGCCAGCAGGAAGCAGGTCATCACCCTTACTTGCATCAGCAAAGGGGTCTGAAAAAAAAGGTTAAGCTCGTTCAGAGCTGTCAAAGATAGGATGCCACTGCCATCCCCTCGGTCCCCAGGTGTTTTGCGCGTGCAGAAAACAACACTGAAATCGTCAGGGCTTGGGCCAGGCCGAATGTGTCCTTTGCTGGCTCTCCCCGAGCAGGTCAGTCCGGGACGGCCAGCTTCCCCAGGCTCGGGGAACGCCCGGGCCTCCCGCCCTCCCTGGGAAGCCGATCACATGTCGGGGGAGTCCGGGCTGCCAGGCGGTGCCCCACCCAGCTGATGCAACCCGCCGGAACCCGAGCTCCCGAGGCGGGGCTAAGCCTCCCACCCCCATTGGTGCACCCGCTTGCCACTTAGGGCTGGCACCGCCTTTCCCTCCGGATCCGTGACAACGGGTGGTGACGTAACGGACGTGACGCAATGGTGACGGGAGGGGCGGGTGTGGCCCGAGGAGGCCCAGGAGCCATTAGTAAATGCGCCACTGAGACGCCGGGCCCGCCCAAGGGCTGACCTACCGCCTGCTCCTTCCGGTCGCGCTCAGGGTCCGACCCCGGGGCCCAGGCCTTGATCCCGCTGCCCTGCGACCCTGGTCAAGTTTCCCCTGCCCGAGCTTACGAAGGCCCGGAGCGCTTGGCAACTTCCCGGAACACGTCTCCGGGCCCGGAAGGCCCCGCTGCCCCACCCGGGCCCGCGACCTTTCCCATAGCTTACCGAAAGAGTGGAGGTTCTGGATAGCGGACATACGATACGATTCCTTTTCCTCGGTGGAAACGGCCTGCGGAAGGCGGCGGCGGCGGTGGCGGGAGAAGGCGGGCAGGGGGGAACGGAACGTCGGGAAGCGAGGGGGCTCAAGGGGGAGGCTGCTGAATCCTCGGCGGCGGCTCAGTGACTGGGGCAGAGGGGCGGTGCCTGTGTTTAGTTATATAGCCGCGCCTCTGACGCCAGCGCGCTGCCCTCACGTCCTGACCCCACCCACAGCGTCGTGCCCCAAGCGCCCAGGCGGCGCCGCTTCCAATTGGTTTGGAGGCGGGGACATGGGATGGCGCTTGCGCAGGAAGTCTGCGGCAGGAGGGCGTCCTCTTGACTCTAGGAGAGCTGGGAGGGGGAGGGAAAGCTTGATCTGTCTCGGAGCCTGCGCAGTGCGAGTGGACGGTGTCTGGGTGCCGAGAATACCGGCCCAGGTTTCGAGCGCGCCTACGCACTGTGTCCTTTGGTACGTTCCACCTTCTTGACCCTGTTGCATCCCTGTCTTCTCGAAAAGGGGAGTTTCATATGGTAAATGAACACTCCTTAGAGAGGATTTAGATGATGAGCCTCCCAAACACGAGAAATCCCCGTTGTGTCAAACCCACCTACCTACCCACCCTACTACCCACGGAGTCACAGCGGGATTTAGGGCGGCACTTTGATTAATCAACATACAATAATATAATCAAAACGGTAACCGCATAATTTAGATTGCCATTTAGATTTATTCTAAAGTGGGTTAATCCGATCTAAAATTTTCATTTAGATTAGATTAATCCATCTAAGGAAAAAGTGTGCCCAGCTCATTGGCATGAGTTCAAGGTATAGTAACTGGTTCTGGGCCCCCCCGAGAATAATTCTGGCACCAGAGGGCGTCCTTCATGTGGCACAGCTTGTGTGGAGTAGAGCCTTCCTAGAGTTTAGATGAAATATTTCCTTCAAAACAGTCAACCTTTCTTGCTTTCAGTTTATTTATTTCAACACTCAGTTGTAGGGGTAAGTAGAGTGGTGAAAAGAGACCAGGAATTTTAGACTCAAAGGCCTCCGGGGATAGGCAGGTAAGTAGGATCAAGGAGTGCAAACAGCCAAGTGTGATGTAATGGGGTGGACTGGGGGCTGGAGTAAGAACTACGGGCTGCAGTGGCCGCTCACCTCCAGCCCATTGTGCTAGATCTTTTTCAAGAGTGCCAGGAAATCCAGGTGTTTACATAAAATCTCTTGATTTTTAAATATTGCCAATAAATTGATTTTTTTTTTGAGACAGAGTCTCACTTTGTCGCCGAGGCTGGAGTGCAGTGGCACTGTGTCGGCTCACTGTAACCTCCGTCTCCTGGGTTCAAGCAATTCTTCTGCCTCAGCCTCCCGAGTAGTTGGGGTTACAGGCATCCACCACCACGCCCGGCTAGTTTTTTAAAAATATTTTTAGTAGAGATGGGTTTTCACCATGTTGGCCAGGCTGGTCTTGAACTCCTGACCTCAGGTGATCTGCCTGCCTCGGCCTTCCAAAGTGCTGGGATTACAGGAATAAATTGAATTTTTGATACAACACTGCAAGCCAAACAAAAATATGCATGCCCATGGACTGCTGGTTTATGTCCCTGACAGTCAGGGTCACTGCCCTTGTGGAGTTGAAGGCCAGCGGGAGAGAGAGCCACTAAACAAATAATAAGATAATGAGGCTGGGCGCTGTGGCTTATGCCTGTAATCCCAGCACTTTGGGAGGCTGAGGTGGGCGGATCACCCGAGGTCAGGAGTTCGAGACCAGCCTGGCCAATATGGTGAAACCCTGTCTCTACTAAAAATACAAAAATTAGCTGGGCGTGGTGGCGTGTGCCTGTAGTCCCAGCTACTCGGGAGGCCGAGGCACAATAATTATTTGAACCCGGGAAGAGGAGACTGCAGTGAGCCAAGATGGCGCCATTGCACTCCAGCCTGGGCGACAGAGCAAGACTATGTCTCAAAAAAAAAAAAAAAAGGATAATGACAGATTGTGAGAGGTGCCAAAAAGGAGGTAAACAGGGTGATGTGAAAGGGCCAGGCTCCTTCAGATGGGGTGGTCAGAGAAGGCCTCTGGGGAGGCAGCATTCTGGCTGACAGAGGGTAGGAAGGAGTCCACTGTGGGGCAGGGCATGTGCCCACCAGAAAACTCAGAAAAACTCTGAGGGAGGAAATGCTAGGTGTACCTGATATATATATGTGTATGTGTGTGTATATATATATATATGTATATGAGTGTGTGTATATATGTGTGTGTGTGTATTTGTGTATATATGTATATATATATGTATGTGTATATATATATATATATAGACAAGGTCTCACTCTGTCACCCAGACTGGCTGGAATGCAGTGGCATGATCATGGCTTACTGCAGCCTCAACTGCTTAAAGCAGTCCCCCTGCCTTGGCCTCCTAAAGTGCTGGGATTACAGGCAGGAGCCAGTGTGCCTGGCCTGATACTTTGTTTTGATTCTATATTTACTAAATAAACTTGATTAATAGTTTGGTTTCCTTGACATCAGGAAGGAGGAACCATGGCTAGGTCATGGGCATCCCAGTCTCATGGTCTTCCCCTTTTGAGAAGCTAAGGCCCCAGTCAGCCAACTTGGGAACCTTTACTATCAGGCAAAATTCACCCCCGACATTTCACGTAGGTTCTTCTCTATTTTCCTTAAGTGTTGGCTGGTCCGAGAAATAAAGGGACAGAGTACAAAAGAGAGAAATTTTAAAGCTGGGTGTCCGGGGGAGACATCACATGTCGGCAGGTTCCATGATGTCCCCCAAGCCGCAAAACCAGCGAGTTTTTATTAGTGATTTTCAAAAGGGGAGGGAGTGTACGAATAGGGTGTGGGTCACAGAGATCATGTGCTTCACAAGGTAATAAGATATCACAAGGCAAATGGAGGCAGGGCAAGACCACAGGACCACAGGACCGGGGCGAAATTAAAATTGCTAATGAAGTTTCAGACACACATTGTCATTGATGATATCTTATCAGGAGACAGGGTTTGAGAACAGACAACCGGTCTGACCAAAATTTATTAGGCGGGAATTTCCTCGTCCTAATAAGCCTGGGAGCGCTACAGGAGACCGGGGCTTATTTCATCCCTCAGCGATGACCGTAAAAGACAGCTGTCCCCAAAGTGGCCATTTCAGAGGCCTCCCTCAGGGACGCATCCTCTTTCTCAGGGATGTTCCTTGCTGAGAAAAAGAATTCAGCGATATTTCTCCCATTTGCTTTTGAAAGAAGAGAAATATGGCTCTGTTCTGCCCGGCTCACGGGCAGTCAGAGTTTAAAGTTATCTCCTTTGTTCCCTGAACATTGCTGTTATCCTGTTCTTTTTTCAAGGTGCCCAGATTTCATATTGTTCAAACACACAAGCTCTACAAACAATTTGTGCAGTTAATGCAATCATCACGGTCCTGAGGCTACATACATCCTCCTCAGCTTATGATGACAGGATTAAGAGATTAAAGTAAAGACAGGCATAGGAAATCCCAAGGGTATTGATTGGGGAAGTGATAAGTGTCCATGAAATCTTCACAATTTATGTTCAGAGATTGCAGTAAAGACAGGCGTAAGAAATTATAAAAGTATTAATTTGGGGAACTAATAAATATCCATTAAATCTTCACAATTTATGTTCTTCTGCCATGGCTTCAGCGGGTCCCTCTGTTGGGAGTCCCTGACATCCCACAACACTTTGCCCTGACGGACATTGTTCTGCTGGAAAGGGTTTTGGGAGAGAGTTTGAATGAATGAATTGGAGCTGTCCTTCCCAGTGTGCATGCAATATTTTGTCACACTAAAATATTTTTTGAGACAGAATCTCGCTTTGTCGTCCAGGCTGTAGTGAAGTGGTGCGATCTTGGCTCACCACAGCTTTCACCTCCTGAGTTCAAGCTATGCTTCTGCCTCAGCCTCCCAAGTAACTGAGATTACGGGCAGGTGCCACCATGCCCAGCTAATTTTTGTATTTTGGGTAGAGAAGGGGTTTTACAACATTGCCCAGGCTGGTCTTGAACTCCTGACCTCAAATGATCCGCCCGCCTTGGCCTCCCAAAGTGCTGGGATTACAGGTGTGAGCCACAACACCCGGCCAAGACTCAGTTCTTTTTTTTTTTTTTTTTTTGAGACAGGGTCTGGCTTTGTCACTTAGGCTGGAGTGCAATGGTGCCATTATAGCTTATTGCAGACTTGAACTCCTAGGCTCAAGTGATCCGTTTCAGCCTCCTGAGTAGCTGGGACTACAGGCATGTGCTACCATAGCCAGCTAATTTTTTAAATTTTTGGTAGAGATGAGGTCTCACTATGTTGCCCAGGCTGGTCTTGAACTGCTAGGCTCAAGTAATCCTTTACCTCGGCCTCCCAAAGTGCTGGGATTACAAGCATGAGCCACCGCACCAGGCCTGAGACTCAGTTCTTGACTTGCCACCAGCTTTGTGGGTGACCTGGTTTACCTCTTGGCTTCAGTTGTATGCCCCATAAAAGGAGCACTGGGTGATCTCTTCCTGGGTCTGAAGTCTGAAGCGCTGTTTTCCCAAGTTGGGAGCATTTCCAGAAGGGTCTTCCGAAGTCTACCTTCCAGTGTGGGAGGTTACCCCAGCCCCAGGAGCCTGAGGAGTAATCATGGAGGCAGGAGTAATTAGTTTGAAAGTGGCATGCATGCCTGCTGTTAATGCTGGCTTCTTTATTAGTGTGCTCCTGGCTTTGAGATGCTGTCACCTGGGCAGCCAAGGGCAGGGTACAAAGCACAGGCTCTGGAGTGTCTGTATCTGAATATCATCTCCATCTTGTTGCCTGGGCGACTTAGCCCCTCCCAGCCTGCATTTTCTCCTCTGTACGACAGAGACAATAATGCCCTTCTCATAGGCTGTTGAGGGGATTTAAAGAGGAGACTATGTACAGCCGGATAAAAATGTAAAGTTATGAAACCACTATATAGATTATACCAGTTTCCCAGAGGGGAAGGGAGAGAGAGAGCCTCCGAGAGCAGCAGGGGACAGGAGTGAGCCCCTCTGAATGAGGATGGGACAGAGGTGGGCACCTCTCCATGGTGATCTCCTTGGGATGTGACAAGGGCATGGCTGTGTAGGACACCTTGGGACCCTCGACCTCAATAAGATTCTCCAAGGCCACCAACGTGGCACGGAAGCAGCAGAATCTCCCTCCAGGAAGGGATTGCACCCTCTGGGAAAATAGACATCTCCATGGTAACCAAGGCAGATAGATGATCTGGTCTAGGGGCTCCTTGTAGCTCTGGTGCTCTAGAAAACCTTGTGAGCGAGAGAGAATCCTGGGGAGGGCTGGAGCCCCTGTCATTTCCAAGGCTGGATTTCTGAGCAGCCCAGTGGGATGTTAATTGGCAAGGATCTCACTTGATTTAAAGAAAGTCCAATTAATGCCACATTTCTTGCATTCCTTATTTGGGACTTAACGACCCACGTATGTAAGTGACTAGAATAGTTCCCCCTCCCCCGCTCCCATGCACATAGAAGGTCCCAGTGAATGAAGGCTGCTGTTCTTACCACTTGGAGAAGGAGGGAGACCCGGGCCTGTTGCAGCTTGATCTGCAGCCTGCACAGGGTAATGATGAGATGTGCAGGTCGGGCATCAGCTGGGGTTCTGCTGGCAATACATCAATTCTTCAAACCTGCCTAGGGTAGATGCTGGGAAGGGACATGGGGGAAACTTTTTTTTTTTTCTTTTTTGAGATGATATCTCACTCTGTCTCCCAGGCTGGAGTGTAGTGGTGCGATCTTGGCTCACTGGAACATCCGCCTTCCGGGTTCAAGTGATCCTCCCGCTTCAGCCTCCCAAGTAGCTGGCATTACAGGCACCCACCACCACGCCTTGCAAATTTTTGTATTTTTAGTAGAGATGGGGTTTCACCATGTTGGTCAGGCTGGTCTCGAACTCCTGACCTCAAGTGATCTGCCTGCCTTGGCCTCCCAAAGTGTTGGGATTACAGGCGTGAGCCACTGCGCCACGCCCGGCCTGACATGGGGGAACCTTATGGGGTGCTGGAAATGACCTTCCTCTTGATCCAGGTGGCAAAAATCTATTGAGCTGTACCCTTATGGCTAGTGTGTGTTGTGTGTGTATGGCGGTTATATTTTACCGCCACCTCCCAACCCGGCCAGCCTTTCTTCTTGTTCTTACTTTCCCTCCCCTTGCCAGGGACCCACTTATGCCAACCCACGGTGGGGACTTGGCTCAGTTCCTCTTTGCCTCTTTGCTGGCAGAGCATCTGTCTTCCCCATCCTGCTTCCCACTCCTTCCCCTCCTCTCTTTCCTCCTTTTTCAGGGAGTCCTGCAGGAGCTCCTATAGATGGGGGGAAACTTCATTTAGGAAGGGAGATAAAGACCAGAGCCCTTGGTTCCTCTTCCCCGGGCAGGGCCATCCAGGTGGCCCAACTGCGGACTCAACTGCCGAGGTGGGTGGGAGAGGATACAAAGTGCAGCCTAGGGAGGTGGAGAAGGCCAGGCCTGGCATTGGGCCTCAAGGAGATCACAGCCTAGCGAGGGTTCAGACAGCACTCCAAGGAACCAGGGGCCCAGGAAGCGTGGAGGAGGTGCCAGACACAGGTGCACAGAGGGGTTCTATATTCTGACCGGGCACTGAAGGAGGTGTTCTCTAGCTGAGGGCAGGTGGATGTTCCAGATGGAGGGAAGAGCATTAGACATGTTTGATGGCAATCAGTTCAGATCTGGCCACTTTCCTGGGACAAGCTTACAGGTGTGTTTGGGTGGAGCAGTCTGCCTTGGACCTAGGCATAGGTCCTCTAGCCCTCCTTTCATTTCATTTCATTTCATTTTTTAAACTAGTGTAACTCATATAAGGGCTGTCTCCAAGAGTTCATCCAGCAGTAATCGAGCAGCAAGACTCATCAAGTCCTTCACTTTCACTGTGAGAGGACAGGAGGAAACGCAGAGAGGGCTGGTGCCGTGTGGTGACAACCCTCACCAGTTGGGACACACTGCTCATCCCCTTTCAGCCACACCTCTGCACACCCCCCAACACTCAGCTGTCCCCAGTGTGCAGCTCTGGCCCCAAGCACATGTCACCTGGAGGTGCCTCTCTGGGCAGCCTCCCCTCTCTTCTGCACCCACCCATCTTCCCCAAATTAATTCTAACTCTCAAAGGGCCACAGCAGCCACAAGCCACCTGTGGCTTCTGAACCCTGGAAATGGGGCCAGTCTGAATGAGGATGCACTGTAAGTGTAAAAACACACAGGGCTCTGAAGAATGAGCATGAAAAAAAACTGTAAAGTCTCACAATGCTTTATATTATGTTATATTAATTGATTAATTTATTTTGAGTCAGAGTTTTGTTCTTGTTGCCCAGGCTGGAGTGCAATGGTGCGATCTCGGCTCACTGTGGCCTCCGCCTCCCGGGTTCAAGTGATTCTCCTGCCTCAGCCTCCCAAGTAGCTAGGATTACAGGTGTGTACCACCACGCTCGCCTAATTTTTGTATTTTTAGTAGAGACGGCGTTTCACCATGTTGGCCTGGCTGGTATCGAACTTCTGACCTCGTGATCTGCCCGCCTTGGCCTCCCAAAGTGCTGGGATTACAGGTGTGAGCCACCGCACCCGGGTTGTTGTTTGTTTTTGAGATGGAGTCTTGCTCTGCCGCCCAGGCTGGAGTACAATGGCGCAATCTCAGCTCACTGCAACCCTGCCTCCTGGGTTCAAGCGATTCTGCTGCCTCAGCCTCCTGAGTAGCTGAGATCACAGGCGCACATTACCGAATTAGCCCGGCTAATTTTTGTATGTTTTTGTAGAAATGGGGTTTCAGCATGTTGGCCAGGCTGGTCTCAAACTCCTCTGCTCAAGCCATTCGCGTGCCTCAGCCTCCCAAATTGTTGGGATTATAGGTGTGAGCCACTGTGCCCAGCCTTCACAATACTTTTTATATGAATTACTTATTAAAATAAGAATATTTTGGATCTATTATATTAAATAAAATATACTATTAAGTTAAATTCACCTGTTTCTTTTTACTTTAAAGAAACGTGGCTCCTGGGAGCCCCCAGGAGCTATTTAGTTGCATGTGTGGTGTGCGTTCTATTCCTACTGGACAGTGCTGCTCAGCAGGATGCTAGGCTGAAGCGAGCCTGCTGGCACACACATGGCAGGCCCTAGTCACAGGAACGGCTGTTCTTTCCAGCCTTCTCTGCCACCACCTGCCTCATTTCTTTGTCTCCTGCCCCCGCCTCCAGCATCTCTAGTTCCCAGTGATTTAGCTCTGCTGTGAGCTTGCATATTTCTCTCCCTGCTCCCAGTTTAGAAGACAGCTTGGTGATGGTCATATGTACCAAAGCCGGGCCAAGGATGTCGAGGGAACTTTTTCCTGCTCAAGTGGCTTATTGAGTATTCACTCACCCAAACTGTGTCCCTTCCTGGGCCAACAAGGTGAAATTCTCTCCTCTTTTCACTTGCCTAGCCCAAGACAGATACTGCCACCTGAGCATGCACCGGGGCAGTGGGGGGCATCGATTTCATCCTTTGCCCCAAACAGCTTAGCAGCTGTCCCTCTACCATAGATAAAACTCTTCCTGAGAGGAGTTTTGTACGGTCTTTTTTTTTTTTTTATTTTGTGAAATTTACAGTGGTTGAGCTCTTGCTACGAGCTTAGCTGAGTGTTTCACACCCTGTCCCATGGAATCCTGACAAAGCTCATTAGTCCTTCTGCAGACAGAGACCTGGCAGGATAGCGGTGGTGGCCCTCTTCCTGCTGGGCTGCCTGGCCACCCAAGAGGGACCAGGTTTCCTGAGCGAGGAACCTCTGGGATGATTGTGCTCTTATAAAGGGGTTATCTGTTTTCTTGATGGAGGCCAGCATTTGGGGCATGCACCCCAATTCTCTCCGGAGCTCAGATGTGCCGTGCATATTTGGAGAGGGTCTGGGAGGCCAGTGCTACTGTGGACAATCTCATTACAGCACACAACATAAGATTCAAACAAATTCCCTCCCTCCCTCCCTCCCTCCCCTCCCTCCCTCCCTCCCTTCCTTCCTTCCTTCCTCCTGCTTTTCTCTCCCTCTCTTTTCTTTTCTCTTTTCTTCTTTCTTTCTTTCTTTTCCCTCCTTCCTTCCTTCCTTTCTTCCTTCCTTCCTTCCCTCCTTCCCTCCTCCCTCCCTCCCTCCTTTCTTTCTCTCTCTTTCTTTCTTTCTTTCTCTCTTTCTGTCTCTCTCTCCTTCCTTTCCCTTCCTTCCTTCCCTCTTTCTTTCTTTTCTTTTTTTTTTTTTTGAGATGGAGTCTCATTCTGTAGCCCAGGCTGGAGTGCAGTGGCACAATCTTGGCTCACTGCAACTTCTGCCTCCTGAGTTCAAGCAATTCTCCCACCTCAGCCTCCTGAGTAGCTGGGATTACAGGCACCCACAATGATGCCTGGCTAAGTTTTGTATTTTTAGTAGAGATGGGGTTTTGCTATGTTGCCCAAGCTGGTCTTGAACTCCTGACCTCAGGTGATCTGCCCACCTTGGCCTCCTAAAGTGCTGGGATTACAGGTGTGAGCCACTGTGCCTGGCGAGAATTGTTATTTTCTTTTACAGATGAGGATGTTACCCAGTGTAATGCCTGTGTGACATAGGTGAATTTCTACCCTGCCTTAATTCTGCTTATCTTTAGGAAACAGGATGCTTGAGGTCAAAAGCTCCCCCTTCTGACCAAACTGGCTAAGACTTGTGGGATCCAAGGCAGCTCACTTGACCTCTGAAGAACCTCTAACTTCATTATAACTAATTTCTGTGCTAAGTGACACTCCCACCAGCACCATGACAGTTAACAATCACTGTGACTAAGACCGGAAGAAACCACAAAAACACAAAAAGGAAGACGGCACTCCAGTTTCAAGGAGTTCTCCACCCATTCCCAGAAAAGAAATGAATATTCCTCCCCTTACTTTTAATATCCAACCCTTTCATTAAAGGTGCCCTATATCTGTGACTTCCTGGCTCTCAGGAGCCGAGCCCAAGCTCCCACTTCTCAATTCCATGACCGTCTAATCTAAAGCCTGCACTGCTTGACATTCACTTTCAGTTTTGCATATTGATTTGTAACACCAAACGGGGAAAGGCTCCATTTTCTGGGGACCAGCTTTGTTGGTAACAAAGATACTGAATCATAGAGAGGAATCATTTTTGCAAGATCACAGCTGGTAAGTTGCATGGCTGGAATTCAGATCCAGAGCCTGTGCCCCTAACCTGGAAGGGGTGCCTGCCCTGGAAGATTGTCTGGGTCTGGTCCAGGGCCCCATACAGGCATCCTTGTAGTCACTGCTGGTTTCCCTTCCCAGAGCTTGGGGGAGGTGCTGAATGTCCTGCCCAGGTCAGTGTGGCATTAAAGAAAAGATTACTCATGACACTTGTTAAAGATGAAGGAAGACTTTATTCAAGGGGGAGCTATTACATTGGGGTTTTGTAGCAGAGGAGAGAGACTGGGTTTCACTCTCTCTACAATAGGGAAAATTGGGGATTTATAGCCAAGGAACAGGGTAGGGAGATTGGTGGAAAATTACTAAGAAGTTTTTATGCTCTTTTACCCCCGTAGTTCAATGAGTTCCGAATTGTTGTCCCATGACTGAGAAAAATGAGGTACATGGACAGCAGAGAGTGAGTAAGGCAGAATAGAATTTATTGAGGGACAGAAAAGCTCTCGACAGTGAGAGGGGACCCAAAAATGGGTTGCTGACCACGAGGCTGATACATTATAATTAGCATATAATAAGCAGTAAGGACACCAGAGGTTGGGTTGCTTTCTTTTTGTTTTTTTTTTTTTTTTTTTTTTTTGAGACAGAGTCTTGCTCTGTCGCCCAGGCTGGAGTGCAGTGGCACGATCTCAGCTCACTGCAACCTCTGCCTCCCAGGTTCAAGCGATTCTCCTGCCTCAGCCTCCCAAGTAGCTGGGACTACAGGCACGTGCCACCAGGCCCAGCTAATTTTTTGTATTTTTAGTAGAGATGGGGTTTCACCGTGTTAGTGAGGATGGTGTTGATCTCCTGACCTCGTGATATGCCTGCCTCAGCCTCCCGAAATGTTGGGATTACAGGCGTGAGCCACCGCGCCCAGTCCAGAGGTCGCTTTCATTACCATCTTGGTTTTGGCTGGCTTCTTTACCACATCTCGTTTTATCAGAGGGGTCTTCGTGACCTGTACCTTGCAAAACCAGTCCTGTGGAACTCCTATTGCAAGACTATACAGGTTAATGGCTTAACTCTACAATACTACCCCACTTCATTTTAAAATTTTATCTATCTGTCTGTCTATCTATCTATCTATCTATCTATCTATCTATCTATCTATCTACTTTTAGAGACAGGGTCTTGCTCTGTTGCCCAGGCTGGAGTGCAGTGGTGTGATCATAGCTCACTGCAGCCTCCAATTCCTTAAGACTGTCCCACTGCAATGCCAGCCACAAGTCTGCGCTTCACGTGCTTCTGGCCAATGGTTATAAATCAGGAGTTCCCACAACCCCTCCTTGGATTTGATAGTTTGCTAGAATGGCTCACAGAACTCAGGAAAACAGTTGAGTTACCAGGCTGACAGCTTATTATAAAAGAATACAACTAAAAAACAGCAGATGGCTGGGTGCAGTGGCTCATTGCTACAATACCAGCACTTTGAGAGGCCGAGGCGGGCAGACCACTTGAGGTCAGGAGTTCAAGACCAACCTGGCCAAAACAGTGAAACCCTGTTTCTACTAAAACTACAACAATGAGCCAGGTGTGGTGGTGGGCACTTGTAATCCCAGCAATTTGTAATCCCAGCAACGGGCTGAGGCAGGAGAATTGCTTGAACCTGGGAGGCAGAGGTTACACTGAGCTGAGATCGCACCACTGCATTCCAGCCTGGGAGACAGAGTGAGACGCTGTCTCAAAAAACAAAACAAAACAAAACTCAAAACAGGCAGGGCGCGGTGGCTCACGCCTGTAATCCCAGCACTTTGGGAGCTTAGGCGGGTGGATCACAAGGTCAGGAGATCAAGGCCATCCTGGCCAACATGATGAAACCCTGTCTCTACTAAAAATACAAAAATTAGCCGGGTGTGGTGGCGGGTGCCTGTAGTCCCAGCTAGTTGGGAGGCTGAGGCAGGAGAATCGCTTGAACCCGGGAGGCAGAGGTTGCAGTGAGCCAAGATTGCTCCACTGCATTCCAGCCTGGCAACAGAGCCAGACTCCTTCTTAACAACAACAACAAAACAAACAACAACAACAACAACAACAACAAAACAAACCTGGCAGGATGGAGGAGACGCACAGGGTGAGGTGTGGAGAAGTGTGGGGAGCTTTGACGTGCTTTCGGGTGCACCATCCTCCCAACACCTTGATGGGTCCTTTGGGTTTTTATGGTGCTTCCATTATGTAGGCATGGTTGATTACATCATTGGCCCTTGGTGATTAAACTCAATCTCAAGCCTCTCTTCCCTCCCCAGAGGCCAGGAGGTGGGGCTGAAAGTTCTACTTCTCTAATCACATGCTTGGTTCCCCTGGCATCCAGCCCCCCTCCTTAGGGGCTTTCCAAAAGTCACTCATTAACTTAAACTCCTGTGTGGTTGAAACAGGCTTGTTTTGATAACAAAAGATGTTCCTTTAACTTTTGTTGCTCCAGGGATATTTCAAGAGCTGGGGACAAAAGACAAATATTAATTTATTATATTACATTAGGGCTCTGTGCCAGGAACTGGGGACCAATATCAAACAACTTTTCATATCATATCTCAATATCGCAATGCCTGTTGCATAAAAAATTAAAAAGTCGCAAAGCAACCAAAAAATCACCTGTTAAATCAGTCACCACCCAGAGATGACCAGGACCCATTCTGGCCTCTTTCCATCTGGTTTTGTGTAGATTTATGAAGACACCAAATTCTTTGAGGCTCCCTTTGCTCTGTGCTGTGTCAGTCTGTGTGCAGTCCTCGGCAGCTCTTCACAGTCTCCCCAAAGAATTCATTTTCACTTAAAACACAAGTTATAACCGTAGTAGGTTTATTGCTCGATGTGCATATGGAAAGCCAGTAACTGAGATACTGGGTTGTAGCAGAGAAAGAGGCTTAATTGTAGGGCTGCTGAATGAGGAGACCAGAGGAAACCTCAAATCCATCTCCCTGAGGAGTTTGGGGCTAGGAATTTTAAGGGTTTTGGAGGGAACTGATCATTGATTGGTGCAAGGTGAATTCACCTACAGGGAAATGAAGAAACTGCATTCTTATGCTAATTTGATTACTCCGTGGGAACCTTCAAACTGGTTGGCATCAGCTGTTCCATTGGAATTCAGGATTGGAGAAACATCTTCAGCAATTTTTTTTTTTTTTTTTTTTTTTTGAGACAGATTCTCACTCTGTCACCCAGGCTGGAGTGCAATGATGCAATCTGGGCTCACTACAACCTCCGCCTCCCGGGTTCCAGCAATTCTCCTGCCTCAGCCTCTCTAGTAGCTGGGATTACAGGCATGCACCACCATGCCCAACTAATTTTTGTATTTTTGTAGAGATGGGGTTTCTCTGTGTTGGCCAGGCTGGTCTCAAACTCCTGACCTCAGGTGATCCACCCACCTCGGCCTCCCAAAGTGCTGGGATTATAGACATGAGCCAACACACCTGGCCATCTTCAGCAATTCTTAAACAGAAGTCTCATGATTCTAATGTCAGAGATCCTATCTGTAGGAACATGGAAATGCAGATGTTCAGTACTGAGTGTTAGGTGATTTTAGGTTACAAGGAACTGGGCCAAAGAGCAGCCCGATTAATGCTTAATTATACCTGTATTCCTATCCAGAGTTTTTGTCAAACTTGTGAGGACAGCTTCAGTGTGAGTGATGTAAACTTTACTCAGTGACCCCTGAAAGAGGTGGGGGAGGGCATTTACACACACACACACACACACAAATGCACACACACCCCATATCTCAAAAGTCTTAACTTGCTTAGATCCCTCTTGACCTCTCTATGGGGGTTGCTTTCTCCCATCTAGAACCTGTTTTGTTGGCTCCTTCATCTCCTCCTTTGATCCCCTCCCAGTTGCAGACCTTCAACTTTTCTGTCTCTGGTTTTGCAGGTCAGTTTATCCCTGCTCCCTGCTTGCCCCCAAATGTGTACAGCCAAGACCTATTTCAGTACTGGGGAAAAAAAAAGAGGGTTGCAGGTTTATAGAACCTCTAGAGAGCAGGAGGGGTTAGAAACATCCAAAATTTTCCTTCTTTCTTTTTTTTTTTTTTTGAGATGGAGTCTTGTTCTGTAACCCAGGCTGGAGTGCAGTGGTGTGATCTCGGTTCACTGCAACCTCTGCCTCCCGGGTTCAAGTGATTCTCCTGCCTCAGCCTCCTGAGTAGTTAGGTTTACAGGCGTGCGCCACCACACCTGGCTAAATTTTGTTATTTTTTGTAAAGACAGGGTTTTGTCATGTTGGCCAGGCTGGTCTTGAACTCCTGGCCTCAAGTGATCTGCCCACATTGGCCTCCCAAAGTGCAGGGATTACAGGTGTGAGCCACTGCATCTGGCTGAAATTTTTATTTTTATTTTTAAATTATACCTTTAAATTGTAGGAGATCAGAATATGCCACCCCAAAATATGACCATAGACCGGAATATGCTGCCCCAAATATACTTCTTCAGCATAAGGATTATTTTGAACTGATTTTTTTTAACAAAAAAATTTACAGTTAAGGGAACAAACAAGTTAATCGTGTTTAATGAACAGACCCAGGAAATGTCCTGATGTACCAATACCTTAAGAAACAAGGCCGGGCACGGTGGCTCACGCCTGTAATCCCAGCACTTTGGGAGGCTGAGGCGGGCAGATCACCTAAGGTCAGGAGTTTGAGACCATCCTGGCCAACTTGGTGAAACCCCGTCTCTACTAAAAATACAAAAAATTAGCCGGGCGTGATGGCACACACCTGTAATCTCAGCTACTCAGGAGGCTGAGGCAGGAGAATTGCTTGAAATCGGGAGATGGAGGTTGCAGTGAGCTGAGATCATACCACTGTACTCCAGCCTGAGTGACAGAGCCAGACCCGGTCTCAAACAAAAACAAAAACAAAAACAAAAACAAAAACAAAAACAACAAAAAGCATTCTTAGAGCATTCTTAGTGTGAGTTTTGCTTTAAAGATAAAGATAATATATTAGAGGCCGGGCGCGGTGGCTCACGCCTGTAATCCCAGCACTTTGGGAGGCCGAGGTGGGTAGATGACGAGGTCAGGAGGTTGAGACCATCCTGGCTAACACGGTGAAACCCCGTCTCTACTAAAAATGCAAAAAAATTAGCCGGACGTGGCAGCGGGTGCCTGTAGTCCCAGCTACTCGGGAGGCTGAGGCAGGAGAATTGCTTGAACCCGGGAGGCGGAGGTTTCAGTGAGATGAGATTGAGCAATTGCACTCCAGCCTGGGCGACAGAGCGAGATTCCGTCTGAAAAAAAAAAAAAAAGATAATATATCAGATAATAATAGATTCTTGCAGAAGACAGTAGTTACACAAGGACCCAGCTGATAAAACAGGATGCACTAAAGAAGCCAGACAAAACCCACCCAAACTAACATGGCAATGAATGTGACCCCTGGTCATCCTCACTGCTCATTATATGCTAATTATAATACATTAGCATATGCTAAAAGACACTCCCAAATGCCATGGCAATGCCCGGAGGTTGCCCAATATGGTATAAAAGGAAGAAGAACCTTCAGTTCCAGGAAACCCCTGCCCCTTTCCCAGAAAACTGATAAACAGTCTACCCTATATTTGTCATGAGATCAACAAATATTCATAAAAATAACCAACCAGCAGACCTTGGGGCTGCTCTGCCTATGGAGTAGCCATTTTTAAATTTCTTTGCTTTCTTAATAAACTTGCTTTCACTTTACTGTGTAGACTTGCCCTGAATTCTTTGTTGCAGTAGCTCCAAGAACCCTCTCTTGGGGTCTGGATCAGGACTCAGGACCCCTTTCTGGTAACAGAAGTATTCCAGGTGTTAAAAGATAAACTTGCGCTGGGTGCAGCGGCTCACGCCTGTAATCCCAGCACTTTGGGAGGCCGAGACGGGCAGATCACGAGGTCAGGAGATCGAAACCATCCTGGCTAACATGGTGAAACCCCGTCTCTACTAAAAATACAAAAAAATAGCTGGGCGTGGTGGCGGGTGCCTGTAGTACCAGCTACTTGGGAGGCTGAGGCAGGAGAATGGTGTGAACCCGGGAGGCGGAGCTTGCGGTGAGCTGAGATCAGGCCACTGCACTCCAGCCTGAGTGACAGAGCGAGACTCCGTCTCAAAAAAAAAAAAAAAAAAGATAAACTGGCATATTAGAATTTTAAAGAGCTGGCCAGGTGAGGTGGCTCATGCCTGCAATCCCAGCACTTTTGGAGGCTGAGGTGGGAGGATCACTTGAACCCAGGAGTTCAAGACCAGCCTGGACAACATAGTGAGACCTTGTCTCTTCAAAAACAAAACAAAACAAAAAAAGTGCTAATTTGAGCAGACAGTGATTCATGAATCAGGCAGACTGGGGGATGAATCCCAGACTGGGGGATTCTGGTGTTTCAGAGCATAAAGGAAAAATTGTATAGGGTAAACTTTGAAGCAGAGCAAAGAAACTATTTGATTGGTTCAAATGCAGATTATTCGCATGGAAAGTCCCTTGCTAGTAGTAACTTGTGGTGGTTTCTGATTAGTTAAACCCATCTATACTGAGATGGGTTTTGATTTACTTACATAGAAACCCAGGGCACAAGGCCGGGCACCGTGGCTCATGCCTGTAATCCCAGCAGTCTGGGAGGCCGAGGTGGGTGGATCACTTGAGGTCAGGAGTTTGAGACCAGCCTGGCGAACATGGCAAAACTCCGCCTCTACTAAAAACACTAAAAATTAGCCAGACGTAGTGGCAGGCGCCTGTAATCCCAGCTACTCGGGAGGCTGAGGCAAGAGAATTGCTTGAACCCAGGAGGTGGAGGTTGCAGTGAGCTGAGATTGCACCACTGCACGCCAGGCTGGGTGACAAGAGTGAAACTCTGTCTCAAAAAAAAAAAAAAAAAAAAGAAACCCAGGGCACTAGAGTGGCTTCAGTCTAATGGCCTCCCAATTATTTTAACAATGTGATAAATGAAGAAGATGAGCCACCGTGCCCGGCCCTAAATCTCATCTTGAATTCCCACATGTTATAGTGGGGACCCAGTGGGAGGTAATTGAATGATGGGGGCGAATCTTTCCCATGCTGTTCTCTTGATAGTGAATAAGTCTCACAAGATCTGATGTTTATTATTATTATTATTATTATACTTTAAGTTTTAGGGTACATGTGCACAATGTGCAGGTTTGTTATATATGTATACATGTGCCATGTTGGTGTGCTGCACCCATTAACTTGTCATTTAGCATTAGGTATATCTCCTAATGCTATCCCTCCCCCCTCCCCCCACCCCACAACAGTCCCCAGTGTGTGATGTTCCCCTTCCTGTGTCCATGTGTTTTCTTTGATCAATTCCCACCTATGAGTGAGAACATGCGGTGTTTGGTTTTTTGTCCTTGTGATAGTTTGCTGAGAATGATGGTTTCCAGCTTCATCCATGTCCCTGCAAAGGACATGAACTCATCATTTTTTATGGCTGCCTGATGTTTTTTTAAAGAGGAGTTTCCCCGGACAAGTTCTCTCTCTTTACCTGCCACCATCCATATAAGACATGACTTGCTTCTCATTCTGCCATGATTGTGAGGCCTCCCCAGCCATGTGGAACTGTAAGTTCATTAAACCTCTTTCTTGGCCGGGCGCGGTGGCTCAAACTTGTAATCCCCACACTTTGGGAGGTCGAGGCAGGTAGATTACGAGGTCAAGAGATCGAGACCATCCTGGCCAACATGGTGAAACCCTGTCTCTACTAAAAATACAAAAATTAGCTGGGCGTGGTGGTGCTCACCTGTAATCCCAGCTACTCGGGAGGCTGAGGCAGGAGAATTGCTTGAACCCGGGAGGCGGAGGTTGCAGTGAGATGAGATCACGCCAATGCACTCCAGCCTGGGGACAGAGCAAGACTCTGTCTCCAAAAAAAAAAAAAAAAAAAAACCCATAAAAACAAGAAAAAAAAAACCCTTTTTCTTGTGTAAATTGCTCAGTCTAGGGTATGTCCTTATCAGCAGCATGAGAATGAACTAATACACTGGATATGGTGGCACATGCCTGTGGTCCCAGATACTTGGGAGGCTGAGGTGGGAGGATCCCCTGAGCCTGGGAGGTCGAGGCTGCAGTGAGCTGTGATTGTGCTCTCTCACTGCACTCCAGCCTGGTGACAGAGGGAGACTCTGTCTCAAAAAAAAAAAAAAAAGATTCCTAAAGTTGCACGTTAGTTCAATTCAGCTCTCATGGGTTTATATTTCCAGATCTCTCCCCAGAGGGGGTGTTAGAATCACAGCAGCTCAGTGAACCAGAAACATCTCTGTTCAGGCTACTCGGGAGGCTGAGGCATGAGAATTGCTTGAACCCAGGAGGCAGAGGTTGCAGTGAGCTGAGATCATGCCACTGCACTCTAGCCTGGGTGACAGAATGAGACTGTCTCAAAAAAACACACAGAAACATCTCCGGGGCAAGGATCCTTGGGCCAGGGCTTTGCTCTTGGGAGCTTCCCGCCTGGCTAAGTGCCTTCACCCATCTGATTCTCAGTTCCTTCCTGTGCAAAAGTGGGCATGAAAACACACAGGGTTGGAAAACAGTATTTATTCATTTAGTTCTTTTTTGAGACAGGGTCTCACTCTGTTGCCCAGGCTGGAGTGCAGTGGCGCCATCTTGGCTCACTGCAACCTCCACCTTCTGGGTTCAAGTGATTATCTTGCCTCAGCCTCCCAAGTAGCTGGGACTACAGGTGCGTGCCACCATGCCTGGCTAATTTGTGTATTTTTAATAGAGACGGGGTTTCGCCATGTTGGCCAGGCTAGACTTGAACTCCTGACCTCAGGTGATCCACTCACCTTGGCCTCCTAAAATTCTGGGATTACATGCATAAGCCACCGTGCCTGGCCCCCACTGATGTTTAATAAACATCTCAAACTCAATATGACTCAGACTGAACCTCTAATCTCCTGCCACTGAACAGCTCCTGCCCACAACCTTCCCATTGTTCATGGCAGCTCTATCCTCTCAGTAATAGCATTCTTGACTCCTCCGCCCACTACAGTTTGTTGGGACGTCTGGGGGCTTTCCCTGCGTGTTAGCTCCAGTGTCTCGTTGCTTCTTGCCACCTGTACATCATTTTCAAGCCTACAGTTCAGTGTAGGGTTCCTTTGCTCCACTCTGATCTGAGCCACCATCCTCTCTCGCCTGGACTATTGGAGTAGTTTCCTCATCTCCCAGTGGGTCTCACTCCTGTCCCTGCTCCCTGGCACCTTCATTCGACACAGCAGCCACAGTCTCCACCACATTCTAGGAGGCCCCCTGTGATCCAGTGCCTGTGACTCTGCTCATCTCATCTCAACTACTTGGCCTTCCGTCCCCACTCCAGCCACACCAGCCCCCAGCTGGGCCTAGAGCATGTCAGAAATGCTCCCACCTTGGGGTCTGGAAGCTTCCCTCTAGATATCTCCATGGCTTTCTTTCTCAAAGTCTAAGGTTTTGCTTACATAGCACTTTTGTATGAGGCCTGTCCTGACCTCTCTTATTATTATTATTATTTTTTAGATGGAATTTCCCTCTCCTTGCCCAGGCTGGAGTGCAGTGGCGTGATCTCGGCTCACCACAACCCCCGCCTCCTGAGTTCAAGTGGTTCTCCTTCCTCAGCCTCCCGAGTAGCTGGGACTACAGGCGCGTGCCACCACGCCTGGCTAATTTTTTGTATTTTTGGTAGAGACGGGGTTTCACCAGGTTGGCCAGTCTGGTCTCAAACTCCTGACCTGAGGTGATCTATCTGCCTCGGCCTCCCAAAGTGCTGGGATTATAGGTGTGAGTCCCCGTGCCCAGCCTTGACCTCCCTATTTTGAATTGTACCCCTCCCCGCAGTCTTCCTCCTCTCCCTTTTTCTGCATTACTGCTCATTTCCCTCCAGGACATCATCTCCTACACCCTGTAATTTACTTATTTATTTTGGCTGTTAGTTAATATCTGTCTCCCTCACTGCAATCTAACACCGTATTCACTGAAGTCCCCCAACGGAGTGAAGAACGTGCCATCCCCAAATATGCCAAATTGGCATAGTGATTATTTTGAGCTGTAAATATTGGAGAAATTGTAGTTTTAGAAAGGGCGAGCTGACCTGTCTTTTCCTGTATGCAGTAAGCCATAAAGATTCCTCTCGGAGGTCCCTTCTCTGGATGAGAAATTAGCTCTTATCTTCACAGACTGGGAAGTGAGGCTGCAACAGACCTGAATAAATAAACTTTCCAGGCTGGGTGTGGTGGCTCACACCTGTAATCCCAGCACTTTGGGAGGCTGAGGTGTGTGGATCATATGAGGTCAGGAGTTCGAGACCAGCCTTCAGAGACCAGCTCTGGCCCTCCCGGATGCCTCTGTCTGCCCCCGCTTCGGCTGCTGCGCTGTGCCAGCAGGTCCCGCAGGGCTTCACATTCCTCACTCAGGTCTTCCATTCAAGAAATGTTCATTGACTGATACTGAGCAGGCCACTGGGGTGAGTGGTCAATAAGACCCAGCCGCCACACTGAAGTAAAGTTGGTGGGGAGACAGACCACAGTCACGCACCATACAGGCCATGATGGGCAAATGTCAAGGGTGTACGGGGCAGGGGCATCACAGCTACGGCACCCAACCCAACCTGCAAGGTATAGGAAGGATTCCTGGAAAAAGGAACCACTAAGCTAAGACCACAGGGCAAGTGAAGCTCAGCCAGGCAAAGGGAAGACGTGGGCCCAAGCTGACTAGAAAGGCCCAGAGGCCATCATAAGACACTGGGAAGGGGAGGGGCCGGAGCAGTGCACAGGGGCCAGACCACGAGGGTGGGCAAGGGGGTGGGGTTTATCCATCTCAAAAAGAAAAAAAAAAGATAAATAAATAAAATATGAGTCAAATGCATGATGGATTAAGCTGCTTTATTTACTATAAAGTCTGTACACATATGAGCAATAACTATTACTTCCTCTTTTATTAATGTATTCTTTCTGGCTTCCTGAAGGACGTCTTCACTGGGATGTTCTGCCAGGAACTTAAACCCCAGCCCTGGTCTCCCCTGCGTGGCCCCTGACTTCCCAGCTCTGCCAGTGGCACCACCATCCGCGTCGCTCATGCCTCCTCCTGTTCTCCTTCCTTCCTAATTGCTCTGAAACCTCACCCATTTGCCCCCGTTCCCCAGCTATCATGCTCTTTTCCTGGACAGACTTCTGGTCAAGCTGCTGGCTTGCTCAAAGACCTTTGTTGGCCGCGTGGCCTAAAGGGTTAAGTGAAACCTCCTACCTGGGCACTGGAGGACCTGGCCATGCTGCTCTCCCCTTCACAGTTGACCTAGACTTGGGACAAGCTGGATTCCTGAGAATCCGTGTTTCCTGCCCCTGTGCCTTTGCTCAGGCTGGTCTCTCCGCCTGGAGCGCCTTCCTTCATCTCTGTTTGCCCCAGCCCCGCCTGCCCTGTAAGGCCCAGTCTCGACACGGCTTTGCTGCAGGAGGGCTTTCTCGATGTGCTTCGGGGCAGGCTGCCTCCACCTTTTGGAACCTTTTGCACGATCTTCTATTTTGGGCGGTATCTGGCGCCGAGTTGAGTGTTGGATCATGTCATTTGAAGGCCATCCTACCGAACTGTAAGCTCTTTCAGGGCACGGGCTGCGTCTTGTCCCTTTCTATGTCCCTTGTAGCCTCAGCATGGGGCCCGGTTTCACTCAACCCAAGGGTGACCCGGCATTTCAGGTTCAATGCAGAGCGGCCTGACAGGCACACTTCCTGCAATGGCCACAGGATGGCAGCACAGACCGGGTTTCGGCACCTAGGCGCGCCTCCCGCACCCACCGCACTATTCAACGTTTCTCGACCCTAGTGGAGTACCCGGTCCCCTGGAGATGTTGTGCAGGAGGGTCCCCTCTCTAGGGCTGGGGGCTTTAGGGCTGGGGAAGAGGCACCAGGGGCAGAGCCTCTGGACCCCACCTGGAGTCCTGTAGTGAGTGCGTTTCCTCCCCTTCCCAGCGGCCCCTTTTCCAAGAGAGAACTTGCGGAGGGGGGAGGGGGTGGGGGGTGAGGAAGGAGCACTAGGGAGGGAGTCGGCGGGTTTGGGTCCTGGTTCTGTGCTGCGGTCCTGGGCAGGTGTGGTGTGTAACGGGAAAGGGCCTGTCACAAAGCGTGGCAAATGTGCTCGTGGCAGATGCCCACGAACGTTTGTCTCCCTGTCCTCTGGCCTCCACCTCCCCTGCAATTTTCCCAAAGGCAAAATGATGGGTTGGACAAACGATAGGAAATGTAGCCACGTTCGCTGCGCATGGGGCAAGGTGGGGGTGGGGGTGGGGTTTCCGGGGCACCAGATCGCTCTGCTCCCATCTCAAGGCCCCTGCTTCTGGAGGCAGGGTTAGCTCCACGTAGGCAGAGGAAACACCCCGGGTTTCTTAGGATTCTTGCTGTGTGACCTTGGGAAGTCCCCGCACGCCTCTGGCTGCAGCTGCCGCCTGTGAAAGAAGGGGCTGCACTTCCTGGATGGTGGAAGGTTGCTAAGGTAACCACAAAGTGCCCGCTCAGCAGCAGCTGCCGTCATCATCATAGTTATTATTATTAGGGTTTCGTCCTGTGCCAGCATTTGACAATTCTAACCCCACCTGGAGGCCTGCTAAGAGAGCAGGCGAGGGCTGGTGATCATTTAGGGATGCCTAAAATGTTTGCAGGGGGAGCAGGAGAGAGGAAGGACAAAGGATGTTCATGAGGGTCAAAGACCTGGGTTTGGGGCTTCTCGGGGCGAGGGGGTGCGGAGGGAGGGCCCCAGATCGCGCCTTCTCCCTTTAGGTCTGGTCCCGGGGTGGCGGCGCGCGTGCGCAGGAGGAGGCCGTGGGCCCGGCCAGCAGAGGGCGCCGCGAGCACCACGCCCGGGCTTAGCTGTGCGGGGCTCCGCCTTGCTGCGCAGTGGGCAAGCCGGTCTGGCTGCGATGGGGGAGGGCTACGCTGGGGAGCTGCGGGTAAGGGCAGCTGTCACCGTTTTCAGTTGTTGGTCGGTGTCCTGTGTGGCATTGTGGGTTTGCCTGTAACCACCACATGTTCATTCATTTAACTAGCACGATCAAGCACCCACAAGTTTCAGCCACTGCTGGGAGTAAAGAGGGGAACGAGGTGCATGCCCGGAGAACCCGCACCCACCATCCAGGTGACAGAGGTCAGCCCAGGGCTGGGGGAGCTTGGAGGAGGAGCCGCCTACCTGGAGAGAACAGGCGAGGCAGACAGAAGGCAGGAAGCACAGAGAGCCCGCTCGCAGCTTGGCAATGTGGGGAGCTGAACAGAGCAAGAACTGTTTGGGGCCATGCTCTCGAACACTGGCCCAGGGCCGGCGATGTCGAAGCCATGATGAATCCAAGGCTAAACTACAGCAGACACAACGGCTGTCCCTAAGGGGGTTATAATTGCGTGCGTGCGTGCGTGTGTGTGTGTGTGGGTGTGTGTGTGTTGGGGGGGGCGCTGGGGGTGGGAGGCTGGGGCGTGTAGGCAAATACCAGGACTGGAAAAAGTAGAGTCCTAGGATCTCGACCCTCCTAGGCCGGCGGGGGTGTCTTGCTGCCTCCCTGTGAAGGTAGATGGGCTGCATGGGGGAAGGAGGGCCAGGTATGTGAGTGGGGGAGTGGACAGAGGGGTGGGGTAGGAACCAAGGGCAGCAGGGAGTCCAGGTGGGAGCAGTTGGGACGGGGATGGAGCAGACAGTCTGGTGGGAGAGTGAGGGGTGGGGGGGACAGTGGGGAGAGGGTGGCAAAGACTGCTTGAGCCTCTGAGCCTCAGTTAACTCAGAGGAGGTTGGCATAACACAGAGGGCAGTAAGGACAGGGACAATGGGAAAAAAAAAATAAAGTGAAGACCATCTTGGTTCCATTATGAGGAGTAGAGTGCCTGGATCAAGGAGGTGATGATGGTTCCATGTGTCCTGGGTAGGTCAGAGAGCAGGACCTGAGAGCATTAGAACTGGTGGCAGCCTTTCAGGCCATCTTATCTGATTCCTTTCTTTTATATATAGGGAAACTGAGGCTCAGAGAAGGGAAGGAAAGGCTACTCCCCCCAGAACAGAGTTCAGCTCTTAATAGCACTTTTTTTTTTTTTTTTGAGATAGCATCTTGCTCTGTTGCCCTGGCTGGATTGCAGTGGCTCAGTCATGGTTCACTGCAGCCTTGACCTCCTGGGCTCAAGTGATCCTCCTGCATCAGCCTCCTGAGTAGCTGAGCCTACAGATGCATGCCACCATGACCGGCTAATTTTTAATTTTTTTGTAAAGGTGGGCGGTGGGGGCGGTCTCCCTATGTTGCCCAGGCTGGTCTCAAACTCCTAGGCTCTAGCGATCCTACAGCCTCAGTCTCCCAAAGTGCCAGGATTACAGGCTCAAGCTGCCGTGCCCCATCCTGGTGGCACATTTTAAAATGCAGAACACTGACTGATAGGATCTTTTCTGGAAAAGGTCAGCTGGGGATAAACCATGTCATTGTCACCACCTCTGTTATCACCACTGAGTACCTAATGTGTACTAAGCACTTCCCAACACTATCCCTCTTACATGTGCAGCCCTGAAGTCAGAGGAGAAAATGGAAGTTCAGAGAGGTTAAGTAAGAGACAGACAACACAGCCGGTAAGGGCTTGAGCTGGGATTCACATCCAGCGTGCCCTCCTGCCTACCCTGTGTGAGGGCCTCTGCCAGGGAACAGCCAGTGAGGCTGTTATAGGGTGAGGGGCTGTGCTGGGGGCAGGGAAGCACCTCCATCTGTGTGTATGCCTCAGGAGCCTGTGGGCAGGGGAGGCATCAATTTCATCTCAGAATGAACTTTCCAGCTAGCAGAGCTGCCCAGTCATACAGTGGGCTCTACTAAGGAGCAGAATGTGCTCTGTCTCCTCCCAGGACAGGCAGTGGCCCCCTGTTGCCCCAGAGCATGAGCAGATGCCTTAACTTTGCAGATCCACCCAGCATTGGAGGCTCTGTCTGGCTCAGCCCCCTTCTCTCTCCAGCTCTGCCTCACCTCCTCTCTCCATCAACCTCTGCATTCCTGCCGGTCAGTCCTTCTTCCAGCCACTTTCTGGATACACTCCTCAGCTCTGGAACTTTGCACATGTGGTTCTTCCACCCTGTCGGCTAGACGACCCATTCTCAGGCCACTGTAAGCCTTCCATGACACTCAACAAGGTCAAGTCGCTGCCCATATGTGATGCTCAAGTGGCTTCTCTGCCCCTCCAAATATGCCTCATCACACCTTGTGAATGATTTGTTAGTCACTTCCATGAGGGCGGACTGCTTTGCATGTTCTCAGGTGTTTCTCCAGCACCTGGCACCGCACATTGTGTAGTGCTCAAGAAGAGTTTGCTGAAAGAATGAATAACGAATGAAGTTAAGAAAGAATGATGAAGTACTCAAGGCCAAATGCACGGGGGAAGGGACTTAAGTCAGCTGACCTTCACATCCCCTCCATCATCTTTTGGCCATAGTTCATGGTCTTTGATCAATTCCCCAGGGGTTAGAGATTCACAGCCACAGTTAGTAAACATTTAAGCTCTGTCAGGTGTTTTCTCACCGATGGAATAATAAGCAAGGGCTGGGCGTGGTGGCTCACGCCTGTAATCCCACCACTTTGGGAGGCCTAGGCGGGCGGATCATCTGAGGTCAGGAGTTTGAAACCAGCCTTGTCAACATAGCAAACCCCGTCTCTACTAAAAACACAAAAATTACCCAGCGTCGTGGGTGCCTGTAATCCTGGCTACTCTGGAGGCTGAGACAGGAGAATAGCTTGAACCCGGGAGGCGGAGGTTGCAGTGAGCCGAGATCGTGCCACTGCACTCCAGCCTGGGCAACAGAGCAAGACTCTGTCTCAAAAAAAAAAAAAAAGAAAAAGCAGGGACGAAGTGAAACTTTTTCAGTGGATACTAGCTTGGAGGCGTCAAGCCCTGCCTGGAATACTTTGCGCGCTGGTCGTTGCCACACCTGGCTGGACCAGCAGGGCCTCTCTTGGAACCCACGAGAGCTTTTGCTCACCGGATCTGGGCTCCCAGCTGCGCTTCCAGAAATGGCCACCAGGTGGTGGCAGAAGCTAAGAGTCCGGCCTTAGGGCGCGCCGGCCAGCCCCGGACCACCGGCAGGGGGCGCTGCTGCTCCGCCAGGTGAGCGGGTGCAGCAGAGGTGGGCCAGGAGTACCTGCTGGGCTAAGGGGCGCTGGGTCTGTCCCACCAGGAGTGGGTGGAGGAGGAGGTCCTAACAGCAGCAGGGAAGGAAGGCTGGGTGGCCCCTTTACTCTTCTTTGTACAGTGGGGACTTGACCCCTACTTCATGGGATTTATAGAAAAACTGAAGGTCTGTAAGGCCTCTATCGCAGCCACTCAACGCTGCCCTTGTGGTGTGGGACAACCCGTGGGTGCGTGGGGGTGGCTGTTCAGATGTCACAAAACGCAGCTGTCCCTCGGGTTCCATGGGGCTTTGGTTCCAGGACCTTCTACTTAATACTAAAATTTGCAGGTGCTGAAGTCACTGCTATAAAATGGAGTAATATTTGCATATAACCTACGCACACCCTCTGTATACTTTAAATTATCTCCGGATTACTCAGAAGACCTAATACGATGTAAATGCTGTATAGATAATTTTTTTTTTTTGAGACGGAGTCTTGCTCTGTCGCCCTGGCTGGAGTGCAGTGGTGCGATCTTGGCTCACTGCAACCTCCGCCTCCCAGGTTCAAGTGATTCTCCTGCCTCAGCCTCTGGAGTAGCTAGGACTACAGGCACACACCACCATGCCTGGCTAATTTTTGTATTTTTAGTAGAGACGGTGTTTCACCATGTTAGCCAGGATTGTCTTGATCTCTTGACCTAGTGATCCGCCTGCCTTGGCCTCCCAAAGTGCTGGGATTACAGGTGTGAGCCACGTGCCCAGCCGCCATAATTGTTATACTATATTGTTTAGGGAATAACCACAAAAAAAAGTCTGAACATGTTTAGTACAGAAACAATTTTGATTTTTGGAATATTGTCCATCTGTGGTTAGTTGAATCCATGGATATGGAGGATCGACTGTATTGTTCTTCTTCCTTTCTTTATTTTATTTACTTATTTTTTTGAGACGGAGTTTCGCTCTTGTTGCCCAGGCTGGAGTGCAATGGCACGATCTCTGTTCACCGCAACCTTCACCTCCTGGGTTCAAGCGATTCTCCTGCCTCAGCCCCCAAGTAGCTGGGATTACAGACATGCGCCACCACGCCCGGCTAATTTTGTATTTTTAGTAGAGATGAGGTTTCACCATTTTGGTCAGGCTGGTCTTGAATTCCTGACCTCAAGTGATCCACCCACCTTGGCCTCCCAAAGTGCTGGGATTACAGGCATAAGCCACCATGCCTGGCTGTCTTCTTCCTTTATTTTATTTATTTTAGAGACAAGATCCTATTCTATTACCCAGGCTGGAGTGCAGTGGCACGATCATAGCTCACTGCACCTTCAAATTCCCGGGGCTCAAATGATCCTCCCACTTCAGTCTCCACAGTAGGTGGGACTACAGACACACACCACCATGCCTGGCTAATTAAACATTTTCTTGTTGTTGGGTCTTGCTTTCTTGCCTAGGCAGGTCTCAAACTCCTGGCTTCAAGTGATCCTCCCGCCTTGGCCTCTCAAGGTGTTGAGATTACAGGCACAAGCCACTGCACCCAGCCTGTTCTTTTGATTTTTAAAAGAACTACCTAAAAATGTGAAAATCATTCTTAGCTCTTGGGGCCACACAAGACAGACAGGCGGGCTCTGACTAGGTAAAGTCTCACACCAGTGCCTGACTGCTAATAGGTGCCCAATTCATGGCAGGTGTTGCCAGCCCACCCAGGAGCTCACAGCCAGGCTCCATGGCTCCACCCTCCTGCCACCCCTGGAGTGGGGGTGGGGGGTGGGGGGTGGGACTCTGTCCTTCCGACTGTGGCCCCTGGCTGTCTTCCACTTTGTAGAAAGCACTCAGTGAAGGTTAGCTGTCATCTGTCCTCCCTGGCTGCATGTCCACACCTGCAGGCCTCTGCTCTTGCAGTCCCTCCTCCTGGTGAATCCCCTGTCCTTGACATCTTCCAAGAGACCACCACCATAATCAAGACAGAGAACATTCCCTTCACCCCAAACACGTCCCTTGTGCCTCTTCCCAGTCGACCCTGACTTAAAAATAATCTCCCGATTACCAAGTGCTTGCAGGGTGTCAGGTGCCACAGGGGCCCTAGGCCAGTTGGTCTCACTGAAGCCTCTGGGACCTGGTGACGTGGGGGCAGTTGTTACAGGGGGTACCTTAGGGCTGAGGGCTCTGAGGCTGGGGGATGGGAAGCAACACGGCCACGATGGGCAGGAGGCAGAGCTGGGACCTGAATCCAGGCACATCTCTTAGCCACTCTCCTGCCCTGCCTGTCCCCCAGCCCTTCGTGTTCCTAGGGCCATGTTTCTCACACCTCCTTTACTCCTGGCTAATCTGGGTGTGGCCTGGGACCCGCAGCCTTGGCGTCCGCTGGGAGCTGGTGGGAAATGCAGAGTGTTGGGCCAGATCCCACACTACTGAGTCAGCACCTGCTGTTCTGAGGCTTGGAAGCTCTGTCCTGAGGCAGGCTCTTCCTGGGAATTGGTGGCCGTGTCTGCATCCCCTCCCCTTCCCTGCTCACTGTGAGCTCCTGGTGGGCAGGTGCTCAGCTCTCTGGTGCTCACTTTGGGGACTGGCCCTTGGCCCCCTGAGAATCAAAGTTAAATGAATAGATGAAGGGAAGGGCAGGTGGTCAGAGCTTTGGGTTGAGGGTGTGGGGGTGCAGGGCTGTGGTGCTCAGGAGCTGGTGGGAGGAATGGGGCCAGGGGCAGGGGCCGGTCTAGTCACCTGTTTGGAGGTCTGGTTCTTCACTCACTCTGGCTACTGCCCAAGTTGACTCAGGGAGTCTGTGTTCATTTGCATACCTTTGCATGTGGTTAGCATATCTCTCTGGTGCAGTACGAGGCGCAGGCTGGATTGTGGAGCGGAGAAGGTGGACAGGACAGCGGGTTGGGGGCGTTGGGGGCTTTAGGGCTGCAGATATGTTTCTTGGAGCAGGTCTGGAGTTTGAGCACCCATCCTCTTTGGGTGAGGAGAGAGGCCTGCTGGATCCTCCTGGCTCTGGGTACCTGCTGGGGCTGGGCAGTTCCCACCTCCCTGCCTTCGCTCCTCAGTGGCCCTTTCCTGGAATGCCCTTTCCCCTGTGTCCCTGTGACAACCTTGTGATCTGGGTGCTGTGATCTGGGTGCTGGTTACACAGTTGGGTTCAGTCTGTGAAAATTCACTGAGTTGTACAGCAATTATATGTGCATTTTTCTGCATAAAAAATGGAAAAAGACCAGAACTAACTTCCAGGAAGAGTCCCATGCCTATTCCACAGCTGGGAGCCCTCCCCAGGGTGCCTCTCTTCCCCCTGCCCACCGTCTGCGGTGAAGGCCCTGGTCAATTTCAACTCGACTGAGTTTTATTTATTCACTCTCCTCTCCCCCTGGACTGTGAGCCACCCGGGGCAGAACCAGGTCCTGTTCATTCTTGTGTCACGTCCTATTAATTCTTGTGTCCCCCTGACATGGGACCTGGCACAGGGCAGGTGCTGAACCCATGGGTTCGACCTCACCATCTCTGGGGTGCTCCAGGAGGCCTGGGGCACTGACCACCTGGAGGGGGCATTTCTCCTTACTACCGCCACCCCCAAGCACACAAAAGGCCAGCATTACAATGCCCCTGCTGTGGCCCAGGGCTAGAAGTGGGACTCAAGGGTCCCTGGGTGGGAGTGGGTGTGGGGCACGGCCACCGTGTGGTCCTCAGTGCCCTGCCCTCCCCTGGTTCTCTCTAGCCCGGGTGGCACCTCCTCTTGTCTGTGGTTCATCCCCGGCCTTGAGGCCATCTGGGTCCCTGCTGAGTTCCTCTTCAGGCTTGGGGAGGGGGAGGCAGAGGCCTGGCTTCTCTGGACTGGGCCTGCATGCTGAGTGGCTCTGGGCCTGCCTGGCCTGGCCCTGCCTCATCCCTGCCAGCCCCTCCCTGCCCTGCAAGTTGGGGCCTCCCTGCCACCTGAGTTACAGAGACCTGTAAGCGGGCACACAGCCCCCTCCCCACTGTCTAGAACTTGGCAGAGGAGGACTCTGGGCAATGGCCTGCCTCTCTGGCCTCAATTTCCCTTTTCTGTAAAATGGGGAAAACAATTCAGGCAGCTGCCAGGTCAGATCAGTCAGAGGGTATGGGAGACCTCGGCACCCAGGCGTGTGCAGAGCAAAAGCCTGCTGGGTGTGTGTGGGGTTCGTGAGGGCGCTCTTCAGCTGGGCTGGGGTCTGCACGGTGGAGCAGGTGAGGGGGTGGGAACCTTGTTGGGGAGAGCACAGGAAAGTCAGGGCCTGAGTTTCGGCCCAACTTGATCCTAACTGGCTGCAAGCCCATCCCTCCTGGGCCTCACTTTACTTTTTTGTAAAGGGGGTCCTGAGTGAGATTGTCCTTCAGCCCACATGAGCTCCAAGGCTGGCTGAATGCCTTGCTTTCTTTGGCCTGCACAGGGTGTTATTTTGGAATTAGTTTCCAAATATGAAGCATCAGGAGGCTTCCCATACAAATCCAGAGTTCTAGCTTCCTGGGTGCAAAGCGAGAAGATCCGGCCTCCTGGGATTCCCTGTTTGCAGGCGGCAAGTGGCACAGTAGCGGGGGAAGGGGCCCTCGGTTCTCCCTGCCCCAGGGCCGACCCTCCTGCTGCCCTGCCTAGGACCCTCAGCTGCTGGCCACCCAGCCCCACACCCAGTCCTCTGGTGGCTGGTGCACCTGTGTGGGCAGGCCTCTTCTGTTTTGCCACCTTGCAGCTTCGGAGGGCAGGTCTGGATCAGACTGGCATTAGCTCATGCGCTTATCCAAAGCACACAAAGCAGAGATCTAGGTCTCAGCATTTCCTGGGGGTGTCCGGAGCCGTGGTCAGGGCCCAGAGACCGTGTCTGTGTGTGGGGTGCTGAGTCGCTCCTGCTGGGGTTCAGTCCTTTCCTTCGCCCTTCACTGGCCCCCATTCCATGTCTCAGCCTGGTCGCAAGGCCCTCAGAGACTGGACCCTGCTGTCTCTCTCTCTCTCTCTCTCTGTCTTTTTTTGAGTAAGCAGAGGGGTGTTTATTGACCTTGAGACAGGGGAGCTCTCGCCCTGTGTGGGAGGCCTGAGGGGCTCCAGAGCCCTGGGTTTCTTCCTTGCTTGAACAGAGGTGGTCCGGAGTGGTGCGTTGTGTGGCCCTGGCTCCGTGTTAAGTTAATGGCTGGGTAGGACGGAACCCTGGACTCCTGCCCCTGGCCTGTGTTCTTCCTGTGGTTCCAGGTTCAGAACAGCAAATGGCAAGGCCCCTGGCTCTGAGGCCGGGTGGTTTAAGGAGGTGGCGATGTAGGGAATGTGGGTTTGAAGGCCCTGGGCCCAGGTAACAGGATGAGTCCAAGCAGGGATTCCAAGTCTGCCGCAGGGACCCGCCCGGTGCCAGAGTCCCCTGACAGGGAAGCCCCCGCCTCTGCCCCACCACATCCTTCCCCTGAACGCGCGGCTGCAAAACCACACTGGAATTCCCGAGGGTCAGTGCCGAAGTGGTCCCAAACTGAGGAGGACACTATGCATGGGGACAGAGGAGGGGGCCATGGGGTAAGGGGGACAGGAAAGGCCATCACAGCAGGGCCCAGAGGGGAACTGACCCAGGCTGAGCAGGAGTCCCAAGGAAGGGCCCAGGTGCTGCCTGCCACCAGGACCCCCGCATTACAGAGGCCTCTCTTGCAACAAGAAAGCTTGGAACTCATAGAGGTGTCCAGAACCTCCACATTCCAAATGATGGTATCATTCTTGGGGCAGGAGGGAAAGGAGGCAGAGCCTGTTCCCCACTCTCACTTTCCCAGATGCCACAGGGACCCAGACTCCCTGTGTCTCTCATATCCCGAGACGCAGACCCTGTCAGGGAAGGGGCATGTGGCAGCGGGGCAGGCATGCCTGTGCCAGGCTGGGGCCACCAAGCACTGGTGGCAGCATAGACCTTGGGGTCTCTCTGTGCACAGCAGGGCCACCAGCAGGGCCAGGGCAAAGGTCTTCATGGTGTGGGAACTGCTCATTCTCGCTCTCTCTGGCCGGGCTGCAAGGCAAGTGGTCCCTTCCCCTGCCCCGCCATCTTTTGGCCTCACCTTCCTCCCTCCCCATGGAAGGCCCACACTCCTGTGTTCCTTGTGGCACTGCCTGGTCACAATCTCAAGTCCTCTTCCTTTCTTCCCTACCTGCACCCCCCACCCCCTAATTCAAGCCTCGGCGTCTCCACCCTCCCCAAGCCATCCCTGCCCCATCAACGAGGGCCAGCTCTATGCCCCTGATGACCTGCCAGCCTCCTGAGCCAGGCTGTGCACTCTCTGACTGCCAGGCCAGCCTCTGTCCTGCTTCCCCTACTTCCTGCTCAGAGCCGGTCATGCTGAGGCTGCGATGGAGACCTGGGAGCAGGAGGCAGCAGGGGATTCCTTGGGCTGTGGCTCTCATCATTGCTGAGAGAGGGAGAAAGGGCCCGGCCATTCCTGACCACAGCCCTGGGCTCCTGCACTCAGCCGGGCACTCACTGCATGCCAGCCTCAGACAGGGCAGTAGGGCCGCCTGGATGTGTACTGAGCCCTTCCAGCCAGGGCTTCAAGGCCGGGTCACAACTCCCGGCTCAGTGCCCAACTCCTCAACCCCTCAGCATCCACCTGCCCAGCTCATGACAGGGAGGACAAAACAAAGGAGGCCCCTGTGGGACTACACAGGCCAGCTCCTGACACTATATAGGTGGGGAAACTGGGGCCCAGAGAGGGGCGGTGACTTGTCCAAATTCATGGGCCCAGAGCTGGGCTCCTAGGCCTCTCTCCCGGGCGGCCTGAGTTAGGCCGTGGTGCCGTCAGTCCCGGAAGGTTGGGACACCCACGGCAGTACCTGACTTGCCGGGGCCCAGCCTCCAGCCCACAGCCCTGCTTTGAGCAGCAAGGGAGGCTGCCCCGCCCCCAGCGTCTCCTCCTGCCTGACTGAGTTTCCCAGAGCCAGCAGAAAGGCAGGGCCGATGCAGGTCTGAATCCGCCCAGGGATCTGGCAGTCCCAGCTGGCTTGCCCTGCCCTCGAGCCCTGGGAGCGGGAAGTGAGCCTCCCCACCTCAAATCCTCCACCTTCCCTGCCACCCACACCTTCAGCCCGGGGCCCAAACATGGCAGGGAGCCAGGCCCCTCACCTCCCTCCTTGGTAACCGAGGCAAACACCCAACACTGGAGACTGTTTGTCCTGCCAACGCTGCACCCCAACCTGAGCCCAGACGCCCTGCCGCAGTTGGGAGAAGCCTGGCTGGGGGAGGGGACGTGGCAGGGGCAGCCAGAACCTGTGGGCTTGGGGACCCTTCCCCTCCACTCCAGTTCCCCAGGAGCTTCTGAGTGAGCACAGGGCAGCGGGGCTGTTGTCTCAGCACCTTTGACTGTGAGGCCCCCAACCTCAGCCTCTGCTCCACCCCTAAGACTGTGCGCCCGGAAGGTGGAGAAGGGCTGGCTGGGGTGAGAGGGTCTGTGCTTGAACTACAGCAGAGAAAGAGAGCAGAGGGAGAAAGTTCTCTCTGGCCAGCCCAGCTGTGGGAGGGCTCAGGGAGGGAGGCCAGTGGGCCCTTTCTTTGCAGGCAGGGAGGGATGGGAGATTCTACCAGCGCCAGACCTGGGGGGCTCTGCCTCCTGATCCCCAGGGTCTGGGTGGGCACCGTGAGGCACTCCAGCGTCGCGTTTGGGGGCTGGCTGGGTGGGCAAGGAGGTGGATGTCAGGGCCTGGGGAGGCTGGGGTAAGGTGGCGCCAGGAGGGGACGGGCAGTTTTTCTGGCCTTCACTGGCCTGTGGTTTCCGCAGTGCAGGGCATGGGACTGTGGGGCGATGGAGCAAGGAGGATGGAGTTTCTGTCCCTGGGAAGCCTCTTGTCTGAGGGGAGACATGCCCCGAGCCTTCAGGGACCGCCTAGTCGGAGGGGGAGACACAGCCCTTGTCCTGGGGAGTTTGGAATAACCGTATTGGGGCCAGGGACAGAGGATGATGGAGTCACCCTGCTCTGCATGGAGCACGGGACCACCCGGCCTCACGGGGCTGGGCAGACGCTTCTGTTTCTTCTGCATGGAGCACGGGATCACCTGGCCTCATGGGGTTAGGCAGACGCTTCTGTTTCTTAGGAAGAGGTCTGTTTGCTTCTCAAATGCTTCCCGGGAACCTCCTCCACCACTGCAGCCCTGCACTGTGGGCAGGAATGTCACTAGCCCCCTTTTACGGATGAGGAAACTGAGGCTCAGGCATCTGGGAAAATGTGCTGTGGGCAGCCCCCCCGGACAGAGCTGTGCTGGCACCCTCCAGACAGTGCAGGAGAAGGGCAGGTCCCACAGAGTCCCTGCTGTTCCCCCAAGTCCTGAGGCCAGGGGGTGCTGTCTCTACTCTCAGTCCCCTGCCAGGACCTGTCCCCTGGTTCAATCCCAGGCAGGCCAGCGGGGAGGGTGGGGTGGGAGACTTGGTTCTGCTGAGGCTGCAGCTTCCCTGGCCCACCTAGGCTGAGTCAGGGCTGGGCAGGAGCCGAGGGCAGCAGCTTTCCCAGGGCCAGCCCGGGCGGCGTCCGCATTCCTCACTTGCAGGGTGCGTCTGGGCTTGGCTGAGCCAGGTGTGCTGTGCCCCACCCAGGCCCCCGCCTGCAGCTGAGCCAGCTCAGCGCTGGGGCCTTGTAAGGAAGCTTCTGGCAGCCACCAGGAACGGGGTGTGGGAACTGCTTGGCTTGCATGTCCTTGCTGGGTGGGGTGCAGGCTGGGGGAGATCAGCCTGCTAGAGCCCAAGCTCCCACAGTGGCCAGGGCAATTGGGGTGCCCACTCCTCACCCCCTCCTCACACTCTGCTCTTGCCTCTGCAGTTGGAGAGCTGGAGGCCGAGGCCCCAGGCAGTCTGTGGTTTGGAGCTTTGGTCTTGGTCATTGCTCAGTAGATGCTGGGGGCAGAATGAAGGATGTTCTGAGAGCTGAGGTGGTGGTGAGGGCCCCGCAGTGGCCAGGAAGCAGCAGAGGGACACGTTCTGTTTGCTGCCTCCAGCCTCTAAGGGATGCCTTTGTCCTAAGCAGCTTGGAGCTCTGTGCCAGATGGGGCCCTGGAGTAGAGGCTGTGAGTGCGGACTTGTGCCCATGGGGTGCCCATCTCTGGGGACTGCTGCTGACACCTTGCCACTTGGCCCTGTGTCCCCCACACCCCAGCTGGGCTGTCTGCACTGGCACCTGGGTCTGGAAGGGGTCTATATGGGGTTGGCCAAGGTCAGTCCTCACCACTTACTGCAGTGAAATTCTTCCCACAATCCACTTCCTCTCTTTGGGCCTCTGTTTTCTTTCCTGGAAAGTGGGGGTAGGAACTCCCTTTCCCAATGTCCCTGGGCGCTTTTTGTTTTTCACTTAATTAAAATTTTTTTTTGTTATTTTTGAGATAGGGCCTCACTCTGTCGCCCAGGTTGGAGTGCAGTGACGCCATCACAGCTCGTGCAGGCTTGATCTCCTGGGCTCAAGCGGTTCTCCCACCCCAGCCTCCTGAGTAGCTGGGATCACAGGTGCACACCACCAAGCCTAGCTGAATGTCCCTGGGTTCTTGGTGGATGGAATGTGACCATGAGACTGAGGATGTGTGTTGGGAGCTGAGATGAGCTGTGCTGGGACCTGCATCTTCTCCACCACAGGACCCCCCAACTTAGCGCTGTAGCTTCTCCATCACTGTCTGTGAGTCTGGCAGGGCCCCTGGATGGTGATTGGGGAAGGAAACTTCAAGTTTGGGATTTGGGGACCTTGCTCACTGTTTAGCCTCTTCCTGGAGGGCTACTGGTAGAGCCAGCATTTCAATCACACCAACAACCACCCATGGGGGACCTCCTTGCCTCCCTGTTGCCCAGTTCTGAGGCCTCAGCATTTCTGAGCACAGCCCAGGGCTGGTCCCCTCTGTCATGCCTCGCAGCAGGTAGGGCCAAGCTGTTTCCTGGGAACCTGTGATGGGCCCAGGGTGGGCCCAGGGTGGCTTGGTCTGCAGAAATCACTTCCCAAGCCTTGGTGGGAACCAGCAGTTCCTGGCCCTGGGCCCAGGGTGGGCGTGGGAATTCTGTCCTGCAGGGAGGACAGGAAGGGTGACAGCAGGGCTGTGGGAGCAGAGGCTGAGGGATGGGGTGGGACACTGGTCCTGGGCATCTAGCGTAGCCTCCACGGTGAGGGCGGCAGGCTGAGCTCCAGGCAGCTGGGTTGGGGGGCAGGGACCAGAGCAGGTGCAGCCCCCTGGCCCCACCTAGCCCCTTGCAGAGCAGTGGTGGGCAAGCCTGGCTGAGGTGTCCCAGGCTGGGGCAGAGACCCCTTGGCTCCTCTTTCTGGGGGCAGCTCCTCACTTCCCCAGCTTTCTTTGGCTGAGCCCTGGGGCTGGCTCTGGGGTGCCCCATTCCAGGGGCTCTCTGGGGACCTTGGCTGCTTTCCCTGCTTCTCTGTCCAGGGCCTTGTGGCAAGAGGATAGAACTTTGTCCTGGCTGGGTGCTGCCTGCAGTGGAAGGAAGTGCCTCAGCTCCTGAAAACCCTGCTCTGTGTCTGTGTCCTGTGGTTGAGGATGGCTTTGTGTGTGTGTATGTGCATGTGTGTTGATGGCGTGTGTGTGTGCATGTGTGCAGACATGTGTTGCTGGGATGTGAGTGTGTGTTCATGTGTGTTGGTGGGGTTCATGTGTGTGTGCATGCATGTGTGTTGGGGTGTGTGTGCAGTGTGTGTGTATGTGTGTGTATGTGTGTGCATGCGTGTGTGTTGGTGGGGTGTGTGTATGTGTGTGCATGTGTGTTGGTAGGGTGTGTGTCTGTGTATGTGTGTGCATGTGTGTTGGTTGGTGGTAGTGTGTGTGCATGCGTGTGTTGGTGGTGTGTGTGTGTGTTGGTAGGGTGTGTGTTTGTGTGTGTGCATGTGTGTTGGTTGGTGGTAGTGTGTGTGCATGCATGCGTGTGTGTGTGTTGGTGGGGTGTGTGTGTGCATGTGTGTTGGTGGGGGAGGCACTTGTTTCTGTGGGGTGGTCTTCTGGACATTCGCACTGGCGTCCCTGTAGTTAGAGTCTGAACCCTGAAGGATTCTGGGAGCTGGCACTGGGAGCTGGGCCCAGGGCAGCCTGGGACCTAGTGGGAACAGGCGAGAACAGGCTGGTACTGGCTGGCGGGAGCGGCAGCAGCTGGAATGTGTGGGCTGCCCCACCCTCCCTCACCCAGGAATGGGCCCTCGTCGCGGAGCCAGGACCCAGCCCCTTCGCCCAGCTGTCCCAGCTCTGCCCCACCAGGCCTCCTGAGCCCCCGTTCCCTCCTGTGGGGCTCCCCCACTGCCCTCGCTCCTGGCTGGGCTGGAGCCAGCGGGCCAGCTGGGGCGGGCTGTCTGGGAGGAGCTGGCACTGCTTCTTCAGGATCCCAGGTCTTGGGGCCGTGTGTTTCCAGGTCTGCACAGACCGACCCTCTGTCACTTACAGGGGCCTCGTTGTGATGAATCAGGGAAGAACGTGGCTGTACCTGTGGGGGGTTTCCCTGGACCAGTGGTGGGCTCCTGGGCCTGCTCTGCTCCTGGAATGGAGGCTGAGGACCACCTGCCCTCCTGCAGGTTTTGGGTACAAGCTGTGTGCCTCTGCAGAGCAGCTGTGTCCTCTCCTGTCCTGTGCAGTTAATCAGGGCTCCCTGTGGCTTTCAGGAGCAAGGCCCCGCTCCCTCGTGTGGCACGCAGGGCCTCTCCCAGGTGGGCCTCTCCCAGGTGGGCCCCTGCTCACCTTGCCAGGCCCAGCCCCCACCCCCTGCCTTTCCAGCCAGCTCCCCTGGCCTGGGACATCTCATGCTTCCCTGAGGGTGCCCCCTGCCATGGCATGTGCCCATCACCCTGCCTGGAAGGCCGGCATCTCCTGTGTCTCCTGCTGTGCTGGACCTGCTCAGATCCTTTCCCCACCTGTCCTGCCTTGAGGCTGGGTCAGGGACCCCTCATGGGCACTCCCACAGGCCAGCCTGCACAGGTCTCCACGGTGTCTCGTGAGGTCCAGGAGCTCCCCAAGATCAGGGCCTGCTGTGTGTCCCCTGTCATGTCCCCAGGTCAGGCTCTCCCACGTATGGGCTGGGGAGTGAGAGGATGAGCTAGTGAGTGGGTACAGGAAGCCCGGGGAGTTCCTCTGAGGCCCAGTCCTGGCCCCGATTCTGCTTCCTCCAGTCCAGGAGGAATATCCCTCTACCTTGGGACTGGGGTCTCCTGGGAACATTCTAGAAATCTCTCTTGCAATCAGGGAGGATACAAGCCCC
This sequence comes from Homo sapiens, assembly GCF_000001405.40. NCBI lineage: Eukaryota > Metazoa > Chordata > Mammalia > Primates > Hominidae > Homo > Homo sapiens. The sequence goes on along the minus strand of NC_000017.11, from coordinate 41,650,629 downwards.
TCCTCTTTCCTGATGAGGATGTAAGATTAACAGGCCAGAGTGGCAATGGCGTCTTTGTGTGAGTGTGTAAGGTGTGTACCCGTGAGAGGTTGTGTGAATGTGAAAGTTTGCGCGTGTGTCCATGAGTGGGTGACAGTGTGGACATGAGTCTATGAGTGTGAGTGTGAGTATGGGGAAGTTTGTGAGTATGGGGAAGTTTGTGAGCATGTGCTGGTGTGTGTGAGTCTGGGAATGTCAGTGTATGTGTGTGAATGTACATGTGAGCGGCACGTGAATGGGTATGAGTCTTTGAGTGTGTGTCAGCCTGTGAGCATGTGCCTGTGTGTGAATCTGGGAGTGTGAGTGTGTGTATGAGCTGTGTGTGAACGTGTGTGTGAGTCTTTGTGTGTGCATGTGTCTGAGAGTGTCAATGTGTGTGTGAATGTGTGTATATGAGTCTTTGAGTGTGTATCTGTGAGCATGCGCCTGTGTGTGAATCTGGGAGTGTGTGTGTGAGCTGTGTGTGAACGTGTGTGTGTGAGTCTTTGTGTGTGCGCATGTCTGAGAGTGTCAATGTGTGTGTGTGGATGTGCCTGTGAGCTATGTGTGAATGTGTATATAGGAGTCTTTGAGTGTGTGTGTATCGATCTGTGAGCATGCGCCTGTGTGTGAATCTGGGAGTGTGAGTGTGCATGTGAACTGTGTGTGAATGTGTGTATATGAGTCTTTGAGTGTGTGTCAGCCTGTGAGCATGTGCCTGTGTGTGAATTTGAGAGTGTAAATGTTCGTATGAGCTGTGTGTGAATGTACGTGTATCAGTCTGTGTGTGTCTGAGAGTCTCAATGTGTGTGTGTATGTGCATGTGAGCTATGTGTGAACGTGTGTGTATGAGTCTTTGAGCATGTGTGTGTCAACCTGTGAGCATGCACCTGTGTATGAATCTGGAAGTGTGTGTGTGTGTGTGTGAGCTGCGTGTCGATGTGTGGCTTATCCTGCAGGAGTGCTGACCCGGGACTCCGGGCGGTAAAGAAGCCTGGGTCCAGGCTCTCCCCTTCCCCAAAGCCACAGGCAACCCCAGAGACACTCAGAGCCCTCTGCATTCTGGGGGTTCTGGGGGCGATCTGGGGAGCTTGTAGGCTCACTTTGCTCCACTGAGCGATGAGTGGTCTTTCCACATTCTAGAGAGGGCTCGGAGGCCTTTATTTTGAAAAGAGTAATACTGAATAGATTCAAAATAATATTTACAAAATATGTGTAGGATTTAAGAATGAAGGCACTGCCGGGCGCTGTGGCTCACGCCAGTAATCCCAGCACTTTGGGAGGCCGAGGTGGGCGGATCACCTGAGGTCAGGAGTTCGAGACCAGCCTGGCCAACATGGTGAAACCCTGTCTCTACTAAAAATACAAAAATTAGCCGGGCGTGGTGGCAGGCGCCTGTAATCCCAGCTACTTGGGAGGCTGAGGCAGGAGAATCGCTTGAACCCAGGAGGTGGAGGTTGCAGTGAGCCGAGATCACCCCATTTCACTCCAGCCTGGGCGACAAGAGTGAAACTCGACCTCAAAAAAAAAAAAAAAAAAAAAAAAGAAAAAAACAAAAAAAGAATAAAAGCACAACAAACATCCGTGAATCCACTGCCCAATTTTGGACATTTTAGCTTCGATGTGCGCCTCGCGCTCTGCCCGCAGTGTAACCGCTAGCCTGGATTTGGGATTTGATTCCTTGCTTTCCTTTACAGATTTGAAGTCCTTCCCCCAGGCCCTGGACGGGGAAACTCAGGACTCCTCTCCGGGTAGAGTCTGGCAGCAGTCGGGCCAGAACAGCTCAGTGCTGCCCTCTGGGGGCGAGGCCGCGGCTTCCTCCTGCTCAGCCCCAGCCTGGGTTGGAAGGAGCCCACCCAGCTAAGCGTGGCGAGACCCGACAGAGGGGTGGGCGCAGTCACTGCCCACACACCTGCAAGGCACGCCTGGACGCACATCCGCATGTGGCCATGCACAGGTGTGCACACGGACTTTACCCTCGTTCGTTTGTATTATGTCCCCCGTTGGTGTCACACCCCGCGTGGGAAGCCCAGAAGCCGCTGCCGCTCCTCAGGAGTTGACAGGAGGGAGAGGTCCCCGCGGGTGGAGCGTGTCTGCTCCAGGGACCCTCAGACTCGGGGCCGGGCAAGCTGGAGGGAAGGCTGGTTTTGGGGTTAGCAGTTTATTAACAGAGGGACTTGAGCGGGTGGGCGTGGGGGAGGGACACGTGCCAAAGGCAGGGAAGGGCTTTTTTGAGATGGAGGGATGGGGGATAGGGGGTGATACACAGCGCAGGCCAGCTTCAGAAGGGAATGTTGTGTCCATGCGCCTGGAGGCAGAGGCATGGACACACGGCCCAGCCGGGGCCTGGTGCTCTGGCTGTTAAGGGACTAGAGACGGTGAAGCTGAAGATGGCGAGGAGGAGCCAGGACCCTGGGGGAGAAGGAGTAGTTTGCAGAGCGCAGGTGGAGGATGGGTCTCCAGGGTCCCTGCATTCCTCCCGCGGCCTCGCGGGCTCCTCTCGGGACTGCAGCGCAGAGGCGCCACCCAAGATGGCCAGCAGAGGGCGCTCCTGCTACAGATTTGGGGATCCCGGGCGGCCGGAGCGTGTCCCCGTTTAACAGGGCATGAGCCTTGGAAGGCGGCTGGGCCTGGGGTCTCCATGGGGAGCACTAGAGCCTGCCCCTTGGGAGCCACCGAGCACAAGAATGAGGAGAGACGACCTCATGAGGTGGGAACCCCACAGGGTTCCATGCATCCTTTTCTGCTGCTGCCGGGTCAGGCATTTGTCTGGTCAATGCTTCCATCCTTTTGTCCCAAGGTGGTGCCTTTTAAATCACCCCCGGAGATGTGACTGGCCCGCCTAACCTGCCCTGGAGGTCTTCCTCCAGGCCAGGGGTCTGTTAGGGCCAGCTAGCCTTTCTAGAAAGTTCCCTGGGTTCTAGCCCCTGCAGCTTCCCTGGTGGCCCCTTGCTCCTGCTTCCTGTCCCTGCCTCTGGGAGGAGGACTTGCTTGTCTGGTCTCCTTCCTCACCCTGCCTCATCCAAGGAGGCTTCTCCATCGCTGCCGGTGCATCCTGCAGTTCTGAGGACCAGACGCACCCTTGGTCTTCTGCCGTAAAGAGTTACGGGCGTTCACGCAGCTGGCGGGTGAACACTGCCAGGTCCCCTGCTTGGCTTGAGGTGTGGCAGCCGCCATCAACTACTGGGGGAGGCGACTAGGGAGGAGAAAATCCCTTCGGTTGTGAATTCTGCCTTCCACCTCCCAGCATCTCCACCTGGACAGAGGGACCACACACTCAAGCCATTTACTCATTGATTTTTAAATTAAATTAAATTAAATTTATTTTAAAATTATTAAATTTTAATTATATATTTATTTGTAATTATATTTAAATAATTAAATCTGTTTATAATATAAAATTATAAAATTTAATTTATAAATTTTAAATTATTTAAAATAAATTAAAATTTATTTTATTTTATTATTATTTTTTGAGACAGAGTTTCGCTTTTGTTGCCCAGGCTGGAGTGCAATGGTGTGATCTTGGCTCAGTGCAACCTCTGCCTCCTGGGTTCAAGCGATTCTCCTGCCTCAGCCTCCAGAGTAGCTGGGATTACAGGAATACGCTACCACGCCCGGCTAATTTTTTGTATTTTTACTAGAGACGGGGTTTCTCCATGTTGGTCAGGCTGGTCTCGAACTCCTGACCTCAGGTGATCTACCCGCCTCGGCCTTCCAAAGTGCTGGGATTACAGGTGTGAGCCACTGCACCCAGCAACATTTATTTTATTTTATTTTTATTTACTATTATTATTTTTCAGATGGAGTCTTACTCTGTTGCCAGCCTGGAGTGCAGTAGCACGATCTCGGCTCACTGCAACCTCCACCTCCTGGGTTCAAGTGATTCTCGTGCCTGAGCCTCCTGAGTAGCTGGGATTACAGGCACGTCCCACCACACCCAGCTAATTTTTGTATTTTTAGCAGAGACGGGGTTTCACCATGTTGGTCAGGATGGTCTTGATCTCCTGACCTTATGATCTGCCCGCCTCAGCCTCTCAAAGTGCTGGGATTACAGGCGTGAGCCACCGTACCCGGACATATTTTATTTTTTGAGACAGAGTCTGGCTCTCTCTCCCAGTCTGGAGTGCAGCAGTGTGATCTTGGCTTGCTGCAACCTCCATCTCCTGGGTTCAAGCGATTCTCCTGCCTCAGCCTCCCGAGTAGCTGGGATTACAGGCATGTGCCACCACACCTGGCTAATTTTTGTATTTTTAGTAGAGTCAGGGTTTCGCCATGTTGGCCAGGCTGTTCTCGAACTCCTGGCCTCAAGTGATCTGCCCGTCTTGGCCTCCCAAAGTGCTGGAGCCATTCATTTATTAATTTGTTCATTCATTTATTCATATCTGCAGTTATTGGGCACTCTTTGCTATGGCCATTTCCAGGGACAGAGAGAAGGAGGCAGGGTCCCTGTCCCATGTCTAGAAGGGGAGTCAGGTATACAAGCAGGTGTAACCACATAGGGTGAGACGTGCCCCATAGAGGGGAATTGCTGTGTTTCCGTGAACTCCGCTTGTCCTAGCTTCCCTATCCTAGTCAGTGACATCATCACCCACCCAGTTACTCAGCTCAGAAAATGCAGAGTCATCCTGCTGTTCCCAGCTCAGGCCTGGCTCCCTGTTGGCCATGGTGTCCCATCCTCACCTCACAACTCTCTCCCAGGCCACCACTTCAGCCCTGAGGCCAGTTCTGCTCTATCCAGCATTCACACTGCCACAAAAGAGAGCTCCTTCAAACTACTCGATGCCCAGACACAGGAAAAAGAAGGAAGGAATGTGGCCTGAGGGAATTGTCTGTATGGAGAAAGACCGAAAAACAAAGTTGGAAAATGAAAAAGTAACTGGGAAAATGCATTCACAACACCTGTGCCAAGGCCTCTTCCCATGTTTATGAAAAGCTCACACAAACCAGGAAGGCCAAGACTGCAGACAAGAATAGGCAAAGGATAGGAACAGCCAGTTCCTAAGAAACAAGAAGGAGAACAAGAAGCAACCACGAAATATAGGGAAGGATGTGGTCTTTGTCTGTTCTGTGCTGCTCTAACTGAACACTTGAGACTGGGTGATTTAACAGAGTAGAGAGATTTACTTCTGAGAATTCTGGAGGCTGGGAAGTCCAGGGTTAGGGGGCTGCATCTGGCGAGGGCCTTCATGCTGCAGCATCCCATGGCAGGAGGTGGAAGGGTAGAGAGGGGAGTGGGGGGAGAGAGAGAGACAGAGAAGGAAGGGGACCAAACTCATCCTTTTATCAGGAACCCACTCCCTCCATAACTGCAATAACTAACCCACTCCCCTGGTAATGGCATTAATCTATAAGGCCATTAATCTCTGCCTTTGTGACCTAATCTCCTCTTAACGGTCCCATCTCTCAACAGTATTGCATTGGAGATTACGTTTCCAAAACATGAACTTTGGGGGATACATTCAAACTACAACAGAAGTTCAATTTTACTCATAATTAAATAAACGGAAACTGAAGCAACAGAGAGATCTGTTTCAACTATGAAGAAAGACAAAAGGGCCAGGCATGGTGGCTCACAGCTATAATCCCAACACTTTGGGAGGTCAGGGCAGGAGGATAGCTTGAGCCCAGCAGTTTGAGACCAGCCTGGGCAACATTGTGAGACCTCATCTCTACAAAAAATGCAAAAATTAGCCAGGTATGGTGGCACACACGTGTAGTCTGAGCTACTCGGGAGGCTGAGGTGGGAGGATCACTTGGGCCTACGAGTTCAAGGCTGCAGTGAGCCATCAGTGGTGATCACACCATTGCACTCCAGTCTTGGTGACAGAATGAGACCCTATCTCAAAAAAAAAAAAAAAAGGAAAGGCCGGGTGCAGTGGCTCACACCTGTCATCCCAGCAGTTTGGGAGGCTGAGGCAGGTGGATCACTTGAAGTCAAGAGTTCGAGACCAGCTGTCCAGCATGGTGAAACCCCATCTCTACTAAAAATACAGAAATTAGCAGGGTGTGGTGGTGGGTGCCTGTAATCTCAGCTACTTGGGAAGCTGAGGCAGGAGAATCACTTGAATCCAGGAAGCAGAGGTTTCAGTGAGCCGAGATCATGCCATTGCACTCCAGCCTGGGTGACAAGAGCAAAACTCCATTTCAAAAAAAAAAAAAAAAGATAAAAAAAGGAAAACAACAACAACAAACAAACTTTGATGGTGTCATTGCTAGTAGATGTATAAGGGGAAAGATATTCTTAGTCATGATTAGGGCAAGTGATAATTTGTAGAACTTTTCAAGGTGACTTTTTTTTTAACTGTGGAAAATTCCAGATGTACACAAAAGTAGAGAGAATAGCAAAATGAGCTCCCATATGCCCATCACCCGGTTTTGATAATTGTCAACATGATGCCATTTTGATTTCTTCTCTCTCCCGCTGCCAGTTTTTATGGAAGAAGTAAGAATACTTTAAAGCAAACTCCAAGTATCATTTCATTTTACTCTGGAAGAAAATTTGGCAGTGGCTCTCGAAGTATAAAAGGATTTACCCTTTAACCCAGTCATCCCACTGCTAAACTTTCCCCTGAAGATGTATTTGCAAAAGTTCACCATGCTTTACATCCAGGGAGGTTTATGACACTATTGCTTGGAAAAGCAAAAAGCCTTGGAGACCAGAGAGGTTGTTGTCAGGGACGAAGTAGATAAATTATAGCTCATCGTCATGACGGATTAAAAAGAATGAGGTGGCTTTCCAAGAGATATTATTAACTGGGAGACCGAAGCATTGGAGATATCGATAATATCCCTTTTGTTTGATTAAAATCTATATAAATAGACACATTAAGAACAAAACAGCACACAACCATGCTTGGATGACTCCCTATTAATACAGGATAAAGTCCAAACTCTTCAGCACCCTGTCATGGTGGTCTTCCTTTTCAACCTTTGTCCCAGTCATTTCTTCCACTTGTATGACCTATGAATTGGCCCAGAGATTTCCAAAATGGTGTCCCAGGAACCCTAGCTCCACCTGCTTCTCCTGGAAGTGGCTCCATGTCCATATGAATTTGGGAAACACAGCATCACACTGTGCATTGGCTTGTTCCAAGCTCTGAGAAGTTTGCAGTGCAACAAGCAAACAAAAACTGTCTGTCGAAGACATGAGGCTCCCAGGCCCATGGGGCTGTGGATCACGGTTCTCAGTTCTGCTCTTAAGAGCACCACAGGGGCCTTAAGAGGCCCCTGTGCATCAGGGATGAGAACCTCCCTATACATCAGGGATGAGAACCTCTGCTCTGAGGGTCAGCCCTGTCCCTTCCTGACTTGATGTGGCTTGACTCTCTCCTTTGCCCACTCCACCCCAGCCACACAGGCTCTTCTTTCTGTTCCCCAGAACGGAATACCTCGGTCCAGCCTCAGGGCCCTTGGACCAACTGTCACCTCAGCCTGGAGTGTCCTTCCCTGCACGTGGCTGGCTCTTTACATAGTTCAGTTCCCCCCTTAACTGTCACCTGGGAGAGGCCTTCCCCAGCCTCTCGAAGCACTCATAGTCCCCTTTGTATTTCCTTGGAGAATGGACCATCCACTGGTTTGTTGATTGCCCATTTCTCCTGCTAGAATGTCTGTTCCACGAGAGCAAAAATGTGGTTTGTGGTGTTTATTCCCAGAGACTGAGACAGTACCTGGCACAGAGTAGGTGCTCAACTAACAGGAGATAAAGAAATGCGTTTCTTTGCAAGATCCATTTTCCATAGCACTCCTACTGCATCCCCCTGGAAATGCTGATGCAGCTATGGGTCTCTGGGTGTTCCCCAAACACACCAGGTGCATTCCCGTGTCTACCTGGACGATTTTCCACCTTGTCTTCTCAGCCTGGCAAAGTGCTGCCCTGGCTTCGAAACCCAGCTTTGCTGTCCCTCCCTGTGAAACTATCCTCCGAGGCCTGGTCTGAATGAGTTGCTCCCTCCCTGGGCCTCCCAAGGTGCCTGTACACACATACCTTTGTCACTGCACGAGTAACATTGCGCTGCACTGAACTGTTTTGTGTGTGTCTCACTCACGGCCTGCTCTCACTAAGGGCAGGGCTTGGCTGACTCAGTACTGAATTCTGAGCACCCAGCTCTGTGACTGCACACAATGAACCCAACAATTAGGTGCTGAATGAAATCCAACTCTGGGCTCTTACTGCCTGCGTCCATTCAGCAAGCATCAATAGGGCAACTACTGTGTACGAAGCACTGAGTCAGACCTTGTAGTAGGTCCAAAGATGAACAGAAAACCACCTTTTGGCTGTAAAGGATTATCAATTGAGAAGGGGAGCAGATCCGCCTCTCAGTAATTCTTTTTTTTTGTTGCTGTTGTTGAGATGGAGTTTTGCTTTGTTGCCCAGACTGGAGTGCAGTGGCACAATCTCAGCTCACTGTAACCTCCGCCTCCTGGGTTCAAGTGATTCTCCTGCCTCAGCCTCCCAAGTAGCTGGGATTACAGGCTCTTGCCATCACACCTGGCTAATTTTTTTTTTTTTTTGAGACGGGGTCTTGCTCTGTCTCCCAGGCAGGAGTGCAGTGGCGCGATCTCGGCTCACTGCAAGCTCCGCCTCCCAGGTTCATGCCATTCTCCTGCCTCAGGCTCCTGAGTAGCTGGGACTACAGGCGCCCGCCACCATGCCCGGCTAATTTTTTTTTGTTTTTTAGTAGAGATGGGGTTTCACTGTGTTAGCCAGGATGGTCTCGATCTCCTGACCTCGTGATCCACTTGCCTCGGCCTCCCAAAGTGCTGGGATTACAGGCTTGAGGCATCGCGCCCGGCCCACACCTGGCTAATTTTAGTATTTTTAGTAAAGATGGGGTTTCACCATGTTGGCCAGGCTGGTCTTGAACTCCTGACCTCAGGTGATCCACCTGGCTCAGCCTCCCAAAGTGCTGGGATTACAGGCGTGAGCCACTGCGCCTGGCCCCGCCTCCCAATAATTCTAACACGAGTGTGAGAGGCTAGCACCTCTGGTGCTAGAATGAGCTAGGGGAGTGCGTTCATTTTCCATTACTGCTGTAACAAATTATCAAAAACTTGGGGGATTAAAGCAACACACATTTATCCTCTTACAATTCTGAAGCCAGAGGTCCAACATGGGTCTTAGGGTGCTAAGACTGAGGTGTCAGCAGGGCTGTGTTCCTTCTGCAGGCTCCAGGAGAGACTTGTTCCTTGCCTTTTTCGGCTTCTGGAGGCTGCCGCACTCCTTGGCTCAGGGCCGCGCGTCAGTCTGACCTCTGCTTCTCTGGTTATGTCTCCTTCTCGGGCATTGACTCCTGTCTCCTTCCTGTTAAGATCCCTTGTGAACCACAGCCTCACATCCGCAAAGTCCTTTTTGCCCTATAAGGTGCATATTTCCAGGTTCTGGGGATTCAGATATGGACATATTTGGGGTTTATTATTTTTTAGCTTTTATTTTTTGAGACGGAGTCTCGCTCTGTCGCCCAGGCTGGAGTGCAGTGGCGCGATCGATCTTGGTTTACTGCAAGCTCCGCCTCCCAGGTTCACACCATTGTCCTGCCTCAGCCTCCCCAGTAGCTGGGACCACAGGCACCCGCCACCACGCCCGGCTAATTTTTTGTGTTTTTAGTAGAGACAGGGTTTCACTGTGTTAGCCAGGATGGTCTCCATCTCCTGACCTCGTGATCTGCCCACCTCGGCCTCCCAAAGTGCTGAGATTACAGGCTTGAGCCATCGCACCCAGCATATTTGGGGTTTATTATTCTGCCTACCACAGGCAGGGCAGGATGACTTCTCATGGCAGGGAGGCTTTGCCCAGCCAGCTTTTGGAGTCACCGAAGCTTTATTGAATCACTAGTTACTACAAGGCCTGTGACAGCTACATATTGACTCATTTAATCTCATGAAGAGTTTGTTACAAAAGTCTAGTCCTGGCTGGGCTTGGTGGCTCACACCCATAATCCCAGCACTTTGGGAGGCTGAGGTGGGTGGATCGCCTGAGGTCAGGAGTTTGAGACCAGCCTGGCCAACATGGTGAAACCCAGTCTCTACTAAAAATAGAAAAAATTAGCTGGGCGCGGTGGTGGGCACTTGTAATCCCAGCTACTCTGGAGACTGAGGCAGGAGAGTCGCTTGAACCCAGGAGGCGGAGGTTGCAGTGAGCCGAGATCAAGCCATTGCACTCCAGCCTGGGCAACAAGAGTGAAACTCCGTCTCAAAAAAAAAAAAAAAAGTCTAGTCCTTTCATTCTGCAGAGGAGGAGGGTTTGAGCCTAAAAGAAGAAAAATGACTTGCCCAAGTTGGGCAAGAGTCCAGATTTGACCCCAGGTTCTTGGACTTGGAGCTCTTTGCATGACATCATAGAGTGTGATCATAGCTAACACAATGCCTGACCCTGTGGTTGTGAAGATTAGAAACTCTGGTCCCTCTCCATGAAACTTTGCTGAAAAAAGTGCGTCAACCAGAAACACTCAATAACAAGGCTCCCAGGGACCCTGGGTTCTGAGGCAGAGATGGCAGGGACCACAGTGCTGCAGGAGTTTAGTGGAGGGAGCTTGCTCCTGGCTGGCTGGAGGGCAGCTCAGCTTCCTGGATGGAGGAAGCAGGCCTGTATGGCGGGCTGGGGCTCAGGCAGAACACTCCATGGAGCCCAGGCCTCTGCAAAGGAATGCTCCTGCCCTGTTCTCCTGTTTTGCCCTTGGAAAGGATAGATGATGGCTTGCTCTGGTCCTCGTTCCCTGGTCCTCCCTCCCCTAGTCCTCTCTCCCTTGGTTCTTCTCCCATAGCCCTTCCTCTGCTGGTCCTCCCTCCCCCAGTCCTCCTCCCCTGGTCCTCTTTCCCCTGGTCTTCCTACCCTAGTCCTCCCTCTCCTCATGCCCTTCCCCTGGTCCTCCTTCCGCTGGTCTTACCTACCTAGTCCTCCGTCCCCTCTTCCTCCTCCAGCAGTCCTCCCTGCCCTGGTCCTCCTCCCTCAGTGCTCCCTGCCCTGCTTCTCCTCCCTTGTTGGTCAGTCAGGTGTGTCACACTGTGGTGGGCTGGGTGGTCAACACCAGGACAAGGAGTTGAGAGACCCCCTTCACATCAGGGAGAAAGAGCTCCTATGTCAAGGGAGCCCCCAATCTGAGGGGGAGACATGGCTGCTACCTTGAGGAAGTGTCCAATTTAAGGGAAGAGACACAGTCTCTGTTTTGGGGAGCCTGGCCTCATCTGCCCCTGGAGAAAGCCACTCAAGAGCATTGCAGAGCAGGCGCGAATGAGCGCTCATCAACAGGGAGAAACCAGCCTCCCCAGGGCGCAGGGAGGGAGGAGCGAGCTGGTAGCTGGGTCGGGGAGGGAGGTGCAGCTGGGGGTTTGGGGTCTGCAGGGTGGGAAGGAGCCTGGAGTCCCCTTGGTGTCTCTGACTCCCATTTCCCCAGGCCCTCAGGTTGCCCTCAGCCAGGCTGCAGGGCAGAGTGGAGAGGGGGTGTGAGCCTGAAAGGGGAACCCACTGGAGTTTCTGCCTCTCACTCACCCCTATGCATCTCTCAGGCCAAGGAAGCGGTGGGGGAAGTGAAAAGAGGGAGGAAAAAGAGGGAGGGAAGGGCAGAGGGAGGGAAAGACAGAGGGAAGGACAGAGGGACGAAGCCGTCTGGTCAAGACTCCTCTCACAGGAGTCTTCACCCTGTGAGAGGCAGTGAGGTGTCCCACGGGTGACCCCCGAGGCCTGGGTTTCCTGTCCGTGATGTCCTCCCCACTCATTCCCACTGGTCCCCAGCCTTCCCTCCCTCCCTCCCTTGCTCTGTCCTCCCGCCCTGGGCCTCATCCGAGGCATTCAGTCCTCTAGGCCCTCTTTTGGGAAGGGCCCCTGGACAGCTGATGTGCTGCCTGGAAGGGTGGGGTGTTCCTGGGTGTCCGTATCCTACGTCTTGGATCCGCCACAGGCTGACAGTTCCTGGAAACCAGTCAGAGGTGAGTGAGGGGTGCAGAGGGGAAGAAAGGCTGGGTCCACTTACCCCTGGGTAGGGGAGCCCCTGGCCAAGCCCTGGGTATACAGGGGGTGCTGGGGGATCCCCTTACCTCTGTCTCTTCAAACTGGGGCAGAGGCTCAGGGCACCCAGCAATGTTCCGAATCTCCCAGGGCCCTGGGAAGGTGGAGGGTGGGAGGATCTGGGTGGGGCCGCCTGGGGCCTCAGGATAGAGGCAGGAAACAGAATAGAGGAAGCAGGATTCCACCTGTGGAGGCGGCAGGTGTGGCTGGGTGAGGGTGCACTTCTCAGGCGATGCTGGGCCAGGGGTGGGAGTGCCTGGGGGTGAGCGAGGGGCAGGAGATCTGTGACCTCCAAGGGCCCTGCAGGTGACAGGGGCTCTGTGTCTGAGGGGTGAATGGAAAGGACCCCAGTGGGTCTTAGTGACAGGGGACTAGGGGTGGAATGAGGGTCTCTGGGGTTCTCTCCTCATCAGCGAAGCCAAGGTCTCAGCTGGGAGCCCGTTCTGGGCTCCAGGGCCTCTCACTTTCCCTGACCACCTGATACTGACCCTTTTCCTTGAGGGGAAGGGTAGGTGGCCATGTCCCTTTCCTGGGACCTTGTCTCCTCCCCAGTCACTGCTCAGGCTCCATGACCCTAACAATTCAGCAAGCACTCACAGAGCACCTGCTGCATACAGCCCGCGCTGGTTCTGGGCAGGGGTGTGGGGTATGGGGTGGGCACCATCCTAAGGGTTGACAGTTAATCCTTGCGGGGGCTCGTAGGAGCCAAGGCCAGCTGGGCAGACGGGGCATGACCTTGTCTTTTTGTTTTTTCTTTTGTTTTTTTGAGATGGAGCCTCGCTCTGTTGCCCAGGCTGGAGGGCTGTGGGACGATCTCAGCTCACTGCAACCTCCACCTCCCGGGTTCAAGCGATTCTCCTGCCTCAGCCTCCTGACTACCTGGGATTACAGGTACTACCACGCCTGGCTTATTTTTGTATTTTCAGTAGAGTCGGGGTTTCACCATGTTGGCCAGGCTGGTCTCAAATTCCTGACCTCAAGTGATCTGCCTGCCTCGGCCTCCCAAAGTGTTGGGATTACAGGTGTGAGCCACTGATCCTGTCCAGACCTTGTCAACCTTGTCAATATCAATATGCATCTATTGGCTGGGCGTGGTGACTCACTCCTATAATCCCAGCACTTTGGGAGGCAGAGGCAGGAGGACTGCTTGAGCCCAGGAGCCTGAGACCAGCCTGGGTAATATAGTGAGACCCCATCTCTATTTAAAGTAAAAAAAAATGCATCTATTGAACATCTCCTTTCCATAGGGCCCCAGATCATTCTACGCCCTCTGCCTCCCCACAACATAGTAGGGGTGATATTAGGGGACACTGTCCCCAAACCCTAGCTCTGCTCAAATTCCAGGCAGGTCCTGTCTGTGCTGCGCTCTCCAGCATGCTGGCTTTTCTGCACTCTCTGCAGAGGAGACTGAGGGGGAGTCAAGGTGGGGCTGGCACCCAGGGCACTGGGGGAAGCTTCAAGTTCTCCCAGCCACCTCCCTGGGCCTCCCCCTCTCCCACCTGCGCTGGGCTCCAGCAGCCTCTGGGGCTGGAAGAGCCATTGGACCTCTCCTTCTTTACCCCTTTGTCTTCCATGGGGGCCAAGCTGCTGCCGCTGCCGGGGCTGCAGGCCTGGGCTGCCCCTTGCGGGTGCCAGGGATCTCTCCCTGCTGGGGGTGGAGGACAGGCCCAGACAGGATGTGCCACAGCCCAGAGGACCTCTGTGTGGCCCTCCAGCCGGCCCCTGTCAAGCCTTCCTCCCTGGCTGGGAGAGTGGGAGCTGCCGAGGCCCTGGCTTCAGGCCCGGCTCTGATGCCAACATTGGGTTGCCCGACTGCCCGCTGCTCAAGCACCCTGTGTCTTGGTGTCCTCAAGGCACTGTTGTGAGGGTCTCAGGAGGAATGTTTGCATTTTCCTAGCCCTGGCCAGGGAGTGGCCCCACGCTCTGGAGGGCCAGGGAGGCCTTCCTGGGGTCCCACTTCTATCTCTGCTGAGATCTGAGCTGTGCCCTCCTGCCCGGCTGGCCCAGCTGGCCCGGCCTGTCCTCAGCATGTGAGGCTTCTCTGGGTTGGGGGCTAGAGGGGGATTCACAGGCAGTAGAGCCTCTAACGAGCAGTAGCAAAGGGGCCTGGGGGGGGGGTCAGTGGCGTGGGGAAACTGAGGCCCAGAGAGGAAGAGGAGCAGGCTCGCGGCCCAAAGCCTGTCAGGGGTGAGGAAGCTTGTGGGGGCTAAATGGTGGTATTGGGGGTTGGAGGCCTTGGTGATTTTAGAGGCAGAAAGAAGAGTAATAAACTCTCTGCTCCTTCAAATTGGGCCTCAAGACTAAGGTCTGGGTACTCTGGAAGTGGGGTTCCCAGGCAGGGTGAGCACTGGCGGTGTGGGCTCTACGGGGAGGCAGAGGGGTGGTGGCACCCCACGACCTGGCCCCCTCCCTAGGGCCCTGGCTTTGCCCCACATTTGCTGCTGGAAGGCGGGGCAGTCCCTTTTGTGAGCCCAGAGTGAGGCCCACCTGGGTAGCCCAGCTGGCCTAGGGGAGGATGGGGCCTGGGAAGGGAGGGGTTGTTAGGAGAGGATGGGGATGGGGAGGGTCTTGGTTTCGTGTCTCTTCGTGTGTGAGTGCCTGCTGGTGCAGTCTTGACTCTGGCGGCTCAGGTGAGCACGGGTTTTACTGGGTCTCTCTCCTCCCCGAAGACAGTCCTGGATTGCCAGGAAGTCCTTCCAGATGTCTAACCTCGTGCTCATGGTGGTCTGACCTTGCTCTCTAGCCTTGGTTTTGAACCTCCCCCCATCCCCGCCCAGCACCTTCACAGGCTGGGCGGGAGCAGTAAAATCAGGGCTCAACCGCTCTCTTCCAGATAGCTCCTGCCATTCCCAGCTGGCACAGTCCCCAGCTGGCACTTTCCGTGAGAGACCACCCACTATCTGAGCAGGAAGTCTTTCCAGCAGTGTGGTCTCATCTGGGAGCTCTGGGCCACATGGAAAACCCAACTCCCTCCCTGTCCCCGTATGCGGGCAGAGAGCCCAGGCCACCCATGCACTTCTCTCCCCTCTCCTGTTCCGCGGGCCCTGGCTGCCCTGGGAAGCTCCACATTCAGACAGGCCTGGTGCAGACGCCGGTGTCCTGGCAGCACCTAAATCATTAGTGCCGCGGAGATTAGGATACTAATCTCCTTGTTGGGTGGAGCGGTGCCAGCCACCAGCCTGCGGATCATGCTGCTCTTTTGCAGGGGCCGTTCCTCGGGGCATGACGCTGGCTCCTGCACAGATCCTGCTCCTCTGTGGCCTTCCTGGGCTGCCCTCCCCTCCTCCGGGACTGCTCTGGACTGACATTGCTCAGGTTCGGGTGAGGAGGGAGGCTGCCCTAACCCTTTGGCCTCAGACCCCTGCTCCCAGCCCCACCTCTGCTTCCTGTTTTGTTAGAGCCTTACTGACGTCATTATCTCTCCAGATTCCCTCAAAGACTTTGGGAGACAAGACTTGGTCCCCCTTTTACAAACGAGGGAACGGAGGCTCTAGAACTGACTTCCTGAAAGGCTTGGATCCAAAGCTCCCTCAGTTCAGCGGCCACGTCTATTTCCCTCAGACACAGGGATCCTTGAACCTGTGGGCTGTATCTCCCCGCGGACTTGGAAGAATCCCAAGAGAGTGGGGCTCCCACAGGTCAGAGGCTAATTCTGCCTCCTCTGACTGGGAGTCTCCACCAGGGCCACGTTGTACCTGGGCAATGATGTCAGGCCCCGATCTCTCCACCCTTACCCCAGGGCCCTGGAATGCTGGGTGAGGGGCCAGGCCAGCCTCCGGCTCCTGGCCTGTGCAGCCTTGTCCTGTGCCCGTGCTGGCTCCCAGGGCTGGGTTCTCCGGGCTCCCCACAAGAATAAGCTCAGCCTCCTAACTGTGGCTGAGGATGGAGGGTCACCCTACCCCAGGGCTACAGACCAGCACCACCTTTGTTTCTTTCTTTCTTTTTTGAGACAGATTTTTACTCTTGTTGCCCAGGCTGGAGTGCAATGGTGTGATCTCGGCTCACTGCAACCTCCACCTCCCAGGTTCAAGCTATTCTCCTGCCTCAGCCTCCTGAGTAGCTGGGATTACAGGTTCGTGACACCACGCCCAGCTAATTTTTGTATTTTTAGTAGAGATGGGGTTTTGCTATGTTGGCCAGTCTGGTCTCAAACTCCTGACCTCAGGTGGTTCACCTGCCTCTGCCTCTCAAAGTGCTGGGATTACAGGCGTGAGCCACCGTGCCTGGCCACCACCTTTGTGTCTGAACAGACCGCTGAGGCCCTGGTGCTCAGGCTGGGCTCTTGCTATGGAGGGGTCCTTGGGGAGGCTCTCAATATGTCCAGCCTGAGCCCCAGGCCCTGGGTGGGTGGGAGGAGGCAAAATACACTCCTGGGGTTTTGGCCTGAACTTCAAGGGCCAGGGTCCCAGCCCCACTTCAGCCCGGCTGTAACGGGCTACCCAGGGTCTCCATCCAGACCAGACTCTTCACCCGACCCATGGACACCCTGGTTGTCACCACTACCAGCATCTGCCAGTTCTCCACCTCTGGCTCTGTCAAGGGCCTGTGGACACCTGGCGGGGGTTTCTCCTGGATGTCATCTGTCAGTGTTGGGGGTGCCTTTCGCCAGCCTCCTGGGAGTCAGCAGCTGTGGCAACATGTCGGTCACCTCCTCCTGCTTCTTGGTGGGACTTGGGGGAGGCTACAGCGGTGGCTACACCTGTAACCTGGGTGGGGGCTTTGGCTCCAGCGTTGACGTGGCGGATGCCCTGCTGCGGGGGCGGTGAAAAGACCATGCAGAACCTTACTGACCACACACACAGCACACACATACACACAAACACCACACACAACCACACACACACATACACACACACAAACACCACACACACCACACACACCATCACACACATACACACAAACACCACACACACACCACACACGTACACACACAAACACCACACACACCCCACACACATCACACACATACACACACAGAAACACCACACACACACCACACACAGCACACACGTACACACACACAAACACCACACACCATACACATCACACACTACCCCAAACGCCACGCGCCCCACTCACACCTCACACTCCCAGATTCACACACAGGCGCATGCCCACCGATCGATACACACACACTAAAAGACTCCTATATACACATTCACACATAGCTCACAGGCACATCCACATACACACATACTACATACACACACACATACCACACACCTACACATATACCCACCACACCCCCAACACCCCCTCCACACATATTAGTCACACACCCCCCCAAACCCCCCACACCCTCTCCAACACATATACACACCCACCCAAACATACCACACACCACACACACACTCATACACATCACACACTACACAAACATCACACACATACACACCACACACACCACACATACACGCGCACGTACACGCACACACACCACACACACACCACACACATCAGAGACACACAGCACACACACATCACACACATATACACACACAAACACCACACAGACCATACACATACACACATACACGCCACACACACATCACGCACACACCACATATACATCACAGACACACGCAAACACCACACACACACTCCAAACACATCACACACATACACAAACACCACACACACCACACACATACTCACCATACACACCATAGATACATCACACACACACTCACCACACACACCACACACACATACACATACACACAGACACCACACACACACCCCACACCACACATGCCACACATATTCCACACGCACCACACACATACACACTACACACACACCATACACATATATACCCACAACCACCCATGTACCACACACCACACACACCACACGCATATACACACCACACACACAATACACACAGATCTCACACACACATACACACCACACACACATATACACCACACCACATGCATACCACACACCACACACACCACATACACACATACTACATACACATAAACACCACACACATCACACACCACACACCACACACACATCACACACCACACACACACACACATACACACACACTCTCTCTCATGACCTCTAAGAACATGGCTTTGGCATTCTGTAAACATGGCCACTTTGTCTTCTGCACAAACCCTGCCCTGGAGGGTCCTACAGAGCAAAGCCACCAGTGGCAGGTGAGGAGTGCAAGTGATGAGTATGGTGGCCAGGGGGGCCAGGGGAGCCAGGGGAGGCAGGCGGGAGTCAGGTTAGGCCCAGCTGGCCCTGGTGGTTAGGCCTGCTCAGTTTCCTGGGTGGAGAGCCAGGCCTGGTGCTGCCTACGAGGGGCTTTGTCTGCTCCTGCCCGGGACCTCCACTAGGCGGGAATTCCTGCAATCTCCCCTTGGAAGCAGAAATACTGGCAGTGCCAGATCAGATATTGGGGTTGGTTCTGGCAGCGGGGAACCCAGGGGAGCCCTGGTGAGTCAGTGCTCCTGATCTTCGGGATCAGCCAGCACCTCATCACCAACCCCGCCGCGCAGCACGCACCAGGGCTGTGCCTCGAGTCACCCTACACGCATTCTCTCCGTGTTTTCACAGCCGACCCTCGCTGTGCCCCCAAAGCCTCCCGAGCAAGGAGATGGGGGCTGGGTGGGTCTCTGCCGGATGCAGATGGGCCCACTGAGGCAGAGGAGGGGGTGCTGGGAACAAACTGGCCCTCAGCTCAGCTTGACCCAGGGTCACTTCACAGAACTTAGGGCCTCGAGTGGGGTCTTGGGGAGGGGGTGCACAGGATGAGCCTGCAGGGTCTACTAGGGTGTCCTGGGGCTTATCCCTCTAAGGTCATGTGCAGTCAGCCCTGAGCCTCAGCAAATTCCAGATTCTACACGCTCATGTGCCGCCTTCACAAGTGTTTCAACCTCTGGGTGGCTGGAGGGGCCTCACTCTTTGGTGCATGCCCATGGCCTCAATTGGAAACCCTCTTGGGCATTTCCAACCATGCCAATGACAGCGGCAGTAATCACAACCAACCTTCTGCTCCTTCTGGGCCCCTCCCTCCGTGTTTGCATTGGAACCGCCCAGATGACCTTGTGGGAAAAGAAAGCTTTGCCCTGGGTTTGAGGTGAGGCCAGTCATAACCTCATTAATTAATTAACAAATCACTTAATTAAACTAACGAACCCTTGGGGCCAACTCTGGGCCAGGGCACTGTGCCCAGGGCTGGGGATTCCAAAGAGAATGAAACAGACATGGCCTTGTCTCCCTGGAGCTCAGAGTCCAGTGGAGGAGGAAATAACCAAAAAAGTCATAGAAATAGGTATAAATTCACAACCTGGAGAAGGGAGGAGGTATGATCTGGAAAAGAGACGCAGAAAGGGAATCCAAGAGGGCTTTCTGGAGGAGGTGGCAGCTGAGCCTAGAGGTGAATTTAGTTGGGGAAGAGGGAGTGAGGCCTAGGCAGCTTAGGCCATGACCCCCATGGTGGGAGACAGCTGCATAAGGGTCTCTCTCCTGGCATCCATGTTTACCCATGCCTGGGCATCCTACCCCCATCATCCTTTAACCCCCTGAGGGCCTTGGCTGGGTCCCAGAAATTCCCAGGAGGGTGCTCAGAGAAGACCACGGGGACTCTCATCACCCTCACCCTGGCTCCCCAGAAATTCCCAGGAGGGTGCTCAGAGAAGACCACGGGGACTCTCATCACCCTCACCCTGGCTCCCCAGAAATTCCCAGGAGGGTGCTCAGAGAAGACCACGGGGACTCTCATCACCCTCACCCTGGCTCCCCAGAAATTCCCAGGAGGGTGCTCAGAGAAGACCACGGGGACTCTCATCACCCTCACCCTGGCTCCCCAGAAGTTCCCAGGGGGGTGCTCAGAGAAGACCATGGGGACTCTCATCACCCTCACCCTGGCTCACTTCCGAAAAGCCTGCAAGAAGGGTGTTGGAGGGTCTCCTGGAGGCTGCCAAGGGCATTTTCTCATGGAGACCCCGTCTCTCCCAGATCCTGGTGGCTGTGGTCGGTAATTCCAGCTTCGTGCTGGCTACAGGTGGATGATGCCCACCTGGCTGCCGATGACCTCTGCACCAAGTGAGGCTGGGTCTCTGGAGCTGCCCCAGGGGCTGGACAAGCTGACCCTGGCCGGGGCCAACCTGGAGATGCAGATTGAGAACCTCAAGGAGGACCTGGTCTACCTGAAGAAGAACCACAAGCAGGTGAGGTCAGCTCAGGGAACGCAGCAGAAATTCACCTGGAAGCAAGCGAGGCTGGGGCCCAGAACCTCCCTGGGCTGGGCTGTGCTTTCAGTCCAGTTCCCGTCTTTTATGGATGACTAGCCCTGACCCTCAGAGGACACTGCGTGAGGCCTGGAGGAGCCCCTCGTCCCAAATAGACTTCATTTGTCCCTTGAGGCTCAGCTCACTGCAGTTAACTAACTAATGAGTAACTCAGTTTAAGAACACACAATGCTAGTTATAATTAACACAATGCTTGTTATAATTAATTATAATAGTGATAGTCATTAAAACAAGGAACTTCTGCCCAGCACTACAAGTGACTCACAGCCATTATCTCAGCTGATACAACAGCTGGGAGAAAGATACTCTTACTTCCTTTTGACCTTTGAAGAAACGGAGGCTCAGAGAGGTTAAGGGATTTATCTATGGCTGCACAGGGACCCTCCTTCAGGTCTGTTGGACTCGTATCCACCCCACCTCTCTGCCCCCTCTCCTGCCTCTCCTTTCCAGAAGGCTCTAGGTCGCAGGGACTCCAAAGCTCAACCCAAGGATAGAGATCCAAGGTCCTGTGGGGCAGTCAGGAGGCCTTACATGCCCTGTCCTGTGTCTTCCTTCTCAGCCGAGCTCTGTGCTGCTCTGAGCTGGGGGAGCCTACTCCCCGAGAAGCAGGACACCCGGAAGGTGTTTCCCCCTGGCTTTGAGGCTGGTTATACAATTGCTTTCCTCCAGCAGATTAACATTTGCTAACGGGGCCTGGCGCAGTGACACAGCGTAGGGTTGCTTTCTGCATGCCTGTGCTGTGGGCTTGGTGGTGGGGGCAAGGCAGTGGTGGGGGCAAGGTCAGGGCAGTGAGTGAGGTCGCCCGTGGTCATCCTCCACCGTGCTGGGGGGTTGTCATCTCTCGGGGCTTAGCACTTGTTGGGGATGGGTGAATTCCAGTCCCGCGTCACGGTGTGTGTTGGGGGAGGTTGCTAATATTCACAGCCCTGTATGTTTGAGAAATGACAACATCCACCTCCACCTTCAGGGTGAGGAGCTGTTGGCCTATCTGTGTCTGTCTGTCTGTCATCTGTACCTGTCTCTCCGAGGGAAAGAAGGCAGGCCCCAGGGTCTTTCTCCAGGATGGCCTTGGGTGAGCTTCTGCTGTCCTCTCTGCCCAGGAAATGAACGTCCTTTGAGGTCAGGTGGATGAGGATGTCAGTGTGAAGATGGACACTGTGCCTGGAGTGAACCTGAGCTGCATCCTGAATGAGATGCGTGACCAGGACAAGACATTGGTGGAGAAGAGCTGCAAGGATGCCGAGGGCTGGTTCTTCAGCATGGTGGGTGGCCGTGCGTAAGCAGGTGTGTACACGTGTGGGCACATGTGCTGCATGCTGGTGCAGCTGGAGCACTGGCAGATCCACAGGCTGTCCCAGTTGGAAGGACTTTTGGAAACCAGTTGGACCAGCCCCTCATGTTTTAGATGTAAAACGTGAGGCTCAGAGAGGACTCAAGCTCACACAGCCCTTCACTGTGGCCTGCAAAATAGATCCAGGTCTCTACAAGTCTGGTCTTGGGTTTCCACCACAGCTGTTTACAGGATGTGCGTATTTGAATACATATGTATACCCTTGGCAAGCACAGGCTGAGTATCTCCGGTATCCTAGGGACAGCAACAGGCGCAAAAGAATAACACCCAGTGCCTGTCTTTGAGGTGCTGCAGTTCAGTAGGAAAAAGAAATGCAAATGACCGCAGAGCAGGCTGAATTCCTCCAAGTTCCAATGTGGGTGCAGAGGCTCTCTGTGTGCAGGTGCCTTTGGGGCCCCATAGAGGCCAGGGAGGGGCTAGGGGATGGTTCTGGGAGGTGAGGGTTCAGGAGCAGCCCTTTCCTGTGCCCCGCTTCTGAAAGTCTCCATAAACCCCTGTGGCCCACTCTGCCTTCCAGAAAGAGGGGCTGAACTGCGAGGTGGCCACCAACACAGAGGCCCTGCAGAGTGGCTGGATAGAGATATGGAGCTCTACGTCTCTGTGCAGAACCTGAGCCGTCCCAGCTCAGCAAGGTAGGGTCTCTGTCCCCTCCCCACCCTGTACCTGTCACCCCAGGGTGAGCCCAGCCTTGTAGACCCCTGCTTGGGGAACCAGAGTCCCCACCCAGCCTGTCCCTTCACACTCAGTGGCTGGGTGCACTACCACCTCATTGTGCTGGCAGCACCCACAGCCCCATACAGGAGGGGCTCCTCTCTAGTGCTCTGCCATGGGGAAGGGTCCCAGGTCCAGCTCATCACACCACCTATCTCTTGGCCCACAGAAAGCATCGCTGGAGGGCAGCCTGGTGGAGATGGAGGTGTGTTACAGGACCCTGCCGGCCCAGCTGCAGGGGCTTAACAGAAGCATGGAGCAGCAGCTGTGCGAGCTCTGCTGCGACACGGAGCACCAGGACCACAAGCACAGGTCCTTCTGGACGTGAAGACGTGGCTGGAGCAGGAGATCGCCACCTACCGCCGCTTGCTGGAGGTTGAGGACGCCCAGTGAGTGTGTACCAGGGTGCCTGTTGGGGTGGGCTGGGGGCCCGCTTCACCCAGGGAGAAGTTGGTGTCTGAGCACCAGCGAAATTCAGGAGGTGTGAATGTCGGAACCTGTTGGGGTTTGCAGGAGGTGATACTGACGATGCAGGCTGGAGTCTGGCTGAGGAGCCTTGAATGCCAAGTTAAAGCGTCTGGACTAGATCACGTAGGCAATGGGGAGCCATGGAGGGATTTGGAGCAGGAGAGTGAAATGAACATCAAGAGATTTTAGAACATTCACTCTGGCTGCAGAGGGAGAAATGGATCAGAGGGGTCAGGGCGGGGCCAGAGAGATGTGTCAGGGGGCTGGAGCAGGGAGTCTGGCCAGAGAAGTCCCGTGCGGTGGTGGGTAGTGGGGCAGGGGAAGGAAGGTGGTGCACGCAGAAGAGAGGTTATAGCTCAAAACAGCGGGACTGGATGCCTGGATCTCGGGGTAAGCATGGCTCACAGTCAGGACTCAGTAAGTGTCGGGAGAACACATGAAGGAGCAGGCATTGATGGCCCTGGGTTTCTGGTTCTGATGACTGTGTGAGTGGTGAAGAGCAAGGTGGGTGGTGGTTGGGTTTGCAGTTGGGAAGGGTGATCAGGCCTTCAGCTGAGAGTGTCCCGGAGTCTCCATGCTTAGTCACACGTTGCAGCTTTTTGCTCCCCGGAAATGGTGAAGTCCATCTATAGTCTAACAACAGTCTCTCCTGCTTTAATTGGGTCTATTTGTTGGGCCCTCTGGGTTATGGAAAAACCACTTGCTCAGCTTCTCCTTGTAAATTCCTGGTGAGTAGCCACAGAGTGCCGCCAGACCTACTGCTGTGCTGTTTCTTTTTCTTCTTCCTGCTGTGCTGAACCCCTGCCCTTTCATTCTTGGGCCTGCGCTAATTTCTGTGCATTCCCAACTGTGATTTTTCACCAATTTAGGGGAACCTCCTCTGCCAGGGCCTACTTCTCCCCAGCAGTGCTTGCAGGTGCCTGGGCTGGCTGGCATCCCTGGGCTGATGGGTGCTTCTCTCCCTGCAGGCTGGCCACTCAGTACTCCTTGTCCCTGGCCTCGCAGCCCACCCGGGAAGGTAAGAAGCTGCCCTGTCCTGCGGTGTGGACCCCAAGGCAGGGGAGAGGCTGAGGACCCTTCTGTGTGGGAGACTGGGGGGACCACAGACGCGGGGGCAGGCGGGGGGAAGAGCTCCTGCCTGATGTTCCCTGTGCCTCCCTCCTCCATCGCCTGCAGCCACAGTGACCAGCCACCAGGTGTGCCATCGTGGAGGAAGTCCAGGTTGGAGAGGTGGTCTTCTTCTGTGAGCAGGTCCACTTCTCCACCCACTGAGACCCCTTTCTGTCTGCGACAGCCCCACCTCGAGGGCCACGGCACAGCCATCAGCTCCAGCTCCCAGCATGCTACTGCCACGCCCCGAGTGTCCGTCTGGGCCCCGGTGCATGGCCTGTTGTCTTTCTGTATCTACTTTCTGCAGCCCCTCACTGAGGAGGCCTCCTGGGTTTGTCCAGTGCCTACTATTAAAGCTTTGCTCCAAGTTCAATGCCTCGTGTGATCTGATCTGCTCATTGGTTTGGGGCAGTGTGGGCTGAGGGACTGGGGGAGGTGGAGTTTATTGAGTGTTTGGGTATGGGCTTGTCACCTGCCAATCTGTTCTGCCCACTCCATCCAGGCCTGGGGCTCCTGGAAAGATGAGAGGGGAGGAGGCGGAAAGATTAAGGGTGGAGGGATGGGACAGCCCCTTGTATTGGGAAAAGTTTCTAAGAATCAGCCCCTGAGTCCCTGTCACCTGTGGCTGGTCCCTGGGAGGGCCACACAGACTTTCCAAGGATGGTGCCTGTTGGGGAGCACTCCCTGCCTCAGCCCAGGGCGGGTTCAAGAGCAGAAGGAGAGGGGCTTGGTGGGGAGGGGCTTCTGAAGGAGTGGTCCATGGCATTGATGAGTGAGAGGGCATGGCAGTGACGCAGCCAGCCCAGGAAACCAGACCGGCTCTGCCCCAGCTCGGGGTGTGTGTGGGGCGGGGTGGCCGCTGTGCGTGTACGCGTAGGGGGCATCCTGTTTGCTTTGGTGGCTTGGCAGCCACTGGGCTATTGAGGAATGTCTCTCGGCTGCTGGCGGGGCCGTCTGGGCCTGTCTGGGAAGTGGAAGCCATCGGCAGTCTGAAACATGACCACATTCCACCCAGCGGGCCTGGCGGGACCCTGGGACCCAGGGCCGGGCTTGGGGTGGTGGGCAGGGCAGGGTGGGGCTGTGGGGTGGGGCACATGGCCCACCTGAGGAGCCACATCTTGGGGAGCCTGGAGTGGGAAGGGGGCTGGCTGGGGTCTCTGTAAGAGCCTCTTCTTGGGCAATGTCCTTTAGGTTTCCTGTGGGCTGAGACCTGAGATAAATACCCGTCACCTGACCCTGAGGTCTCTTGGGGTACAGAAGGGTGAGGGGAGTGGAAGGGGGCATCCCCCTCTCAGTTGGCACAGCCCACCATTTCCCCATCCTATAGCTGAGCCCCTGTTTGCCCACCCCAGCCTGGAGTGTAAACCTGGGGAAAGGTTTACACGAAGAGACTGGGTTAGCAAGGATTTCTAGGGATGGGGCAGGGTCAGAAGCTGACTGGATGGAACTGTAGCCCCTAGAGTGCATTCCTGGGTGTCAGGCTCTGCAGAAGGGGCCAGTGTGGACACGGCACCCCTCTGGAGCCCCAATTTCTTTATCTGTGATGTGGGTTGGTCTCCGAGGCTTGATGGCATTTCTATGCTGTGAGGTGGGCCTGGTGGGTTTGGGCTCAGTTTCCAAGGCAGGATAGGCTCTCGGTCTCCTCTTTCTCTTCAGCACCCAGCCCCGGGGCCAGCACCGTGGGTGGAGCAGTGTGGGGTGAAAGACAGCAACTTTGGCGGGGGGGTCAGCTGACACTGCAACCCATTTCCCCACCAGACAGGGTTGAGGCGGGCCAGGCTGGGGTGGTGGCTGCCTGGGAGGGCCTGGGGACGGTGACGTCCTGCCTTCTCCTCTTCTCCGTATTAGGTCATGGGAAAGCATAGCTGGAGGGCCCGCCTGAATCACAGGTGACGGGCCTGAGACCAGAGGCACGCACACGCACGGCACTCAGCACGAGGATTTGGAGAAATGAGGCAAATTCCTGATGATGGGCGGGGAGGGGGCCCCCAGCCACCTGGGAGCTGGCAGGTGGCCAGTGGTGATGAAAGCCCAGGGGAATGGAAACAGAGGAGCAAGCCTGTTGTAATCGCTACGCCCACTTGGTGGCCTATAAAGGAAGCGGGCGAACCCCGGCAGCCCTACACAACTTGGGGCCCCTCTCCTCTCCAGCCCTTCTCCTGTGTGCCTGCCTCCTGCCGCCGCCACCATGACCACCTCCATCCGCCAGTTCACCTCCTCCAGCTCCATCAAGGGCTCCTCCGGCCTGGGGGGCGGCTCGTCCCGCACCTCCTGCCGGCTGTCTGGCGGCCTGGGTGCCGGCTCCTGCAGGCTGGGATCTGCTGGCGGCCTGGGCAGCACCCTCGGGGGTAGCAGCTACTCCAGCTGCTACAGCTTTGGCTCTGGTGGTGGCTATGGCAGCAGCTTTGGGGGTGTTGATGGGCTGCTGGCTGGAGGTGAGAAGGCCACCATGCAGAACCTCAATGACCGCCTGGCCTCCTACCTGGACAAGGTGCGTGCCCTGGAGGAGGCCAACACTGAGCTGGAGGTGAAGATCCGTGACTGGTACCAGAGGCAGGCCCCGGGGCCCGCCCGTGACTACAGCCAGTACTACAGGACAATTGAGGAGCTGCAGAACAAGGTAGGGCCTGCTGGTGGGAGGGGTCTCCGGGGGGCATGACTTCTTCCCCCCAACTCCTGCCTTGGCCAAAGGCCTGGAGTCCAGCCATAGGGTCTCAGGGAGCCAAGGGTGGTTTGGCTGTGGCTTAGCTTCTGGGAACCTGCCTTGGGGCCCCTGTGTGGCTCACATCCCCCTTTTCTGGGGACAGCAAGCTGAGTCAGGAACAAAGAGGCCTTGTGGAGCCCCTTGGAGCCTCAGTTTCTCCCTCGTGGAGCTCCGCCACCTGGAGAGGTTGTAGGATGAGGCAGGAGGATGCAGATGGAGGGCTGGGCCCGTGGGCTGCTGGATGTGTGGTGTCTTGCTCCTTTGGAGCAGGGGTCAACAGGAGGGGGTTTTGGGTGATGTGGAGTGGGGGTGTCTGAGTGAGCTCCTGATAGCACCTGCTGCAGGAGGAGGCAGAAAGGAGGGGGCGGGACCTCAGTGTGGGGAAGGCCTCTGATGTGCCTTATTTGGGGATTTTTCTGGCTTCTCCTTTCCTCCTGCTGTCCCTTAAGACGGGCTCAGCAAACCCCAGGGGGCGGGGCTGCTGGCTGGCGCCCAGGGTTAGGGATTAGGAGGGGTCCTGACTTTTGATTTGGAACCACTCTTTAATGAGGGCTCCTTTAGCCTCCTTTTGGGGGAGCCTGTCAGGGGCACCCTCTAGCTGACTGTAAAACGAGGGGGTTGCCCACATCCCCTCCCTTGTTCTAGAATTCTGGGACAGCTTCTGCCCTGGGGACATTTTCCCATTCTTTTCTGGTTGCCTCATACTCCCAGCCAGCTGTCTCTTCTCCTTTAAGGCCGAGCCTGCCATGGGGGTCTGGTGGGGTACTGAGTATCGGGGGAAGAAGAGGCACCTTTCAGCCCTTCAGACTCCTGTTTGCCCCTCCTCTGCCAATAATACAGCACGGGGCAAGGGAGGGGCTGGGCGAGAAGAGAGGCCCTGAGGCAGGAAGATCTGCTCAGAACCCTGGTGTGGGCTCAGCCACCCCCATCCAATGACCTGACTACTCTCCCTTCTCCTCAGATCCTCACAGCCACCGTGGACAATGCCAACATCCTGCTACAGATTGACAATGCCCGTCTGGCTGCTGATGACTTCCGCACCAAGTGAGTCCTAGCTGTGGCCTTGGGCAGCCTGGGCCAGCTGGCGGAGGATCTCAGGGTACCCCTCCTGACCCCAGGATTCCTTGGTTGCTTGTGGCAAGGCCCAGGAGCTCAGGGTGGGGCAGTCCTAGGAGCCCCACTCCTTAGTCCAGGATGCAGTGAAGGCAGCCAGTTCTGAAGGTTGCTGAGCTTAGGCAGGGAATAGAAGAGAAGGAGGGGAGGCGGGAGGCGGGAGGCAGAGAGAAGTAAGGAAGCTGGTGGGCGTGGGATCTGGCCCTGTGATGGTCCCGGGGTCCCGGGGCTGGAATTCGTTTCCACTCGACCCTCTCATCAGCCCTTCCAACTCCTTAGAGTCCTGGCAAAATGAAGGCAGGTGAGCAGCCAGGACCTGGATCTGCAGGTCCAAGCAGCCTGGGCTGAAGTCTCTGATTCCCACGGCAGGTTTGAGACAGAGCAGGCCCTGCGCCTGAGTGTGGAGGCCGACATCAATGGCCTGCGCAGGGTGCTGGATGAGCTGACCCTGGCCAGAGCCGACCTGGAGATGCAGATTGAGAACCTCAAGGAGGAGCTGGCCTACCTGAAGAAGAACCACGAGGAGGTGAGGTGGCTGGGGCAGAAGGTCAAAGATGCTGAGGAGTGGGTGGCAGAGCCCTGGGGCTGGGCAATGGCTGAGGCCGTGGGAGAGAGCAGAGCAGGTGCACCGGGATTAGTCACCTTAGAGGGCTTCCCTGTCTGCAGAGCCCTGATCCTTGGGGTCCAGTGTGCAGGGCAGACTCCTCTTTGTACCACACTGCTTCTCTGTACACAAGGAACCTCCCAGGGGCCTGCAGAGGCTCCCTCTACCTACCCTGCCTCCCTCATGAGGGTGGGGGATAAGTAAGGAAATCTTGTCCCATTTCAAACTCTCAAAGCTGAACATCTACATAGAAGCTTGGAAATTAGAGGGGAACTTTTGGGGGCATAGGCCTAATAATTAGATTTTATTTTGGAGAGTCCTTGGTCTAATGGGGGAGATAGAGTCTGATGGTGGAGGCAATACTGAGCAGATGAATAAAAATCATTTAGAGGGTCAGATAGAGCAGAGGGAGAACAAAGGAGGGGTCCTTGTGGGAAGTGGGGTCCCCTTGTGGGGGAAGGCTTGGGAGTGAGAGGTCAGGATGGGTCCAGATGCGCACATCCACATCCCCTTTTTCCATAGGAGATGAACGCCCTGCGAGGCCAGGTGGGTGGTGAGATCAATGTGGAGATGGACGCTGCCCCAGGCGTGGACCTGAGCCGCATCCTCAACGAGATGCGTGACCAGTATGAGAAGATGGCAGAGAAGAACCGCAAGGATGCCGAGGATTGGTTCTTCAGCAAGGTGGGGGGTGCTGCAGGCCAGAGGGCTCTCTTAGGGGCTGGGGCTCAGGGGCCTTAGCACTGACAGTAAGCCCACGGCCAGATGTCTTGGAGGTGCCCCTCCTCAGTAAGCTGCATGGACCACAGGGTCACCCACTGCATCAACAGACATGGAGCTGAGCTCAAGCTGGGATCTGGCGGGTGGGTGGGGAGGTAGGGAGCTCCCTCAGAATAAAGGCAGAGGGTAAAGACCTTGGGAGTCCCCACGTCTCCCTCAAGAAGTCAGGAACTAGCATCAAGAGCCAGGCTACATGTTCTGGCTTGTTCTCAAGTTTCCGGTCTGTGCCTCCCACACGCTGGGATTAACCATAAAAAGTTAACATTTCAAATGGCATGTTTCTGGGCTTTGGGATGTGGGAAGCTGGTGAGAAGGCACACTCTCTCCACAGTTAGATTTGGGAGGAGGCCTGACTTGGGAGAGGGATCCAGGCTCACACCGCCCTGTCCTGTGTCCTGTCTGCAGACAGAGGAACTGAACCGCGAGGTGGCCACCAACAGTGAGCTGGTGCAGAGTGGCAAGAGTGAGATCTCGGAGCTCCGGCGCACCATGCAGGCCTTGGAGATAGAGCTGCAGTCCCAGCTCAGCATGGTAGGAACAGTCCTGTGCATGGGGGAGGGCCCAGAAGAGGGCATTGACCATCCTCACTGACCCCTGGTCTTCCTGCCCTCCTGCAGAAAGCATCCCTGGAGGGCAACCTGGCGGAGACAGAGAACCGCTACTGCGTGCAGCTGTCCCAGATCCAGGGGCTGATTGGCAGCGTGGAGGAGCAGCTGGCCCAGCTTCGCTGCGAGATGGAGCAGCAGAACCAGGAATACAAAATCCTGCTGGATGTGAAGACGCGGCTGGAGCAGGAGATTGCCACCTACCGCCGCCTGCTGGAGGGAGAGGATGCCCAGTGAGTGGGGGCGCCTGGGGTCAGGGCTGGGGGTCTCTTGGCAGGGGTGGGGCTCTCAGACCCACATCTAATTTCCTCTCTGTTTTTTTTTTTCTTTCAGCCTGACTCAGTACAAGAAAGAACGTAAGTATCTGCGTGGCTTCGGCCCTGGGGGTTGGGTGCATGGGACAGGCAGCCCACCTGCACGTTGCTGGGGCAGGGTCCCCAGGAGCTCCAGGAGTTGATGGCTGTCCCTCAGCAGGGAGAAGTGACTCATTAGCACTGAGGATTGATACTCAGGAAAAGATCAAATGAGAGAGACACTGTCTGGTCTGATGGGGGTGGGGCAGGGAACTGGTCCTTACCTTGGAGATCCTAGTCTGATGGAGGAGACAGGTCCCAGCTCTGGAGATTGTCATCTGATGGGAAGATAGGAACATGGTCTCATGATCTTTGCTCTTGACAGCTTTTGGATGAGCAAAAACAGTCCTGTCTCTGGGGTCTGTAGCCTGATGGGAGATAGGGACATGGTCCTTGTCCTCCAAATTCCAATCTGATGGAGAATATATGATCCTAGCCTTAGGGTTCCTAGTCTAATGGAGGAGATAGGGGCCTGGTTTTTGTCTTGGCGATCCCAGTCTGATGGGGGAGATGGTAGAAAATCTATGTCCTAGAGACTGCAGAGAAATGGAGACGGATTTCATGGAGTCTACATGGCTCCTCCCTGGCAGGACACACTGGATCAGAATCAAATAACCCATCTGGGGAGGCAAGACTCACACAGGGCCACCGGCAGAGGGATGGGATGGAAGGGAGGTGGTGGCAGGGACAGGAGGGATGTGTGTGCAGTGTGATGTCGAGGTGCCAGTGGAGGCACTCACAGCACCTGGGGGAGGATGAGGGAGAGAGCCGGCTCCTGTCCATGAGGGCTAGGGGGCAAGCGAGGGCCTCCTGGCCCCTACCCACTTTAAATTGCCTGCTTCTCCTGCAGCGGTGACCACCCGTCAGGTGCGTACCATTGTGGAAGAGGTCCAGGATGGCAAGGTCATCTCCTCCCGCGAGCAGGTCCACCAGACCACCCGCTGAGGACTCAGCTACCCCGGCCGGCCACCCAGGAGGCAGGGAGGCAGCCGCCCCATCTGCCCCACAGTCTCCGGCCTCTCCAGCCTCAGCCCCCTGCTTCAGTCCCTTCCCCATGCTTCCTTGCCTGATGACAATAAAGCTTGTTGACTCAGCTATGAAATGTGTCCTTGTTCTGGCCCCTGAAGTGGGGACTAGGGACAAAAGGGTGAAATGGGAAGGAGTGAGGGTGAGGGGAGATGGTGCTTGGAGACCCACCGTTGTTGATTGGCAGGTCAGGGGTCAGCTTAGACCGGCATAAAGAGTAAGTCTGGGGAGAGTTTGGAAGGGGGTGCTTGCCTCTCCCAAGGGCTGGAGATTTTCAGGGGGTGGTCCAGGCTGCGCTAGACCTGGGGTGGAGTTGGTGTATCAGGTGCGGTCCTAGGTGGCCACTGCTTGCCCTGTGAGTAGCTCTGTGACCTCGAGAAGTTAGGCAGTCACTTCCCCTCACTGAGCCTTGCTTTCTCATCCATAAACGGATGGGAAGATCTCAGGTGTGGGAGCCTGAATCCTCAGAGATGACTCACTCAATCAGTTGTTCCTCCCGGTCCTGTGGGCCGTGCCCTACCCCTAGATGGGGCAGGAGGTGGGCAAGGGCTGGGATAAGCACAAAGGGAGGGTGGGTGGGGGAGGCAGGCTGGGTGGTTGGGGCCCAGACTCCTGTGTGAGTCTCAGGAAATCCCCAAGAGAGGCCCCCATTGCCTCCGCCCTGGGAATGTGAGTGGGAGGCTGGCGTTTTCAGGGAAGGCTACGGACCCCAGGCAGGTGTGGGAGAAAGGGTGGGGCCTCTCTCAGGGATGCTTCCTCACATGGTCAGCTGTTGCTCGGGATGGGGACGGGGTGGAGTGGGGGGGCACTGCAGATGGGGTGGCTGTGCCCAGGGAGCAGTGCCACTCTCCCTGGCAGTCTGGGTCCTCTTTGGTTCCCCACTAGGGACAGGGGTGGCGTGAGGGAGGGTAGAAACTGCCTCCTGGGAAAATGAGAAGGAACAGTCCTGCTCCAGCCACTCCCGGCACCCTCTGAGCTGACCAACCCCAGCTCTTGCTGGTGGCAGCAAACGTGGCTGTGGGGAACAGTCTGTGGGAGATGAGCCTGACACCTGGAAATCTTCCTTCTAGTAAATCCGGAAACTGCCAGGCGGGTTGGCCTGCTTTCCTGGTTTTCTTCAAGCAGGGGGTTCGTGGGAGGAGGAGGTTGCCTCCACCTCATCACTGCTGGACCTGCGGTGTCTCTGCTGCTGCGGAATCAGACCAGGGCCCCCAAACACCCTCTCTCTCCTCGTGCCTGGAGGCTGGGGGTTGGGCCCAGGCCTGAGGAAAATGGGAGTGACCAGAGCCCTCTGAGCCTGGGTTGGTGGGGGTTTGGGACTGGCAGAGGCCAGGGATGGGGGTGGGTACTGACCACTGGGGTATGGGTGACTTTGGGCTGGTCACAGGCCCTCCCTGGACCTTGGAGCTAAGACATCCTGGGAGAGAGTTTCTCTCTGCAGGGGAGATGGCTGCCTGGAGTCGGGGACTCGCACCTGCAGCGGCATCTGCACGACTGAAAGCAAGGGCAGGCTCTGCTCCATCAGAGGCTGACGTCTCCCTGTTGTCTGGCAGCAAATGTGGCGCCATGGAGGGCAGGAGGGAGGCACTGTTTGCACCAGGCCCCCACCACACATCCCGCCACAACCAGAAGAACCAGCCCTGGGCTGCAGATGGCTCATTCCGGAGGGTGACTTCGTTTATCTGAATAGTCCCAGGAAGCAGGGAGGGCCTGGGGGAAGGCACCTCGTTGTGTGGATGGGGACACTGAGGCTCCAAGGAGCAGTGACTCAGCCCTTGTCCCGGAGCCTAGGGGGTCAATAGTGGAGACAGGCACGGGAGGGGAGTGGGCCCCGCTTCCGTGCCGGGAAGAGGAGCCCAGCCCCA
The DNA here is from genome assembly GCF_000001405.40 of Homo sapiens. NCBI lineage: Eukaryota > Metazoa > Chordata > Mammalia > Primates > Hominidae > Homo > Homo sapiens. The sequence continues at coordinate 41,617,647 of NC_000017.11, read as the reverse complement.
CCTCCTGCCCCACCTCAGGTTCCAGGCAGGGCTCTCTCTCCCCTCTGTAGATCCTGGGGTCCACAATTACTGATGGGACAAGTGAGGAGGGGTCAGAGTGTGGGGAGGACCAGAGACGGCCCCAGACTGTGCCCCTCTGCTGGGGAAGAAACCCTTCTCCACAAAGTGAGTGGGTGGGGGGCTCAGGATGCCAGAATGGGGGAGCCCCCCGGTGTGCCCAGACAGCTGAGCCAGGGGATGGTGGGGAGACTTGAGCGGCTTTGTCTGTCCAGGCACCCCAAGTGGGCCCAGGCTGCTGGGGACATGTGCCTGGGGTGGACTGGGGACCCAGCTATGGGACTCATGGAGGGACTCACAGTTCATCCACACACTCCCTGCCCACTGCACAGAATGTTCCACCCTGTCATCAAGGCAGAAGCTGCAGATCTGTGGTTGCCCTTGGAGCTGCCACACCTGGTCTTGAGTGATGGACACACACATATGATTCTCAGGCCAGGTCCATGCCAGTGGTAGCCTACCTCTGGATCCCCCTTGCAGGGGCTGACCTGGTAGCATGTCCAGGGGGAGATGAGTGTCCCCCACTACATCCATCTCCCTGCAGGACATCCTGCCAGGGGAAGGAGGAGACACCGGTCCTGACCCCAAGAGATAGTGCCTGCCCCGAGGGGACCTGAGGGACTGAAAACAGTCCCTCAGCCTTTATGCAGTGTGGGTCTCTTGTGGCAACCCAGGTTTTGGGGAGATGAGGGGAACAGAGGGAACAGAGCCAGGCAGGTCTCCCCCCATGCACAGAGCTGAGGGGATAACTGAGCTGGACAGAGGCCCGTCCTCACCCTGAGCTGTAGTGACCATTTGAAGAAACATCCCTGAGAGAGGCCCACTCTTTCTCCCACAACCCCCTGGGGTCCGCAGCCTTCCCTGGAGGCACCAGCTTCCTGCTCACATTCCTGGGGTGGGGGCAATGGGAGCCCCTCTTGTGGGTTTCCTGAGACTCACACAGGAGTCCGGGCTCCTTGTTTGTGCAGAACAGGCACCCCAAGTGGGCCCAGGCTGCTGAGGACATGTGCCTGGGCTGGACTGGAGACCCAGCTATGGGACTCATGGAGGGACTCACAGTTCGTCCACACCCACCCTGCCCAATGCACAGAATGTTTCACCCCATCATCAAGGCAGAAGCTGCAGATCTGTGGTTGGATTGTGAAGGGCTATGACAGCCCCACCTTCAGAAGGGGGGCATCAAACATGCAGGAGGGGATAGGAGCCCCAGAGGTGGGCCTGGCACTCACAGATTTCCCCAGATCCCGGGAGCCGTCACAGGGGCAGAGCCTGGGCCTGGACATTTGTTCTCCCCCAGGGACCCTGCTCTCTCTGTTTCTCTGCAGGGCCCCAGTACCCCATCGTGGCCTGACATTAGTGTATTGGGATTGTCTTTACCACCTTCTCCCCCAGAAGACTGTGTCTCCAGGGCTTCTCTGTCTTGTTCTTTGAGTCTGAGTGCCCAGCACAGTGCCAGGCACATAGTAGGCACTTTATAAACACCTGCTCATAAACATAACGCTAGCCACCAGCCTTTTCCAGGTGCTTTATTTATTTGGCCTCGAATCCCCTAATATGCCTGTGAGGCAAGGCTGTTATTCCCATTTCCCAGAGAAGGAAACTGAGGCTCAGAGAGGCTGAATGTCCTGCCCAAGATTTCGCCCCTGCTTGCCCCGATTCTAGGCTGCTCTGTCCTGGCTCAGTGGGGCTCTACTTTTCCTTCCTCCTGCCCTGAAGCCTGTGGCTCTGGCTTGTCCACCCGAGGCTGGGGGCCCTGCAGCAGCCCCCTCTCTCCCCTCAGCTTCTCTGCCCCCCTCCTTAGCCCCCAAGCTGCCTCCTGCCTTCCCAGTCTGAGTTGGCTGGGGAGCTTGTAAAACAGCCCCACCAGCAGGCTTGTCCTGAGCGGTGCTGATGCGGGAGTTGGAGCAGGGCTGCAAATCTTCATGGGGACTCTGACGATCTGTCTGGTTGGAGAATCACTGCAAGTCAAGGCGTGGCATTGGCCAATGGTGTTTCCCGGCTGCCTCAGGTATGCCATGATCTCATGCCTCATGCTTGACATGGGCAGTACGAAGGAGGGAGGAAGGAGGCAGGGTGTGGGGAGGAATCCTCTGCCTGGAGGATGCCCACTGGGCTTCTCTGTGCTCACCAGGCTTAGTGGTCCTGGCTCTTGGCCACCTTGGGGCAGGTGTGCATCACTGGTGCACAGGAAACGCCTCCTCCTCCTCCTCTGTCAACTCAGATCCTCTGAGGCCCTGCTGGTGCCTCTCTCTGCTAGGACCCTTTCAGGGATCAAGGCCAGGAGGGCAGCCCCCTCCTCTACTGCTGAGGCTCAGCGGGGCAATGCCTACCCCAGCTGCCTCCTGTGGTGTGGGCATGGCAGGCAAGCCCAGCACCCCAGGGTTTCTAGCCAGGTTCTGTATTTTCCAGCATTAGTTTTCCCTCCAGGGTCAAATGATAAGTTCTTCTAAGGTCAGAGACTATGTCATCATCTCCCTCTTCACCCCCAGCCCCCGAGAGCTGTACACACAGCAGGTGCGTGATCTATGGAGTTGGCTGAGCAGTTTGGCGCGTTGGTCAGCAACTTCCTGCAGCTTCTCAGCCCATGCAGATCCCCAGGTCTGCAGTGCTGGGCTTGTGTATAATCCCGCCCTGACACCTCCTGGAATGGGGAACTTGGTGGGGGGCAGTGAGCCAATGAGAAAGGGGTGTGTGTGCATGCACACACGATGGGGGCAGAGAGTGAAGAGTTCTCAGAGACTCTACTACGAGAGTCGGTGTGAATCCTGGCTTGGGAGTTAGAGCTGGCTCGAGTCTCTGCTCTCTCACTTTTGTGCTGCTTAACCTGGATAAGGCTTTCGCTCTCTCCAGTTGGGGTATTAATAGCCTTTGGTGACCTTGAAGACCATTTTCAGTTCTGAGGGTGATGGGTCTGTGGATGGACCAGAACTCCAGGCCCAACCTGACACCTGAACACTGAGGTTTTTGTCCAAGATTCCGGGGTCCCCTTTGCCCCTTTTTGGGGTAGGGGTGAGGAGTGTCAGGTTCCCTCTCCCAGGTTTGACTCTGAAGGGATGTGCATCCGTTCTGCTCTTACCTCTGGGATGAATGACCAGGGGAGATGTAGCAGTGACAAAACCCTGGTTCTGCTGAGACAAGGAATTGCCTGCCCCAGTGGAGCTCAGGCAGAAGCAGGCTGTCTCTGGGCTCCTCACCTCAACAGAGACACTGCAGAGCAAGGCCAGTGGCCAGCACCGAGGGATGCCCCACAGCACCCTGAGGAGGCCCCGTCTTGGTGCCCAGACCCCTCCATCCTCCCTCCAGTCCTCGGTGCTGGACCAGGCTCTCAGGCCAAGGCCATGCCCACCATGGGCAGACCTCCTGCCAGTGATCGTGGGGAGGTGGGTGAGAGTTGGGTATACTGGCCCCGCCTGCAGGCATGGTGGGAGCCTGGAGAGGGCCAGAGTTCTGGGTTCTAGTTGCAGCTCTGCAGCTTAAAGCAGAGTGACTTTGAGTGAATCTCTACGCTCACAGAACTGTATGGCACACACTGGGCTCTCCATGCATGCCTGAGTGGGCCCATAACCAGTGCTCTCCCCCAGCTCAGCTGGATGAATGGAGCTGCCAGGCCTAGCCTGGGATCTGTGGACACAGGAGAGAGAACTGCTGGGAACGGATCCCCGGCTAGTCCTGTTTCTACAGGGTAGGGGGGGACTCTGAGGCCCAGGTGGGGTCAGGGGTCATACCTGGCTGTAGTGGCAGGATGGGGCTCCCTCCCACCAGCCTGCAGGTGGGGTGCCTGTGATTAGGAGAGGGCGGTAGAGGAGTGGCAGAGCTAGGTGTGGGGCTGTGGTGTTCTTCAGCTGGGAGTGTGGGGGGCGCAGGGCCCTGCTTAGGGGTGCGGGATGGTGCCAGTGTGTAGAGGTGAGTGTGAGGAGCAGGTGGCTGGAGGGGCAGGATGGGGAGGCTGAGGGGCAGGGCTGGCCCTCGGGGAAGGGCCGGTGGGGTCCTTCGCGCATGTTTCTTTGTGGCTAGTGGTGTGTCATCCCCTTTTACAGATGAGAAAACTGAGGACCAAGGGGCTATAGGACCAGCCTGTGCTGTACAGTTGGTAAGGGCAGAGCAGGGACTCAGTGCCGCCTGTCTAGCTCCATGGCCAGTGCTGTTTGTATGGTGCACACACTTCTGGAGATCCCGGGGGCTCAAGGCAGCCTCTGGAACTGGAATTAGATCCAAGAGGGGAAAGAGAGTTATAGGATTTTTAGAACAGAAGGGACTCTGCAGTCACCCAGTCCAGCCTGGTCACTGAGGGGAAACAGGCCCAGAGGTGGGAGGTGGGGAGCCTCAGGCCACACAGCAAGCAGAGTGAAGACAGGAACTCTGCCCCTGCCCAGAGTGGGACATGTGGGATCCCCACAACTGCTCCCCAAGACAGCCCAGGATGGCATCACTGAGCTCTCTTTCAGCCAAGGCTGTCACTGTGGGGCAGGGAGTTCTTCTGAAGGGCTGACTCACTGCCTGGGGACGCAGTTGCCACAAAGCCACCTGTGCCAAGGCCCGACTGGCCCCGAGGGCTCCAGGAAAGGGAGCCTGATTCCCCACCGCCTAGCCTGAGTCACCACCGAACTCGCATTTCTGTGTTTTTCTCTCGGCCCCACACCCCCAAAGCTGGGTGGGAACTCTGAGCCGGCACACAGCAGAGTTGATCCTGGGCTGAATAATCCAGAGTGAGGAGTTGGACGGGACCGGGAGTGATGAAATCCAGAGGGGAACCTGGAGTCAGCAGTTAGGAGGGCCCCGCCTTCCCCAGCTGCATATAAAGGTCTCTGGGGTTGGAGGCAGCCACAGCACGCTCTCAGCCTTCCTGAGCACCTTTCCTTCTTTCAGCCAACTGCTCACTCGCTCACCTCCCTCCTTGGCACCATGACCACCTGCAGCCGCCAGTTCACCTCCTCCAGCTCCATGAAGGGCTCCTGCGGCATCGGAGGCGGCATCGGGGGCGGCTCCAGCCGCATCTCCTCCGTCCTGGCCGGAGGGTCCTGCCGTGCCCCCAGCACCTACGGGGGCGGCCTGTCTGTCTCCTCTCGCTTCTCCTCTGGGGGAGCCTGCGGGCTGGGGGGCGGCTATGGCGGTGGCTTCAGCAGCAGCAGCAGCTTTGGTAGTGGCTTCGGGGGAGGATATGGTGGTGGCCTTGGTGCTGGCTTCGGTGGTGGCTTGGGTGCTGGCTTTGGTGGTGGTTTTGCTGGTGGTGATGGGCTTCTGGTGGGCAGTGAGAAGGTGACCATGCAGAACCTCAATGACCGCCTGGCCTCCTACCTGGACAAGGTGCGTGCTCTGGAGGAGGCCAACGCCGACCTGGAAGTGAAGATCCGTGACTGGTACCAGAGGCAGCGGCCCAGTGAGATCAAAGACTACAGTCCCTACTTCAAGACCATCGAGGACCTGAGGAACAAGGTGGGTGACTTTGGTGTATGGAGCACTGAGAGAGGCTGGGGCTACAGTGGCCCTTGGGATACCTCTTTTTAGCAATTACACTTTACAAACAGGGAGACTGGGCACCTTTGGGGAGTGGCCAGGATCACCCAGGGAAGTGGTAGCAGAGGGTCCCTTTTCAGTATCTCTGTGCCCGGACTGGGGCTGTTACCCTAAATCTCTTATTTCCTTCAAGGGTTCAGCTGCAAGTTCAGCTTCCCTGCCTTGGGCCCAGGAAGGGGGTGATCGGGATGGAGTGCATCCCTACGTAGCCTGAGCTGGTGGAGAAGGCATGCCAGCCCTGCCAGCCAGAAGACTTCCAGATTTGGGGCGGTTCCTTTTGCCCCTTTCTGCCTTTCATGCTCAAGTAGTAAGGTCCTTGGCTGACCAGGGCTCCTGTCCTCCATCCCCACTCCAGATCATTGCGGCCACCATTGAGAATGCGCAGCCCATTTTGCAGATTGACAATGCCAGGCTGGCAGCCGATGACTTCAGGACCAAGTGAGCAGCCAGCATGGTGGGCTGGGGGCAGAGGGCAAGGGACAAAGAGTGGGGCGGTCCACCCAGCAGGGCCAGCAGACCCCGAGCCTCAGAATCCTCAGGGCTGCAGCCTGAGGACCTGACCTCTGTCCTGCCAGGTATGAGCATGAACTGGCCCTGCGGCAGACTGTGGAGGCCGACGTCAATGGCCTGCGCCGGGTGTTGGATGAGCTGACCCTGGCCAGGACTGACCTGGAGATGCAGATCGAAGGCCTGAAGGAGGAGCTGGCCTACCTGAGGAAGAACCACGAGGAGGTACGGTCGCTGCTGGCTTCCGGGGTGGGAGGCTGGTTTGGTGGGGTTGCCAGATGCACCCAGGGCCAGGAGAGAAGTCTGCTGAACTGACCGCCTCCTGCCATCCCTTCCCAGGAGATGCTTGCTCTGAGAGGTCAGACCGGCGGAGATGTGAACGTGGAGATGGATGCTGCACCTGGCGTGGACCTGAGCCGCATCCTGAATGAGATGCGTGACCAGTACGAGCAGATGGCAGAGAAAAACCGCAGAGACGCTGAGACCTGGTTCCTGAGCAAGGTGGGGCTCGGGCCCGCAGTGAGCCTGCAGCACTTCCCAGCTGGGGGCTTTGGGAGAGCCTCACCTTTCACTCTGCTTTCCTGCCTCAGACCGAGGAGCTGAACAAAGAAGTGGCCTCCAACAGCGAACTGGTACAGAGCAGCCGCAGTGAGGTGACGGAGCTCCGGAGGGTGCTCCAGGGCCTGGAGATTGAGCTGCAGTCCCAGCTCAGCATGGTATGAAGGACCCAGCACAGCAGCAGCCCCCAAGTCACCAGTAATGGCCACCACCCCCTCAAAAAGCCACAGTCTAGTTCCACCTTTCTTTTCTCAGGATGGGACCAGGGGACTCATGGGACCGTTATATAGATAGAGAAACTAAGCCCTAGAATAGTGGGCTAGCTTTTCTCCATATTGTCTGGCCCATCAGTACCCCAACTGGGATCAAAATCCAGGCATCTCTCAAAAAACATGCCCAGAGACCTGGAGGAACAGGAGTGACCACCTCCATGGACTCTTTTTCTCTCTCTCACTTGCAGAAAGCATCCCTGGAGAACAGCCTGGAGGAGACCAAAGGCCGCTACTGCATGCAGCTGTCCCAGATCCAGGGACTGATTGGCAGTGTGGAGGAGCAGCTGGCCCAGCTACGCTGTGAGATGGAGCAGCAGAGCCAGGAGTACCAGATCTTGCTGGATGTGAAGACGCGGCTGGAGCAGGAGATTGCCACCTACCGCCGCCTGCTGGAGGGCGAGGATGCCCAGTGAGTCCCAGGCCCCTCAGTTCTGCCTCCCAGACCCTTTAGCCCCCCTGCTGCTCTCAGCACAACTGACTGCCCTGCTTTTTCTCTCCCACAGCCTTTCCTCCCAGCAAGCATCTGGCCAATCCTATTCTTCCCGCGAGGGTAAGGCTTCTGAGGCTCCCCGGCACTGCAGCCCCTCTGCCTGTTTCCATGGAGTGGGGGCTGGGCCCTTCTCCTCAGAGCTCCCAGCCCTCCCTTCTCCCTGCCCTGGAGTCAGCTTAGCTCTCAGACCCCTTCTCACCTCCTCTTCTCTCTCCCACAGTCTTCACCTCCTCCTCGTCCTCTTCGAGCCGTCAGACCCGGCCCATCCTCAAGGAGCAGAGCTCATCCAGCTTCAGCCAGGGCCAGAGCTCCTAGAACTGAGCTGCCTCTACCACAGCCTCCTGCCCACCAGCTGGCCTCACCTCCTGAAGGCCCGGGTCAGGACCCTGCTCTCCTGGCGCAGTTCCCAGCTATCTCCCCTGCTCCTCTGCTGGTGGTGGGCTAATAAAGCTGACTTTCTGGTTGATGCAAACCTGTGTGATCTCTGTTCTTGAACTGATGGGAGGGGAGTTGCAGGTGCTTTCCAGAAACCTTCTGGAGCCTCACAGCCTGAGAGATGTGGGAAATGGGACAAATCTCAGAAGATCTTGAAGGGTCTTCCTGGAAGACCTCCATGCTCTATGGAAGTGGGAGGTGGGACACAGGATGGGGGAGTGTCCACACGTGTTGACTGACACCATGGAGGCATTCTACAGAGGTTATTTATGATATTTTCCTTGCAACCCTGTGAGGTGGGTATGGTCAGGCCCATTTTGGAATTGACAACCCCCAGAATTCAGAGAGTTTCAGTAAGTTGCATAAAATCATGCAGATAGTAAGTGGCACGGCTGGAGCTCAAACTCAGTTCTGTCTGTCTGCAAAGTCCATGCCTTTCTTTTAACACCACTCTACCTTTTTAGGTATTTTAACCCAAAGACTCCCATGCTTGAATCTTAACTCTACCCATGGGCTCTCCCACATCTGCACACAGTTTCTACGCTGGAGGGTGGAAGGGAGTTCTTTCTTCCTTAAGAACAGTGTCCTCGTCAGACCTGAAATCCTCCTTCTCCCAGCCTGCTTCTCCTCACACCCCATCAACTCCTCCTTCCTCATTTCCATCAGCTGGTGAATTGCGTGCTGATGAGCACCCTAGGAAACACCTGCTGCCCCATGGCCATTGCCATGTTTAGATCTTCTTCCTCTCTCCCTAGACCTGGGCACAGCCTAACTGGGTCCCCTTTGAGAGTCAATCTCATCCACATTAAATTTCCACTGAATGATTTCCACCAGAATGTGGTCAAGATCAAGAACAAGGGTGAGATCAGGACCCCCCTGCTTAACAGCCTGCGATGGATCCCATTCCCCTGCAGCACTCAGCCTTCAGTCTCAACTCAGCTTGGTGTCCTCCTGCCCCTCCCAGCTCCAAACCCCTGAGTCACCCCTACCTGACTGAGATATGGCCCATACCTCTCAGTTGCCGTTCCTTCTTCCTGGATGCCTTCCATGTTTTAACTATTTAAATTAAAAAAATGTTATGTATGTACAACATCATAAGACTTTTTTTTTTTTAGACGGAGTCTTGCTCTGTCGCCCAGGCTGGAGTGCAGTGGCGTGATCTCGGTTCACTGCAAGCTTCACCTCAAGGGTTCATGCCATTCTTCTGCCTCAGCCTCCTGAGTAGCTGAGACTACAGTCACCTGCCACCATGCCTGGCTAATTGTTTTTTGTATTTTTAGTAGAGACAGGGTTTCACCTTATTAGCCAGGATGGTCTCGATCTCCTGACCTCGTGATCTGCCTGTCTTGGCCTCCCAAAGTGTTGGGATTACAGGCGTGAGCCATGGCGCCCAGCCAAGACTTTTTTTTTTTTTTTTTTTATTCTTTAAGTTCTAGGGTACATGTGCACAATGTGCAGGTTTGTTACATAGGTATACAAGTGCCATGTTGGTTTGCTGCACCCATCAACTCATCATTTACATTAGGTATTTCTCCTAATGCTATCCCCCCACAGCCCCCCACCCCCGACAGGCCCCGATGTGTGATGTTCCCCACCCTGTGCCCATGTGTTCTCATTGTTCAACTCCCACCTATGAGTGAGAACATGTGATGTTTGGGTTTCTGTCCTTGTGATAGTTTGCTTAGAATGATGGTTTCCAGCTTCATCCATGTCCCTGCAAAGGACATGAACTCACCCTTTTTTATGGCTGCATAGTATTCCAATGTGTATATGTGCCACATTTTCTTAATCCAGTCTATCATTGATGGACATTTGGGTTGGTTCCAAGTCTTTGCTATTGTGAATAAGACTTTCTTTCTTCTTTTTTTTTTTTTTAATGAAAAAGCCATCCCCAGACTGGATATCACAGCTCTGTTCCCGCCTCCCCCTTTCAACTTCAGCTGTTTCTTTTGGGATTTGTCTCCTTACTTCTAAATAACAGGCTTTACCTTGTTACTGTTTGATTTTTGTGTTTCAGTTTTTAATCGCTTGACTTCTGGCTGTGAAGGATGAGGATGTAGATCTGTTATACAGCATTGTGCCTGCCCACTTCTTTTTTAAATATCTTCTTCCCACCTTCTCAATATATTCATATTTTTGTTAGATAAATGTTTACATTATTAAGACTATTTAAATGTTATTCATAGTCAAACCATATATTATACTATGTTACATTTTATGCTATATTAAATTTCCTTGGAATAAATATCTCCTTTTCAATTTGCCTAAACTTTCTATGTATTGATCATTAATTTGTTTCCTGATTCACTGCTGGAAGTATAAATCTCCTCAGTATTTTAGAACCCTGGGTGTTCTATCAATTTCATCCTCATGAAGATGTGTCTCCTAGGGCCTTCTGTCCTGCTCTTGTCTGTTCTGGGTGCTGTCTGGGTCTTCTGCTCAGCTGTGATCCTGGAATCTCTCTTCACCATCATCCTGAAATTCCTTCTTTTTCCTGTGTTGCATTCCTTGTTTTCTGGATCCAATGTCTTCCTCCTTCCTGTTTTTATTTTTCCCTTTGTTTTAGTGAAGCACATCCTCAAGTAGTTTCCTGGAAAGGGAGTTATCGGGGTTAAATTTTTTGAGACCATTTGTGTCAAAAAGATCTTCAGTTTATCTTCACTCTTGACTGATAGTTTGGCTGGGTATAGAATTCTAGCTTGGAAATCATTTGCACTCAGCGTCTGAAGGTACAGTTTCACTGTTTCTTGGCTTCTGGTGTTGCTGTTGAGAAGTCTTATGCCACGTTGACTCGAGATCATTTCTTATTATCCTGTTCCCACTCTCCTCCCTAGAAGCTTTTCAGTTCTTCTCTTTCTCTCCAGCAGGCTGAAATACCATGTGTTGAATTGATGCAGCTGTAACTTCATCCACCGGCTGGACTCTAGCAGAAACTTCTAATGTGGGAGCTCATGTTGTTCAATTCTGGCAAATTTTCGTGTTTCATGATTTCCTCCCTCCATTTTCTCTCTTTCTGAAATGGCTCTTTTTCCTGGGTATTCTGTTTTATTTTCCATCTTGTCTTTTCTTTGTTGTTGTTGTTGCTGTTTTCTGAGAAATTCTTTAACTTTGACCTCTAACTCCATTATTCAGAGTTTTAAAAAATCTGCTGTATTTGGCCGGGCACAGCAACTCATGCCTGTAATCCCAGCAGTTTTGGAGGCCAAGGTGGTTGGATTGCTTGAGCCCAGGAGTTCGAGACCAGCCTGGGCAACATAGTGAGACCCTGTCTCTACAAAACATACAAAAATTAGCTGGATGTGGTGGCTTGTGCCTGTAGTCCCAGCTGCTAGGGAATCTGAGGTGGGCGGATCACTTGAGACTGGGAAGTCGAGGCTGCAGTGAGCTGAGATCACACCATCGCATTCTAGCCTGGGCAACAGAGTGAGATCCTGTCTTAAAAACAACAGCAGTCTTTTATATTTTTCATATCTCATAGCTCTGCATGTTTTTTCAACAGTCTCTTGTTCTTGTTTCAAGATGCAATAGTTTCTCTATCTCTTTGAGCCTATTAGTCCTGGCTCCAGCAATGCTTCTATTTCTGTCATCGGCTCAGTTTCCTCAGTTCCTTTCTTGCTGTTTGTCTTGCCTCCATCTTTCATGCCAGAGGCTTTTCTCAGATGTCTAGTGGTCCTTGGTAGTCGTTCATATTTAAGAGTAAGTCACTGAGAAACTAATTGGAATATGTGTATATGTGTGTGGATAGCATGGGAGCTTGCCACTGATAGGTCTCAGTATAGAGTAATCTGGTGGAGAATAAGCGTTTCAATGGGGAACAGTTATCTGTAGGACTTTTCTTGGGTAGGGTCTTCCCCAGAAGGAATACCTCTAATTTTCTGTCTGGATTGTAAAAGCTACCAGCTTTCTGGAAGCTGAGTGCGGGAAGGGGGCAGAGAAGGTCTCAGTCTCAGCTACTCTGTTACTAATTGATTATAGTTTATTGGCCCTTCTTGGTGTCTCAGGATTCAGAGTCCCTCTGGGGAAATTCTCCAGCATAAACATCTAGTTTCTCCTGGAGTAATCGTGGAGTGGTTGGGATCAGACAAGGAGGGGAGAGAGGAGCTACAGGGGCCTCTCTGCTTTTTTTTTTTTTCCGAGATGGTGTCTCGCTCTGTCCCCCAGGCTGGAGTGCAGTAGCACCATCTCGGCTCACTGCAAGCTCCGCCTCTCGGGTTCACACCATTCTCCTGCCTCAATCTCCTGAGTAGCTGGGACTACAGGTGCCCACCGCCACACCTGGCTAATTTTTTGTATTTTTAGTAGAGACGGGGTTTCACCGTGTTAGCCAGGATGGCCTCAATCTCCCGACCTCGTGATCCACCTGCCTCGGTCTCCCAAAGTGCTGGGATTATAGGCATGAGCCACCGTGCCCGGCCGCCTCTCTGCTTTTTATACAGATCTCTAGCTCACCCTCCCATTTCTAGTTCACTTGTTCCTCACTGTCAGAGGTACCTGGTGCCCCCTATTCCAGAGAGTTTCCAGAGTTCTTAAAAATTCAGAGTTAAAAAGTTCCAGAGTGTAAATATGCTTTGCCTCTTGGCTTCTCTCTGGGCAAGCGCTGGGCTTTATTTGTCTTTGTTTTCCAGATTCCAAAACTTGATTGCTATAATCTAGTTTCCTGATCTCTTTGACCCCATGGGTTTTATCCATTTATAGTAATTTTAGTAGTGTTTAGGAGGTGAAGATAAACTGCAAGTTTAACCTGAGTTTAATCTGAAGTCTCTGCTTTACATGACAAAACCATATTCATCTTTCAAGGCTGCTGAGCCTGATTCATTACTCTATAATGCACAATCATTGTTGGCATTATTGGTAGTTTAGCGAATGTGTTTCCCTTTTTCTGGTCACCCTGTCTCCCAAGCCCTAGGGTGAGCCTATGACTCAGAGCGAACCCCAAATCTCGATACCAAAGGTAACCACTGATAGTATTTTTACAAGTTTTTCTCTCTGTCTCTCTATATATACACTCATGCACCATATAACAACATGTTGTTTTTCAGTGATGGATGGTATATATATATATATATATATATATATATATATATATATACACACACATACACACGAGTGGTCCCATAAGATTATAATACTACATTTTTACTGTACTTTTTCTGTGTTTAGATAGGTTTAGATACACAAATACCAACCACTGAGTTACAATTGCCTATAGTATTCAGCACAGTAACCTGCTGTTCAAGTTTATAGCCTAGGAGCAATAGGCTATACCATCTAGCCTTGGTATGAAGTAGGTTATACCATGTAGGTCTTTGTAAGTACACTGTATGGTGTTCACACAATGACAAAATTATTTAATAATGCATTTCTCAGAATGCGTTCCTGTTGTAAAGTAATCCGTGACTGTGTACATATATATACACATTTATACATATATACATTTATGCATATATGTATAAATAAAATACATTTATGCATATATATTTATGTACTTATACATATATATGTATAAATGAAGTAAAAATGAAGTAAACATATCTTACCAACTATAATTACAACAACAATTACACTAAATGTCTATACCATTTTTCATTCTTTTTTTTTTTTTTTTGAGACAGAGTCTCACTGTGTCGCCCAGGCTGGATAGTGCAATGTCATGATCTTGGCTCACTGCAACCTCTGCTGCCCGAGTTCAAGCGATTCTCCTGCCTCAGCTCCCACAAATATTTTTGATTATTTCCTTAGGCTAGATTCCTAGATGTATACTAGATGAGAAGATACAGATGTTTTAAGATTCTCGATTTGAATGGCCAAATTGATTTAAAGAGAAATTGTGCCAATTTGCATATCTTGCCAGCAGGGAATGGGAGTGCCTATTTCAAAACATGCTCATCAACTGTGAGTATTATCTTTAAAAACCTCTTTGGTAAATTGATTCAGCTGATTCTTTTAAAGATGATGTTGTGGAAGGACCCTTACACAGAGACATAGTCCTGGCCTGGGTTACTAAACAACTCCTGGGCTGGCACACACTTTCATGAGTTGTTCATTAATGAGATGTCAGAACAGAGGATGTAGAATACCCTCCAACTGGGCATGCGGTGCTATTTTATTTTATTTTATTTATTTATTTATTTATTTTTTGAGACAAAGTCTCACTGTCACCCAGGCTGGAATGCAATGGTGCGATCTCAGCTCACTGCAACCTTTGTTTCCCAGGTTCAAGCAATTCTCATACCTCAGCCTCCTGAGTAGCTGGGACTACAGGTGTGTGCCACCACACTCAGCTAATTTTTTTTTTTTTTTTTTGTATTTTTAGTAGAGACAGGATTTCACCATGTTGGCCAGACTAGTCTCAAACTCCTGGCCTCAAGTGATCTGCCTGCCTTGGCCTCCCAGAGTGCTGGGATTACAGGCGTAAGCCACCATGCCCAGCCTGGGCATGGGTGCTATTTTAAAGAAGTTGTCTGTACCCGTATCTTCCGAGTGCCTAACCCCCAGGAGCAGATCCTTGGAAAGCTCATCACGAAAGGCCTCTACCTGACAGATGCAGAAATTCAGGTTTACAGTAGTTAAAGGAAAATTAAAAAAAAAACTTTCTTGGGGTCTCACAGTCACTTAGCAAAACTCCCGGAGAGCAGAAATCACTTATCTCTTCTTCATTGCTGTTATCTTGTAGAAACAAATCATGAGCCCCTTTTAAACAGAAGGACAATATTGTGCAGAAATATGAGTTTTCCCTTCAATAAGGGAACCAGAATTTCCATCTGGAAATGGCTTGCTGCCTGGATTTCTCAAACTATGATTCAAGCCCCAAATCAGACTGCCTTTTGCTCTTGCCTGGTCTTTCCCACTTCCTAAGATCCTGGCACCTGAGCTGAGAAGGTTGAGAACTCCCAGTGTTCCTTGAAATCTGTCTAATTTGAAGGTACCTTCAGATTCCTTATGCTTGACTTACTGTCAAAGTTCGGCAAATATTGTTTTAGATAATTGCATGAGGTGCAAAAACAATGACTAGAGTGAGAATTAATGGCAGCCCATAAAGTGCATCTGCTGTTGTAAATGAATGAGTGGTATGCTTGTAAAGCTCTGCTTTCTTTGGGTCCATTGTTTCTGAGAGCTCTAATAAGCTCAGTGTCCCTCCTAGTGTATGAGATAAGCAATTTCTTGTGCTTGTCTTTTCACTGCTGTAGCTTGTTGTTTAAGACCTTCTGTCTGCTCCCCGAAACATAAACAGTAATGAAACTTTTGTTTTGCTAGTTACCAACAGCCCCTGGATGGTACCCAGCCCATAAAGGACACTCAGTAAAGACTTGTGGAGTCAGGCCGTGGAGGTTTGGTTTAGAAGTCTCTGCTCTTTCAGGACTCCACAGAACTTGCTCAGAAGAATTTCTTGAGGGCAGGCTTCTCTGGGTTCCATGTGCTTCTCATTGTGTTGGCACAGGGAGGTCTCCATGGGTAGGTATTGACAAGCTGGCATGGATGTGAAAGCAAATATCTTCTTGAGCCCTGGAGGGATGGAGCCCCATCTACAGAACTGAGGCATGAGGCAGTGGAGCTCCTTATCTGGCCCCTCCTCTGATGTGCTGTCTGCATCCTGGAATCCCCAACAGTCCAAGACCCCCGAAGGGCTTTGAGCAGATCAAGGGGTGTTAAAGCAATAGTGGCAGCTATCCAGGAGACGCCATTTCTGACTTCACCCCTAGTTAACACACTGTTGATTGCAAGGGTCCCTCTTTCTCCTACCATGTTAGGATTGTTACACATAAAACTCATGCGTCGGCCTGGTGCTGTGGCTCACGCCTGTAATCCCAGCACTTTGGGAGGCCTAGGAGGGAGGATCACCTCAGGTCAGGTGTTTGAGAGCAGTCTGGCCAACATGGTGAAACTCCATCTCTACCAAAAAATACAAAAATTAGACAGGCGTGGTGGTGCGTGCCCATAGCCCCACTACTTGGGAGGCTGAGGTGGGAGAATCGCTTGAATCAAGGAGGTGGAGGTTGCAGTGAGCCGAGAGTGTGCCACTGCACTCTAGCCTGGGTGACAGAGTGAGACCCTGTCTCAAACAACAACAACAAAAAACAACAGAAAAAATCCCATACGTCTCTAGCTTTTATCTACCATATGAATAGTGTGACGAAACAAAAGGAAATATAGAAAATGAAAACACTCATCCATTGTTCTGTCACCAGACCTTTTATTCTACCAGGTTCTTTTCCAGCTTTGTTATATGTGATTATACAGCAAAGATGACTTTCAAATTATTTAAGGGACTTCACTTAATTTTAAATTAATAGAAATAACAGACCAGTATAAAAAGGCATATGTGCAAAGATATTTACTGCTGTTTATTTGTAGTGACAGAAGGTGGCAAACACATTTTTAAAAGTTGATAGTGGACAGGTGGAATAAATAATGGTCCACTGCTACCCTGGAGTATTAAGCAGCCATTATAGTCAATAAATTGGAGCTATTTATTGGATGGCAAGGAGGGATTCCTCCAGGGATTGGAGAGAGAGAAATGTGGAATGCAGAAATGTACATGTAGGATATTGATTTCACTTATGTGAAATAAACAGCCAACCCCTCATCCCTCATTTATGTAAATGCATGTGCATGTGTCTGTGAGATTATATAAGCACCAACAATATGAAAAGATACATACAGAGTTATGAACATAGATTACTGTGGGGGTGGGGTTGAAGGCTGATGTGGGTGGCAGTGGTTGAGGGGAAAAGGGGAGCCAAGAAAAACAGGAAAGGAACAAAAAGAGTGCACACACATTTTAATACATGTGCATAAAATTGTGTGTGTGTGTGTATATGAATAAAGAAACTAAACAACAATTTAAGAACCAAAGAATCAATTAATTTGTTGAATACCACATCGACTTCCTAATTAGAAACAGATTGCATGCACTAATATTCTGGCCTGTCAATTTTATGTGATCATAAAATAGATTTTTAATTTACTTTATGCTTAGATAATAATATAACTATACAAATTAAAACTGATAACCAAGAGAAAACATTTTTTAAAAAGATCAGATCACAGTCCTTTGCAGGAGGTAGTGTCGAATAGCTGGGGGGAGGGCAGAGGCTAACCTGAAGCTGAACTTCCAGCGTGAACTTGGAGGGATCCTCCACCCGCCCCTGGTCTCTGTGAGTTTCATTTTCCTCATCCGTACATTTAGGGTATTAGTATTTATCTGAAGGAGTTCATTTGAGGAATAGAGGAGATAAAGGGTGGATAAAACACACAGTATGTACCCAATAAACATTTTTTGTTGCTTCCCTCTCCTGTTTGACAATTTTTAATGTTGCCCAACCCTTTATTGCCTGATTTGATTCTGGCAGCAAGGCTGCAGACAGGCAGCTGTGTTCTGCTTCCTAAAGATGAGCTGGAGCAAATGCCTTCTCCCTGCATGCTCCCTGCAAGGCCTCCTCGCTATCTCCACACACCTGACTCATCCCATTTTACAGGTGAGGAAATTGAGGCTCAGGGAGGCTGAGCGACTTACTCAAGGGTGCGTGACCAGTAGGTGGGGTGTCAGAATGCCCTGCACCCCCAACCCTGTGCCGCCTCTGCATAGATCTTCCCTGGTGAGAAGATCCCTGGTCTTGTTTGACTTGATCAGGCTTGCAGAGAAGGTGGGTGCTAGCAGTAGGCCAGTGAATTCAGTCCAAGTCCACTTAGAGGCTGTTCTGGGCCAGGTGTTGTGCTGGGTTTGGGGTGGGGGCAGGGTGGGGATTCAGTGATAAGTCAGGAGCCACCTTGGCCTTAAATAAGATACTTATTTACAGCACCTACACAGGCAATGGTGCTTTTTGTCCTCCTTCCCCTAGAGGTGCCTTTGATGTGTGAGGGGATGGGCAGTACCCCTACTGGCTGAGCTCTTTCTCAATAGCTGGGCCTTGGCTGACGCTTCCTCTCTCTCTCCTCCTCTTCTAGGTAAGTGGGTGGGGACTGGGCTGTGGACCTACAGAGGCTTAAACAGTGGCTGGTGTTTGCCCTATCTGCCCACATGGCCACAAGAATTGCAGCCTTAGTGAGTTCTCTACAGTGAGAATAACCACCCCCCACCCACCCCCAGGAGCAGATCTGCCTGGGCTTGAACCCCAGCCCCACTCCCTACCTGCCTTAGTGTTGCTCTGAGGATTAGAAGACATGATGAAGTTAAGACCTGGCCCCTGGTAAGTCCTCAATACATGTTAACTTTGGTGGAATGAGACTGTAAGAGGGTATGTTTTACCCCTAAGCTAGCTCAAGGTGATGACTGCTTAAACTGGTTCTGTTCTGTTCTACAGAACAAGAGACTTGACTCAGGGGTTTCATTGTCATACTTACCTTCTCTAACACCACCAGCACCACCATCACCACCCTCATCATCACCACTCCCACCACCATGACCACCACCACCATCACCACCATAATCATCACTATCATTACCACCACCACCACTACCAATATCCCCCCACCACCATCACCACCAACATTATCACTACCACTATCACCATCACAACCACCAACACCCCCACCACCACCATTACCACCCCCACCACCACCATTACCACCCCCACCATCACTATAATCACCACCATCACAATTATCACTACCACCATCACTACCATCACCACCACCATTACCACTACCATCACCACCATAATCACTGCCATTATTACCACCATCACCACCACCACCATCATCATCACCACCATTACCACTACCACCATCACTACCATTGCCACTACAATCACCAACACCACCACCAATACCATAATTACCATAATTACCACCATCACCACCACCACCACCACCACCATTATCCCTACCATCACCACCACAACCACTAGCACCACACCAATACCCCCACCACCATTACCCCCACCATTAACACTACCACCATCCCTACCATCACCACCATAATCACCACCACCACCACCAATACCATAATTACCATAATTACCACCATCACCACCACCATCACCACCGCCACCACCACCACCACCACCACCACCACCATTACCACTACCACTATCCCTACCATCACCACCACAATCACCAGCACCACACCAATACCCCCCACCACCATCACCCCCACCATTAACACTACTACCATCACCACCACCACCACCAACACCCCCACCACCGAAATCACCACCTCCCCACCACCATCACCAACATTATCACTACCACTATCCTTACCATCACCACCACAATCACCAGCACCACACCAATACCCCCACCACCATCATCCCCACCATCACCACCCCCACAGCCCCACCACCACCATCACTACCATCACCACTACCACCATCCCTACCATCACCACCACAATCACCAGCACCACACCAATACGCCCCACCACCATCACCCCCACCATCACCACTCGCCCCTGCACCACCACCACCACCACCACTGAAATCACCACCCCCACCACCACTACCACCACCACCACCACCACTGAAATCACCACCCCCACCACCACTACCACCACCACCACCATCACCACCACCATCACCACTACCACCATCACTGCCATCACCACCATAATCACTGCCATCATTACCACCATCACCACCCCCACCCCCACTACCACCACCACATCATCACCACCATTACCACTACCACCATCACCACCATGACCACCACAATCACCACCATCATTACCACCATCTCCATCTCCATCACCACCACCACCACCACCACCACCACTACCTCCAGTACCTCCAACACCCCCAGCACCATCATTTCCTTTCCCCCAATCACTCCTCCAGTTCTTTGAAGGGGGTGTTGCTCATATGGGTTAAGTTAGATGGGGAGTAACCAAAGTCTTGGGACACACAGACATCACTCAAGCTGGGACAGTCAAAGGACAGATGCACACTGAGTGCTGCAGTAGAACAGTCCTCGCTAGATGCTGACAGAGAGAACAACCAACAGAACACTGATGAGATAATTGAGATAACGAGGCAGCACAGACTTGGATACCCCCATGGGGCTCCCATGTGGCTCCCTGGGAGGCAGACAGTGCCTGGTCTGCCTTGTGAAGGCTGCACAGCCTCTGGATGCTGCCTCTGCTCCTGTCCACCTAGGCTGTCTCCCTGACCGTGGGGGCCCACCAACTCTTCTTCCCCTTCCCTCACCAATATCCTCCCCCAATCTGGTTTTCCCTCTTTCACTTTGTTTTATCCAGAAGCTTTCCCTTTGTCCCTCCTAGTCTCTTGCTTATGGCCTAAACCTCGAGGCTCATTGGCACGCTGGAGCTGGCTCATGCTGGCTCTTGAGAGCTGGACATTAAAATTTCAGGAATTTTGCAAGGTGATTGTTAAATATGGCCCTCATCAAAAATTAAATTATACGAACTTAAAATTAAATGAATTATATTGAGAACAAAGGTAATGCATACTGAAAACTCATTCCTTCCAAATTATTTTACTACATTGTACTAATATCTGTGCTCTTGAGGTACTTATGACCATTTTATCCATATGGTGGACATGCTATAAGGCAGTGAGCTACTGCACGTCTCTTCCCAACCCTGTGTTAAGTGACTCCCTGTTGGTTGCTTGAAATTGGCCACAGTGGGGGTATTTACAACACGAAAAAAATAAATGTTATAAATTGGGGCTTGATTTATTGTTTTATTGATTGTCTTTTTTTTTTTTTTTTTAAGATGGAGTCTCACTTTGCCACCCAGGCTGGAGTGCAGTGCTGTGGTCATGGCTCACTGCAGCCTTGACCTGCTGGGGCTTAAGCAATCCTTCCACCTCAGTCTTCTGAGTTGCTGGGACTACTGGTGTATGCCTCCATGCCTGGCTAATTATTTTATTTATTTATTTTTGTAGAGATGGTATCTCACTATGTTGCCCAGGCTTGTCTTGAACTCCTGGGCTCAAGTGATCCTCCTATCTCAGCCTCCCAAAGCGCTGGAATTACAGGTGTGAGCCACCATGCCCAGCCCTGAATTGCCTCTTTTAGAAGCTAATTCAAGCTGAGTTTCCGTTGCTTGCAACCAAAATGTGCCCATCAATATATCCTGTTACCTAATTCTTGATTTATTTTTCTTCTATCCTTGCTGGATATTTTTAGTTTTATTATAAATATGTCTTTTATCATAAGCCATCCATGCCCTCTTTTGGAACTGGGAGACAGAAATGGTCATTTTTTTGCAAATATTGCACTGACAACCAGGATGGCCTCATTGAAACCTGAGAGGCTGCTTCCCCATCCCCTCATTCCAGCCACAGAATGTGGGCCCTGCTGGAAGCTCCCAGGCCTTCTCCCCTCACACCTAAACCATCCGCTGACTCTTCCTCATCAGTTTCCAGGCCTGCCCTATTCCCACAGCCTCCACCCTGGCCAGGCCCTTGCAGACTCACCAGCCCATCACCTGGCCGGCTGACCTCAGCAGCTCCCAGCTCCTGCAACAGGAGCTCCAGTAACATCCTGGACTCTTCTCTGTTCTCTGCCTCAAGGTCTTTGGCTGAACCTTGACACCTGTTCTCCATTTGCATCCCCCACTCCCTTTGGTCTAACTTGGGCTTAATTTAAGTGAACTTTTACCAAACACTTCCTCTGTGCCCAGTACCATGCTGGCCACCTGCGCTGACTTACCCACTCCTCTCAATAATCCTGCCAGGCTGAACTGGTTCTATTCCTATTTGATGGAAAACCAAAGCTTGGACGGCTGCAATGGCCTGTCCAAGGTCACATGGCTCGTCAGTGATGGAGCCAAGACTTGAAAGCTGGTCTTTCTGATCGGGAGGCCCTGCTCCTTCCTTGATCCCATGCGGTATCCCGTCTGGGGGAGGGAGGTGGGGTGCAAGATGCTGAATCTGTTCCCACATCTCTGACTGTGGGAAATGACTCTTTCTATCCATGAGGCTAGAACTACTCGGCGACCCCTTCCCTTCCTCTTTCCCTTTCCCTCTGTCCTGCCGACCAGAGCTCAGGACTCCTGACACAGACATTCCGACTCCCAGGTGCTGACTCTCCCCGCAACTCACCACTGTGCTGGAGTTCCCACAGCCACGCCCTCTCCCCACTCCACCCTCCAGGGTTCTTCCTTCTTTCAAAACCTGAGTCAAAGCGCACCCTTTCCAAGAAAACTTCTGTGTGCTAATCCACCCCACCTTGTGGCTCCTGTGCTCCTGGCTCCCCTCAGCCTATGGCACAGGGAAAACTCTGGGCTCTGCAACCCTCCTCCATCAGACTGGACAGCCCACGGGCAAGGGTTGTGTCTCCTGCATCAGACCAGAGTAACACTGAGGACTGACTATGTGAAAAACACTTTGTGGCCCCCTAAGGCACTATGGGGAGGTATAATCAAGGGTGGGGGCACAGATCACAGAGGCAGTGGGAGGTCTGAGAGATGGGGAGAAAGCCAGGTGACCTGAGCTGATGGGGTGGGGCTTCCTGGGAGAGGAGAGGTCTGAGCCAACAACATCCCTTACCTGGATATGGCAAATTCTCCCTACTGGTCCCCCACACCACGGCAAAGTATGTTCTGCATGGAGACCAGGGTGGCCTTTGTGAAACATCCGACAGCATCACTCACCAGCTTAGGACCCTTCAGTGGCTCCAGTGTCATCAGGATAAAGTCTGAGCTTCCCAGCACCTTTATCACCACCTGGCCTAAGGCTCTCAGTTTCATCGGGCAGGCCCAGCCTTGAGCTGTGAACTCTAACAATACATAACTGCTTGCAGTTTCCATCAGACCAGTCTTTCACACGTCTGCACTTTGCCTGGGTGCTTCCTTGGGCAAATGGGATGTCTATCCTCACTTCCGCTGCTTGCTCAGCATCTACTCATCTTCAAGGTTCAGATCAGTTAAGAGCTCCTCTAGGATGCTGGCCCCCTCTGCCCCCAGCTGGGCTGGCTGTCCTTTCTCAGTGCCCCACCATCCTTCACCCACCTGCCTACCCACCATCCACCCACCTCCTGTTCATCCCTCTATCCTTTTACCCATTATTATTCCCTTCCTTCCATTCATCCATTCATCTACTTCCCTGTCTGATCACTCCCCAGCCGTTCATCCCTCCACTTTCCCTCGTTCTTCTCTTCCTTCCACTCATCTATCCATCTGTCCACCTGCCATCCATCCATCCATCCATCCGTCTATATGTCCATCCATCCATCCATCCATCCATCCCTCTTCTACATTCCCTTACCCTCTTCCCTTTCCCTTCCTCCTGCTCTCCCTCCTCCCTCCCTCTGTCCTCCTTCTGTCCTCCCTCCTCTTACTCTCCATCCTCCCTCCCTCTGTGCTTCCTTCCTTCATTGAGCACCTACTTTGTGCCACACAGTCTGCAGGAATCTGCATAAACCATATGTGGAACTGAGGCTTGGCCTTAAAGAACATGAGGGGTTTGGGTAGGAAGAGAGGACATATGTGGAAATTCAGGCAGAGATTGGAAATGGATGGAGATGTAGGGACCAGCAAGGGGACAGGCCTGTTGGGGAGGGGACCCAGTTTACAGTGGGGTCTCATGAGTGATGGGCTGGAGCATTTAAGCTGCATTTTGCCTGAACTGGGAGCTAGCGGCAGGGTTGTAAACTAATCTATTCCTTGCCTTTGGCCACCTGACTGTCTGCATTTTTAACAACCTGAACATGACTCTGGGGTGCAGGCACAGCCCTTTTCACCCCAGGCATATTCTTACCCTGCCTAGCTCAGAACCCTGGGTGACACTTCTGCTGTGTGACCTTGGACATGTTCCTTCCCCTGTCTGGGACTCACATTTTCTATCTGTAAAGTTAAGAGCCTGGTCTAGAGGCTGTTTTTGGCTCTGACTTTTGGGGGCTTTCTAGCAGCAGAGGACCTGTCATTAAAAAGTGAGGCTTGCAGCCAGCTGAGCTGGGGTGGAACCCTGACTGAGCAGGTGGCTTGCTGTGGGCCTTGGGGGAACTCCTCCACCTCTGAGCTTTCTTATTCTATGATATGGGCTGGCCAAGCTCTGTTGTCAGCCTTGTGGCACAGCTTGGAGGCTCAGACAAGGACACAGACACTGAAATGCTGGCTCAGCCCATCTCTTGTGTCAGCCCAGATGGGCAGGCTGGCCTGGGAAATCAGCAGGCGGCATAGCTGTCTGGGGAAAAGGGTATCCCGGGGCCTCGGGAGGTGCTCTAGGCTCCTGCTCTCTGGGGAAAAGGGGACCCTGGGGCCTCGGGAGGTGCTCTAGGCTCCTGCTCCCTTGTGCTGCAATCCTGCCTGCTAGCCGACTTATGGCCTCCAAGTAAGCCCTGCCCTTCTGGCAGCTGAGGCTTCTCCCTCCCCAGCCCACTGTCTCTGCAAGTGATAGCCCTGAGCTCTAGGAGCTTTACCCACTCTCCACACAGTTTTCTGAGGCTTGGCGGGGAGAGGGATGGGCAAGGTGAAGGGGGTGGGGCTCTGGGGGGGCTGCCTGGCCCTGCCCGCTTCACCTGTTTGGATTGGCACGGGGCTCCCCCATTCAGGGTGGTAGAGGGAGACTCACTAACCACAAGAGGCCCTGCCCTGGGCTCCTCCTTTACCCCACTACTTCTGGGGCAGTCTGGAGGGAGGGTCAGGTAATGCTGCTCACACAAAGGCTGCCTAGAAGTCCAGAGGTGGGGGTACTCCAGGGGAGGGTGCAGAGGGGCCGAGAGGAGAGGGAGGGGTGCAGGACTCTGCCAGGAGGAAAGGAGAAGCTCAGCCCCTGGCAGGTTCTGGGGGCCTGGGAATCACAATGGGGGCTCCAATTTGTTACTTGACTCTGGGCCTTTCTAGACTCAAGACTTCCCATCTGTGACATGAGAGGAACCAGATTCCCCACTTCTTTCCCCAGGGCTGGCGGGGGCCTAGCAAGGCTCTTGACAATCGTGAGAGAAATATGTGCTATTTCTCCACAATAATACGTTGTGAAGGGAAGCCGGCATGGGAGTGTCTCAGGGAAGGGGTCCCCAACTCCTGGGCCACAGACTCTACCAGCTGTGGCCTGTTAGGACCCGCACAGCAGGAGGTGAGCTGCTGGTGAGTGAGCATTGCAGCCTGAGCTCCACCTCCTGTTGCCTGAACTCCGCCTCCTGTCAGATCAGCAGTGGCATTAGATTCTCATAAGAGCATAAACCCTACCGTGAACTGTGCACGCGAGGGATCTAGGTTGTGCACTCCTCATGAGAATCTAACTAATGCCTGGTGATCTGAGGAGGAACAGTTTCATCCTGAAACCGTCCCCACCCCCGACCCCCTAGATCCAAGGAGAAATGGTCTTCCATGAAACCGGTCCCTGGTGCCAAAAAGGTTGCGGACTGCTGTCTTGGGGCACAGAGATCTCGGGTTTGAGGTGGCCCAGTTTGGTTTTGGGGGGGGACAACAGAGCAGGAAAGAGTTCTTTCTCTGGGCTTGGATCTCCCAAAGTCTCTCCTGCAGGCCACAGTCCCTCAAGGAGTTCCTTCAAATGAGGCTCTTAAACTCAGGTTGAGGTGAGCTCGTTCCCTCCACTGATGGAGGCAAAATTTAGTGGGTCAGATTTTAAGGAGAAACGTGATTTTTGCATAGTTTCTAAGTACCTTCTTCAAGGTATTTATTAATTTCAATGGGAGAAACAGAAACATGACAGTAGAGAAATCCAGCAGCACCACCTTAGCCAAGTGAACAAGGCTGACGGCGCCAGCGGTAAGTAAGACACACAACATATCTGTCCAACATGCCTGATGGTGCCAGCGGTAAGACACATGACATATCTGTCCAACATGCCTGACGGGATGCAACCTCATTTCTGTGGTTTTCTTGCCAAAGTGCATAACCTCAATGTGATCATGAGAAAACATCAGAAAAACCCAAACTGAGGGATATTCTGCAAAATAATTGATCACCCCAGTACTCTTCAAAAGTGTCAAGGTCATGAAAGGAAGAAAAGACTGAGGAGCTGTCATGGATAGGAGGAGACTAAGGAGACGTGATAGCTAAATGCAATGTGGAGACTGAAATTGGACCCCGCAGCAGAAATGGAACATGTGTGGAAAAACTGGTGGAAGTTCCAATAAAGCCTGCAGCTCATTAATAGTATTGTGTTGGCTGGGTGCAGTGGCTCATGCCTGTAATCTCAGCACTTTGGGAGGCCGAGGCGGGTGGATCACCTGAGGTCAGGAGTTTGGGACCAGCCAGGCCAACATGGCTCAACCCCGTCTCTACTAAAATTACAAAAAATTACCCGGGCTTCATGGTGAGCGCCTGTAGTCCTAGCTACTTGGGAGGCTGAGGCAGGAGAATCGCTTGATCCTGGGAGGCGGATGTTGCAGTGAGCCGAGATTGCACCACTGCACTCCAGCCTGGGCAACAAGAGCAAAACTCCATCTTGTGGGGGGAAAAAGTATTGTGTCAATGTTAATTTATGGTTTCAAAAATTGTATGATTCTTATGTAGTATGTTCACATTAGGGGAAGCTGGATGAAGGATACACAGGATACACAGGAACTCTCTGTCCTATTTTGTAACTTTTTCTTAAAGGCTAACATTATTTCATTTTTTTTTTTTTGGGAGACAGAGTCTTGCTCTGTTGCCCAGGCTGGAGTGCAGTGGTGCGATCTTGGGTCACTGCAATCTCTGCCTCCCAGGTTCAGTCAATTCTCCTGCCTCAGCTTCCCGAGTAGCTGAGATTACAGGCGCTTGCCATGACGCTCAGCTAACTTTTTGTATTTTTTAGTAGAGATGGGGTTTTGCCATGTTGGCCAGGCTGGTCTCAAACTCCTGGCCTCAAGTGATCTGCCATTTTGGCCTCCCAAAGTGCTGGGATTACAGGTGTGAGCCACTGTACCCAGCCAAGTCTAACATTATTTCAAAATAAACATTTTTTAAAAAAAGAAGCTGGGTGTGGTGGCTCATGCCTGTAATGCCAGCAGTTTGAGAGGCTGAGGTGGGAGAATCGTTTGAGCCCAAGAGTTTGAGACCAGCCTGGCAACATGGTGAGACCTTGTCTCTACAAAAAAGTAAAAACTCGCTGGGCATGGTGGCAGTCCTGGCTACTTGGGAAGCTGAGGTGGGAGGATCCCTTGGGCCCAGGAGATTGAGGCTGCAGTGAGCTGTGATCCCACCACTGCACTCCAGTCTGGGCAACAGAGGGAGACCCTGTGTAAAAAAAAAAAAAAAAAAAAAGTGGATGATGTCAAGTACGGACCCAAGACCTGAGAGTTCCGTGGCTCCCTGCCATCCAGTCCCTGGTGACTTGACGTGTCACGCTAAAGGCTGTTCCCAGAAGCCTTCCAGATTGGGCCGCCCCCACATCTCATCTCAACCATCTATCTCTCCACCCAGTTTTTACTATTGCTTTGCAAGGTGACAAGCACCCAGTCTGTTATGCGGTATAGTGGGTCAAATAGGGTTCCTCCAAATCGGGTCCACCTGGGACCTCAGAATGTGCCCTTATTTGGAAATAGGGGTTTTGCAGATGTAAGTAAGGTAAGGTTTGAGATGAGATCCTACTGGATTAGAGTGATTGCTAAATCCAATGAGTGTCCTACAAGAGACTGAAAAAGACAGAGATGAAGACTGTATGAAGATGAAGGCAGAGATAGGGCGACGCTGCCACAAGCCGAGGAACTCAGGGAGGCACCAGAAGCTGGAAGAGGCAAGGAAGGGCTCTTCCCCAGAGTCTTCAGAGGGAGTGTGGCCCTGCCAACACCTTGATTCAGGGCTTATGGTTTCCAGAATGTATTCCAGAGAGAATACATTTCTGTTGTTTTTTTTTGAGACGGAGTCTTGCTCTGTTGCCCACGCTGGAGTGCAGTGGCGTGATCTTGGCTCACTGCAACCTCTGCCTCCCGGATTCAAGTGATTCTTCTGCCTCAGCCTCTCGAGTAGTTGGGACTACAGGCACCTGCCACCACACCTGGCTAATTTTTGCATTTTTAGTAGAGATGGGGTTTCACCATATTGGCCAGGCTGGTCTTGAACTCCTGGCCTCAGGTGATCCACCTGCCTTGGCCTCCCAAAGTGCTGGGATTATATTCGTGAGCCACTGTGCCCAGCCAGTTGTTTTAAGCCATCAAATTTGTGGTAATTTGTTATGGCAGCCCTGGGAAACCAATCTTACTTGTCTGTGCTTTTCTTCCATTTGTTTGTATGTTAAGTAATGTTGATGTGCATTCCTGCTTCTCTTTCATGCTGGGACCTTCCTAAAGGCAGGGATCGTCTCTTCCAGTAGGCCATGCACTCCAAGGGCGGGGGCTGTCCTGAGGTTTCCTCCTTCCTTAGGATGCCATCTCCTGGTCCCCAGCACAGTCCTCAGCACACAGTGTGGGCTCTGGAGGTGCTGCCTGGCCCTGCCAGCTTCACCTGTTTGGATTGGCAGAGGGCTCCCCCATGCAGGGTGGTGCAGGGAGACTCACTAACCACAAGAGGTCCTGCCCGGGGCTCCTCCTTTACCCCCCTCCTTTTGGGGCAGGCTGGAGGGAGGGTCAGGTAATGGTGCTCACACAAAGTCTGCCTAGAAGTCCAGAGGTGGGGGGTACTCTGGGCCTCAGCAGTCAGGACTGACAACCCTTTAACCCCTGATGCCCCAGAAAATGCCCTCCCTTAAAATGTCTGAGTACCATGCTTCTTTGGCATCAGGGAGGGGAGGGGAGTGTGGTGTCCTCTAAGTCTGCTCCCTGCTTGGCTGGGTTGTTTGCAGCTCCTTGGTCACTGAGTCCTTGTCTGCAGGGGTTGGCCTCAGGCTCCAGGTTGGGTCACGGTTCTAAGACCGGGTGTGGGGGATCAGGCTTATATTCCATGCTAGGGTTCTGGTGTTGGTGCGTGGGGTTGGGGTGGGACTGCAGAAGTGCCTTTTAAGATTATGTGATTGACTGATCTGTCATTGGTTCCCTGCCATCTTTATCTTTTGGATTCCCCTCGGAGGAGGGGGAGGAAGGAGTTTCTTTTGGGTTTTATTGAATGAAATGAAAGGGAAAGTAGAGCTGTTCCTATGTCCCGGGCTCCGGAGCTTCTATTCCTGATCCCTGCATAAGAAGGAGACATGGTGGTGGTGGTGGTGGGTGGGGGTGGTGGGGCACAGAGGAAGCCGGTACTGGGCTCTGCACCCCATTCCCGCTCCCAGATCCCTCTGGACACAGCATTTTTCTCCAGTGAGCACAGCCTCCCCTTGCCCCACAGCCAACAGCAACATGCCTCCCAACAAAAGCATCTGTCCCTCAGCCAAAACCCCTGTTGCCTCTCTCTGGGGAAATTGTAGGGCTGGGCCAGGGTGGGGGGACCATTCTCTGCAGGGAGATTAGGAGTGTCTGTCAGGGGCGGGTGGAGCGGGGTGGGGCCCTGGCTTACTCACATCCTTGAGAGTCCTTTGCTGGCAGATTTGGGGAGCCCACAGCTCAGATGTCTGTCTCAGCATTGTCTTCCAAGCTCCTAGGCCACAGTAGTGGGGGGCTCCCTTCTCTGGCTTCTTCTTTGGTGACAGTCAAGGTGGGGTTGGGGGTGACAGAGGGTCCTGCTTCTCTTCTAGGAGCAGTTGATCCCAGGAAGAGCATTGGAGCCTCCAGCAGGGGCTGTTGGGGCCTGTCTGAGGAGATAGGATGCGTCAGGCAGCCCCAGACACGATCACATTCCTCTCAACATGCCTGCCGGGGTCTGTGGAGCCTAGGGGCTGATGGGAGGGTGGGGTGGGGGCCGGAAGGGTTTGCTTTGGGAGGTTGTCTGGGAGATTGCTGAAGTTTTGATATACACACCTCCAAAGCAGGACCAAGTGGACTCCTAGAAATGTCCCCTGACCCTTGGGGCTTCAGGAGTCAGGGACCCTCGTGTCCACCTCAGCCTTGCCCTTGGCACAGCCCAGCTCCACTCCAGCCTCTACTCCTCCCCAGAACATCTCCTGGGCCAGTTCCACAAGGGGCTCAAACGAGGGCGCCTGAGCTGCCCACACTAGGGATGTTCTGGGGGTCTGAGAAGATATCTGGGGCTGGAAGAATAAAAGGCCCCCCTAGGCCTGTTCCTGGATGCAGCTCCAGCCACTTTGGGGCTAAGCCTGGGCTATAACAATGCCAACGAGGCTTCTTGCCATACTCGGTTTACAAAACCCTTTCACATACATTGTCGCATTGGATTCTCAGAGCTGACTGCACTAAGCAGAATAGATGGTATGACTCCCACTTTGCAGATGAGAACACTGAGGCTCAGAGAAGTGCCAAGCCCTGGGTCACAGAGGCGTAAATGGCAGAGCCAGGACCCACCTGACTCCAGGCTGTTTCCTGGCCTCCATGAGGCCACCTGCCCTATGGTGTGGTGGATGTGAGATCCTCACCATAGGGAGGAGATTAGGGTCTGTGCTCAGGGCTGGGGAGAGCTGCCTGGATTTCTCTTTGATGGGGATGTTGGGGTGGGAACCACGATACACCTGACTAGCTGGGTGTATTTCAGGGATGGGACAGACTTCTCAGCACAGCATGGGAGGTCAGGCCTGGGAGGGCCCCCCAGACCTCCTTGTCTCTAATAGAGGGTCATGGTGAGGGAGGCCTGTCTGTGCCCAAGGTGACCTTGCCATGCCGGTGCTTTCCAGCCGGGTATCCATCCCCTGCAGCAGCAGGCTTCCTCTACGTGGATGTTAAAGGCCCATTCAGTTCATGGAGAGCTAGCAGGTAACTAGGTTTAAGGTGCAGAGGCCCTGCTCTCTGTCACCCTGGCTAAGCCCAGTGCGCGGGTTCCTGAGGGCTGGGACTCCCAGGGTCCGATGGGAAAGTGTAGCCTGCAGGCCCACACCTCCCCCTGTGAATCACGCCTGGCGGGACAAGAAAGCCCAAAACACTCCAAACAATGAGTTTCCAGTAAAATATGACAGACATGATGAGGCGGATGAGAGGAGGGACCTGGCTGGGAGTTGGCGCTAGCCTGTGGGTGATGAAAGCCAAGGGGAATGGAAAGTGCCAGACCCGCCCCCTACCCACGAGTATAAAGCACTCGCATCCCTTTCCAATTTACCCGAGCACCTTCTCTTCACTCAGCCAACTGCTCGCTCGCTCACCTCCCTCCTCTGCACCATGACCACCTGCAGCCGCCAGTTCACCTCCTCCAGCTCCATGAAGGGCTCCTGCGGCATCGGGGGCGGCATCGGGGGCGGCTCCAGCCGCATCTCCTCCGTCCTGGCCGGAGGGTCCTGCCGCGCCCCCAGCACCTACGGGGGCGGCCTGTCTGTCTCATCCTCCCGCTTCTCCTCTGGGGGAGCCTGCGGGCTGGGGGGCGGCTATGGCGGTGGCTTCAGCAGCAGCAGCAGCAGCTTTGGTAGTGGCTTTGGGGGAGGATATGGTGGTGGCCTTGGTGCTGGCTTGGGTGGTGGCTTTGGTGGTGGCTTTGCTGGTGGTGATGGGCTTCTGGTGGGCAGTGAGAAGGTGACCATGCAGAACCTCAATGACCGCCTGGCCTCCTACCTGGACAAGGTGCGTGCTCTGGAGGAGGCCAACGCCGACCTGGAAGTGAAGATCCGTGACTGGTACCAGAGGCAGCGGCCTGCTGAGATCAAAGACTACAGTCCCTACTTCAAGACCATTGAGGACCTGAGGAACAAGGTGGGTGAATGGGCAGCAGAAGGCACCATTCCAGCTAGCTCCTTCTGGGAACAATTCATGCCCCAGGCCCCTGAGACCTTAAGATTTCTCTATAGGACAGAGTCCACCCCAGATCCCTTCTTTCGAGGTCTTGGATGCCCTAAGACTGATCAGTGAGAAGATGCTTTCCCTTCCCCAGCCTCCTCATCCCCTTCTGATCTCAAATCCTCAGACCATGTGAGATCAGTGATTCCTATCCTTACATTTTTTAGAGGAAGCAGTTGAAGCTTCGAGAGGTGCTGTGACCAGCTGCAGGTCACATAGCAAATTAATGGCAGAGCCAAGGCTGGGGCCCTTGTGCCCTACCTTCCAGCACAGGAGGCAGCTACTTGTTCTCCAGCACAGGGGAGGAGTGAGGCTCTAACGGGACCAGGCAAGACATCCAAACCACTCATTAGCTCACTAGTCTGGGCTGTGGCTGCCGCCGCCCATAAGCCTTGGTACAGGCTGGTCCCTCCCCACAGCCAGGCGGGCATGGAGAGCCTGCAGAGACAATTAGTGTGGTCCCTTGATGTGCCCTGCACAGAGAGAGCCTGGCAGGCTTGTGCCCTGACTCTAGCCCCCTCCTCCCTGCTCCCACATTACTTGGGAGCCCTCCCTGCTGGAGTCTGTTGGGCTCTAATGACTTGCATGGATTAGGGAAATTCAATGATGAGGTGGGGAAATCCAACCAGACTCAGGGGCCAATATATCTTCTTATTCTTCCCCTGAGTCCTCTTTTCTAATCCCCTGTGTTAGTTGGGTTTTATCTCTTGAGAAAGTTCCACTTGAAGTCCCATGGCCTGTGAGCTTGAAAAGGAATGTGCATATCTGCAGAGGACTGGCAGGGCTGGCTGATGCAGACAGAAGAGAGGTCAGCTCAGGAAGGAGGGCTAGGGAGCCTCAGATTATTCTCCTCACCTGGAGGTGGGGAACTTGAAGCCCCAAGACCCATTAGGTTTTGCAGCAAGACACTGGCAGAATTGGGACCAGAACTCCTGGGCTTTCGATTCTAAGCCCGGGGCTGCATCTACCCCCTCTGTTGACCATGAGTTAGCAAAGTCTTAGGACAGGCCTGGGGCATCTGTTTTCCTTTGGGCTGCTATGGTCAAGTTTTGTGGGGGAAAAGGGGGATTCAGGCAAGAACATGAAGCAAGAGCTTAATGTAGGCTACAGTGAAGTCCAGCTTGTGAAGTCCATTTGACAAATTACCTGTGCCTTTTCCATCCTGCAGATTCTCACAGCCACAGTGGACAATGCCAATGTCCTTCTGCAGATTGACAATGCCCGTCTGGCCGCGGATGACTTCCGCACCAAGTGAGTTTGAAATGGTGGGCCAGAACATCCAGTGTCCCCAGAGTAGGGCATTTTTGGAGCAGTGTTTCCCAAATAGAACTAGCCAGTACCAGGATAGGTGCATGAAAACTCCCTGGGGTGCTTATAAAAGAATAAGACTCTTGGGCCCCACCCTTGGAGTTTTGATTCAGCTATTTATAGCAGGTTACCTGGGTGATTCTGGTCCACAGCCAGGTTTCAGAACCGCTGCTTTAGGGAGAGGCACTTTCCACTTCCCCAGCTGCCCTTGAAGTATAGGAAGGAATCATAGTTGGAGGACTTCTGCATTATTTGTTGGCTGAAGCTAGAAGTGCAACCCCCTCCTGATTTCTGCAGCAAGATGAACTGCCTTATCCCCAGCCCGCAGGAATGTTCATATCTGAGCAATCAATGGGCACTGTGTTCAACCACGCCATTTTCAAGATTGGCTCCTTAAACCACCCACAAGGCACCAGCTCTGGGAGAAGCTGCAGGGAGAAGAGAACAAAGCCCTCGCTGTGATCAGGATGGGTGTCTCATACCTTTTCTCTGGGGTCATTCCAGGTATGAGACAGAGTTGAACCTGCGCATGAGTGTGGAAGCCGACATCAATGGCCTGCGCAGGGTGCTGGACGAACTGACCCTGGCCAGAGCTGACCTGGAGATGCAGATTGAGAGCCTGAAGGAGGAGCTGGCCTACCTGAAGAAGAACCACGAGGAGGTGAGAACTATATGGAAAAGTCAGCTTAAAAGAAATGCAGGGAGGCTGGGTACAGTGGTGCGTGCCCATAGTCCCAGCTACTTGGGAGGCTGAGACAGGAGGATCACTTGAACACAGGAGTTTGAGTCCAGCCTGGGCAACAAGGCTAGACCCTGTCCAAAAAAAAAAAAAAAAAAAAAAAAAAAAAGAGAGAGAGAGAGAGAGATTGAGAGAGAGAGAGAGAAGGGAGAGTCGAGATAGAATTGTGATGGTGGGAGGGCAGTATTCAGGCCTAAGGAACACCAATCCGCTGCCATGGTGGAACTCCTGACTGTGGACTGTCCCTGGCTGTGCAGGAGATGAATGCCCTGAGAGGCCAGGTGGGTGGAGATGTCAATGTGGAGATGGACGCTGCACCTGGCGTGGACCTGAGCCGCATTCTGAACGAGATGCGTGACCAGTATGAGAAGATGGCAGAGAAGAACCGCAAGGATGCCGAGGAATGGTTCTTCACCAAGGTGGGTGTCATTTGAGGTGGAAGGAACCCAGACCACCTGCCTTCTGGGGCCTTCTGGTGTGAATGGCATTCTCTTTTTTGCAGACAGAGGAGCTGAACCGCGAGGTGGCCACCAACAGCGAGCTGGTGCAGAGCGGCAAGAGCGAGATCTCGGAGCTCCGGCGCACCATGCAGAACCTGGAGATTGAGCTGCAGTCCCAGCTCAGCATGGTAGGAATAGTGCCAGGAAGGGTGGTGCACCCAGGACTGGCAGGGAGAGAACGGCCACACTCACTAATCGTTGATTCCCTTTCCCTCCCTCACAGAAAGCATCCCTGGAGAACAGCCTGGAGGAGACCAAAGGTCGCTACTGCATGCAGCTGGCCCAGATCCAGGAGATGATTGGCAGCGTGGAGGAGCAGCTGGCCCAGCTCCGCTGCGAGATGGAGCAGCAGAACCAGGAGTACAAGATCCTGCTGGACGTGAAGACGCGGCTGGAGCAGGAGATCGCCACCTACCGCCGCCTGCTGGAGGGCGAGGACGCCCAGTGAGTCTTGGCCCTCCCCTTAGTCCGCCCCCCCCATGGCACTCTCACGGCCCCACCATGTATCTAATGATCCTGTCCTTTTCTATTTTCACAGCCTCTCCTCCTCCCAGTTCTCCTCTGGATCGCAGTCATCCAGAGATGGTAAGACCCTCCTCCTCTGCAGGCCTGGGCTCCAGGCCACCCTCTGTACCCCAAGCAGGTCTAGGCATTGGCTAGGGGCTCCGTGAGGGGCTGAGCTCTAGTGCTGTCACCCAGTTTCCCTTGTGAACCTCCTTGGGTGGAAGAAGCTATTTTCTAAACCCTCCTTAGGGCTAGGAGAGGCAGCCCCCACCTCTTGCTTCTACGTGGTGTCTGTGGCAGATCCTATTGCTGTTGTGGTCAGCACCATGAACAGGGCCCTACAGGGCTCTTCCCACTGAGACCACTCCATTGGGTGAATATGGATGGAACCAGCCAGGTGTGAGCTCTTAGGAAGCTCTAATCTGAGGGCAAAGACTCTGTCTCTGACCTTTGGGAGCCCTCGTCTGAAAGAAATGTGTTGATGGTATCAGTGCTTGGGCAACAGCAGGGAGTGAAGCAGTAATCAGGGGAGAGGGCAATGGGGAGCCAGTTTGAGTTTCCTCACCTTCTTGGCCTCCTTACTCCTGATTAGTCCATTGTCTGTCCACCTCTGGTAACGTCCTCTTCCCACCTCTTCCCCAGTGACCTCCTCCAGCCGCCAAATCCGCACCAAGGTCATGGATGTGCACGATGGCAAGGTGGTGTCCACCCACGAGCAGGTCCTTCGCACCAAGAACTGAGGCTGCCCAGCCCCGCTCAGGCCTAGGAGGCCCCCCGTGTGGACACAGATCCCACTGGAAGATCCCCTCTCCTGCCCAAGCACTTCACAGCTGGACCCTGCTTCACCCTCACCCCCTCCTGGCAATCAATACAGCTTCATTATCTGAGTTGCATAATTCTCGCCTCTCTCTGGTCATTGTTAGGAGTGGGGGTGGGGAGAAAGTGGGAGAAGCATCTCTTTGGAGCTTGTCATAGCACCTGGCTATGGCCCCTGGGACTGGGAGAAAAGTCCTGGGGGTGGGTTGGGCTCAGGTCCCAGGATATCTTTCGCCATCTCAGAAGACACAGATAGATGTGTGTACCAGGTCATATGTGGTGTCTCCTAGGGTACGGAGGGATATTCATTCATTTACTCACTCATTTTCATGTGTGTCCATTCATTCACCAGATATTGAGTGCCTCTATGTCAGGCACTATGTTAGGTTAAGGATTCCTGATGTTTTTGTGATCAGGGATTCCTTGGAGAATATTGAAAGCTATAGATCTTTCCTTCTGCCCCCTACCTTCAAATAAGCATACATACATTTGCATACAATGTCATGGGGTTCATGGGTCTCCTAGAGCTCCTTACCGGAGGTCCATGAACCGAAGTAGGAACTCAAGCTCTCCTGACAGTCTTGTCTCCCTCCACCCCACCTGCTCTTGCCTCTGGTGCTGGATCTAATCCTTCTTACACTTGGTTAACCTAGGGCAAGTTGATGACCAGCTCCCAGCCTCAGCTGCCATTTCTGTAAAAGGGGCATAATGATAGTATCTACCTCATGGGCTTGTTGGGAGAATTCACTGGAAGAATGCATTTAAGGCCTCCAGCACAGGGCCTGGCATAGTGCTGGCTCAAGGCATGGCTGTGCTGGCGATACTGGGTAAACTATCTCTAGGGCATGGTGATTATCCATTCACGATGAGAGCATTTTTAGAGGGTTTGAGAATAGACTGGTTTCTAACCCTGGCTCTGTTCTGTAACAGATGTGAGCTTGGAAAGTCTGAGTCTCAGTGTCTTTACTTGTATAGTAAGGATGCTGAGCCCTGCCTCTTGAGGTTGATACAAGAATCCAATGAGTGACTATACCTTAAGAGCCAGGACTGTAGGAGACTCCCCTGGGTGGGGAATGCCTTTCCTTCTCTTTGGGGGGCTAGAAAAGGAGTGGGAAGGCAAGGAGCCTCACCCTAGTAAGTGGTGAAGATTCCAGAGGTGGGTGGGGCTCATTGCCCCAAGCTAGGAAAGAGTTGACTAGTCCTGTGTCAGTTTCAACAGCTCATTCATTTGGCTGCCTGAAGAAAACTTGTAGGGGGAGTCAAGGGTAGGGGAGAGACTGAAAAACGACTAAATTTGGGCAAGGGATCTGAAAGCCTGAGCTTTTGAATCAGACTACTTGGGTTGGAGTCCTGGCTCCTATGCTGAATAGCCTTGAAGAGTTTGGGCAAGGTACTGAACCCCACATTCCTCTTTCACAAGGTAGGGAATAAATATCTTTACTGCATAAGGGCTGATACAGGAGTGAATGACCTCATGCAGGCAATGAATTTGGCATTGTGTTTGGCACATAGTCAGCACCCTATAAATGGTAATGGGGTGAGTTATTAGGAAAAGGAATGAAGAGATGTTGGTTTCTCTTGTTCCTACCTCCACCCCAGGAGAAAGAGGACTGCTTTGTACTTCTGAAACTCTGGGATATCTTTTAACCTAAGTTTTGTCATCAAAAAGGGTTGACCTTAGGTGATCCCTGGGTGAGGATGGGCCATCCTGGAGGTGAAGTACTAGAGTTTCAGGGGTACAGGGGACAACTCAGGAAAGAGGAAGGTTTGAGGGTGCTTCCTCAGAGAATGAGAAGAGGTGGGTTTGAGGGCCCTAGGGGGTACAGGACCCTAGTGTGGGGAGGGGCTTTGTGATACTCCCAGGGGTGTTGGACTCTGGTTCCTAAGGTTCCTAGTTGGGCAATGAACCTCCTGCCCAAGTGTGGCAAAGAATCTCGGGAATGGCCCACATTTGAGAGGTCACATGGGCCTGGACAAAGAGCAAAATATGGCAAGAGTCACCAGTGGGGACTGAAGCCCAGAACGCCCTCAACTTCCTAAGAATCCCCAGACATCTCTCTACCTTGGAGGTGGAACCAGATTAAAGTCTGTGCCCAAAGGAGATTTGCTTTAGAGGAATATAGAAACGTGAGGTCTCTTAGACTGGGGTGAGGTGGGGCGAGCCTCCTCTCTGAGTGGTTGCCGTTACTGTTTGAAGGGAATACACAGGAGACCTGGGCTTGCTTGCGGGTAAGAATGGCGGCTGGCACCACCTGGCTGAAAGCAGGCTCAGAACCAGGAGAGGAGGAAGTCAAGCAGGGAGGCTGGGAGGTAGTCCCACCCTGTGCTGTCAGGCTCCAGAGGAAGAGGGCAGCAGGGCAGTGGCCACCGGGGTCTCACATGGACTCCCCTCCTCCCGGGATTTCCCCACAATACCTCACTGGGGAGGGTAGGGCCAGTGTTTGGATCCTGCTGATGAACAGGGCTCTTGTTCACAGAGCCTGGCAGCCACAAGCATCCAACTCAAAATATGAGTGAGCCCAGCAGCTTCGACAATGGTGACCGCCTTCCCTTGGCCTCCGCTCAGCTAAACAATAGACGAGCAAAGTGACTCGATAGCACAGTCTAGTGGAGGCAGCTGGGATTGCATCTCTGAGTCCTGGGGCTGATCAGGTGCCCTCTCTGGCTCCGCCTCCCTCTAAACCCTCTCTCCACCCTCCCAGCACTCAGAACCCGGCAGTCCTAGGTGAGCCACCGGGAAGACTCCTCCAACCTCACCGTAGGGAGACTGGCTTGCTCCAGGTCCTAAGGCTGAAAGTGGCAAAGTCCTGTCCATGCTCAGGCTTTGCCACGTCCTGGGTGGCTTCATTCCTGTTCCGTTCTTTCTCAGGGATGAGATAAAACTGAGAGACTTATGGGATCAGTGTGCATTTTTCGTAGCTTACTCCATGGTTTTTGTTTTATGGGGTGGAACCGACCTTGAAATTCTCAATCCCCTTTATTTTTGGGAGCTTTTTTTTTTTTTTTTTTTTAATGGTGAAAAGATCTCTAATGTGTCCAGGGAACTCTATAGGCAGCAACTGGCATATGTACCTTCCTAATCAGGCAAATGGCACTTCCCCAAAGCCACAGACAACCTGGCTTGGGTAATGTAGGCGACTATTCCTACAGGAAGATGTCAGAGGAGGCAGCCCCAAGGAGGCCTGATCCCCAGGGGCTGGGGGGTCCCGATGTCCTTGTGGGACCCCAGGAATTTCCCTGGCCCACCTCACTGAGCTTGGAGGCTGCCACAAAGGGGACCAGGGGATGCCAGGGACTTCCAGGGCGATGGACCGGCCTCAGGCAAGTGCAGGGCAGTCACCAGCTCCTCCTCCATTGCCGTTTGCTGAGCACAGGCTTTCCTGACAGGGCTTCCCTCTGTGCCACTGTAAGGCCAGGCTTGGGAAAGGAAGTCTTTTTCCTTTAAGGTGCTCTGATGAACTTTAGGGGTGACTTGGCTTGAGAGAGAGGGCAAAAATAGACACACAGAAATAGAGAGAAACAAATGGATATAGAGTTGAGAGAGAGAGAGAAAGGGAGAGGGAGAGAGTCAGAGAGACAGAGTCAGGGATAGAGAGGATAGTGAGGGCCCTGGGCCAGTACTAGGCAGGGAGGGGCATTCATTCATTCATTCATTCATTCATTCACACATACTTATCGAAACTTAACTGTTGTAGGTGTAGGGGAGATGGGGTGAATTGAGACAGACTGAATAAGAAAAGAGACAACATGAGGAAGAAGGTAGAGAGGGACCCAGTGCATGTGTGGGGTTTGGGACAGAGAGCAGGAGCTCTGAGCCTGTGTCCACTGTAGCTCCTGATCACTGGAGGGCAAGCCCTGGCTCCATTCTGCCTTGTTTAGCTCTGTGACTGTGGCCAAGATACCCTCTCTGAGCCTCAATTTCCTTACCTGTAAAATGATTTAAAAATTAATGCATACCTCCTAAAACAGTTGGTGAAGATTAAATTCGACAGTGCAGGCAAAGCAACGAGGGTCTTGCCTGCAACACTGGAGGTTCCTTGACGGAAGGAACTATGATCCTCCAAACATTCAATGTCCTCCCCAGGCCCCACAGGCACAGGTCTTTGATCCTAATGGGGGCTCAATAGGCCAGAAGGATGGGCTAATAATAAGCAAGGGAGCTGAGAACCCAAGTTGCCCAGATGGTCCATGGGGAAGTTGGGAGCAGGCACAGTGCCACCGACAGTCAGGATGATGTCCCACCATGTACCAGACCCACACCAGCAGTTTTACAATATGAGTTCTTTTAAGCCTCACAACAACTTCATGAGGCCAGAACTTTTTTTTTTTGTTTGTTTCTTTGAGACCAAGTCTCACTCTGTCACCCAGGCTGGAGTGCAGTGGTGTGATCTGGGCTCACTACAACCTCAACCTCCCAGGTTCCAGCGATTCTCCTGCCTCAGCCTCCCAAGTAGCTGGGATTACAGGTGCCCGCCACCACGCCCAGCTGATTTTTGTATTTTTAGTAGAGACAGGGTTTCACCATGTTGGCCAGGCTAGTCTTGAACTCCTGACCTCAGGTGATCCGACCGCCTTGGCTTTCCAAAGTGCTGGGATTACAGGTGTGAGCCACTGTGGCTGGCCAAGCTCAGAACTATTTTTTTTTCCCCACTGAAATCTTTTGCTTGACTTAACCCACTGCCCTTTAGCCACACAGGACTCCTGCCCTGGCAGTCACTTTGCTTGTTCCCACCTCAGGACATTTGCACATGCTGTATGCCCCTCCCCTTTGTCCTTCTCCTGGCTCACTTCTCCTCCCCCTTCACTCAAGTGTCTCTTTCTCAGGGAGAAGGTCACTGGTACCCCAGACCATGCCACACCTTTATTATGTGCTCTCCATTCCCCACCAACCGTGCTCACCTCAGTTGTGAATTACATGTTCATTTCTGCAGGTCTATTTTATCCCATAACTGTCCATCAAGATAAGGGCTTGCTCATTACTTTACCCCCAGCACTCAGCCCAATGCCTGGCACATAGTAGGTGCTCAATAAAGGATGAATCCGAATTTGGAATGAGGAAACAGGTTCACAGAGGGGAAGCAACTTTCCCCAAATAAGTGGAAGAATCTGGCTTTACACCATGACCTGCCTGGCTTCGAAGCCGGTGCTCTCATCCTCACTGCTAGGTGTGTCCCAGCAGACACAAGCCTGGGGTGCCTAGACTCAGGTGGAGGCACGTATGTGGGCCCACTCCATCCCCTCACTGTGGTCTGATAGGGTCTGAATTGGGAAGGGTGATGGCAAGTGCCTGTTGTATGAGAAAGAATCAGTGTTGACAGACAGGTGCAGGTACCCACAGCCCTGCGCCAGTGGGCAGTGCACACCTGCCTAGATGGCTCATGGAGGCTCCAGGGGAGGAGCCGTGACTCAGCGGGTGCTCCCTCTC
This sequence comes from Homo sapiens, assembly GCF_000001405.40. Lineage (NCBI taxonomy): Eukaryota > Metazoa > Chordata > Mammalia > Primates > Hominidae > Homo > Homo sapiens. The sequence continues at coordinate 41,576,933 of NC_000017.11, read as the reverse complement.
CCAGCAGCCAGCTACATGCTGACTCAGGTCCCTCCCTGGCCCCACCTGGGGATCAATGACAGACAGCAATGGGTAGTAAGTTGGGGGTGTGGGAGGCTGCTTGCAGGCAAGCAAGAGGGCTCCCACAACCAGAGCAAAGCTGTCCTTGAGCTGTCTCCAGGTCCCTATGTCCCCAGTGGACGATACCTTTGCCTCTGGGGACACCTTGCAAGTGGGATCTTTGGTTCTCTCTCTGTCCCTCTGTCTGCCTCTCTGGGTCCTTGCAGCCCCTTCTCTCCTACTCCATCCACTCCCCAAGGGGAGGGCCTGCATTTGGGTTGCTGGCACTGGGTCTAGCTTGCAGCCTTGCAGCCTTGCACACTGGCTGTAGAGAGGCAGTGTTGATTCTCGCTGGGTCTCAGGTGCCGGGGTGCCATGGGCTCCATGGTTTCCATTCCTGGTTCATTCTTTGGAGGATTCCCATGGGAGGTGTTGAAGGTGGGGCTCAGAGGGCAGACCCTGAGCCCTGAGAGGCTGGAAGAGTGAGCCATGCCACATGACCTAGAAGAAATCACTCACTCAGGCCATGGCTGTTGGCCTTCCTCATCCCTGGCCCCATCTTGCCCAGTCTGGTTCCCATGCCAGGCAGAGAGCTTGGGAGAAGGGAAGAGATGCTGCCCTGCTGCAGCTGGAACAAGACCTCCTATCTGGACCGCAGGAGCTGCAAGCACAGCAAGATCCTCTTTGTATTGGAACAAGGCCAGATGTAGGGGGAGGAGGGCCAATGTGGCAGGGGCTACATGTGGGCAGCAGTTGGGCATTCATCTAGGGAGCCCTCTTTCTTTTTTTTTTGAGACAGAGTCTCGCTCTGTCACCCTGGAGTGCAGTGGCTGGAGTGCAGTGGCGTGATCTCTGCTCATTGCAACCTCTGCCTCCCGGGTTCACGCCATTCTCCTGCCTCAGCTTCCCAAGTAGCTGGGACTACAGGCGCCTGCCACCACACCCAGCTAATTTTTTGTATTTTTAGTAGAGACAGGGTTTCACCGTGTTAGCCAGGATGGTCTTGATCTCCTGACCTCGTGATCTGCCCACCTCAGCCTCCCAAAGTGCTGGGATTACAGGTGGAAGCCCTCTGTCTTTATGGCCCTTGGCAACAGTGCATGAAGGGGCTTCTCATGAGGAAACTGAGGCCAACTTTGAGGACCACAGGGAAAGGGAGGGTGAAACTGGCACGTGGCCCAGCCTTGCCTGGCTGGGGAGCTACTGTGCTGTCCACCCCACAGTGGTCCTCATGCACAGCTTTCTTTCCCTGGCAGCTGGGAGGAGTTCTGAGGGACGAAGCCTGCTGCTTCGGGCTGAGTGAGGCTTAAGACAGGGCTGGAGGGTGGGAAGTGGAGAAGGTGGGTGAGGACAGGGGTTGGGGTTTGGCACCAGGGCTGGAAACCAGGGCCATCTGTCAAGAGGCTTAGCTGGCCAGGGGAGCCCCAGCTGGGAGCTTCTGCTCAGTCAGGTGGGTCTCAGCTGTTCTTAGGATCCCCCAAACAGATACATTTGCAGATGACAGAGCAGGGTTCTGAAAGTGCCACTCTGCTGGCTCTCTCCAGGGTGGCCCATCCACAGCACCACTGACTTCCCTACCCAGCTCAGGGACCCAGGACCTGGGGCTTACATCCCAACCAGAGTGGCGGCATCAGCATGGGCATGGGGAAGAGGGTAACTTTCCAGGCCTTGGAACACATTGCGGCAGATTCTGGGCTTCCCAGCAGAGCTTGGCAAAAACCTTGAATGGTTTAAAACCATTTGAGAAAGTAGAAAGGGAATCAATTATACCCACTAGCCTTGATCTAAGAGTCTTCCATGTATTAACTATCATAAAATGCCTTCAGTATTCTCTGAATATTGAATAAAAGAGAATTATATTCTCTTTTAATTTTCAAAACTTAAACTACCTGTTTAATTTTTAATGTAACATATTCTGTAACACCCATTTAAATATTTATTTAACACATTTTGGTAAATTAACTCACCTTTCATTTCAATAAATATATTTATAAAGGAAATCTTACATTACTACAAAAAAGGAAAATCATAATCACTTGCCAGAAGCAGAAGGAAATGACATACAGAAATACTTAACTTCTAACTAGATGCTGTTACTTTCTAAAGGTTCTGAGCCCAAAGTTGGCTCTCTTTTTTTGAACAGGGTGATTGACAAGTGTGTGGGTCGTTAGAGAAGCCATAGTGTCCAAATGAGATTTCATCCTTGACTAATCAGAAGATTGAAAAATAGAAAAAGAGGCCAGGTGCAGTGGCTCATGCCTGTAATCCCAGCACTTTGGAGGCTGAGATAGGAGGATCATTTGAGCCCAGGAGTTCAAGATCAGCCTGGGCAACATAGCGAAATCTCATGTTTATGAAAAAAAAAATTAGCTGAGCATGGTGGTGTGTGCCTGTAGTCCCACCTACTTGGGAGGCTGAGGCTGGAGGATGGCTTGAGCCCAGGAGGTCAAGGCTGCAGTGAGCTGTGATCATGCCACTGCATTCCAGCTTGGATGACAGAGTGAGACTCTGTCTCAAAACAAACAAACAAACAAACATGGAAAAAGGAAATCTTCCTCCAAGTGCTTCAGTATTATTATGTTTAGGATGATTATTATTATTTGAGACGGAGTCTTGCTCTGTCGCCCAGGCTGGAGCACAGTGGCGCAGATCTCACCTCACTGCAACTTGTGCCTCCTGGGCTCAAGTTGTTCTCATGCCTCAACCTCCTGAGTAGCTGGGATTACAGGTGTGTGCCACCACGCCTGGCTAATTTTTTGTATTTTTAGTAGAGACGGGGCTTTGCCATGTTGCCCAGCCTGATCTCAAACTCCTGAGCTCAGGCAATCTGCCCACCTCGGCTTCCCAAAGTGCTGGGATTACGGGCATGGGTCACCGTGTCCGGCCACTTCAGTATTATTTAACAGTCGTTGAGCATCACTTAAAAGCCCCTCAAGAAATACCAGTCATCTATGCCGCCTACACATGCAGGCATTGCCTCTTTCAGGCCCTTGCTGACCATCCTGGCAAAGAGATTTCCTTACCTTTAGCTCCTTTTCAGCAATGAGCATCTTTCTGGAATGACTGGTATCTTTCCTCCATCTCATATGTGTTGGGATCCTACTTGGATCAGACGTGGCGCTGGGCACTGGGGCAAGTACGAGATGAGCAGGGGCAGGCTTAGAGGAGCTCTGGCTGCCCGCAGAGAGAGGTTTCTTCTATTTTTTCAGTACATGAACTTTTATTCTTCATCAAGTGCTTCATAGAGCCATGGAGATAAGTGTGAGACACTATAACAGAGCACAGTACAAACCCAGGGGGCGAGAGTACAGGAAGACAGAGGAGGAGGCAGTCAGAGGGATCACTGAAGATGGGTAGTTTTCTGTGTAGAAAAGATGGAGTGGGACATTTCAATCAGAGGTCACTGCAAGTGCCGAGTATTCTTAGAGGGAAGAAGGGCATTTGGGAAGCATTGTATGATTTTCTAGGGGGCCTGGGGGATGGTGGGAGATGGGGCAGGAATGGAAAGATGGGGATGGGCCTAAGTGCCAGGAATGTGGACCTTATCTTGAGGGTGGAGGGAAACTGGTGAAGTGATGTTGTCAGACATGGATTAGAAAGGTCATTCTGGCTGCTGTGCAGGAAGAGTCAGAGGGAATGGGAGAGGCAGGGAGGGCAGTTAGAAGCTCATGGCTAAGGTCTGGGTGAGGGCAGAGTTGACGGGGAGTTAGGGGGCTGAATGATCAGAGGCAGCCGAACATTTTTTGAGCACTTCTCACAAGTCTCTTACTAGGAGATGGACAAACTACTCATATCAACCTTTTTCAAAGGAGGAAACTGAGGCACAGAGTATTTAAGTAACTTATCAAAGTCACACAGCTCATGAGCATGGAGCTGGATGGAGCTCAGGTAGGCACACCGGAGACCAGCGTGTTCTTTACCATTCTCTTCTGGCCTTGGTGACCAGAATATACATCCAAGTTTCTGCCAGGAGCAGGGATAAGTCACACATCTCTGTATCCCCTCCAGAGTTCTGTATGGGGTAGGCACTCAACCAAGGTCAATTCCACACTCCCTGCTGGGCCCTGCAAAAGGACCAGGACAGTCGAGCCACTTGCATTCCTGCTCAGAGGTCAGCTAGTGTCAGCACCACCTTGTTTATTTGGTCCACTTTCTTCTTCCAGCCCTTTGTGTGAACTCTGCACGCTGTCCTTTAGTGCTGGCGGGCATGGTCTCGGTGCCCGTCTCCATCTTTTGGCCATGCCAGTTGCCTCCTCATCAAACTGGAGTCTCCCAAGGGCAGAGCCTCAGACTCTGCAGAAAGCCTCGAGGATCCTGAGAGCAAGGATTGGTTTTCATCCATTTGGGGCTCCACAAGGGCAGGGGCTGTGCCTCCCCCTCCTCTATGATAACTCCTTAGTACCCTAGTTCCAGCTCAGCTCACAGTGGGCACAAGGTGGGAGCAAGGAGGCATGAGGGATGCAGACAGTAATGACCATCAATAGAGGAGGTGACTCTGCTCTTGGGAGTTTCTATCCCGAAGGGGCTAAGTCTCAGACCTGCTGTTGGGGCCAGCCAGAGACCAGACTCCAGGATCTAGGTCACCCCTGTGGCAGTACAGCTGATTTATGGTGGCCCTGACAGCCTAATGTCATCAAATTATCCCACACAATGGAGAGAGGCTGGGCCGCCCCCAGGCAGTCACCAAAGGACGCTGAGCCTGGGGCAGCCCGGCTGCCTCCGTATCCCAGACCTCCCTCGGGTCTGTGGGGGGAGGCTGGCACAGAACAAGGGCACACCCAGGCGTGCCACCTTCAGCTGGGGGTATAAGTAGGCAGCCCCAGGGACAGCTCTGTACCCTGCACTTGGGAGCCGGTAGCACTCCTATCACTGCTTCTCAACCCGTGAGCTACCAGCTGTGTCATGAGCTGCAGACAGTTCTCCTCGTCCTACTTGAGCCGCAGCGGCGGGGGTGGCGGGGGCGGCCTGGGCAGCGGGGGCAGCATAAGGTCTTCCTACAGCCGCTTCAGCTCCTCAGGGGGCGGTGGAGGAGGGGGCCGATTCAGCTCTTCTAGTGGCTATGGTGGGGGAAGCTCTCGTGTCTGTGGGAGGGGAGGCGGTGGCAGTTTTGGCTACAGCTACGGCGGAGGATCTGGGGGTGGTTTTAGTGCCAGTAGTTTAGGCGGTGGCTTTGGGGGTGGTTCCAGAGGTTTTGGTGGTGCTTCTGGAGGAGGCTATAGTAGTTCTGGGGGTTTTGGAGGTGGCTTTGGTGGTGGTTCTGGAGGTGGCTTTGGTGGTGGCTATGGGAGTGGGTTTGGGGGGTTTGGGGGCTTTGGAGGTGGTGCTGGAGGAGGTGATGGTGGTATTCTGACTGCTAATGAGAAGAGCACCATGCAGGAACTCAATTCTCGGCTGGCCTCTTACTTGGATAAGGTGCAGGCTCTAGAGGAGGCCAACAACGACCTGGAGAATAAGATCCAGGATTGGTACGACAAGAAGGGACCTGCTGCTATCCAGAAGAACTACTCCCCTTATTATAACACTATTGATGATCTCAAGGACCAGGTAGGTGCAGGAAACTGTCTCTGTCTTGGTCTCTTTCTCTTTCATTCTTTATCTTCCAAAAAAGTTAAAATGCTAAACTCTAAGCTCAGATAATAGCCAGGGAATCCACCTTTTGGAAATGTACGCTTTCATCAGAAACAAACTTGTGTTTGGTTTCTGGGGATCCCAGGATAGGACTTTGGCCTGTGCTCTGAGTGTTCACTTCCATTTCCTCAACTTTCAGAGTTTGGGCAGAGCAGAGAGGAGACCTGGGTTAACGTGAGCTGAGCTGGGACTGGATGTGGAACCTCCTTTAGGTTTGGTCTAAGTCAATACTTTCTCTTCCTTTGTACTTCTCCTGGGCTTCTTTAGGAGTGTATCTTGATCTTTTAAGGTATTTTGGACCTGACTGTACATGTTGGTTATTCAAGTGTTGGAGAGGATCCAGAAATCTGGGAATGGAAGCTATCTATCCATCCATCCTTCCATCTATCCCTTCCTCCCTCCACCCACATGTCTATCTATCTATCCATTTATTCAGCCACTCAGTTCAGTGAGTGCCTACCCTCAGGGTTGCTCTGGGTAGACATAGTGATGTGCTAGACCTAGTTCTGGTGGAGCTCACGGTCTGGCTCTTCAGTATTCTCAGTGATTCCTCTTGTTTTAACTCCTGCATGTCTCTGAATGTGCTGTTTCTTCTACTCTAAACCTCTTCCATTTATTTATTAATGTTACATCTTAGCCATCCTTCAGGGCCCAATTCAATTGCCAGCCACCTCCTTCCTGAAGTCTTTCTTGATCTCCCATTGCCATAAGCCACCTCTCCTTTCCTTGAACTCTTTTAGGACACTTTTGACTTTGTAGTCAATGGTGGGCTCCCTGAGGAACAGGATGTCAGTAATCTCTAAATCCTACAATGCCCTTTGCAGTAGATCTTCAAATATTTGTTGAATGAATGAATGAAGGCCACACCAAACATCTTCGCTGAAGGCTGGAAGGGGTCTGTGCCATGTCCCAGCTGTTGGAAGTTCCTCATTCCTCTTGAGAATCTTCCTGGATGGAATCCTCACCTCCTGTGGCTTTGCCTGGCCTCTTGCCCTCTCAGCAGTGGTCCACAGCATGATATCATGGCTGTGTCCTTTTTTTTTCAGATTGTGGACCTGACAGTGGGCAACAACAAAACTCTCCTGGACATTGACAACACTCGCATGACACTGGATGACTTCAGGATAAAGTGAGTCCTGCTCCTCTTCTCCTCTCCTGTCATCAGCCCTTACCCCTGAACCTCAGTGCTCTGGAGGTCCTGGTAGGGCCTGGTTCCCTCTTGATTGTTTTCTAACCCTGGCTGGTCTGCAGGTTTGAGATGGAGCAAAACCTGCGGCAAGGAGTGGATGCTGACATCAATGGCCTGCGGCAGGTGCTGGACAATCTGACCATGGAGAAGTCTGACCTGGAGATGCAGTATGAGACTCTGCAGGAGGAGCTGATGGCCCTCAAGAAGAATCATAAGGAGGTAGGTTGCTGGGGCTTATGGCTTACCGGGAAGAGGGAGGAGCAGAAATGCAGAGACAGCAGGGGAGCTTTGGAACATTACCTGGGAGACACCCTCTCCTTTGCTCTTGAGGACACTTTCAACTTCTCCTTGGCATCACCTATGGTAGTGGTTGGGCTTTGGCTTCACAACTGTGTCCCCTTTTTGTACCCTGGGGGGACCAGAGGGAGAATTCTGAAAGGTGGTGCAGAGGACTTTATCCGTGACCTCATCTCCCCTTCTTCCCTGGCAGGAGATGAGTCAGCTGACTGGGCAGAACAGTGGAGATGTCAATGTGGAGATAAACGTTGCTCCTGGCAAAGATCTCACCAAGACCCTCAATGACATGCGTCAGGAGTATGAGCAGCTCATTGCTAAGAACAGAAAGGACATCGAGAATCAATATGAGACTCAGGTGAGCAGAGTGGGCTGCCCATTCATCCTCCTCCCCTCCATCTATTCCTATCTCCATCCCTCCCACCTCCCATTCCTTCATCCTCCTATCTCTGCATCTCTCAGTGCAGCTGTCATTTATCCATCTTCCAATGGAAGTCATTCATCCATCTTCATTCACTGCATACAAACATCATTACAAAGTAGCTTCTCAGTGCCATGTTATATGTAAAGTATTGATGTCTCAGAGGTATTGATGTCTGATATGAGCCAAACAAGACTGCTGCCCTTGAGAAGCTCACAGTTTATTAGATGTGTGTGAACAAAAGCAGAATGTGAACAATTTAATCTAATGCTATGTAATGTAAGACTATAGCAGAGGGATACAGTGTGTCTCCCATACTGTACTGAGCTCCTTGGTGGTTCCCTTCGTCCTTGAGTCTCCAGTGCCCAGCCAGAGTCTGGCACATACATGAAGGCATGGTCTGTGCTGTGTGTGTGTGTGTGTGTGTGTGTGTGTGTGTGTGTGTGTGTGTATGTTTGAAAGGTGGGGGAAGTTTGGAATAAGGTTAGATTAGAAAGATGGTTGTGAGACAAAGCGTGAAGGGTCTTGCAACTTTGTTGAGAGGGAATGTCATGTTGAGAGGACTGGACAACCCTCCATGGCTGGAGGGTACCCAGAACTCAGAATGACTTGTCATTGGCTTCAGATCAGCCTTGGCCCTGGAGGTGAAGATCCTGGTGAATGGGGCAGAATCTCACTCACTGAAGCTCCTGGCACAGCCTGATGCTTACTGAGCCTTTGGTTTTGCAGATAACCCAGATCGAGCATGAGGTATCCAGTAGTGGTCAGGAGGTGCAGTCCAGTGCCAAGGAGGTGACCCAGCTCCGGCACGGTGTCCAGGAGTTGGAGATTGAGCTGCAGTCTCAGCTCAGCAAGGTTGGTAGTTCTGCTATAGACCCTTTGCCAAGGTGGGGCACAGGAAGTCTTTGCAGCCCAGGAGTGGGAAGAAGAGGAGTTATGATGTAGCATCCCTCTTAAAGCCTTCTCCTAACCCTTAGAAAGCAGCTCTGGAGAAGAGCTTGGAAGACACGAAGAACCGCTACTGTGGCCAGCTGCAGATGATCCAGGAGCAGATCAGTAACTTGGAGGCCCAGATCACTGACGTCCGGCAAGAGATCGAGTGCCAGAATCAGGAATACAGCCTTCTGCTCAGCATTAAGATGCGGCTGGAGAAGGAAATCGAGACCTACCACAACCTCCTTGAGGGAGGCCAGGAAGACTTGTAGGTCCCCCAGGATTTGGTGGAACCCCTGGGGGTCCCTAGGCCTCTGATACTACTTCTGTCCCTCTGGATAGAGGCAGCTGGGGGAAGTTCTTATACACAGGGTCTTATGGGTTGAGGACTTCTTCATCCTGGGGGCCGGGGGGACCTCAGTGCATTTGGGCTTTGGGAAAGGAGGATGGTGACACTGAGAGAACGGGCTGCCTCCCTGCTCCAGGGAGGGGAGGGCTCCACAGTCTCAGCTGGAGGCTCTCCTCTCCCAGCTGTGGTGCCCGCCCAGACTCTGTCCTCTGCCTCCCAGGAAGGAAAACAGAAAGATTCATGTTTGGGTCCTGACTCTGTCCAGGTCCATCCTCATATATGTGTATGGGGGCCGCTCATTTTAACTCTCTTGTTTTCTTTCTTTCTTAGTGAATCCTCCGGAGCTGGAAAAATTGGCCTTGGAGGTCGAGGAGGAAGTGGAGGCAGTTATGGAAGAGGATCCAGGGGAGGAAGTGGAGGCAGCTATGGTGGAGGAGGAAGTGGAGGTGGCTATGGTGGAGGAAGTGGGTCCAGGGGAGGAAGTGGAGGCAGCTACGGTGGAGGAAGTGGTTCTGGAGGAGGTAGTGGAGGTGGCTATGGTGGAGGAAGTGGAGGTGGCCATAGCGGAGGAAGTGGAGGTGGTCATAGTGGAGGAAGTGGGGGCAACTATGGAGGAGGAAGTGGCTCTGGAGGAGGAAGTGGGGGTGGCTATGGTGGAGGAAGTGGGTCCAGGGGAGGAAGTGGAGGCAGCCATGGTGGAGGAAGTGGTTTTGGAGGTGAAAGTGGAGGCAGCTACGGAGGCGGTGAAGAAGCGAGTGGAAGTGGTGGCGGCTACGGAGGAGGAAGCGGAAAATCATCCCATTCCTAGTCTTCTTCCTCAAAATCTGGTGACCAAGATGAGACAAAAGGTAAGGGACAATCCTAGGTTGTGGGGTGGAGAGTCAAGGTCTCACCTTTTTTTTTTTTTGAGTATTTTTGAATCTCTGGGGAACACAGATTCTGAATAGAGCTAGATGTTAGGGAAATCTCTAGTGAGGTGTCAGAGACCTACCCTTGGTTCTGAATTGATCATTATTTTTGACAGAGCCTAGGATGAGGCTAGGACCAAATCTACACATGGCTGAGTCTCAGTAGTGTAGGAGATGGGTTGAAAATTGTGCATTATCATGACACACGCTATGAGGTAGGTTTTATTATAATCCCCATTTTAAGGAAAATGAGGTTCAGAGAAAATAATTTGCTCAAAGTCATACAATCACAAATGAAGGGTTCAGCTCTGTGGGGCTTCACAGCCAGTACTTTCAACCTTCATGAGGATGGGGGACCTGGATCAGCAACAGTTCAGGTGGAAAAGAGACTCAGGGATTTTAGTCAGTGGTTGGCTTGCACAAGTATTACATGATGCAACTGCCAAAAGGATGAACATAATCTAAATGTAAGAAAGGCTCACACAGGTGAGTTGGTCTCTAGATCAGGGAACATTTTCCCATGTACACATTGAATTTTATAAAATAAAAATGTAATATGAAATTATAGGAAAAGCCTGGGTAATATAACTGGGAATGTTTAGCTCAGAGAAGACTTGAGGTGCTTGGGAGCTGCCCTGCAGGGTGTCTAATGTGGTTTTGTGAGTCCAGTGGCACTGCAGGTCCATGGATATACATCTAGGAGTGAGGCTGGGGCCATCTTTTGCCTCAATATACAAAAAATTGACTAACAAATCTGTTGAATGGAGGGGGCTGCCTCATAAGCCCCCCATCCTCAGACTTGGGGGTGCATCTGTCAGGTTTGCTGCAACAGAGATTCAGGAATTAGATGGGGACCAGTAGATTGGGAGACCCCAGGGTCCTTCTACCTCAGGATTGTCCAGCTCTTTGAGCTCTAGTGTCCTTGCTTCGAGTTTCCCCATCTTCCCCCAAGTCCCAACCTCTCTGCTCCTGCTTACAGTCCTCCCTTCTCCCCCTCATCTCCCTTCCATCTCTCCACAGGCTTCCTTTCGCGATACTAGAGCCTCTGTAAACTTCTCCTGCCCAGCCCCAGCTGAGCATCCCCAGATGGGCAGACTCCCGATGAAGCCTGCTTATTGGATCCTGACATCAGGAATAGCTGGCAACAAGCCCCTGTGCCCGTTTGGGACTGAACTGACTTGGCATATGTGCCTCTGGCTTTCCATTGGCTTCCAACCCTGCTTGGCTTTGATGCCTTCAGGGTTGGGGAGACAGACCTCTTTCCTCTCTCTGGCCTGGGGTGCTCTCACACCCTGCACGATCTTGACTATAATAAAGCTTCCCTACTGCAAATCAAACTCAGACTTTGACCCATTTGTTCTTTGGGATTAAGAAGGGATAGGGTGGGTGGGACACAGTAGCTCATGTTTGTAATCCTAGCACTTTGGGAGGCTGAGACAGGAGGATCACTTGAGGCCAGGAGTTCAAGACTAGCTTGAGCAACATAGTGAGACCTGTCTTTACAAAAAACTAAAAACAAAACAAAACAAAAATTAGACAGGCATGGTTGCAGGCACCTGTGGTCCCAGCTACTCAAGAGACTGAGGTGGGAGGATTGCTTGGGCCCAGGAGTTGGAGGCTTCAGTGAGCTATGATTGCATCATTGCATTCCATCCTTGGTGACAGAGTAAAGGGATAATCAATCTGTTATAAAGAGTGTGGGTTCACTTTTCTATTAGTTAACTTTTGCTTGTAACAAAGGAACCCACATTTAGTGGCTGAAAATAACAACCATTCATTTAGCTTAACAGTTTTGCAGTTTAGTCTGGGAAGCTCTGGTTCCCTTTATGCATCTATGGTTCGCTGCAAGTCAGCCAGGTGGCTCTTCCTCTGGTAGTTGGCTGGATGCTGGCTGGGGTGATGAGGATGAATGGGGTCTGTGACTCCCATCCTCCAGCCAACTAGCTTGTGCATGTGTTCCAAGGTCATGAGCAGAAACATGCAAGGCATCTTGAGGTTTAGGTTCAGAGAAGTCACTTTGGCTGTATTATATTGGCCAAGCAAGTCGCAACCTAGCCCAGATTCAAGAGCAGGGGAAATAGACTTCTCTTGAGGGGAGGAACTGCAAAGTCACATGGCAATGGGCATGGATATAGGGAGGGCAATAACTGAAGCAATTTTTTGCAAACAATCTACCATAGTCTATTGTCACGTTGTGTGTTAGCTATGGAGGAAAACAAGACAAAAATGATGTGGTCTTTGCTTGCAAGATTTCAAGTAAAAAATATAAAAAATATAAAGTCCTTCAAGGCAAAGTAAGGGACATTCCACAAGACATCAGCCAACAATATTCTCTAAAGATTCTGATAGTCAAAAATCCTTTTTATTACTAGGGACAAATAGCCCCCCTCAGCCTATGTACCAGACACTATAGCTGCTTATTAAGCTACCCCAAAGTATAGAGGCTTAAAATGACAAAATTCATTTTGCTCATGAATCTGCAATTTTGACAGGGCTTGGTGGGGACTGCTTGTCTCTGCTCCTCTTGGTTTCATTGCTGCTTACAGGCTGGGGGCTGGAGTCATTTGAAGTCTTAGTCACTTACATACCTGGGCTCGCTGGGGCTCCTTGGACATCTCTCTCTATCTCTATGGAGAGTCTCAATGTGATCCCTCCAGCACGGTAGCTTCAGGGTAGCCCGACTTCTTATATGCTGGCTCAGGGCTCCCAAGACACATGTCCCAAGTGAAAAACCGCCAGAAAGAGGCTGTTTGACTTTATCACCTGGAAGGGGAAGTCACACAGTGCCACTTCTTCTGTAGTCACAGGCCTGCCTAGATTCAAGGGAAAGGGAATAGACCTGTGGTAGGCAGAATTCTGAGATACTTTCCCAAGATTTCTGGCCCTGCTGTACACATATCTTCTTCCGGTTATTCAATCAAACACTAACCTAGGTGCTACTGTGAAGGGATTTTGGTAATTAAGTTCTGAAATGTGTTGACTTTAAGAGAGGGAGATTATCTGGCAGACCTGATTTCATCACATGAACCCTTTAAAATCCAAGAGTTTTGCCTGGCTGGTCACAGAAGTCAGAGATTTGAAGTCTGGGAAGATTTCAATGTGCCCTTGCTGGTTGAAGATGAAAGGGGGTCATGGAACAAGGAATGTGGATGGGCTCTAGGAGCTGAGAGCCAGCAAGAAAAAGGAGATTGCAGTCCTCCAGCTGCAAAGACCTGAAGTTTTCCAAGATCAAAGAAGAATTTGGAAGCAGATTACCCCCAGATGAGAATTCAGATGAGAGCTTAGCCTGGCTGACATCTTGATTTCACCCTTGTGATATCCTGCAGAGAGAATCCAATTACGCCTGTGGAACTGTCAGCTAATACATGGGTGCTATTTTAAGCTGCTGAGTTTGCAGTAATTTGTTAAGCAGAAATAGAAAGCAAATACAGACCCCGTCTCTAGATGGAGGTGTGTCCATGTCACGTTGAAGAACAGCATATGCAATGGGATATATTGATGTGGTCATTTTTGGAAAACACAAATTGCCACAGGCTGGCTCAAATCACTGGCAGAGGGGTTATGTAAGAGTACACTTAGGGAATGAAGTGACACAGAAACCCAGGGGGATTCAAGATCCTGGAATTTGTGGATATGGGAGCAGGCAGGTCATCAGTGTCTCTGGGTCAAAGGTGGCTCTAGCAAGACACCTGAGCAGTGAGAGTCTGTGATCTCTTTTCTAGCGCTCCGCTGTTAATATGCAACTGTTTACTCTTCTCTGGTTCTTTTTCTGCTACCTGCTGTCTTCCTCATCTACCATTTTACATATCTTTTTATTTATTTTATTTATTATTATTATTATTTTTTGAGACGGAGTCTCACTCTGTCGTCCAGGCTGAAATGCAGTGGCACGATCTCAGCTCAATCCAACCTCTACCTCCCGGGTTCAAGCGATTTTCTGCCTCAGTCTCCTGAGTAGCTGGAACTACAGGCACCTGCCACCACGCTGAGCTAATTTTTGTATTTTTAGTAAAGACGGGGGTTTCACCATGTTGGCCAGACTGGTCTTGAACTCTTGATCTCAGGTGATCCACTTGCCTCGGCCTCCCAAAGTGCTGGGATTACAGGTGTGAGCCACAAGGCCTGGCCCATTTTATGTATCTTTTCTCTACCTCAATTTGGGAAATTCTCCACCTTAAGTGTGAAGCTCCCCAAGGGAGAGGTCAGAAACTTGCTTTTCCGAGCTCACCTGCATCTAGGGCATGGGCCCCTGACAGCCCTGCCACTCAGGTGCGCCCGCACAAGACGTTTTTTTTTTTTTTTTAACCATGGCACCCCATTGGAGTGAAGGACTTTGATTTTGATTTAAAGGAGGTGCTGAGTGGAATTTTTTATGGCAGGAACAAGGTTGGGCAGAGATATGTGATTTTTTGAGGAAGCAATAGCAGCGGCTCTGGCAAAGACATGCAGTGCCCATCATCCATAGTTTGAGCTTCAATTTTGGTGGCCAGAAGTGACAGCAGTGGTGTGTTCCTAGAGCAATCCTTGAGTGTGATTTGGGGAATTTTTCTGTTTGCATACCCTCCAAGTTTGATTCTCTGCACATCCTGGAAAAGATGCCCAGTAGTTGCTCATTATTTCACAGGGAATACATTCAAAGATCCTGACTGGATGCCCAAAACTGTGGATAGCACCTAAATCTATCTACACTATGCTTTTTCCTACACATTCATACTTAAGATACAGTTTACTTTATAAATTAGGCAGACCAAGAGATTAACAACAATAACTAATAAAATAGAATCGTTATAACAATATACTGTAATAAAAATTATTTGAATGTGGTCTCTCTCTTTCAAAATATCTTATCATACTGTAGATCTTAGCAACCTCAGCGTATGGTTTTTTTCTTTCCGTAGTAAGTTTTGAACTGTCATCTTTTCTCTTAAAGAAAGCATTTTGCTGGCTGGGCGCGGTGGCTCATGCCTGTGATCCCAGCACTTTGGGAGGCCAAGGCTGGAGGATCACCTGAGGTCAGGAGTTTGAGACCAGCCTGACCAGTATGGAGAAACACTGTCTCTTCCAAAAATACAAAATTAGCCAGGCATGGTGGCGCATGCCTGTAATCTCAGGTACTTGGGAGGCTGAGGCAGGAGAATCGCTTGAACCCGGGAGGCAGAGGTTGAGGTAAACCGAGATCACGCCATTGTGCTCCAGCCTGGGAAACAAGAGCAAAACTCCTTTTAAGAAAAAAAAAAAAGCACTTTGTGGCTTCCCTTTGGCAAATCTGAATTATCAGCATCACTGCTCTTGCACTTTGGGGTCGTAATTAAGTAAAATAAGGGAACACAAGCACGGCAATACTGCAACAGTTGATCTGACAACTGAGACAGCTACTAAGCGACGACTAGTGGGTGGGTGGTGCATAGAGCATGGAGAGCTGGACAAAGGGATGATTCCTGTCCTGGGCTGGACAGAGTGGGGCAGTGTGAGATTTCATCATGCTCTTCAGGGCAGCACACTTCAAAACTGACAAATTGTTTATTTCTGGAATTTTCCATTTAATATTTTTGGATGACAGTTGACCACAGGTAACTGAAGCTGTGGAAAGCGAAACCATGGATAAGGGGAATGACCGTGTTGCTTTCTCTGCAGGTGAAAGCATATTTATTCTGGTACTCTTTGTTTATTGGGATAAAGAAAAAAGAATTTCCCACAGCAGGTGCCAGGGTCAATGGTGATCTGCTTTAGAAAAGGGACACAATCTGGATCAACGACTGCTGTTGGAACAACCATGTGATAAATTGTAAAATAATTCATGGCTATTCTCTAACATCTGTTCATGTTCTGCACAGAAAAACTAGGCAAGTTAACCCTAAATTTATCATTTTTTTTTTGAGACAGGGTCTCTCTCTGTTGCCCAGGCCGGTGGGCAGTGGTACAATCACAGTTCACTGAAGCCTTGACCTCCCAGGTTCAAGCAATCCTCCTACCTCAGGCTCCCAAGTAGCTGGGACTACAAGCGTGTGCCACCACGCCAGACTAATTTTTGAGGTTTTTTTTTTTTTTTTTTTTTTTTTTAAACTAGAGACAGGGATCTCACTCTATTGCCAGGGCTGATCTTACATTCCTGTGTTCTCTCCCCATCTTGCCCTTCCAAAGTGCAGGGATTACAGGCATGAGCCACCACTCCTGGCCCATCAAATCTTTCATGTGGCACTAATCTCTGTCATTCCCTTAGAGATGTAGTGTTGCTGGTCCTTTTTCTAAACCACGTAATCCTTACTGGTAAGGATCAGGATCCTTTTACTGACTATGTCTAGTCCACTCCAGACACTGGGAAATAACCACAGGATTGGTCTGGGATACCACTGGGCTCATGAGAAGCAAACTTGGGCTAAAACTCCATTTGTCATCTGATCTCTATATTGGTTAGATTCTCAATTGCAACTACCAGAAACTACTTTGCCTATTTTAACAAGTAAGGGATTTTCAAGAGCTCTAGATACCTTAGAGAATCATTAGGAGGGCTGGAGAAACAGAATCTAGGGTGATTTTTCCAGAACCCTCCAAATGACAAAGCAGAGTGGATCTGCCAAAGGAGTTGTTGCCTCTGCCAAGACCATGAAACCACCAAGTCAGATTGGAGCCTTCTGAGTCCATTCTGCACTAATTCTGGACTCAGCTGGAGTTGCAGAGCCACGCTGCTTCTGCTGTCCATACCAGTAAGCTGGATGTCCCAGGTGAACCTCATTTCCTCACCTACTTCCCTTCTAAACCAAGTCCACATGGGTGCGTCTGACTAGTAGAACCTAAATTGCTCAGCTCATCTTAGTGGCAAGGGAGGCTGGTAAATGTAGTTTTTAGATCTCCCTGGAAAAGAATAGTGACAAGATGACAGATACAACCTACACTCACATGAGCTTCCATTCTAACTGGGGAACCACAGTATTGCTCTGCATTTTCAGAGATTAGAATTGGTTTGGAGCCAGCGTCCAATCATCCCTAAAGGCCTGGGTATTTTCCTTCCCTCAGGAGTCAGCTATTCTTGTAAATACCCACAGATTCCTATGGGAAGGTCAGGGTGGCAACCCCTGCCTTCTGGACACCCAGGTTCTTGTCTGGTGTCCAGGAAGAATCAGGTCACATGAACTGTTTGAAAGGTGATGAATGCAGAAGATTTTATTGAGCATAGGGTGGCTCTCAGTGGACGTATAGTGCATGCTTGTGATGTTACTGCAGGGCCCTTCCTCAAAGCCTCCCCTTCATTCAGAGTTCTCTGGGTCTATGAGCCAATTCCGATTTTGGAATTGGAATCATGGGGCTCAAGACAGGTCTCTTACTGACCTAAAGTTTTCTTTTGTGGGGGCGGGGTAGTGAATGTGGCAGATATGGAAGACTGACTCACTCCTATCTGTTTCAACATCCTTCTGATGAGCTTTCCTATACTCAAGAGGCTGGTAATCTAAAATCTACCCTTTTCCAGATTCCCCTACAGCCATAGCTTAGGTTTTTCCAATCAGATGCACTCTGTGAGTCATGAGTTGAGTGGAGAGAGAAGTAGAGGGGGAAAAGTTAAATGCTTTTTCTTTGTGTAGGTCTGCCAGGTATACTGTATGGTCCTGGGGCCAACATGTCTGGTAGTGGCTTCCTGATTCCCAAGTTTTCTGATTGTGGCAGACCAAGAGTTCCCTTGGGGTCCACTTCTGTGGTGTTAATATGGAAGCCATGCCCAGAAGCCCAATATAGAGTCTGTTTCTTCAGCCTTCTAATGATTTTGCAAGCACCTAATGCCTTGTATTAAATTTATTTCTGTTAAGAAAGTGAGATTGGTTTCTGTTACTTAAAGCTGAACCCTAGCCGGGCACGGTGGCTCATGTCCATGATTCCCACACTTTAGGAGGCCAAGGCGGGCAGATTACCTGAGGTCAGGAGTTTGAGACCAGGCTGGTCAACATGGTGAAACCCCATCTCTACTAAAAATTCAAAAATTAGCTGGGCATGGTGGTGGGTGCCTGTAATCCCAGCTACTCGGGAGGCTGAGGCAGGAGAATCGCTTGAACCTGGGACGCGGAGGTTGCAGTGAGCTGAGATTGCACCCCTGCACTCCAGTCTGGGCGACAGAGTGAGACTCCATCTCAAAAAAAAAAACAAAAACAAAAAACCAAAAACCAAAAACCAAAAACCAAAAAACTGAACCCTGACTGGTGGTCTGCTCATGTATTTTTGTCCTAGAGACCCACCATCACAGACTCCTACAGATTTTATCCTAGTCCAGCTCTTCACCTTTGCCGTGTTGTACCTGAGATGTCATCTCCATTCAAATCAGGAGGCCTAATTCAACTGCAGCATATTTCATCCACATCCTCAGAGAACAACTGTTAACTGTGTTTTTCAAAGATGCTGTGTTCCCCCGATCCACGTATTTCTTAAAAGCCAGAGTCTGCACAGTGTCTTCTGGGCTCTCACAGTTGGTGAATGAGTGAATGGATTCCACGCAATAATTCTACCCCAACATTCCTGTCTCCCTAGGCAGTCAGATTCCTTTTTCTTTATTACAAAAAGGATTTTCTAGAAATAACTTTATTTCAAATAAGCCTTTATTGAGTTCAGTTTCTGTCATCCAACTGAGCAACCATTCTGATCCACTTCCAGATATTTAAGCTAGTAGCTGAACTTCCAGTCTCTGGTGAATGCTTGCACATTAACTGAGCTGGTTCAAAAATTCATTCCCAATCCCAGTCTTCACATTTCTGCTCATACAGGTTAGCAGCAGCTTGAAATTCTCCTGGTGTGTAAATCTTTTTCTCTAAGCTTTGTCTTTGTAATTGGCCTCTTCCCCCAGGTATGCTGGCATCTGGCTTATTTATAATTCTGAAAGCAATGAAGGGTGGTAGGGTAGAGTGTGAAGATAATTTGGAGTTTGGAGTCTATTAAATTCTCTAATACCTTCCTGTTCCAATTCTGTGGGTGTCCCTCTTTCCTGATCAGTGCTCTAACTTTTATATAAGAGACTTGGCAAGGTTGTGATTTCAACTTGGAGAAGTCAATTTTGAGTTTATTAACTACTTCAGCATTGTAGCTACAAGAAATGAGATATTTTTAAAGAATAATTGTGGACAGTCCCTGGTCCTCTGACTGTCTACAGAATCAGGAACTTAGAACTTCAAGTGTATTACTCCTTCTCTAAGCTCTTCAGTACAGTTAAAAGAAACAAGCCCACTCCAATTTAATTCACATGCTGTGGGCTTCTAGAAGCTCATTTTAATCATAGCCAGATTTTCACTGGCCCATCTAGGCCAGATAACCAAAGTGATTCTCATGTCATTCATTCAACAAACTTCACTGGATAAATATGTATCAAGCTCCTTTTATGCCAGGCACTGTCCTAGGTGCTTGGGATATATCAATGAACAAAAGAGACAAAGATTTCTGCCTCTATAGAGCTTGCATTATAGGTAAGGGTTGGGCAAGAGCAACAAATGTAATAAAGAAATAAATAATACTATACTTGAAGGTGGTAAGTGCGCAAAGAAGTAGGGAATATCAAGGGAGATTGGAGTGCTATGGCAGGGTGGGGAGGAGAGCAATGTTAAATAGGATGGCCAAGGTTGGGTTCACTGAGAAGGTAAAACATAAGCAATGACTTTGCGATGGAATAGTTGCCCTGACGCCCTTCATGGGCGGGAACTGGAGCACTTTGTTTTTTGTTTTTGTTTTGTTTTTTTTTGAGACTGAGTCTCGCCCTGTTGCCCAGGCTGGAGTGCAGTGGTGAGATTTCAGGTCACTGCAACCTCCGTCTCCCGGGTTCAAGTGATTCTCCTGCCTCAGCCTCCCGAGTCGCTGGGATTACAGGCACGGGCCACCAAGCCCGTCTAATTTTGTATTTTTAGTAGAGATGGGGTTTCTTATGTTGGGATTACAGGCACACACCATCACGCCCAGCTAAGGAGCACTTTGTTTCACTCAGCCTGTTGCTGGCCACTCCTTGTGGGAGTGAGTGTGTGAGCAAGTGTGGGAACCGGAGCAAATGAACGCTGGAACCAGCCGGTTGCTCCTCTCTGGCAGGAGCAGGCTCTGTTCGGGCCCTGCAGCAGCGTCCCTATTCTTTCAGCTGTGCTGTCAGGGGATGGCCAAATACCAACCAGTTCAATGGAGGTTCAGGGTGGCAGCCCCTGCCTTCTTGGCACCCAGGTTCTTGTCTGGCGTCCAGGAAGAAGAATCAGGTCACATAAACTGTTTGAAAGGTGACGAATGCAAAATACTTTACTGGGTGTTGGGTGGCTCTCAGTGGAAAGGGAGGATGGAAAGGTGATGGGATGGTGATCTTTCCCTGAAGCCCCACCGTCTCCGGCAGGGCCCCTCTCCAAAGCTGCACCATCTGAAGTTAGCCAGATCTATCCACAGTCTCCGATGCTCAGTTGCTTTTCTGCTCGCCGCTCAGCTGCTTATATCCTCAGTGCTCAGCCGCTTGTGTTGCTCTGCCAGCTGAAGTCTTTTATGGGCACAGCATGTGGGCAGGCAGGCCAAAAAGGTAACATTTTTGGGGAAAATGGGGTCCTTTAGGGCCGAGGTTCCAGGCTTAAGGGTAGGGTTTAGCCAGGAGCCCAGCCCTTCTGTATCAACTTGACGGAGTGAGGGAGGCAGTCAAGCGTGTGTGGGGACCACTCCAGGCACAGCAGCTAGTGCTGATGATCATCCTAACACACAGTGCCTTGAGCAGAGGAGTGACAGGCCACTTGATGAGAGGCTGCGAGGCTAGGAGCAGAAACAGAGAGCCCAGTGTGCAGGGAGGTGAAGAGCCCCTGGCACTCAGAGTGAAGACGGTCAGAGGTGGCTGGATTCTGAGCATCATCTGAAGAAAGCACTGCCAGGAGTTCTTGAAGGACTGCATATTGTAAAAGAAAGAAGTCAAGGAGGTCTCTGAGTCTTTTGTCTGAGCAACTGGATGATAGGAGTTGTGGGATGGAAGTTGGCTGGTATGAAAGATGGGGAGTCAGTTTCAGACATGCTAAATTTACATTGTCTTTTGGACACCCAAACGGAGATCTTTTAGAAGTCTCATGCCAGTAATCACACTTGTTACTAAATTCTGTAGCCATCAGGGTTTTTGCCTGCAAAGATCAGAAGCCACACTCTGAAGCCAGTTTGTTAAAGGATGTTAGGTAAGCCATAGACTCTCCAGGAAGAACTCGCAGGGAACAGGTTTGAAGGCAGCACAGCCCGGAGCAAGCCCACCCTTGCCACTATCTGCAGGTGCAGATTCAGTAGCCCATTCCACTTGGCGCTATCACCAAACTTGTGGCGCTGCTGCTTCTAGAAACTGGAGGTCTGCAGTTATTCCTTCCAGCATGGATTCCACCAGGTGCCTCCTTTTTTAGGACATTAGCTCCCAGCTTACAGGCTTCTGTGATGTGTGTGACTGATCATGTGTCTGTGCTCCAGCTGCAAGGGAGGCTGGAAGGCTAATTTCTGGCTTCTATAGCCAGGAGGCACAGACACTAGAGGGAGAATTCCTTTACAAAGGAGCTGGGCGACTAAGTGTAAGAACAATTGTCCACAAGGAAGGAGCAAGGACTAACACTGATTGCGCACTTAATAATGTTCCAGGCACTTCGCTAAGCATTTTATATAAGATAAGGGAATAAACCCTGTATCTAATCTTCACAGCAATCTCATGATGCTGTCCTTGTTTTCATTTTACACATGAGGAAACATTTTTAGCGAGATTAAATGACTTGCTGAAAAGGTCACACAGCTCCTAAGCAGTGGAGACAGGAACTGAATCTAGGAAGTCTGATCCAAGGACACTGGGATTATGAAGCCCATTTTATAGATGAGGAAATTCTAAGTTAGAGAGGTTAAGTAACTTGTCCAAGGTCACATAGCTTGTAAATGATCAAGCAAAGATATAATTCCAGTTTGGCCTGGCTCCAAAGCTGGTGCTCTGTTTCCTGTTCTCTATGGCCTTGAGCAATTATTGAGCCCCAAAAGAATACAGAGGCTAGCAAATCCCATAAGCAGAGGCTTGTCAAAAATACCTTATGTGGGCTGGGTGTGGCGGCTCATGTCTGTATTCCCAGCACTTTGAGAGGCTGAGGTAGGAGGATCACTTGAAGCCAGAAATTTGAGATCAGCCTGGGCAACAGAGCAAGACCCCGCATCTACCAAAAAAAGAAAAAAATATTGGACAGGCATGGTGGCATGCACCTGTTGTCCTAATTACTGGGTTACTTGGGAGGCTGAGGTGGGAGGATCACTTGAGCCCAGAAGTTTGAGGCTGCTGTGAACCATGATCATACCACTGTACTCCAGCCAGGGCAACAGAATGAGACTGTCTCTAAATTAAAAAAAAAAAAAGAAAAAGAAAAGAAAAAAAAAGGAAAGAAAAAAGGCTTACGTGGGAAGCAATGACTGTATGAAGAGCTGAGAATAAGACGAGTGACCTGGCACAGGTAGATTCTTTCCTGGGATCTCAGATTCCCCCTAGAAGGCCCTGGGTCTGTGCTTGTCAAAGGAAGGAATGGGTGAATGAGCAAACGGTGCAGGGAGGAGGATGACAGAGGAGGGTCTCTATTATTATTCATATCATTCTAACAGTCCGCAAATATCTACCCAAATCTCTAGAGCTTTGATCTCGAGTCCCCGCCCCTTGGAGTGTCCTGCTTGGTTGTGGAGGCTGCTGCTGCTGCTGCAGCCTCTTGGCTTCAGGCTCTGAAGCACTCCCCATCTCAGGCCCAAACAGGAATAAAATCAGTTCCTTTCTCTGTTCCTCTTACTAGACTGAGATCCACTGGGATTGTCTGAGGGAATTCTTGTGAAACCAGAAAGAAAGTTCAAGAAATGATGCAACAACAACAAAATAAAACCCAGGAGAAATAGTACGACAAGAAGTTAAAAGATCGTGAGGAGAGGTAAGGCCTGGTGGGTCCTCACCTGCCTGTTTTTGAAAATCTCGTATTGGAGTTCCTGTCTATTTTCATCCCCTCTTCAAGTCATTCATTCATTCATTCATTCATTCATTCATTCAACAGATCTTCACTGGGTGCCTATTCTGTGGCAGGGATTGGGAATAGATGGAATTGTGAGCAGAACAGACAAGGTCTCTGCCCCCATGGGCTCACAGTCTGGTGCCAGAGGCAGACAGGCAGACAGGCCAGTGCTGAGTGAGTGCCATCGGTGATGAGAGGGATGGGCTGTACTTTCAGATGGGGTCTCCTGAGCTGGCCATGGTGGCTAGGGAAGCTTCCTAGGATAGGCATGGGCCAGGAAGCTTCCATATGTCATTTTGTTGATTTCTCACAACTGTGTGAGGTTGCTCTTGTTGCTTCCATTTACAGATGAGGAAACTGAGGCTCAGAGAAGAAAAGTTCCTTGCCCAAGTCACCCACACCAGTGTTGATCTGGCTCCCTACCTCCTGCTCTTAGCACGACCTATCTGGCCTCTAACAATTTTTAACACTTTTTAAGATTGCGCTGTGGCCTCAATTTTCTCCAAGAGTTACCTTGATCTCTCCCCAGGAAGATCAAAGCTGTCGGAGAACACATGAGTATCAGAAGCAGAGTGTGGGTGCAGAGGGGTCCTGGGTGAATAACCCTGCAAGGACAGACAGTCCCTAAGGACGGCTCTGCACCCACATGCTGGGTGTGACACTCATGTGTCCTCCGATGGCTTTGATATTCCTGAGCTTTCTTCCCACCCGGGAATCCCTCAGTCTGTCTTTGCTGCTACCAGCACCCTCAGCCTCAGAGACATGCCATCCTCACCCGAACTCAGGCCAAACTCTCAAACATGATTCCTTTCATCTCTTGCCCTCACCATGACTCAGTCATGTTGGGGTTGTCAGAAGGAGCATTTGTCAAGATGGAGGGAAACCTCAGGGAAGTGAATCAACACCAAACCCATAAGAGTCAAGCTTGAGATTCAAAGGTGGGGTGTGTGTGGGGAGGAAGGTTAGCTTCCCCAAGTTCTCTGCTCATTGGGAGCCCCAAGTGGAGACTCTGCCTGTCATTGACCCCTTCATTCAATGGGTAATCACTGAGGGCCTACTCTGTGCCAGGCATGGGGCTAGTAGCTGGGGCTACTACAGTGACCCAGGCAGAGTCTGCCCCCATAGAGTCTTGTCGGAGAGACCAACAGGTAACAGCCACCTCCATACAGTATGCTGCATTCCATTAGGGGGAAGCCCAGGGACTCTGGGCCACACAGCAGAAACAACTAACACAGTCTTGGGAGGCAGGGAACATTCTTTGGAGAAAGTGTTGGGTCAACACACCAGGAAGATGTTGGATTTGATATTTGATATTTGGTGGAGGTGATATTTGGTGGAGGTGATATTCAATGGAGGTGGTGTGCATGTGTGTTTGTGTGTGTGTGTGTGTGTGTTTGTGTGTGTTGGGGGTGGGCAGTTCTGGGTAGGGGGAACTGCATCAGTGAAGGCCTGGAGGTGTGACTGAAAGTGGCCCACTGGAGGAGCTGGAACTTGAACTTCCTGGGGCTACTGTGCAGAGGGTGAGGAGGGGCTGAAGAGGGATGACGAGGTGCTGGTGGGAGTAGGCGGTCAGTCGTGGAGGACTTGCTCATGGTGGGGAGACTGAACTGTACCCCGAGAGCCACAGAGAAGCACATGTCCCTTTTGTTTTCACCTTTTTCTAGCCCTGCAGTGGAGGAGGAGAACCTGTTGGCCAGGAACTGCCAACAGCTTTTGTTCTGGATAAGCCCCTCGTGGAGGAGGACAAGGCAAGAAGATGGGTCTTCATCCTAACCCACGGAAGCAGCGCTGGACTGAGAAGCACCACCTGCGAAACTCCCAGCCCCACTGAGTAACCTCCAGGGCAGGGGCATGTCCCTGCTTACGAGCTCCCACCAGCCCGTCACACCCCCCCACCCACCTCAGAGGCTCCTGCCCCTGACCTGAGTGAGCTGTGTCTGAGTTGGGTCCCTCCTCCCTCCAAGGAGTGTGCTCTATGGACAACAGCCTCTATCCTCATTTGTCCCTTCCTCCTAGCGCCTCCTTCTGCACCCCTGACCCCGCTCCATGCTGTCACCTCCTCTGTATGGCAGCTGGGCCTCGTCTGTCCTGGGACGGTGGCAAGCATGTACAGAAGTCATCTTCCTTATTTCTCACTACCCCCAGCTTCCCAGATGGGAAACTGAGGCTCAGAGAAATGACATAACTCAGCTGACAAAGGATCTGAGTGGGTCTGACCCGCAAGCCCACCCTCTTCACCTCATGCTGTCTAAAACAATTACAGACACCTCCCACGAGCAGGAAAGCTCTGGAAATGTCTTCTTGGAAAGCAAGCAGCTACCCATGAACAGTGAGTCTCTGTCCCAGGTATTTCTTGTCTCTGGGCCTCAGTTTCCTCACCAGACTCCTCAGTGTGTGGAACAAATGCAGTGGCAATGAAGGAACGAGGGCACCAGGGAGGGCGGGCTCCACTGACTTTCTGAGTCATGGAAAATCCATGGTCCAAAAAGCTCTTAGCATTTTCTCTGCCCCTGGGTCTCACATCCATCTCAGGCCATGCCAGCCCCCAAGCCCCAGGGGTCCTACTGTTCTCCCTCCTCTCAGGCCAAAATGAGAACAAAGCGAGTTCCTTCCCTCCATTCCCCTCGGCATGACTAACACATGCTGGGGTTTTCCCAAAGGAACTTCTGTCAGCCCTAATGGAAAACTGCAAAATACAAAGGAAACAAAGCAAATTCAGAATCCACAGCAAATAGTCATGTTTGAGGTACAAAAAGTTGGGGCAGGGGATGCTCGTTGAGAGCATTCCCTTCATACTAGTTTTTTTTTTTTTTTTTAAATTTTAGGTGGAGTCTCGCTTTGTCACCCAGGCTAGAGTGCAGTGGTGCGATCTCAGCTCACTGCAGCCTTGACCTCCTGGTTCAAGTGATCCTCCCGTCTCAGCCTCCTGAGTAGCTGGGATTATAGGCACCCGCCACCACACCTGGCTAATTTTTTGTATTTTTAGTAGAGACGAGGTTTCACTATGTTGGCCAGGCTGATCTCGAACTCCTGACCTCAGGTGATCCACCCACCTCAGTCTCCTAAGTAGCTGGGATTACAGGCACATGCCACCACACACGGCTAATTTTTTGTATTTTTAGTAGATATGGGGTTTCACCATGTTGGCCAGGCTGGTCTGGAACATAATAGTTCTTAACTGGAACCCTATCTTGAGTTCTTTGGGCCCCTGGATTTTCCAGTGTATGTTCCCAGGGGTGTTAATTAATATAAAATAACCCCAAACAAAACTCTTGTGATCAAATCCAGTGGAAAACATGGAGATAAACAAACCAAACCTTTTTTTTTTTTTTGCAGGACTTCTCAAAGCTTTTGGCCTTGGCCTCCCAAGGTGCTGGGACTACAGGCGTGGGTCACTGCACCTGGCCAAAGCTTTTGTTTGCTTAAAGTGCTTTGTAAGTTTATAAGAGGAGGCTACAGAACCCAGAAATCACCTATGGATTTGACCACGAGATGCGCTGCTGAATTCATGGTGGGAAATGCTGATGATCTCTGATGGAGGCTGCTGGGTGGCTGCTGCCCTCACCCTGACCTGTCCTCCCCAGCTGGACGGGGGACTTCTAGGAGGGGGAGGGTCCCCACTGAAGATGGACACATGTCCTGTCAGAGTTTCTGAGAAGCTCCAGCCCTTAGGCAGAATGGGACAAGGAGAAACAGACTTGGGTCTGTACTCGGGACTGCAGAAGCCGAGCATGAGGAGTTGTGGGGACAGTGCCCCTCCTTCATCCCCACCTCCCAGCCCCCCAGTATCTCCTTCTCC
Organism: Homo sapiens; assembly: GCF_000001405.40. NCBI lineage: Eukaryota > Metazoa > Chordata > Mammalia > Primates > Hominidae > Homo > Homo sapiens. The sequence continues at coordinate 41,550,402 of NC_000017.11, read as the reverse complement.
CCCTGATCCTTCCCTTGATCAGGCCAGGGCCCTGTCATTGTCCCAACAAATGCCTACCGCCAGTTCATCGCACCTTGTTTTCTCTGATGTCCTCGCAATCACACACCTTGTGCCCCTGAGCTGGGTACACGATCCTTTGCAATGTGTGCTACGAGAACTGTATTGCTAATAATAAAGACAAAATTTAATGACTCCACTGGCTGAGCTTCTGGTAGGTCCCAGGCACGTTAGACAGACTATTTCATTAATTCTCACCTCGGCAATTTGAGGAAGGTCTTGCTGTCTCAGTATCCTGAGTCTTAGACAGGTTCAATGACTTGCACAAGGTCACATAGCTTTTAAGTGACAGGGCCTGGCTGCCTTGGCTCTGAAGTGAGTTCTCTTTGCAACAACCTACCCAGCTGAGCCCCTCCTTTGTTTAGAGAAGGCTTCTCCTCTGAGCTGGGAAGATCCAACTTTGACCCTCAATTCTCAGATGACAGTGGTTCAGTCAGGCAGGAACTAGCTGTACTAACATGTAAACAAGTCACTTCTGCAAGGAGAGGCAGAGGCCAGTGCTTGCGCGAGCGTGACTGATAAAGGAATGGGGCGAGGGCTGAGGACTCTCTGGCTCTACCGATTTATGATACTGAAAGTCATCAATCTTAAAGAGAGATCTGCATTCCCCAAGCTTTCTTCTCCCTGAGGGGCCTCTCCTATCTCTCGCCAATATTGTGGCTCCCCTCAGCCGCAGGGGCAATCTTTCTGGTTTTCTCTTAGGTCCAAACACGAACCAAATAAAATCCTCTTTTCCCTTCTCTTGGTTCTCTTCTCTTCCTTTCCCTTCTTGGTTACACTTTGGAATTTTCAGAGGAAAAGTTTGCCAAGTCCAAGGAAGACTTTATGGAAATGAACAAGAGCCTATAAAACCCCATGAACTATCCATGAACGATATAGCACGGTGTGAACTGTTTCCTTCACAGCTGTGGCTGCAGCGGCCCCTTGTGGCCATGTTACACGCCAGGAAATTGAGCGTCAGAGAAACCACAGTTTTAGCGCTGGGCGGGGAGCTCTCTTTCCTTAGAGAGGTGGCCTCCTCCACTCTTTTGTGGCCCAGAGAGGGGAAGACACATGCCCAGGGCCACAAAGGTAGAATGCAGGCATTTGGACTTCCAGCCCTCCTAGGGCTCTTTCTCTTGTATTGCTCTCAGCTCAACGTCCCTTTGTTGCTGTAGGGAGGCCAGGGAGCAGCCTGGAGTGTGGGGCCTGCCTTTGCCCAGACAGGCTCCCTCTGACCGTTCCTCTCACACAGCACTGAGCAGGGTCAGGGGTGCAGAGGGAGGCGGTAGGAGGGAGCCCGCCTGCAGGCAGGTTGGCGAGTCCCCTCGCGGCCCCCAGGAGGCGCTGTGAAGCCGAGTTGGCGAGGTCCTGGGCTCCTCCCGCACCGGTGGCGGAGGGAGATGTTCAGTCTGAGGACAAAGGAAGCTGCACCCCGCCTAGGGACAAAGGAAGCTGCACCCCGCCTGGGGAGCTTGCAAAGACGGGGCCTTGTGGCCGGCAGCCTGCCCTGTCCAGAGCCGAGGTTGGCTCCAAAGCGGACATCACCGCCTCTCTCCGGGCTCCGGTGGCGGGCTGCTGAGGCACCCCACAACCACCTTCCCCAGACTTCACTTTGCAGACGCTGCTTCTTCTCTCTGAGCCTCTGAATGCCCGGTGAGGTGGGCAGGGCAGGATCCCTGTTCCTGTTATGGACTGGAAAACAGTTTCACAGAGGCCGAGGGCTTGCCCGAAGTCAGCCAGCTGATGAAAGGCGGAGCCTGGCCTCAGGGCTTTGGACCGCCAAGTCAGTGCCCAAGCCCTTTCCTACACAACTCATGGCTTCCCGGAGTTTGGCTCAGGGTAGAGGGGGAGATGCTATAGAGGAAGGCAGGAGCCTTTGGAGTCAGCTCCACTACCACCTGCCATGTCATGTAACCTCCCCGAGCCTCAGTTTCCTCATCTGTAAAATGGGCAGTAACCCTTGGAAGGTTGTTGTAAGGAGTGGACATCATGGATGTCAAGAGACAGCAGAGTTGCCTGATCCAGTGTGTCAGTGTGGGGGCCATGGGGCTCTGTCCACGTGTCAGTACAGCCACCTCCTTGGAGATCCAAGCTGGGAATGTCAGAGCCTGGCTCTTCCTCGTTGAGGTGCAGTGAGCTGCCTTAGTCTGCGGTGCAGGGCGTGGGGGTGGACATGCTTTTGCTGCTGTGAGCCAGTGCAGAGATGGAGCCAAGAGAGGCCAAGTTTGGTGGAGTCAGGGACGGGGCACGTAGGAGGATGGTGGGATGAGTCACTCGCCAGCTCAGATTGTGGTGTGAAGGGGAAGGAGTGTGGAGGCCGGGCCAGGCCTGGCAGCACCAGGCACAGACCTACCAGGAAGGGAGGCAGCCCTCTGGGACCAAGGCATGGCACCCTGCCAGTCCCACTTGCCCAGCCTCTGCGCTGCCCGGAGCTCCCTAGGGGTGAGGGTGGGCAGGAGAAATGTGTCCTGGGACCTGTCAGCATGTGGGTCTGTGTGGGGAGAGACGGGGTGAGGGTCTGGCTGCTTTTTTGTCCTGCTCACAGCCTCTCCTGGTCAGTGCCAACGCCCTTCTTCCTGCCTGTGTGCTGGGGATGGGGAGTGCCCCTCCCAGCCAGCCATCATCTAAGACAGACAGACCGAAGCAGTGTTCACACATCTACCAGGCGTGTTGCACCTGGCTGTCCACGTAGATGATCAGCCACATCTGCATCCACCAGGGGCCCCACAGAATATGACGGACTCTCAGGGTTGACCGAGTGTAGAAAGGGAACTATTTCTGGAGGTGTGGACAGGAGCAGCAGGGATCAGACAGCCCAGAGCAGAGCAGTGGGAAGCGGAGGGATGGGAAAAGGGAGTTTGAGGGGGTGTGGCCAGGGGAGGGCTGCCCTGCAGGAGCCTTAGAGCGAGCAGCTGCAGCCAGAACCGTGGCTGGGCAAGGAGAGGTGGGGGGATAGATACACAGGCCCCTTTCTTCCTGTTCTCCATCTTCCGCTGCTGCCTACTGATGGATGGCTGATTCCAATGGGGCAGTTGGAGGGAAGGGAGCCAGTGACACAGGGATCATCCTTCCAGGTACAGAGCAGGACAGAGGAAGGTGGAGAGTAGATCTAAGGATCCAGGGAGAATTATCAGCCCAACCAGTGGTTGGGCAAGGGGGCACAAATATGAGCCAGACCCCAGCCTCAAGGAGCTCACTGGCTGGTAGAGGGGATAAGAGCCAATGAATTCTCACCCATATAGGAAGAGGACAGTGCCTGGGAGAGGGTCAGGTAAAGCACCAGAGGGGCTCAGAGGAGGAAGAGCGAGTGCCAGGGATCACAAAGGCCTGAAGGAAGAGGTGATGTATGAGTTCCACGTTGCTGCTGTAACAAGTGGTGGCAAACTCAGTGGCTTAAAACAACACAAACTTACTATCTTCTAGGCCTGGAAGTCAGAAATCTGAAATGGGCCTTATGGGCTAAAATCAAGGTGTCATCAGAAATGCTTTTTTTCTAGGGGCTCTACGGGAGAGTCTGTCTCCTGGCCTCTTCCAGCCTCCAGGGGCTGCCTGCCTTCCTTGGCTTGTGGGATCTTCCTCCTTCAAAGTGCCTCACTTTGACCTCTGCTTCCATGGTCCCAGCTCCTCTCTGTGACCTTGACCATCTCGCCTCTCTCTTACAAGGACCCTTGTGATTACTTTGGACTCAATCGGATAATCCAGGATAACCCAACCCCCATTCCAAGATCCTTAATGTAATCACATCTGCAAAGTCTCTTTCTGCCATGGAAGGTACATGCTCACAGGTTCCGATTGGCGTATCTTTGGAGGGCCATTATTCTGTCTACTCCAGGCAATGGTGAAGAGGCACAGTTTCAACCTGTGACGGCTGAGGGGAAGGACCCTGCAGGTGGATAGGATAGCCTGAGTAGAAGCAGGCATTTGAGAACCTAAGCACTATTGGCCAGCACCTGTGAGTAATTGCAGGAAGACTGTGATTTTGGGGGACAGGGCTGGAAAGCCAGCCTGGACATGGCCAGTGCCTTGCTCCATTTCCAAATAAATGCAGTTGGCCTCTGAGGCTTAGTGGCAACCGTCAGTGCCTGTGGCATGGCGGGGCTGGCGGGGGGCCTCCTGGATGTGAGGTGAGCCTTGCTGTTCAGTGTCCATCCCTCCCCGACCCACACTTCTCCAGGCCCAGCACGGCTTTATTCAGGACCTGCATGGTGAGTCGGACCCTCGCAGTTGTCCCCTCCGTGAGGCCCTCCATTGGCCCGTCTCTTATCCACCCACACCCCCACTGCCAACAGGCCCGCAGGCAGCACTTGTCCCCTCCCCTGCCTTCCCCAGCCTCCAGGCCTCCAACTCTCCCAGTGTTACGCCTCCAACACACTGAACTGCTCCCTCCCTGAACTCCCCGCATTGTCTCACCTGGCCAGGCCATTTCCCACAGCTTTCCCTGTGCCAGAAACACCCACCACCCGAGCCCTTTTCTTCCCACTCCTCATTCTTCAAATCTCAGCTTTTTGGAAGAACACTTTCCCCTTCCCTCCACCCCACCGCACAGGGAGCAGTGAGCGACTCCCACAAAAATCTTTTTTTTTTTTTTTGAGACAAGGTCTCACTCTGTCACCCAGGCTGGAGTGCAGTGGTGTGATCATGGCTCACTGCAGCCTCAACCTCCTGGGCTCAGGTAATCCTTCCACCTCAGCCTCCCGAGTAGCTGGAACTACAGGCACATACCACCATGCCCTGATCATTTTTTGTAGAGATGTTACCTAGGCTGATCTTGAACTCTTGGACTCAAGCAGTCTACCTGCCTCGACCTCCCAAAGTGCTGAGATTATAGGTGTGAGCCACTGTGCCTATCCTCTCACAAAATCTTTTATAAAAACCCATACCTGGCCAGGTATGGTGGCTCATACCTGTAACCTCAGCACTTTGGGAGGCCGAGGCAGGCAGATTGCTTAAGCCCAGGAGTTCAAGACCAGCCTGGGCAACATAGCAAGAACAGGTCTCTTAAAAAAAAAATTGGCCCAGGCATGGTAGTGCATGTTTGTAGCCCTAGCTACTGAGGAGGCTGAGGCAGGAGGATCACTTGAGCCCAGGAGTTTGAGGCTGCAATGAGCTAGGATTGCGCCACTGCACTCTACCCTGGGTGACAGAGCAAGACCCCATCTCAACAAACAAAAAACCCAAAAAACAGAACAGAAAGCTCCTCCCAGCCCACACCTGCTGAGTGGTTGTCCCCTGCGGTGATGACTGACACATGCCATTTAACCTTCATGTTGCTGGTAATAGCTCTTGATTTTATGGAGTGCCAGATACTGTGCTTCACACCTGATTTTTCATTTATTCCCCCACAAGCCCTCTGAGGTTGGTGTTATTAGCCTCATTTCAGAGGCGGGGACACTGAGGTTCTGACAGGTGAGGTAACGGCCGTTGCATGACATGGCTTTGAAATAAAATGGTGGCTCTGTGAATCAAACCCAGGCCACCCTGGCTCCAAGGCCTGGGCTCTAAACCACATGCCACACTGGTGTGATTATGGTCCATGTTTTATAGGGGAGGAAACTGGAGCTTAGGGAGGTGAATACCTGGGCCTGGCTAATGAGTGGCTCTCACCCCAAGGCGTGGCTCTTTTCAAAGGCCAGGCCTGTCACTGCCTTGCTACATGGTCACTGATTAATCTTGCCTGCTACGCTATACTGCTGGGCCTCTCTTTTGTAGCTATTTGTGTAGATCTTTCCCTCCCCCATTCTCCCCTCTCCCATCTGCTGGGAGCTTGTTGGGGGCTGGGCCTGAGTCTGTTTCGTCTCTGAATTCTGCATGTGGCATAGGGCCTGGCTCAGAGCCCACGCACAGCACACGAGTGAATGAGGGAATGAATGGTGTTTCCTGGGCATGGCTTTGGGAAAAGCAAGAAACTGCTCAGAGTGCCCATCGGCAGCCAGTAGATCCAGAGAGGCTGAGGCTGTGAGCTCCTGCAGGGCCCAGGCCTGGGGTCCCAGCACCACCTCAAACTTCTTGGCAGATCTGAATGCCCAAGTTAGGTTTTGTTTTTTTACAGATATATAATTTTGTACTGAATTATGCATGTATTATTTCTTCCCAAATATATATATAATGCATGTATTCTTTCCAAATATATGTAATATATATTATATAATGTGTAATACATAATTATTACATGTAATATATTATATAATGTGTAATACATAATTATTACATGTTATATATATTATGTATTATATATAATATATAATTCTGCATTATATATTATATATATATAAATATATTTGGGAAGAAGTAGTACATGCATTATATATATATACATTTTGGAAGAAGAAATACATGCAAAATTCAGTATAAATATATATATATTTGGGAAGAAGTGATAGATATATAATTCAGTACAAAATTTTAAAAGTACAAAGGATATTCAGCAAAACATTAGTCTCTCCGTTCTTTGAATTCAGTCTCCCAGCTCCGTTCCCAGAAGCATCCCCTGCTATCTCACTTGCTTGTGTATCCTTCTAAAGAACCCAATGCATTTACCAACATAGATGTGCATATCTTCTTCCCTGGCACACACATAAAAATAATAGCAAACTGTCTATATTACTGTACCATCTTACATTTTCATTTAATAAAATACTTTGAACATCTTTCCTATCAATACTATACAGAGCTGACTCATTCTTTTTGATGGTGGCACAGTATTCTATTGCATACTTATCATATGTATTTATTGTATGTATCATATAATGAACATTTAGGCATTTCTGGTCTTTTGCTATTATAAATAATACTGCAGTGAGCCTCCTAGTACTTCATGTCATTTGGCACATGTGCAGAAGTACGTCTGAAAGATAAACACCTGTGAAAGAAATTGATAGGTCAAAGAATTATATTAAAAAAAATTTTTTTTTGAGACAGGGTCTTGCTCTGTTTCCCAGGCTGGAGTGCAGTGGCACAATCTCAGCTAACTGCAGCCTTGAACTCCTGGACTCAAGCAATCTTCCCACCTCAGCCTCCTGAGTAGCTGGGACTACAGGTGCATGCCACCATACCTGGCTTAAGATTTTGATACATATTGGAAATGACTGTTCATAGACCTTATACTACCAGCAATGTGTGGTGTGTCCAGTTCCCCATATTCCCAACAAATAGTAATTTAGCAAACCTTTTTACTTTATTTTATTTTGAGACAGAGTCTTGCTCTGTCACCCAGGCTGGAGTGCAGTGGTGCCATCTCGGCTTACTGCAAGCTCCGCCTCCTGAGTTCCCGCCATTCTCCTGCCTCAGCTTCCCAAGTAGCTGGGACTACAGGCACCCACCACCACGCCTGGCTTATTTCTTGTATTTTTAGTAGAGACAGGGTTTCACCCTGTTAGCCAGGATGGTCTCGAGCTCTTGACCTCTTGATCCGCCCACCTTGGTCTCCTGAAGTGCTGGGATTACAGGCGTGAGCCACAGCGCCCGGCCAGCAAACCTTTTTATCTTTACCAATCTGACATGTAAATCATGGGATTTCATGGTACTCTAAATTTGCATTTCTCTTCTCAAGTAAGGTTGAACGTTTTCATAAGTCTAAATGCAACTTGTAGCTCCTTTTCTGGGAACTGTTTGCTCATATTCTTTGCCCTTTTTCCTGCAGGGTTCTTGGTTTCTTACTTAGTTATTTGTAGGAGCCCTTTATATATATTAAAGATATTAACCTTGGGTCGGTGATAAGGGTTGAGAATATCTTCCTGCTTTATTGTCTCCATAAATTGTGTTGCAAGAGGTTCCCAGTTTATTACTTTCCACTTTCACTCTAGTTATTTGCCTCCATGTTCTTATCTCCTTATATTGTAATTGTCCTCATTTTTCCACGAACTTTCTCTCACATTATCTGATTTAAAACTTGTTACCTTCAAGAGAGATGAATATTGATACACCCATTTGTTTGGGGAGGCAATTGTCTGTGGATCTCTTGTATTTCTGCACATCTTGCAATCAGAGGCACTGACAGCTTTTGTTCTGGTCTGCCTTTTCAAGGATGTGCTAGTAAACTTCCTTGGAAGACAGAGATGACATCTTCCTCTGGAAAAGAGGCAGCTTTTTTTTTTTTTTTTTTTACTGTTCTGTATAATAATAACAATATTTCTCTCTGGAGCAAAGATCAAACAGGTTTTCTTGCAGCCCATTATAAAAAATTTGGTTCCCCCAAGTGTGGAACTCCTCAGCTGTGATACAAAACCCATTGTATATGTAGTGTAGCATCCACTCGAGTCAAGCTTTGTGTTGTCCTCATGGTACTTGGGGTGGAGGGCTACTTGCTTAAGCTTAGTTTAGTAAGGCACAGAGCTGGGATTTGAACCCACAGCTCTTTGCAACATAAAGCTCAAGTTTCTTGCTGTGCCATGAGTAATAAAGTCGTTGTCTCTGACCCAGGGTCTCGTGTCTTCTGCCAGCATCCATAAAACTATGGCAGGACAACTTTTTAACTTGCAAAAAGAGTAAAATTTTAGACCTTTACAGTTCTTGGCAATTTGGCAGCTGTGCCAAGTGAGGCTTTGATCACCTGTGCCCAGGGTCACCCAGACAGAAAGCAGAAAACTAGGTGTGTTACTTTTTAGTTATGCTAACGTGGACTTCCTCTGTTAGCAGGTAAACGGCCCACGGCTAGGCTTCTTTCAGCCACTTTATCTTGCTTTCAGCTTACCCACTTTCAGCTTACCCGGGCCTCGCTCCCTCACTCAGGGGGCCCTCCATCTTTGTGCCTCTCCCATATCTCATGGATCTCATGCGTTAGGCTAGTGGTTCTCACACTATAGTGAGCCTCAGAATCACCTGGAGAACTTATTAAAAATTCAGACTTATTAAAGGTGCAGGTTCATCCACAAAGACTCGATTCAGTAACCCTGGCTCGCCTCTCCATGGGTTCTGTCCTGGGGGTGGAAGGACCACATGGCGAGTTGCTGCTGTAAAGAACAGGCTGACTGTGAGAATTTGTGAGCAGGGATTTGATCAAAGCTGGCTTGAGACAGATGAGCCTGGTGCTGGGGTGAGTTGCCGGGGTAGGTCAGCTCTGGGGGAGGCGGCTGTGGTCCTTTGGTCTTGAGGTGATAAGGCGATGATGGTGGGGCAGCAGAGGGAAGGAGTGAGGGGGTGCTGGGACAGGGCTGTTGACCCAGCTGGGTGATAGCCCTGTGTTTCCAGCCTCAGGAAACCTGCTGTCTGACTCACCTGGTACTTTGCATGTATCATCTCCTGGCTCAAACAATCACTGTTGGCTTCTGCAGGAAAAAAATAAAAAATCAAATCTAGTGGCTTGACCTGCTAGGCCCTTTGTTGTCTGATTCGAACCAGCTCTGCAGCCTCTGCTCCCTGGTTTTCCTTTGACACAGTGGTTAGACCGCAAGGTGCAGGCCCAGACCTTGTGAGTTCAAATCCCAGCCCGGTGCCTTACCAAACTCAGCTTAAGCAAGTAGCTCTCAGTTTCCTAGTTGGCAAAATGGGAGTGATGACAGTGTCCACAGCATAGGGGAGCTTCGATGATTTAAACAAGTTCATGGATGCCACATACTCGAACAGAGTTAGGCATAGAGGAAGAGGCCAATACATTTAGCCTGTTTTTATAAGATTTCTTTTTTACTGGAACTTCCCACTATCCGCCACCTCCATGTCCTTACTCTAGGCACCATTTACTGTGGCTCACCCTGGGGCTGTGAAGGGCCCCCTCCTCCAGGGCGCCCTCCCTGCTTACCCAGGCCTTGATCCCTCACTCAGGGTGCCCTCCATCTGAGCTCCAGCAGCCCCGGGTCTATGTCCCTCCTCTGACCCTGGCCTGCCTCCTGCCTTTGTCAGGAGCCTACAGTGTTTACCTCTTTCTCTTCCCCGAGCTCAGGTCGTCCCCTGGGGACAGACATCCTGGCTCCAGGGCACCTGCCTGCTGGTTTCTGCTGAGCAGGACACCAGCTGTGGGACTTTAGGCAGGCTGAGGCCCCACTCTCTCTCAGTTTTCTGACCTATATAAACTGCTGGAGGTAGGCTGAAGCACGTGTTTGGGCTTTAAAAGAGGGAGAATCTTTGCTGAAGCAAAATCTCACAGAAAGCTGAGTATATAAAACCAGTGTGAATGCATGTGTGAGAAGGCCTGGGAGTGTGTGAGTGTATGTGTGAGCATGTGTATGCATGTGTGTGCATGTGTGAGTAGGTGTGAATACTGTGTGAGGTGTGTAAGTGTGTGTGAGTGTGGGTGGTCACAGCAGATCCGCTCAGCTCCCACCTCTCTGCTTAGGGCTTAGCAGGCGAGGCTTGAAGATCTCTGGGCTAGAAGATTTCTATGCCCCCATCCTACAAGTGTAGGAGTTTTGTCTAAATCATCTTGCTGGGCTTTTAGATGCTTATTATGTTTCTTTTTCTTTTTCTTTTTTTTTTTGAGACAGAGTCTTGCTCTGTTGCCCAGGCTGGAGTGCAGTGGCTCTATCTCGGCTCACTGCAAGCTCTGCTTCCCAGGCTCAAGCAATTCTTCCTGCCTCAGCCTCCCTAGTAGCTGGGATTACAGGCACTCACCACCATGCCCAGCTAATTTTTGTAGTTTTAGTAGAGATGGGGTTTCGCCATGTTGGTCAGGCTGGTCTTGAACTCCCGACCTCAGGTGATCCACCTGCCTTGGCCTCCCAAAGTGCTGGGATTACAGGTGTGAGCCACTGTGCACGGCCAAGAAGATGCTTACTATGTTTCTTAGCAGTCAAGGTGAGGATAAGGATGAGGTAACATGGACATGGCAGGAATGGGAAACTTGGGGTTCGTGAAGCCTCCTCTCTTCTCCCCATGCTCCAGCCCTTTCTTCTGAAGCCCCAGACATGGATATCCCTGTTGGGATGTGTTTGTTCGGTTTCTGTGTACCAGGTCCTCATTGTATGTTTACTCAGCGAGGACAGATATCTCTGGTGGATCTTCTCATCCCCACAGGCTCCAGCCCTAATCCCAGGCAAGGACTTTGGAGGAAGCACTTTCCTCTCCAACTCCAGCACATTCCACTGGAGGGGGAAGGGTCTTGGCAGGACTGAGCCAGGGGAGGGCAGAAGATGCTTCCTGGCACTGTGGTTCCTTGGTGCATCCCCCGTGCCTCCCTGGTGCTGGCACGGCTGGTAGGCCTTGGGCTGGTAATTGGGCAGCCTGCTGAGGGCTGATGCTGGCACTGGGTAGTTCCTGCCTGGAATGCACGTGAGATGCCTAAGGGAGCCGGTGAGGCTTTGTCTTCTGTTAATACTCTGTGTGTGTGTCTTTGAGGTGGGATAGTGTTCCTTTTCAACTGACTTCAAAAAGCGCTTCAGATACCAGGCCCCTCTCATGGGATCAGGCGTCAGCTGCTCTTCCTTGGGGCAAAGGGGATCTCCCCCGTTCTCCCTCATCTCCCCCTTAGTCCCCAGGCCTGGGCATTCCTGGTATTCCCAGCTCCTGGCAGCCCATCTCGCTATGTGATTCTCTGTGGTTTCTGCCTGATGAATGTTTATCCTGCAGCCGGTTGGAGCCGGGATGAGCAGGGCCTCAGCATCCTGTCTCCAGAGCAGCTCTGAAGCTCCTTCCAGCTGCTGTTAGGAATGCCCCTTCTGCCCCAACCCCCTGCTCACCTGGTCCAGAAACTCACTAACCTGACCACCCCTCCCCCAAGTCTGCAAGGCCCCGCTTGCCAGCCTAAAGCCAGTGGAGCCTGGAATGAGTCAGAATTGAAAATAATAAGCACTCCCCTCAACCCATGCTAGAGGTGAGACATGCTCACTGCTGCTTTTTTGAAAATGTAGAAAACACAGATCTTCATTAGAAATCATCTGTCTCTTGGCTGGGCGCAGTGGCTCACGCCAGTAATCCCAGCAGTTTGGAAGGCTGAGGTGGGTGGATCACTTGAGGTCAGGAGTTTGAGACCAGCCTGGCCAACATGGTGAAACGCTGCCTCTACTAACAATATAAAAATTAGCCAGGTGTGATGGCAGGCACCTGTAATCCCAGCTATTCAGGAGGCTGAGGCAGGAGAATCACTTGAACCCAAGAGGCAGAAGTTGCACTGAGCCAAGATTGCGCCACTGCATTCCAGCTTGGGTGATGGAGTAAGACTCTGTCTCAAAAAAAAAAAAGAAAAAAAAAAAAAAAAAAAAGAAAGTCGCCTCTTTCATACCAACCCCTAACTGTGGGCTCCGTCTGTGAAGGCAGGGCCCAGGTGGACACAGCCCTTGTCCTTCCCCTCCCTCAGCAGGCATCAGCGCTGGCAGAGATCGGGGTACAGTCATTGCTTGGTTAGTAGAACCTAATTCTGCCAGGACGCGTTCCAACACAGATCTAGGAGGGCCCCGGTGTGATTCCTTTCCTGGAGGTGGATTAGATAAACCACCGTCCCAGACCAGCTTCCTGACCTCAGTGCAAATAGGAGGCTCACACCTCAACCAGGAGCCATGCAAGATTCTCTCCTTCCCTTGTCCTCCCCATGAATCGTCAGCCTGACCTGCTGGCTCTGCCCTCGGGATATCCCTTGCACCAGGCCACTGTTCCTGAAGTCCTCTGATGTCTCCCCAGAACAAGCCCCCAGTGTCTCTCACCTGAACTCCATTAGAGCCTCTTATTAGATCTCCAGCTCTTTGGGCCCCACGGTCTATTCCACAGGGAGCAGCCAGGGGTGGGGAGGGCGTCCCAGTGCTCCTCTGCTCAAAGCACCATTACTCTCAAGATAAAAGCCAGCGCCTCCATTAGACCGCAGACACCGAGTGCTCTGTCCTGGCCTCCCCTGGGCTCATCTCCTGCACACTGTCATTCTGGCTCACCCCTCTTAACCACTGGGACTTCTTGGTGTTGCCTGAACAGACCAAGCTCCCTCTTCCTTAGGGATTTTGGCTTTGCTGTGCCCTTGGCTTGGAATAATCTTCCCTGGGGATCTGAGGGCTCCTTTGCCTCATTCAGGTCTCTGTTCATGTGTCACCTCCTCAGAGAGGCCTTCCCTGACCACCCCTCAATGGCCTTCCCTGCTGACCCCCTCCCTGGCTTTGCTACTCTGCCCCCTACCCCAGATGAAAGCCCCAGGAGGGCAGGCAGCTTTAGACTGCCCTGCTCTTGAAGCCCAGAGTCTAGAAGGTGCCTGGCACACAGAAGGTGGACCATAATTGGTGTTAAATGAAAAAAAATAAAAGGGCTTCAGGAGAAGGCTCTGTTCTGGCAAATAATCATTAAATGTTTACTAGTGCTGGAGTCAGCCCTGGGGCTAGATACAGAAGCTCCAAGTCTAGATGGGGAGACAGAGCTGTGGTAAGTGCTGGGCAAGTGGGTGGGGGTGGGAATGCTGACCCAGCCTGAGCGGGTCAGGGTGGACATATCAGGGAGAAGAAACCCATGCCAATGGAACTGAGAGGAGCTGGCATGGCTGCCATCCAGGTAAAGGGAGGGGGCAGGTAGGCAGGGAGGATGCTCTGGCCAACGCCGGGTGGAGGTGGCCTCCAGCATACAGCGGGTGTTCAGTGAAAATGCTTGCAGTGTCCAAGACCCCTGCATCCGAGGAGGACAATTTGAGTTTCTGGACGGGAACCTTCCCAGGTGAGGGGGAGTACAGAGCTGAAGCTTCCCCTCAGGAGTCGTGGGATCAGATGGGTTTTGAAAGGAAAGATTTTGCCTGTGGAGGGGTCTTGCTCATCTGGGACTGCCCAGAGTCTGTTCTTGAAGGAGGCAGCATCGCCACCACAGCCCACCAGGATCCTGATGGGAGGGAAGTTTGTCAGCCAGAAGGCAGCAGGGAAGCACCCAGGTGCCCTCTCCTGGGTGCTGGGAATCCGGGCAGGCACCCGGACATTTTCTTTCTCTCTGTCCTGTGTCTGGCACTCTCCTTGCCCCAGTCCAGATGGAATGGGCCACAGCTTGAAGTGGGGCAGAGGCGTCAAATGAGGCCCAAATTGAGTAGGGCAGGACAAAAGCTGAGAGAGACACCCCTGGCTAAGATCGGTGGGGGGGCCTCCCTGTGTGGAGTGAGCGTGAGCCTGCTCACGTACTCACCTCCAGGGAGAGGGAGTGAGGAGGAGGCAGGCCCCTGTCTTCCCAGGCTGTGGAATGTGGCACCTCGGGGAAGCTGGCCCCTGGACCTGGGACTATTCCTTGCAGGACTCAGCTGTCCCTCCCCACCCACACCATCTGCCCTGGTTCTGGTCGGGCTGGTTTTTCCTCCCCTGAGGACTTGGAGAGGAACACCAGGGGCCATCCTGACCTAGCTTACTTGCCCTGCCCTCCCCCTTTCCTGGGTTTCCACGTCTCAGGAAGCCATTGAGATGCAGCAGAAATGGCCAGACCTGGGCTGTGCGGAGGCTCAAGTCCCGAGAGCATCAGCCTCCTGACCCGAGTGCGGCTTTGGGCTGCTCATGACATGGCCGGCGCTGCCCTGTCCTGGCTGCTGGGCCCTTCAAGACAGTGAATAGGATTCTTCCCCATCTGGGCAAGAGCAAGGCTCCCCAAGAGACGGCATGGGTCCCAGGGCTGGGGGATGGTAGTGGCAGGGATCTTGCTCAGCTGAGACCGTCCAGGACTTGGCCAGCATCTCTGGCACACAGCAGTGCTTTGTGCAGGGTCCCTCTCTTTCATCACTCCCATTTGTCATCAGGTCATAACAGCAGGTCTTGTCTCTGTCCTTTACTCTCTAGCCCACCACTATGGCTAGATTCAGACCCTCTCATCTCTAGCATGGACTATTTTAAAACACCCTAAACTGGGTTCTTTATCCCTGGTCATCCCTGCTTCCCTTGACACATCAACCCATTTGCCACACAAAACCCACATCCCATCCCTGATGAAAATGACTTTCCATTGTCTTGCTTACAGCTCCCCCACAGCTGACCTTGTCCTCAACGACCCCCTTCCCTCCCCTCCTGCCATGGCCCAACCATATTGAATTGCCAGTAGTCTCCCAAGCTGGGCCCGGTTACTCATCTCTTCCAGGCCCCCATTCTCTTTACTCTTCTGCCTGAGAAATACCTACTGGTCTGTCAGCTTCTTGCTCAAGGGTCATGCCTCTGTAATTAAATAGCTCTCAATGCCCCCAGGCAGACATAATTCCCAGTGTCTACATACTTGATCACATTGATTGGTTTGAGGCATACCTCAATACTGGGTCAATAGCTCTAGCCTGATGGCCCACATGGTGGCTCCCACTCCAGCACCCCCTAAAGATCTTCCAGTTATTTCAGAAAGTCCCCAGGGGAATGCCTCGCATGTGCCCACAAGGTGGCTGCTGTCTTGCATAGAATACCCTCTGCTCTGCCACCAGCTGTAGCCCCACAGATCCACGCCACCACCTGGGAGAGCCTTGTTGTCTGTTGTGAGAACACCCAGGGGGGCCAACTTCAGATGCTTCCAGACGATGGATCCTTGGAGAACCAGAGTGGGAGGGCTTTCCTCAGGTGTAAGTCATCGGCTGCAAGGAGCTCTCCCTGTACTCAGACTCTTCCAAAGTTCTTCTTGTCCGTTTTGCCTTCTTGTTTCATAAAGAAGTAAAACTAGCCTGGCGGACCCAGGGGTGGGGGCACGAGGATGGAAACCCTTTCCAGGGTCTCTTTTCTCCTCACATCTAGTTCTCCCTCTTCCAAAACTTCCTCTCTCATTTCTCAATTCAAGGCTAGGGTTGGTGTGGATGAGCAGAGACAATGATGTCAGTGGTGAGTGCAGGGAGGGGAAGAGGGTATTGACTATATGAAATTTGGCTAGTTCTAAATGTCTGTGGTTTAGTGTTACTTAAGAAATTATTTACTTTAATTAACAAGAAATACTAAATACATTCTTATAAAACTTAAAACCATAGAGATTAAGCTTAGGTTCCTATTGGCTACCATCCTTCAATCAGATTCCTTCCTTACCTATGCATATATTCATACATATTCATATGGACCTTAGCAATAAGTCATCTTTTGAATGTATGTTGACATGAATTTATCATATTAAGTGTGTTGCTCTCCAACTAGATTTACTGTACCCAACAACTAGTTTTTTTTTTTTTTTCTTTTGAGATGGAGTTTCACTCTTGTCACCCAGGCTGGAGTGTAATGGCTCGATCTCAGCTCACTGCAAGCTCTGCCTCCCGGGTTCAAGCAATTCTCCTGCCTTAGCCTCCCGAGTAGCTGAGATTACAGGCACCCGCCGCCACGACTGGCTAATTTTTGTACTTTTAGTGGAGACGGGGTTTCACCATGTTGGCCAGGGTGGTCTCGAACTCCTGACCTCAGGTGATCCACCCACCTTGGCCTCCCAAAGTGCTGGGATTACAGGCGTGAGCCACCATGTCCGGCCCAATAACTAGTTCTTTAGGGTTTTCAGTGTCACTATTCATTGTCATTACTCATTCCATTTAATTTCTAGTCCTCCACAGCAGGATGTTACATAGTTACTGAACGCCTCCCCGCCATTAGTGATTGTTTGTGTCTTTGCACTGTAGCAAACAATGCTGCATAGGGCATCCTTTTATATGACTTCCTCAATACACGGGCCAGGGTTTCTTTCGGATGAACACGAAGAGTGGAACTGATGGCTCAAGAAGTGCATGAATGTTAAAAAAAATGATGACATTGTCAAATCGCTCTGCAAAGTGGTTACTACAACCCACCTCCCACCAATGTGTTTGAGGAGGTTCATTTACTCATGGCTTCTCTACACTTGACATCATCAAACGTTGTGAGCAGGCCAGTCTAATCAGGAAAAGTAAATCTCCTGTCTTCTCCTGAATTGGGGAGAGGTGGTCCCCTGGCTGCCTTAGTTGGGTAGGGGTCTGGGAGGGGGCCTGGTACTGTTGACAGAAACTTCCAGCCAGCCCTGCTTACGGTCCCTCTTCCACTTTTCCTCTCCATGTCTGTGGTGCCCCAATTCTTGAGCTTCTTTAGAGTATGTTGAGAATGTGCTTGCCTCTCACGGGCTTCCTGCTCTCTCCTCTGTTGACCCCTTCCTAATCCCCCAAACCCTGGGTCTCAGCTTTCTCTCATCTTCTGTGTTACCATTTTTGAGCTTTAAAGCTTTTGTTGACATTTCTCATCTTTGACCCTCCCTCCTTCCTTTCCTCCTTCCCTCCTTCTTTCCCTCCCCTCCTCCTTCCCTCCCTTCCTCCCTCCCTCCCTCCCTCCCTCCCTCCCTTCCTTCCTTCCTTCCTTCCTTTCTTCCTCCCTTCCAGCTGGGTCTTACTCTGTCACCCAGGCTGGAGTGCAGTGACGCAATCTTGGCTCACTACAGCCTCCACCTCCCAAGCTCAGGTGATCCTCTCACCCCAGCGTCCTGTGTAGCTGGTACTACAGGTGCACACAACCATGCCCAGCTAATTGTTTGCATTTTTGGTAGAGACAGGAGTTCGCCATGTTCCCTAGGCCAGTCTCAAACTCTTGAGCTCAAGCAGTCTGCCCGCCTCGGCCTTCCAAAGCGCTGGGATTACAGGCGTGTGCCACTGTGCCTCACCTCTTCTTCCATTCTCTTAAAATACTCCTTAACTGTCATATCATAGCAGGGTTTTAGGAAGGAGTCAAAATTGATGTAGCTATTGAACCTACCACATTTCACCAAAGCTAATACACTTCTATACACCCCCCTACCAGATTGTCAGCCTCTTAGAGGCAGGAAATATTTGTATTTACTTCTGTGCCCCAGCCCCTGGCAGCATGCGTAGCACAGAAGCTGCGCTTGATGCATGTTCACTGAATGAATGGAGGAGCGGGTGAGGAAGTTCCTTGTGCTGGTGGTCCCTGGGGAAGCGGAGGCCGTTCAGGTAAGGAGCTACTAATTGACAGGACATGCAAGCTCATGAAGTTTTCCACACATTTACCTTTCCTCTCCTCCAGATTATGAACAGAGCCTTCTGCTTTGCTCATGGACACGAGTCTGTCTCCTCTGCTAGGCTCAACTTGGAGGAAACTTGCTTGAATGGCCCACTGACTGACCAAACAAATAATTGTGCATCAGAGCAGGCAGGGCAAGTTGGGATCTTGGCAGATGATACAATGCCTTCCCCAACTTGGTGGCTCTTTCTCCAGGGCAGCAGAAGAAGGCACCTTGATCCCTTTCCCATGAGAGGAGGGCAGCATTAGCAATTGGGACTGTGGCTTGAGGGAGTGAAAGATTTTGGCCCAAATACCCAGTCCACTACTTACTTGTGTGACCTTGGACAAGATATTAACCGTTTTGAGCCTCAATTTTCTTGACTGTTAAATGGGGACAATAATACTTAATTAACATGATTCATTGAGATAATATATTCAGAGTGTTTAGCATGGAGCCTGGCCCAGTAGATGTTGGCTATGATTATCTACTGTATTATTATCACCTTGGTCATCATTATTCTTGTTGTCATTATCACACCATTCCATTCTATCCAAGGACTAGGTCTCTCACCCCCAGCTTCTTTCCTGTGGTCTCCAATGACTATCCCATTTCTCCTGGGATGATGAAAACCCCCCTACCTTTAACCTCTCCACTCTGGGAACCACCTGCATCTGCTGAAGGATAAGAAGCTTCATGTGTATGTCCAAGTGGAGAGGCAGAGGGGGCCTCAGCCTCAGTGTTAGGAGTTAGAAATGAATCCCAGATCTGCCTCAGTTCAGTCGGTTGAATCATCATGCGACCCCAGGAAAGTCACTTTACCTTTCTGAGCATCCTGGGGCTGGACTGGCTTTTTCTGTAATTCATGGGTTATTAATAGATATTTAAAGATTCCATGGTCCAGTGCACTTGGGAAATACTGGTTAAAGAAAGTTAAATAATAACACTTGTAGCCAAAATTATAGTAACAAATACTATATAAAAATAACATTATATAATAATAATAATAATGCTGTTTGAGTGCTATTTGCCAGGTGTGATAAACCTTTTACAAGCACCATTACATTTATCACTTGAAGCAACCCTCTGAAATAGGTATCCTCCTCCTCCTCCTCATCATCATCATCTCTATTTTACAAATGAGGAAATGAGGTTTCCAGGGCTTCTGGTACTGTGCCTTGTGAAACTCCAAAAGAGAGTCAGAGAGAGCAGAGTTTCCGATCTTATTTGACAGGGATCTTTTTTCCTGCAGGGATCTCATAGTGCTGGGGTTCTGTAGAATCCAGTTGGGGAAGGCTGGGCAGGATCCTCCCTGGGATTCCTTTGAGCTCACCATTCCATACCCATCACTTCTGACCCTCTGTACCCCTCTTCTGCAGACCCCAGACCTGAGACTGGAGACATGAACATTGGATGGATGCTCCTCTGACCAGGTTCTGCCCTCCTGAAGCCAGAGGCTGATGGGAGCCTCCTGGTTGTGAGCACTGTTTCCTAAATGGGAGCAGCAGCTTGACCTCCAGTTCCATCTCTGGGTAGGGCAGCCTCTACAGACTGTTCTCCTGAGTCCTTGATGAATCAGAAAGTGCCAAAGGCCACATACCTCATGGCCAGGCACTGTTTCTGGCCAGAGAGAGGGAACAAGGTATTCTCCCTAGCCCAGCCAACAGTTCAGTCTGGGGTTGACTGCCCTTGGCACTGGCATGATAAGATTTTGAGGGAAGGCACCCAAAGGAGTTGTTTTGGGGGCCGAGACTTCCTTGGAAGGGAGAGCAGGGCCTCCGTTACTCTTGGCTGATGGTCAAGAAGCTGGAGGCCAGAATCTGATACTCCTAGCGGTGGACCTTTGGCAAATTACTGCCTCTCACCAAGCCTCTGTTTCCTTATCTGTAAAATGGAGATAAGAATACCTTTTCCACTGGGCTGCTGTGAGGATCCAGTGAGATCTGAAAAGGCTCTAAACTGTGCTACCCTGTAGTCAACTGTCCTTCTGTTTATGGTCTTAGAGTAGGGGGCTGGGACTCCAAGTGCCTCTGAAGGTTAGGGAGCTCAGAACACCTTAATCTTACGAATGGAACTGTTGATTCTATTCTTTGCCCTTTAATACAAAGTCCCTCCCCAGACCCCCCTATCAGGCCAGAAAAACAGAGCTGCCTATTGGGGCTTTGTGTGCATGGCAACTATCTGGCCAATCTCCCTTCCCGCTAACAAGGAGCAGGCCTCCTCATCAGTGCCTGATAAGGGAATGACTCAGAGCTGACCAGTCACAGGGTGCTGGCTTTTATGGCTGGTCTTGGACTCCCCTTTCTCCCTCTTGGGCTCTCCAAAGACCTTCAGTCTTTCTGCAACTGATTCACTAGTTAAACAGCCTCAGACTGGCCTTCCTGAGGGCTCAGAGCGGTTCCTGGTGGGTTAGGGGTGTGTATTTACGGGGTTTCCTGCCCCAGTTCAAGGATGAGTTGGCAGCTAACAGGTAGTTTGCTGGGAACTTAGGTTTCCGAGGCTGGAGACAAGTCTCCACCAGTCACAGGTGACCCAGGTGATAATACACAGAGAAGAGGGCTGAGCTGGGCCACCCCTCTTTTCATGAGGGAAAACTGAGACCCAGAGATGGGCAGGGACTGGCCTGTCTCCCTTAATACCTTCTCAGGAGGGCCTCTGTTCCAAGCCTGGGTGAATGCTTTGCCATAAGGACAAGAAGGAACCATGGGGACAGTTCTGGGGACGGGGGTCACTGGGGACAGGAACTGGGGTGAGGTTGTTGCAGCGCCCTGTAGTGCCTGGCAGGGGGCATGGCCCTCCAAAGAGATCCAAAACGGTGGGTGGAATTGTTGAACAGAGCAAGGGGTGGGGCTGTGTGGGGAGGAAGGCCCTGCCTCTATTGTCAAAACCTTTACCTTGTGCCGGGCACTTTGTGTCGCTCTGCCCAGCTCATTCAAGCACTCATCTTTATACAAGGATGAGGACATGCATTCAGCAGCCCTCTGACAAGGAGGGCAGGGATTCATCCTATGTTTGCCTTTCAGTGGCAGATGCTAAATGCCTCATGGGCAAGTTACTGGCCTCTCCCAGGCTCTGCTTCCTCATTTTGGAAATATTAAAGCAGCCCAATACTCCTGTGGTTGAATGAACGCATGCTTTGGGGGATGGAAGGGAGGGGATCATCCTGGTGGCCAGGGACGAGTGGGCTTTGAGGGTTCCAGAGTGAGGATCAGGCTGGAGCTTAGTGTTGGAAAGGTGTCAGCTGCCAGAACCGCTCCCTGCAGCTGTTCTCAGGAGACTGTTGTCACCTGGGGCACTGAATGGCGACAGCAGGGTGAGGCAGCTTTGTCTTGAGAGGGCTGGGTTCGTGCAGCTCAAAATGCCCGGATGTGCCCTGATCCGGAACTGGTGCCTTTGTCAGAGGGGACAAAAGGGGAGTTGGGCATGGGTGTTCCCAAGAAGCTGGTTCTGAGAGGCTGTAATCTCCAGTGGAGGGCAGGAATCTGTGAATGCACTTTGTGGGGGGCGGGCTGGTTAGGATCGCAAGCAAGGGGCTCTTAACAGGGAGCACTCTGAATGGTTAATCACTGGGGCTGGGCGCAGGGGCTCACGCCTGTAATCCCAGCACTTTGGGCGGCCCAGGCGGGTGGATCACTTGAGGTCAGGAGTTTGAGACCAGCCTGGTCAACATGGTGAAACCCTGTCTCTACTAAAAATACAAAAATTAGCTGGGCGTGGTGGCGCGTGCCTGTAATCCCAGCTACTCCGGAGGCTGAGGCAGGAGAATCGCTTGAACCCGGGAGATGGAGGCTGCAGTGGGCCGAGATCACACCACTGCACTCCAGTCTGGGCGACAGAGACTCGTCTCCAAAAAAACAAAAACAAAATCACTGGGTCAGGGGTGTGTAGGAATATGACCCCAGAGGGACTGTAATTCCCAGTGGTGTCAAACTCTGGGTGATCTTAAAGGGTGAGGCTCAGAATGTGGCTTCCAGGGACAGGGGTGTCCAGGTATGTCCCTGACGGGGGAAAGGCCAGAACAGGGTCTGCAGAGAGAGAGTGGGGGAGTGCGGGTCGGAGCTTCTGCGCGGACCGGGGCGGGGCACCTCTGGAGGGCAGGGGCCTCTGGTCTCTGGGAGGGGAGGGAATTGACCAATGGGGAGAGAGCCCATATTTGCTCTCAGGAGCCTGCAAATTCCTCAGGGCTCAGATATCCGCCCCTGACACCATTCCTCCCTTCCCCCCTCCACCGGCCGCGGGCATAAAAGGCGCCAGGTGAGGGCCTCGCCGCTCCTCCCGCGAATCGCAGCTTCTGAGACCAGGGTTGCTCCGTCCGTGCTCCGCCTCGCCATGACTTCCTACAGCTATCGCCAGTCGTCGGCCACGTCGTCCTTCGGAGGCCTGGGCGGCGGCTCCGTGCGTTTTGGGCCGGGGGTCGCCTTTCGCGCGCCCAGCATTCACGGGGGCTCCGGCGGCCGCGGCGTATCCGTGTCCTCCGCCCGCTTTGTGTCCTCGTCCTCCTCGGGGGCCTACGGCGGCGGCTACGGCGGCGTCCTGACCGCGTCCGACGGGCTGCTGGCGGGCAACGAGAAGCTAACCATGCAGAACCTCAACGACCGCCTGGCCTCCTACCTGGACAAGGTGCGCGCCCTGGAGGCGGCCAACGGCGAGCTAGAGGTGAAGATCCGCGACTGGTACCAGAAGCAGGGGCCTGGGCCCTCCCGCGACTACAGCCACTACTACACGACCATCCAGGACCTGCGGGACAAGGTGGGCGGAGGCCCGGCCGCGGGAAGTGCAGTGCACCTGCCGCGGAAACCCAGCCCCGCGGGCCGGGCGAGGTTCCAGGCGGGGCGGCGGGCAGGAGCCCGTTAGGACGTGGGAAGGTCCACAGGTGGGGCCGAGTAAAGGGGGACAGGAGACGTGCGGGGCAGGACCTCGGGGCTGGATGCAGAGGCCGGGGTGGTGGAAAGGGGAGGAGAACTGGGCAGGGCAGATAAGTGGGTGGGGCCTCTGGAGGTGGCGGGGGCAAGGTTGGAGCCCCGGGACGAAGAAGGGACGCGGGTCAGCGAGGCCTGAAGAGTGGGAGGAGATGGGACCCGGCTGTAGAGTGCCCAGAGGTCTAGGCCAGGGGCCGCGCTGCCGCAGGAAGATGCGAGAGTTTGGCTTTGGTGATCTGGTCCACCCGGGGCCAGTCTTGCCCCCTCTGCCACCGCAGCGTAGGGCCTCCTGCATTCCGTTTCTCTGGCCGGAAGGGTCTAGTGTTCATCCCTCTCAGGCTTTGGCCTCCTCCCACTCTCCCGCCCTGGGGCCCATTCGTTTAGGAAGAATGGGAGAGCCGGTCGTGGCCCCTGGGCGGGGTAAAGGAGGGAGGCTTGGTAAACCTCTGCTGGGGAGGACCCAGTACAGTGGCAGCTCCTTGTCGGGGAAAGAACGGATCTGCGTCACACGCTCTTACAGGGGAACCCTAAGGGGCCTGAGGGGTAGGGCTTGGTCTCCACCCAGAGGGAAGGAGAAATTTTTCGAGTCGTAAAGAAATGTATCAGAAGCCATGGAACATTTACAGCCGCACACGCTGGGTCTCCCAACAAACAGATCCCCAAAATATTTTCCAGTGCTGTACTCGTGGCATAGACCCAGACCCACAGACCAGGAGGAAGCGCTAGAGATGTCAACAGCCAACAAAAACAGTGCTTTACACACTTGTAAAATTGTGACCTACAGGGGCTGGGCACTGTGGCTCACGCCTGTAACCCCAGCACTTTGGGTGGCCAAGGTGGGAGGATTGCTTGAGCCCCAGGAGTTCGAGATCAGCCTGGCAAACATGGTAAAATCCTGTCTCTACTAAAAATACAAAAATTAGCTGGGCGTGGTGGTGCATGCCTGTAATCCCAGCTACCTGGGAGGCTGAGGCAGGAGAATTGCTGGAACCCAAGAGGCGGAGGCTGCAGTGAGCCGAGATTGCGCCATTGCACTTCAGTCTCGGCCACAGAGCGAGAGTCCGTCTCAAAAAAAAAAAAAAAAAAAAAAAAAAAGGAATTAGCTTGGCATGGTGGCGTGTGCCTTGCAGCGAGCTGTACGTGATCAGTGCCACTGCACTCCAGCCTGGGGCAACACAGCGAGACCCTGTATCAAAAAAAAAAAAAAATTGCGACAATAAGTACATTTTACTACGCACCCTTACGCATTCTTTTTCTCACCTCTGTGTGTGTGTGTGCGTGCACATGCACACACACAAATGGGTGACACAATTCTCACCATACTAAGAGAAATCCCCTCTGATATTTTGTAGCCTATTCTGTTGCATTAAAAAACTACACAATCGGCCGGGCGCGGTGGCTCATGCCTGTAATCCCAGCACTTTGGGAGGCGGAGGCGGGCGGATCACGAGGTCAGGAGATCCAGACCATCCTGGCTAACACGGTGAAACCCCGTCTCTACTAAAAATACAAAAAAAAATTAGCTGGGCGTGGTGGAGGGCGCCTGTAGTCCCAGCTACTCAGGAGGCTGAGGCAGGAGAATGGCGTGAACCCGGGAGGCGGGGCTTGCAGTGAGCCGAGATCGCGACGCTGCACTCCAGCCTGGGTGACAGAGCGAGACTCTGTCTCAAAAAAACCCCAAAAAACAAAACCAAAAAACCCCCCCAAAACACAAAACTATACAATCACCACCTGGTGCCTTGACTAATGAGTGATGACCTGCTCTTTGAAAAACAGAACACAATTACCTTATTCAATGATAAGCTGGCTGTTGTGAATGCGCCTCTTAGGTCAGTAAGACCTCAGGTTGGGGTGAACTTGGATGAGGCATCATCCTAAACTTTAGTTTCCACCTCTGTAAGATAGGAGTACCCACTGACCTAGCAGTGAGGTTCCAGAAGCTATAAAAGATGAGATTCAAAGTGCCTGGCACATAATTGATACTCAACAAATGGGATTCTCTTCCCTGGGGGCAAAATATGCTTCGCATAGTGGGGGGGGCAGGTATAGACAAAATCTACCCCCCATCTGGTTTATAGACCCCCTTCAGGCCATTTAGAGTTTCATTGCACACAGGTCTCAGAGATTTCCTCCCCAGGCTTGCCTTCCTGCCCTCCCCCACCCAAGTCCCCCTGGCTCCAGTTTTCTTCCTGCCCCAGCTTCTGGGCATGGACTGTTTGCAAGGCCTCCCAGAGAGCGGGCCAATGGGCGGCAGATGCTGGCTAGGGCTTTGGTCTCTAGGGTGCCGGGGTATATTCATTTGCTCCCCTCTCTCTTCTGGGAAGAAAGTGAGTGGGCAGTGCCTGTGTGTTGAACTGGTACCAACCTCTGCCTCTGCCTTCCAGATTCTTGGTGCCACCATTGAGAACTCCAGGATTGTCCTGCAGATCGACAATGCCCGTCTGGCTGCAGATGACTTCCGAACCAAGTGAGTGTCTCTGTCCTGGGGGCTGCAGAAGCCAGGACTGGGGTAGGGGTTGGGGGGTTTAGAATCTGCCCTCACCTAGCCTAGATGGCCTGAAGCTAACCCCCCTATGGACTCCTGAACTCTGGGGAGGTAGGGAAGTCTTCAGAGATGCTGAGGAAGCTCTGCCTGGCTGCAACTATTTCCTTTGAAAGGTTTGAGACGGAACAGGCTCTGCGCATGAGCGTGGAGGCCGACATCAACGGCCTGCGCAGGGTGCTGGATGAGCTGACCCTGGCCAGGACCGACCTGGAGATGCAGATCGAAGGCCTGAAGGAAGAGCTGGCCTACCTGAAGAAGAACCATGAGGAGGTGGGTTTGAAGCTGGGCCTTTCTTCCATCCTTCCCTAACCTCCCAGGGCTGAAGACTCTTTTATTCTGTATTCTCTGACCGTGGTAACACTTGGTGCACCCTCACCATGGCCCTGGGTGTGGGATCATGGATCCCAGGGTTCCAAGAGGAATCAGTGATGACCCAGTCTGTCCCCCAGTGCTAGTTACTAGGCCTGCACCTGAAAACTAAGCCCCTTTAGCCTGAAGGGTGGGGAAGTGACCTGGGCCAGGCCCAGTGGGGTCTGGGCCCTGACATGCCCATCTCTGCTGTATCTTTACAGGAAATCAGTACGCTGAGGGGCCAAGTGGGAGGCCAGGTCAGTGTGGAGGTGGATTCCGCTCCGGGCACCGATCTCGCCAAGATCCTGAGTGACATGCGAAGCCAATATGAGGTCATGGCCGAGCAGAACCGGAAGGATGCTGAAGCCTGGTTCACCAGCCGGGTAGGTAGAGGGAAGCAGGCACCCTTTGGGGGTTAGGAAGGGGAGGGCTTTGTGTTCCCTACGCGAAGGTCTGACTCAATGCTTATTCCCTCTTCTTCCTCTCTCTGCAGACTGAAGAATTGAACCGGGAGGTCGCTGGCCACACGGAGCAGCTCCAGATGAGCAGGTCCGAGGTTACTGACCTGCGGCGCACCCTTCAGGGTCTTGAGATTGAGCTGCAGTCACAGCTGAGCATGGTATGTGTCCCCCCACCGCCGCCGCTTCCCTGTGCAATTCACACTTATACCCTTGCAGCCTAGGGCAGCCTGGCCGGTGGCTGTGCCCATGCCCTCTCCGGGAACCAGGCTCTGCTGAGTCACAACCCCCTCTCCCTATCCTCAGAAAGCTGCCTTGGAAGACACACTGGCAGAAACGGAGGCGCGCTTTGGAGCCCAGCTGGCGCATATCCAGGCGCTGATCAGCGGTATTGAAGCCCAGCTGGGCGATGTGCGAGCTGATAGTGAGCGGCAGAATCAGGAGTACCAGCGGCTCATGGACATCAAGTCGCGGCTGGAGCAGGAGATTGCCACCTACCGCAGCCTGCTCGAGGGACAGGAAGATCACTACAACAATTTGTCTGCCTCCAAGGTCCTCTGAGGCAGCAGGCTCTGGGGCTTCTGCTGTCCTTTGGAGGGTGTCTTCTGGGTAGAGGGATGGGAAGGAAGGGACCCTTACCCCCGGCTCTTCTCCTGACCTGCCAATAAAAATTTATGGTCCAAGGGAGGAAGGACGTTTGGTTTATTATTTCAGCCCATGGAGAGAATAGGTCGTTCGGTTTGTTATTTGAGCCCATGGAGAGATGGGTCCTGCCTTGGCCCTGTTTAGGTTTTATTTGAACCAAAGTTCACTCTGTCCCAGGAAAGGGAGGGGAGGGTACTCACATACTTTGCCTGTAATGGTAATTCCTGTTTACAGAAGTCTTCATTTATTTAACCCGTTCCTTAAAATAACCTCATGAAATAAGCATTGCTTCCATTTTACAAAAGTAAACTAAGGCTCAGAGAGGTGAAGTGTTTTTTTCTATATGTAACTGCTCTAATGCATGGCAAAGGTGGGATTTGAAATTGTTTTTGCTTCTAGATTTAGTTTTCTTTCTACTCTACTCCCCAGGGCGTTGAGGTATCTGTGTGAAATTAATGTTTATTGAACACCTACTATGTGCCATTGAATTAAAAACAGCCCTAAAAGGTAGTATGAGCTGCATGTTATAGATCAGGAAATAGGCTCAGAGAGGTTCAGTAACTTGTCCAAGGCCACACAGCAACTACATGGTAGAGCCAGGACTAGAACCTAAGTTGCCTGATTCTTAGCCCATGGTGCCAGCCCCTGCCAGGTGGTCTCCTGGAGTTGACGCCACTTGTGCCGGTCTTGCTGACATTCCAGTCTTGTGCCCTATGAAGGCTCAGGCCGGGGATCCCTAGGGGCAGTTCCTCCCGACACATTTCTCCACCTCACTGAAACTGGGGGTTTGGGGCCAGGCATCCCGCTTGGAGCAAGGCTGGGGAGGCTGTACCTGTCAGTGTGTGTTGTGTGTGTGCATGCACTAACACATTCACCCATTTTTGGGGCAGCCCTGCATAAGCCCTTTAACGCCCACCAGCCCATACCTGGGCCCAGAGCCCAGAATGGGACCCAGCAGTGACCCAGACCTCCCACAGAGACCCCAACCCTGGCTTGCCTGGGGCCTGCCCTGGGCCAGCAAAAGAACGAAGTCCCAGCTTCCTGGTACAACTCTGCCCTTGGGTAGGTATGGCCCTGCTCCTGTGGTTTACATCTCAGCTGCCAAGAACTGAGGCCAATTCAAGGTAAGGAAGAGGCCCCAAAAGAAGTCCCACTTCTTCCTGGTGGAGAGGTGAGGGCTGCAGGCCCAACCCTATGAGTGATGGGGGCAAGTGAGGGACACTAGTTCCACGCCCGCATGCTGCCAAATGTACTCAGCACCCTGCTAAGGAGGCTGGAGACCCCATCACGGCCATGGCAATCCCGAAGGAGGAGCTGTTTCAAGGTTGGTTATGAACATGTAACCCCAGAGCCCCGCTGCTGTAGCCTGGACTGGGACCCCCTTCTGCCCCCTCCCTAGCTGTCCTGTTCTGGCCTCCAGCACCCACAAACCACCACCCCCAACTTAACTTCTCAGGAAGCCTTGGAGCTGGAGGGAGAGGCCTGGCTGCACCCCCAGCTGGGACTGCCCAGAGGCGCTTGTCCCTGCCCATGAAAGCCTCCCTTGTCACAGCTGAAACCTTCCCTCTGCCTCAGGGGCCCCTGGAATGTGGCTGCGGGGCGGGGTCTGGGCCCACACAGGTGGGGCAGGTGACTGTCAGGTCTCAGGCCTGAGTGTCAGGAATGAAGCCTGCCTTTGTGTGTGCACAGTGCAGGGTGGGGCTGGACTGGGGACACTTTTCTGTCTCAGCCTGGAGACCTGGGATAGGAGGGAGAGGGGAGTGGGGAAGTTGAGGGGAGTGCCTTTACATCCTGCTGGTCATCGTGGCCACTTCAGTCTGTTGAGCATTTCCTGTGAGTCATCTTGCTCCAACTGAGAGTCAGGCTGAGCTGGAGTTATTTCCATTTTCCTGATTGGTAGACTAAGGCTCAGAGAGAGGAGGCGGCATTACCCAAAGCCGCACAGCTGGTAAATGGGAAAAGAGGGGTTTAAAGGTAAGTCTCTGGGCTCCAGGACACACCCCCTCTCCCTGGCATTTCCCTGGGGAACAGGAGAGGTGTGGGAGGGTTCTAAGGTTGTTGGAGACTTCATTCTCCTTGTGCCCTCAAATGCTCACTATGGCCCTGAGGGGAGTCTGTGTTAATGGCCTAAGTTTAAATCAGGAACCAGGCTCAGAGAGGCTGAGTCTCTTTCCACTGGGCTGCACTGCCTCATTCTAAGGAGAAAAGGCCAGCTCCACAGATGGCCCCATCTGGCTGCAGTGGGCAAAGGTCAGAAACTGGCACAGCATCCTGGGCAGGCTGCCTGGGGCAGGGCCCGGGGCTACAGCCTGGGCTGGGGCCAGACAGAGCTTTATCTTCGCAAGGCCATCCCACCTGGTGCTAATGAGGAGGCTCCGGGCCCCACCCAGATCTGGAGCTCACAGTAGCGGTTTGGACTGAAACCAGGGATTTGTGCGTGGGGCAGTGAGGGGGGCAGCTGCCGCCCCTGGCCTGGGCCTGAGAGTATAGAGAAAGCCACCTCGAGGGGCTGCTGGAGGAGAGTCAGGTGCAGAAGGGGATCTGGCTGGGGTCCAGCCCTTCCTCACCCTGGGGTGAAAGGCGAGTAATTGTTCTTGAGTTAATTGCTGGGGCCACAATGTCTGCAGAGGCTTTTAATGAGCTCTGGATGATCTGAGTTTGATTATTTTTCTTTCGGAGGAAAAGACAATACCCTCCCACCCATGAGACAATACCACACTGTCTGTGCCCAGCATTGGAGGCCAGGCTCACTGCGAAGATGGATGAGAAGGAACCCACCCCCAGCCTTGCTGGCTGGCAGTTCCCCTTGCCAGCCCAGCTCAGATGCAGGAATTTGGGGTCTGCAGGAAGGACTCTTTCCCTGTGCCCTGTTTGGTTGAGGGTGTGAGGACCTGTTTGAGTCCTGGCTTTGCCCCTTACCAGTGGTGCCACCTGGCACAAGTTGCTTCACCTCTCCAAGTTTCAATTTCATTCTTTCTGAATCTTGGGTGGGGGTCACCCTCTGTTGTGAGGATGAGAGGAGGTGATGGATGCAAAAGTGCTTTGTAAATCACAAAGTGCAGGGTAGAAGTAAAGGATTATGCTATTATAGCAAAATAAGAACCTAAGAACAACCTGCGTTGCCCCATAGGAGCTGGCTATGGAAGGTCGATGCCGTTGAGCCTAAGAACATGCTCAGGCTCACAGGGCATGTTCTGATGCCCAACGACAAAGCCCCTCCTGGTGAGGGCACTCAGGCGCAGGTGCCGGTCATGCACCCTGGCCCCTGCATGTCTGGCACCTGGGTGGGGATCCAGGAGGGGGCAGGATGGGGGCTCTTGGGCCACAGGGCTTCCCTGGAAGTGAGAGTTGAGAGCGCCCCTTGCCACAGGGAAACAGAGACTTAAAAAGGTAAATGTCCACAGTCTTACCATGGTAATTGGTAGGGTCAGGATTTGAACCCAGGCCTCACAGTCTTACCATGATAATTGATAAAGCCAGGATTCAAACCCGGGCCTGAGGGACTCCAGAGCCCTGTCCACTTCACCATGCTGCAACCTGGGCTAGGAATCCTCCTCCTGAGTTTCTGTAAGCCCTGGGGCCAGGTCCAGAGGGCTGAGCCACACCTCCAAGTGGCACTGCCCACAGGTATCAGGTGTCCCTGGAAAGGTGTCCCTGAGCTGGTGGCAGAGAAAAGGGCTCTCCTGAGTGTTCAACTCCCCGTCTGTGTGAAGCAATGCCTTGGTCTTCAAGATCTCCGGTGTCTTCCAGCCTGCCTGCCAGTCTCCCTTCTCTTCCCTTCCACAGCATTCAGGCACATAGAGCCTTCTGCAGCGGCCCGTCCCCAGCCAGCACTTGACAGGACAGATGGGGGCTAATCTGGCCCTGCTAAGCAGCGACATGCCTCTCCTGGAGAAGGCAGGGGCTTCCTGGAACTTGCCCCAGCCTTATCAGCGGAGGTTTGCCCCAACACATCCCAGAAACGAGCAAAGGTTCAGCGCCGTGCAGTTGGCAGGTGTCGGGATCATCAGTCATCCCCTTGTCAGTCCCAAGCCTGCTGGGCTTTTGTGAGGGTGCCAGGAACACAGGCTGGAGGATGGCAGGAGGGGAGTAGAGGTGGGAGGAGGGGAGTCCATCTGCAGCACCAGGTAAGGGGATGGATGCTGGCTCCTCTGGTCACCTCAGCTGGAACACTACTCAAGGTCCCTGGCTCCTGTCCTCCACCTGCCCCCAGGGGCCCTGCATTCCCATCCCCAGGGCCTCCACTCTCCCTGAGCCCTGCAGTCTCTCACTCACTCACTCACTCACTCATTCACTCACTCACTCACTCACAGGGTTTTGAGTTGGATAACACAGCATAATGATCGGCCAGTGGACTCCCAAACTAAGAACACGGAGCTGTCCTCTTGGGGAGAGGCTCAGGGCTCGGGGAAGTGAAGTCCAGCTGAGGGCACAGTTGGCCTGAGCTGCTCTCAGTACAGGCAGAGGCCTTGGTAGCTGTGCTGTGATGAGAGTTCGCTCCCTGCTGCTCTCTTCTGGCATGGAGAGATGAACCTGTAATCCAAGTGTTAAAACCGTGCCCTGGGGAAAAACACTATTAATTCTGAATCATCTCTTTTGTTGCATTAAAAAAAAATAGAAGAGAAAAACTTCACATGACCCACTCAAGGTGTGCAGGCAGCTGTGTTTGTCAGGAAGGCAGAAGGAGTTGGCTTTGCTTTAGGGGAGGAGACGAGGTCCCACAACACCCTCTGAAGGGTATATAAGGAGCCCCAGCGTGCAGCCTGGCCTGGTACCTCCTGCCAGCATCTCTTGGGTTTGCTGAGAACTCACGGGCTCCAGCTACCTGGCCATGACCACCACATTTCTGCAAACTTCTTCCTCCACCTTTGGGGGTGGCTCAACCCGAGGGGGTTCCCTCCTGGCTGGGGGAGGTGGCTTTGGTGGGGGGAGTCTCTCTGGGGGAGGTGGAAGCCGAAGTATCTCAGCTTCTTCTGCTAGGTTTGTCTCTTCAGGGTCAGGAGGAGGATATGGGGGTGGCATGAGGGTCTGTGGCTTTGGTGGAGGGGCTGGTAGTGTTTTCGGTGGAGGCTTTGGAGGGGGCGTTGGTGGGGGTTTTGGTGGTGGCTTTGGTGGTGGCGATGGTGGTCTCCTCTCTGGCAATGAGAAAATTACCATGCAGAACCTCAATGACCGCCTGGCCTCCTACCTGGACAAGGTACGTGCCCTGGAGGAGGCCAATGCTGACCTGGAGGTGAAGATCCATGACTGGTACCAGAAGCAGACCCCAACCAGCCCAGAATGCGACTACAGCCAATACTTCAAGACCATTGAAGAGCTCCGGGACAAGGTGAGTCCTCGGATGTCAAAGAGAGGGGAGCAGGTGGCTGGTACCCTGTACACAGCTCTAATGTCAGTGTTACTGCTGACTCAAGGAAATCCTTTCCTGCCCAGGCAATGACTGTCTGGTATGTAATCTCAGCAAATTTGGAATGCACCTGCTGTCCAGGTGCAGAGGCCAGTGCACATCTTCTCAACTTGGTGGTGCTGGGGGAGGGAGAGAGGGGTCTTGGGAATCTGGTTAGGACCAACAGGGGCACAGGTGGGGGCAATTATAAAGAGCCAGAGGCAGTAGCTCACACCTGTAATCCCAGTGCTTTGGGGGGCCAAGGTGATAGGATTGCTCGTGTCCAGGATTTAGAGGCTGCAGTGAGCTATGACTGTGCCACTGCACTCCGGCCTAGGTGACAGAGTGGAACCTGTATCTAATTAAATAAAAATAATTAAAAAAAAAGAGCAACTCGCCCTCCCTACCTCATGCACCCTGCAGGCTTCTGCATAAAGTATTCCTTTACCTCTTTTGCAAGAATGGGATTGGAGTGTGGCCTCATGAGTTCCAGATGCTAGAACCTCTTGTCTTTTCCTATAAAGAGGTCTTTTGTGCCAAAAGTACTGTTGGGTCTTAGGAGACCTGGGAACTCATTACACATTCTGCCACCCACTCACTCACCATTTTACTCCCTAAGACTGGGTTCCTCATTCGTAAAATGCCTTCTTAACTGCCCTCCAGGTTGCTACTGGCTGGAATGTTCTGTAGATCCATGGCTGTGTCCAAGGTGTGCAGGAGGCAGTGACCATGAGTTGTCCACAGTGGGGCTGGTGGAGTGTCTCTGAGAGAGCTATTGTCAGAGCTGGCTGCACCCCACTGCCCCACTCTCCTGGGCAACCAATTCCCACAGGCAATACTGCCTCCTTGGTCTTTCGTGCCCTGGAGATAAGGAAGGCAGCTCCTCAGGTGTCTCAAGGAGGCTGGATGGGACAAAACAAGAAATGGACACTGAAAGTGAGGCTGGACTTTGCCCACCCCAGAAGCCGTACAGATTTTTGTTGGTGGTGTCAGAGGGGTGATTGTCAGTGAGGGGTGATTTTCAATGAGGGGCTGGCCTTGGGTGCAGAGCAGAGAGCAGCAGGGGAGAGAGAGGAGTCCTCTAGACACCGACTCTGTCTCCTGCAGATCATGGCCACCACCATCGACAACTCCCGGGTCATCCTGGAGATCGACAATGCCAGGCTGGCTGCGGACGACTTCAGGCTCAAGTGCGCTCCCCCGTCTCTCTCCTCTTCCTGCATTGCCCACTTTACTTGGCCTTCTCCTGGCTCTGACTCAGGCAGCCAAGACCCCTCCCACTTCCTTCTTTGGCCTCCCTCTCCTCAGGTATGAGAATGAGCTGGCCCTGCGCCAGGGCGTTGAGGCTGACATCAACGGCTTGCGCCGAGTCCTGGATGAGCTGACCCTGGCCAGGACTGACCTGGAGATGCAGATCGAGGGCCTGAATGAGGAGCTAGCCTACCTGAAGAAGAACCACGAAGAGGTGAGAGCTGGCCCCCATCACCCCTGAACCCGAGAGAGGTGGGGAACCTCTTCCCAAAACTCACTTAAATTGCCCAGAGGGAAAGACAGTGGCTCCAGGAAGCCCTCCCAGATTTTCACGAGATTAAGTCAGTGGGAGGCAGAGTGGGGCTGTTGGTACTTCCTCATAGTTGGCCTGGGGCTTAGTGGTTCAGAAACACACCTACCCCACAAAACCAGGTGTCCTCATGGAGAGGAAGGGGCAGTGTCTGGTAGCCCAGGCCCACAGCCAGCCCAGGTGGCCCGTATGAATGGTTGACTTCCTGATTGGCTTTGTGAGCTCACATCAGGGCCCTACAGTCTCGGGGTCCTCCCTTGGTAGGACCTAGAGCAGCAGAGAACTCCTTAGAGCTGAGGGGTCCATGTGACCAAACCTCTTCATGTGCAATGGGGAACAGCGGTTGGGGTGTGTTACGGGCAGAGCCAGGATTGGCATGTGTGACGCCAGACTCTCAGGTCTCTCTTCTGCTCTCCGTCTCTAAGTGGGTCCCTCCCATCCTGCAGGAGATGAAGGAGTTCAGCAGCCAGCTGGCCGGCCAGGTCAATGTGGAGATGGACGCAGCACCGGGTGTGGACCTGACCCGTGTGCTGGCAGAGATGAGGGAGCAGTACGAGGCCATGGCGGAGAAGAACCGCCGGGATGTCGAGGCCTGGTTCTTCAGCAAGGTGGGCCTTATATCCTGCCCTGCCCTTCCTGCCCCAGGTCCCTGAGTCTCCGAGGAGGCCCCGGGGCTCACTTCTGTTGTGCATGACCTACAGACTGAGGAGCTGAACAAAGAGGTGGCCTCCAACACAGAAATGATCCAGACCAGCAAGACGGAGATCACAGACCTGAGACGCACGATGCAGGAGCTGGAGATCGAGCTGCAGTCCCAGCTCAGCATGGTACGGCCACTCGCGCCCCATCCCAGCCTCTCGGGTGGTAGAAGCTCCCACTCTTCCTGGCTATTTAAGCCTTGGAGTTCTCAAGCCCCCTCAAGAGGTGGTTCCCTGAACTCCATTCAGTGCCCCCTCCCTGCTTGCCCTCAGTGGCTTCCTTTCTAGCCTGATGTGTCTATGCATCTGTCACTCCCCCAGAAAGCTGGGCTGGAGAACTCACTGGCCGAGACAGAGTGCCGCTATGCCACGCAGCTGCAGCAGATCCAGGGGCTCATTGGTGGCCTGGAGGCCCAGCTGAGTGAGCTCCGATGCGAGATGGAGGCTCAGAACCAGGAGTACAAGATGCTGCTTGACATAAAGACACGGCTGGAGCAGGAGATCGCTACTTACCGCAGCCTGCTCGAGGGCCAGGATGCCAAGTAGGCGCCTGGGCACAGGGGAAGGAGTGATGAGGGCTGCTTGTGGCTAGGGTGCAGGGTCATCCTAAGGGAATGGCAGGGTGTCCCTAAGCAGCCTTGAGGGACTGTGAAAAGAGAACTGAGCAAGGAGGGAGGATCTGGACTCCTCACTCTGGTCCTTGGCTGTTACCTGGGACAGGTCACTTCCTCTCTCTGGATCCGTGTTTCTTCTGTAAATGATAGAGGCTGGGCTAGTGGTAGTTAAGATCTAGTGCTCATTCCATTCTCTGCATGAGATAGATGGGTATTCTTGTAGTTCAGAATCTTGACCAGCTCAGTGGCTCATGCCTGTAATCCCAGCACTTTGGGAGTCCAAGGCGGGTGGATCACTTGAGGTCAGGAGTTCGAGACCAGCATGGCCAATATGGTGAAACCCCGTCTCTACTAAAAATACAAAAATTAGCTGGGCGTGGTGGCGGGTGCCTGTAATCCCAGCTACTCGGGAGGCTGAGGCACAAGAATCACTTGAACCCGGGAGGCGGAGGTTTCAGTGGGCTGAGATCGTGCCACTGCACTCCAGCCTGGGCGACAGAGTGAGATTCCGTCTCAAAAAACAAAACAAAACAAAACAAAATCTGTCTACTTGGGGATAGCAGGCCTGGATGGGCTAGCAGGATGTCCCACCCCTAGAGGAGTCAGATGTGTGGGTGGTGGTGGTGTAGGGTCTGAAGAACACTGCATAGCTATCTACATGAGCTTCCCTTACGGACACTTGAGCTTGTGCCCTTTGCTTAAATCAGCTTCCCTCTTTCTTTCAGGATGGCTGGCATTGCCATCAGGGAAGGTAGGAAGGCTTTACTCTTCTGGTGTGGGGTGGGGAGGGGAGATGTTGAAGCCACCACCCCCTTCGGAATAGGGAGGAAGGAGAAAGAGCCCAAACATCCCATTAGGTGGGAACATTCCCATTCATTAGATGCCTCTTCCCCAGTGGGAACTTCTGTCAGCCCCAGGTGAGATTGCAGCTGGTGATTTATTGAGAAACTTCCAGGTTGAGTAGGCTTCATTCAGGGCATGTCTCTCCCCCAGGCCCCATCTTCATACACTTCCGCTAAGATGCCCACAATTCATCCCCCTTCATGTGCAGCTTGAAAAACCCTGACATTGTTGCTCCCTGCCGGGCATACCTGCCATTGCCACTGCCCATCTCTGTGATGAGGAATTCAACACCAGATCTCTGGCAGCTCTTGAGGGATTGGCCAGTGGCCATTCTCAGGGGTGCTGTCTAGTTTTCCCAGAGCCCCGCCAAGGTCCTGGCCACCGTGGCAGAGCGGGGAGGTTCCCCCACTCTAAAGCCTACTCCTTCTCTCTCTAGCCTCTTCAGGAGGTGGTGGTAGCAGCAGCAATTTCCACATCAATGTAGAAGAGTCAGTGGATGGACAGGTGGTTTCTTCCCACAAGAGAGAAATCTAAGTGTCTATTGCAGGAGAAACGTCCCTTGCCACTCCCCACTCTCATCAGGCCAAGTGGAGGACTGGCCAGAGGGCCTGCACATGCAAACTCCAGTCCCTGCCTTCAGAGAGCTGAAAAGGGTCCCTCGGTCTTTTATTTCAGGGCTTTGCATGCGCTCTATTCCCCCTCTGCCTCTCCCCACCTTCTTTGGAGCAAGGAGATGCAGCTGTATTGTGTAACAAGCTCATTTGTACAGTGTCTGTTCATGTAATAAAGAATTACTTTTCCTTTTGCAAATATCTCTTGGCAGTATGTCCAGTTTTTCTTGATGGGGTCCTGGTTGGCCTCTGATCTCTGAGGAGACCCAGGGTCCACATGGTGATATCTCCCCCCACTTTGGCCTCTTCCCTGCGTGGCCACAATTCTTTTGGGTACCCAGGGCACCAGTGGCTGGGACAAACATAGTGCTACTCAGGTAATTTGCTCTTCTGGGTCACCATGGGGTGACCAGGGAAGTGAGGGTGGGGAGGTTCCCTAAAAAGAGTTTGGTGTACCCAGCACAGAACTCAACACATCTAATAATTATGAATATTTACCAAGTGACTGATCGCGTTGATTGTCTTTGTTCGCCATCCCATGGCTGGCATGATGCCAGGCACGCTCACCCATGGGGCTCATTTAATCCTCACCACTGTAGGTGGTCAGGATTTATTATTCCCACCTTAGAGATGAGGTCACTGGAGGCAGAGAGAAGAATAACTTGCCCCGGGCCTTGTGGATGGATGATAAGTAGCAGGGCTGGGCCTGGGCCTGTGTCTGTAGGACTCCAAGACCAGGGCTTGCTCTAGGACCCCAGGGCCCTTTTCACAGCCTGCTGCCAGGACCCTGCTCCTTGCTTCTGACCCTCACCACATGTGCTGCTCCAATCTCCCATCCTTTCTAGCCAGGCATAACACCTCCAGAGTGGCCGAGCCAGTTCCCAATTTGACTCCCCTGCAGAGCTGGCCCCATCCCCCCTGAAGCTGATGCCTCCTCCCAAAAGGCACTTATATTGCCCAGAGGGAAAGACACCAGCTCCAGGAAGCCCTCGAGATTTTCCCAAGATTAAGTTGAAAGCATCATCAACCCCTCTTACCCTCCTTAATCCAAATCCTGCTCCTGCTCCCCCATCCCCAGCATCTCCACCAGAGTCCTTCTAGAGCGGTAGCATCCATGCACACATTGTTTGTGGCCTCTGGTCTCAGGCTGTTTTCTCTGAGCTCTTGCATTTATCGTCCCAAACCGAGGGCAGAAAATGAGGAAGCACAGAACTCTGGGTGCAGAGGCTGGGCTGGCTCAGGAACTGGGGTGAGAATTGGGGGTGGGGAGGGAGAACCGGTTTCTTGGTCTCACTGGGAAGAGCAGATTGGAGGTGCTTCTGTCTTTGGAGAATCCGATCTTTTGGGGGAAGGGTCAAGCCCTCTGAGAGGGTCCCCATGTGTCTTGTTGTGCAAAGCCTCTTCCCCACAAACCCCTGGTTGGAGGTAAAGTGGTGCCTGCTCTTTCTAGGGGAGATTTAATTAAGAATGTGTCTCCTGAGAACGCACACAGGTGAGACTTCCTGGGGCTGGAGGAAGGAAATGGAATTTAGTGAGTGTCTATGATATGTCAGGCCCTGGGTTGGGCATTCCGGGATGGCATCTCATTAATTCTTCCAATAGCTCTTTAAGTTAGTATCAGCCTTCAGCGTCAGTTTCAGAAGAGGAAACTGAGGCCTGGAGAAGTTTAGTAACCTGAATGAGGTCACAAGCCAGGAAATGGTGAAGCTGGGTCTGGGACTGGTCGCTCTGATTCCAGACCCTCGCTTTGCCCTTTAAGTCGTGAGGTGACAGAAGCTGCAACACTTTTCTTAAGAGATATGCTAACTAAAAATCTAAAACCCATCTTTTGTTTTTAAATTTTTTATAAGAGGCCAGGTCTCGCTCTGTTGCCCAGGCTGGTCTCAGCTCCTGGCCTCAAGTGATCCTCCTGCCTTAGCCTCCCGAGTAGCTGGGATTATAGGAGTGAACTGCTGCGCCCGACAGAAACCCATTTCTTAACCTCTGCGGGCAGCATGCCAAATGCCATACAGTCATTAACGTCAGAAAGATTGTCCTCACGTCTAACCTTAGTCTCTCATGCTGTGGTTTAAGTTCACCCTGACATCCAAACCATTAGCTAGCTGCCAGATCCCCCACGTCCTGGGAACAGCCAGTCTCCTTCCCACCTCTCTTCGGCTCCTGCCAGTAGAAGCTGGTGGCCTGGCTGCTGCTTCTGCCTCACTGGCCTTCGGGCCTCTGTCAAGAGGTCTCAGGCCTCCCAAACAGCCAGCAAAGGGTTTTCTCAGCCTTTAGTTTCCAAAACTAACAACGACTGTGAAAGGTGCAGAGAGGCAAGATGACTTCGCCTATGGGCTGCGTCCAGTGTGCCTTCTCTCTGGGCCAGACTCTGGCTTGGGGGTAGGAGGAAAATCTCCTATCTCCCTGAAGTACCTGTTTCTGCTCTCCTGGGATGCCTGGAGGGGCTGTCAGAGAAATCCTCGGAACTTGCCAAGTCCCGTTCCCAACCTGACCCTGGAGTGAGACACCTGCATCCAGGGATGGCTCATGCCCTGCTGAGCCTTTAATAGTCTCTGGGCAGCAAGGGTACACCTTCTGAGTGCCCTGGGCTGAGGTCAGGCTTGGTTTCCAGCCAATCAGAGAAGCAGGCAGTGGGTGATGCCCCTCCCTTCTCCCCATAGAGAGAGGGCGGCTTTCCGACCAGAGATTAGGGCCTTGGGTGTGTCCCCTGCTCAGGCTGGGCTTCTTAGACCAGGCATAAGACATGCTTGCTGCTATCTCCCTGAGGACTGTGGCTGGCCCCTGCCTCTCTCTGGGTTTCAGTTTCCCCACTTTTCAATTGGGAGTCTGGCTGGACAAGATGATCCTGAGGGTCTCTATGAGATGATCTGTATCCTGGGACCTCAGACGGGAGGCTGTGACAGCAGGGACTATGTTCACTGTCTTTACTGCTGAATTTTCAGTGCGAGTGCTAAATAAATATTTGTTTAATGCGTGAACTTGCTTCTCCTTTGCTTTTTCCTGCCTTAGACATTCATCAGTATGCTGGGCATGTGCCCACCTGGTGGCCACCTGGCCACCTGTCCCTCCATGGGCAGCTGGCAGCACGGGGGAAATAAGGAGCAGACAGCTTTTCTCCTGAGATTTTTTTTTTCTATTACCACCAGCAGCTCTCCTGAATTGGAGCTGGGGTGACCCCATTGGACACCACTCATGTTTGCCAATCCTCACCTAAAGCCAGGGGACAAAATGTCCCCGAAACAGCATCTCAGGCATTTATCCTGAGCTTTCCTGTGCCAGGAGCAGGATTTGGGGGTATATTCAGCAAAGGTCCCATCATCAGGCAACCTGAGATGGAGTGGGAGAAGTAAATTAGGAAATCCACCTCCTGTCATTTGCCTGCTTGCTGTGGGCGCCATGCTGACTGTAGGGACCAGAAAAGGAAGGGAAGCAAAGCAATGTGTCCCTGCTGGGTGGAGGCTTAGAGGAATTCTGACAGGTCACTGAGCAATGCTGAGCTTGCATTTCCTCATTTGTAAAAGGGAGGCAGTAGCAACCTCCTGCCTGCCCAGCACCTCCTGTGTCTCAGGTATCTGAGGAGCCTGGAATATTAACTCATCTAGTGCCCATTTTTCAGTGGTGACCACTGAAGCACTGAGAGGTTGAGTGACTTTCCCAAGATTACACAGTGAGTCGGTGGTGGATGGAGGATTGAAATTCAGGTCTACCCTGTCCAAAGCCCTTGCTGAGTTCACTGGGTATCTGAGAAGCCAGTGGTGGTGTAAAAGGGATTTTAAAAAGTTGGGCGCTGTAGAAATGCAAGAGCCTAAGGCATTGAGGCTTAGCCTTGAAAGACTTCTGGGTGGTGCTGTGCCAAGCAGGCATCTCTGAGGAGTGGGAGCTGCCCAGAGGGCCTGGGGTGACTCTCTGGGGAAGGGTTGCCTTTCAGGAGAGGCCTCTTCCCTGTGGAGGAGCCTTGAGACCCTTTTTGAGGTTGGTCAGTCATCCTGGATTCTAGGTCCCATGGAGTCCAGGGAGAGAGGTGCCTGATCCAAGAAAGGAATTCCAGATTAGAGTCTGAGCGACAGGGTTGAAGCCTCACCTCTGCAGATAAACAATCTAATGACTGTGGACAAATCTTTGAGAATCAGAGACTCAGAAAGGCAACTTGCTGAAGGAAACTTAGAAATCATTTCAATGTATGGCCCATGATGAGCTGGTGGTACAGCTGGAAATTCATGCATTTTTCCCCCCTTATTCCGCTTATTCCTGGACTTCAGTATTCTGGGCCTTGGCATTCTGAGCCTCAGATTCCCCACAGGTGACATGAGGGGGTTGGATGAGAAAGTTCCTACAACAATTTTGTGCTGAATGAGCACTCCCACGGGCGGGAAGCAGGACAGTCCACCGGCCCGGCCTGGGGTGACAGGTTGGCCTGAGAAAGGGAAAGGCCACAGAAGATAACCTTGCTTGGGTGGGGATGGTGCCAGCACTGGCCTGAAAGGGGCTTACCATGGACACGATAGCACTTTCGAGTTTGGGAAACATGTTTAACCTCTCTGGGCCTCAGCTTTCTCACCTGAGAAAAGGGTATAATAAAAACAATAGAGTGGCTTTGAGGACCGAATGAGATTACATCTGTGGAGTGCTTAACCGAGGCTTCAATAAATGTTAGCTAGTGTTATTTTTATTATCTTTTAACATATATAGAATGTGAATATAGAAAAAAACCCCTACTTTTTCCTATCTATACCCATGCTCAACATAGAACAGTTCTGTGTCCTCCCACAAAACAATCCTCTGAAACCAACTGGGTGTCCTAGAAGTCAATGTTATTTTGACACTAACTGTAGTTAGCACGGACCCCACAGATTAGGGGCTCAGTCCCACCAGGCTGCCCCCACAGCCAACTTCAGATGCCAACTGCAAAGAGTAGGTCCCGAGGTGACCCACAACTTCTGTCTGACTTGGCTACAGATCACCACAAGGGGTTGATGACCCCCTTCTCGGGTTCAATAATTTGGTAGCACAGCTCGCAGAACCCAGGAAAACAGTGCACTTATTGTTGCCAATTTATGACAAAGGGTATTTTAAAGGATAAAAATGAACAGCCAGATGAAGAGATACACAGGGCGAGGTGCAGAGGTGTCTTGAGAGCAGGAGCATCTGTCCTTGTGAAGCTGGGGTGCACCATGCTCCTGGGACATGGATGTGTTCTTGTTCACCAACCTGGAAGCTCTCTGAACTCCATAGTTTAAGGATTTGTATGGAGGCTTCATCACATAGC
The DNA here is from genome assembly GCF_000001405.40 of Homo sapiens. Taxonomy (NCBI): domain Eukaryota; kingdom Metazoa; phylum Chordata; class Mammalia; order Primates; family Hominidae; genus Homo; species Homo sapiens. The sequence goes on along the minus strand of NC_000017.11, from coordinate 41,508,679 downwards.
CATAGTCAATTACAAACTCAATGTCCGGCCCCTCTCCCCTTCCCGGAGGACCAGCGATGGGGTGGGCTGAAAGTCTTTGTGGTGACCAGCCTCCCTCCGGGAGCTCACCAAGAATCACCTCATTAGAACAGAAGACGCTCCTTTCACTAGGAGATTCTAAGGGAGTAAAAGTTCTATGTCAGAAACTGGGCTTAAAGACTAAACATTAGAACTAAGATGCTCCTAGCACCCTTATTACTCAGGGAATTACAAGGGTTTTAAGAACATTCAGAGATCATACATCTGAATTCACAGCAAGGTTGCTGAGATGTCATCAGGGTAGAGAAGGCCAGAAGCCAGGTCTAAATCTTGCTTTCTTGGTATCCTTGGATAAGTGACTTTCCCTCCCTGAACCTTGGCTGCCTCATCTATAAAATGGGGCTGACTTAAACCCTCTCCTGTTGTGAGACTTGGTGACAGTGTGTTAAGCCCAGCCTTGCTTGCAGGGGTACTCATAATGCAGTTTTGCTGCTCCTTCCCTTGAAACGTTCTTGGGAGGAGACCGCAGTCATTGGGTTTCTTTTTGTTGTTGTTGTTGTTTTTGCCAAAAAACAAAGCAGAAAGCTTAAGACGAGGTAGCAGTGCCTCAGCCCCAGCGCTCTCTCCTTCTTCCATTAGGACCAGGGTGGAAATAGGAAAAAAGATGGGTCCCTGGTTGGATCTCTGCCTAGCTTCCTCCCAGAGGGCTCTGGGATTCACTGCGGGTTGGAGGAAGGCAGTCCTGTGTCAAGGCATTACAAGTCCCCGCTAAGCGGGCAGAGGCTGTGCCCTGACCCCGCAAAGGAAGGAATGTCACGGGCCACTCCGTGTTTGTGTTACTGGGGCTTTGGAGGATCTGCAGCATTGTTACTCTAAGAGGCGTTGGCCTGAACCTGCTTGTCAGCTCTGGGAGGTTTGGGGCATTGTTACCCCAGGCATGGCAGGTTCCATTAATCACCTTCTTGTCAGTTTTGATCCTCTACCGAGAGAGCAAGAGCTCCTGCTTTGGGCTGAATCACCCCTTTTCAGAGAGAGAGAGAGAGAGAGAGAGAGCTGAGCCATCAGCTTGGGCAGGAGGGCCGGGCAGGGTCAGGGGTTAGCCTGAATCCCTGGCCTCGCAAGGCTGTTAGAACACTGGCAACGTGCCCTGGCTCTGTCCCTGCTGATACCCCTGCGGGAAGCACAGGCCCGCTTCTCTACCCCAGAAAACAAAGGCCCAGAAAGCCCTGACTCAGATTTCTCCTTTCTGATCTTGCTGAATCAGTGAAGGGGGTTCCAGGAGAACCTCATGCCTGTGCCACCCCACCCAGCCCCTGGCCTGGTATCATCCAGACCTTTGTGGCTGCTGTGGGCCAGAAAGCTGCTCCCAAGATGCCATCCACAGCAACCCTGGCCCCTTGGTGAGTGGGGCCTGGGAGTCTGCATTCAGGGTCCTCCATTGTCAGCCCTGGAATGGAGGACCTTCTATCCTGGCCTCACAGATGCCATCTGAGGTCCTTTTCTCCCAGCCTGAATGGGGAAGCTCCCTCTGGCAGGGTTCTTACATAGTCCCTGAGTTTCTCAGCCACATCTCAGGATCCTAAGCTGAGACCCTGGCCCTGGGTCCTGTGTCACATCCTCTTATGTGGCCTCTTGGCTGGGACAGACCTCATATGACTGGCGTACTAGAAAGGACCCTGCTCACATTATTACAGGGCCGTCTTCCTGGATGTGACTGTGCCCTAAAGCAGTCAGCGTAATGGAGTGATTCAACCCGAGGGCCAGACTGACCCAGGCATCTCAACCTCAACACTATTGATATTTTGGGTCTGATAATTCTTTGCTGTGGGGACAGTCCTGCACCTTATAGGATGTTTAGCAGCATACCTGGTGTTTAGCTATCAGTAGTGCCCCCAAGTTGTGACAACCAAAATGTTCCTAGACATTGTCAAACGTCCCCTGGAGAGCAAAGCAGCCTCTAGCTGAGGACCTCTGAACTTGTCTATGGGGACAGAAGTTGGAAGAGTGGTTACACCAGGGGTGTGGAGTCAGGTAATTGACTGGGAAAAGGTACAAGGACCTTTATGGAATGCTGGGAATGTCCTGGGTGGTGTTTACACAGGTCGTGCATACCCATGCGTGACATCAAGCTGGACACGTGATCTATACATTTTACTGTATGAAAAATGTACCTAAAAAATGCACCTTAGCGTCAGACAGAACCAGACTTGGATTTCAGTCCTGATTCTGCCCTTAAGGTTCATTTTCCTCATGTGTAAATGGGGGCAATAGTAGGACCCTCCTCCTGTGGCTGCTGTGAAGGTTAAATGAGATGATGAGTGTAAAGTAACTTCACCCAGTTCCTGCCTATGGTGAGGGCTCGGAGAATATTCGCTATGATAATGGACAGGGCCACTTCCTCTTTCCATGCCTGAGTTTCCACAGCTGTGTCTGATGGTCCCTAAGATCCCTTAAGGTCTCTGTCACTGTGACTTTTTCTGATGGCCTCGGAGCTATTTCTTTCTCAGTCTAAATACTTTCAAGGCAGGTGATTCTATCGAACCAAGCAAAGTTTGTCATCAGAGTTGCTGGGGCCCCTGGAGTAGATGAAGTGCTAAGAAGGATCCAGGACATCCCAGTCAGAAGTTTTAGGTATAGAAAAAAGGAAGGTCGAGGGCTACGGTGACCTTGCAAAGCACAGAGCCACTCTGCACCCACCACTTTCCTCGCAGAAGCTCCTGGCAGGCCTCCGCATCTCAGGTCCCGTTCTAATACTGGGTGGGGCTCAGAGCCTGCACAGTGAACTCCTTAAGTGGAGGTGAAACAGAATTCACTTGTCAAAAGGGCAGTCTCAGGCAGAATGCTGTCCCCTCTGAATCATTCTTTTTGTTAAGGATTAAAAAAAAAGCCACCCCCAAAAGGCACAACCCACCCTGGAGAGATCAGAGATAACTAAGCTTGTGGGAAACAGAAGTGTAGTTGGCACCAAGTCAGAGGGTGGGGAAGGGAGGAGAGAAGATAACCAGCCCCTATGGAGGTGTATAAAAGGTGTCCACTCTGGGGAAGAGCCACAGTCCTCGGCCCAGGCCAAGCAAGCTTCTATCTGCACCTGCTCTCAATCCTGCTCTCACCATGAGCCTCCGCCTGCAGAGCTCCTCTGCCAGCTATGGAGGTGGTTTCGGGGGTGGCTCTTGCCAGCTGGGAGGAGGCCGTGGTGTCTCTACCTGTTCAACTCGGTTTGTGTCCGGGGGATCAGCTGGGGGCTATGGAGGCGGCGTGAGCTGTGGTTTTGGTGGAGGGGCTGGTAGTGGCTTTGGAGGTGGCTATGGAGGTGGCCTTGGAGGTGGCTATGGAGGTGGCCTTGGAGGTGGCTTTGGTGGGGGTTTTGCTGGTGGCTTTGTTGACTTTGGTGCTTGTGATGGCGGCCTCCTCACTGGCAATGAGAAGATCACCATGCAGAACCTCAACGACCGCCTGGCTTCCTACCTGGAGAAGGTGCGCGCCCTGGAGGAGGCCAACGCTGACCTGGAGGTGAAGATCCGTGACTGGCACCTGAAGCAGAGCCCAGCTAGCCCTGAGCGGGACTACAGCCCCTACTACAAGACCATTGAAGAGCTCCGGGACAAGGTGAGCCCTTGGAAGCTGAGGAGGGGTCCTCCATGAAGGGCAGAGCCTCCAAGGCCAAGAAACACAGTGTTGTGGGGGACTAGGTGTGGACGGAATTCACAAACTTCTTGCAGGGGAAAAGCCTACTGTTTGACTACCAAGAGTCTCTACCTCTGATGGGCTTTCTCATGCCACAACTCCCCAAATGCATTTTCTCTCATTATTCATTTTTATGATTGTTATTACTCAGGTCAGTTTTTTTACTGCTTTCCAGACAGTTATGTTATTCATGACTCGATCTCTATAATCCTAACCTACTGAGTTATCTGGAAACATGACAGGTTTAAAAGCCATTAAGAATGCATGAAATCAACAGAGAAAGAGAGACGTGTTCATTCATTGCCCTGGGAATAATTGTTTACTTTGTAGGGGACCCATTCAAACTGGTATTCTCAACTGGCGATGGCCAAGTTGGGGGAGAGAGAGGCAGAGGCTTAGGCAGTGCCGAGCCTGGGTGCCCTTTGTTGAGCCCTGTCTGTTGTGCTGTGATACCAGCCTGTTGGAGCAGAAATCTACCAGCCTGGGCTGAGTCTCAGCCATGTGGAGCAGGCTTTCACTGCTTTGGAATATAAACGTTTAGACAAGAAATTCAAAGGGATGGGAATATTTGTTGGATTTCCCCTCCACTCAGCTGGGAAGTCAGCTCTAGCAAAGTGATTGTGAGATATGTGGCACCAAGCCGAGTCCCTCCTGACTTTCAGGGGATGGATCTCAAGACAGTGGCCTAGGGAGGGTGCTAGTCTGAGGCTGCCAAGACATGACGAACCAAAGATGTTCTCAGCAGGTCGTTCCTCAGAAATGCACTCCCTGCATCTCCCCCAGGGTGCTCAGACATGGAATATTAAAGTGTTAGAAACGATTGGAGGGGATGCAGCCCCACTCCTCACTTTACAGAAGAGCAATGGAGGCCCAGAGGGAAATGCCTTGTCCCAGCTCACAGGACAGTTTAGAGGTAGAGCCCCATGGGAACCAGGTCCTGCCCATGTTTTCCCAGGCCACCTCCTCAAGCACGTGGACCCCCCAGAGCAAGCTTGTCTAACCTGTGGCCGGTGGGCTGCATGTGGCCCAGGACAGCTTTGATTGAGGCCTAACACAAATTTGTAAGCTTTCTTAAAACATTGAGTTTTTTTTTATTTTTTATTTTTGCCAATTTCTTTTTAGCCCATCAGCTATCGTTAGTGTTAGCGTATTTGATGTGTTGCCCAAGACAATTCTTCTTCCAATGTGGCCCAGGGAAGCCAACAGACTGGACACCCATGCCCTAGAGGTTACCTTCTTCTGCATTTTGTAGATCCTGACCGCCACCATTGAAAACAACCGGGTCATCCTGGAGATTGACAATGCCAGGCTGGCTGCGGACGACTTCAGGCTCAAGTGAGTTTTTTTTTTCCCCCTCCCTCTCCTTTCCCAGGAGTCTCTTAGTTTAGACAAAAGCTCATCTGACCAATGACACTGGAGCATCCCAGGAGTGAAGGTCTGGAAGTACTGGAGTCTCGTGCAGGGGTAGGGAGAATGTCTCATATCATTTATGTCTTGCTTTTTCAAAAAACATTTCATTTTTTTACTATTTTAGGTATGAGAATGAGCTGGCCCTGCGCCAGAGCGTGGAGGCCGACATCAACGGCCTGCGCCGGGTGCTGGATGAGCTCACTCTGTCTAAGACTGACCTGGAGATGCAGATCGAGAGCCTGAATGAAGAGCTAGCCTACATGAAGAAGAACCATGAAGAGGTGAGCGGGAATTGCAGGCTGCCCTGGGCTCAACAACCTCCAGTGAGAAGGAGGAGCCCTCCCCTGCAACTGGACACAGTCCTCCACTGTGGGACCTGGAAACACTCTCCAGAACACTCTGCCAGCACTCAGAGCCAAGGAGAGGGAGGATGAGTAGCCTCACACATCTTCCTTTCCCATCCCCACAGGAGATGAAGGAATTTAGCAACCAGGTGGTCGGCCAGGTCAACGTGGAGATGGATGCCACCCCAGGCATTGACCTGACCCGCGTGCTGGCAGAGATGAGGGAGCAGTACGAGGCCATGGCAGAGAGGAACCGCCGGGATGCTGAGGAATGGTTCCACACCAAGGTACCCGGCCCTCCCACCCCACATAGCCCATCCCATATAGCCAGGGGGGCCGGGCGGACACAGCCTCTTGGTCAGGCTGCTCGAGCTGAGCTTCCCCACCACCTTCTTCCTGCTTGCATTTCAGAGTGCAGAGCTGAACAAGGAGGTGTCTACCAACACTGCCATGATTCAGACCAGCAAGACAGAGATCACGGAGCTCAGGCGCACGCTCCAAGGCCTGGAGATTGAGCTGCAGTCCCAGCTGAGCATGGTATGCCTGCAGCCTCCTGCCCGGTGGCGACCACCTCTAGGTTTCCCTCTGGCCTGGCTCCCTCTGTAACTTCTTGTCTGTCGCTCCACCAGAAAGCGGGGCTGGAGAACACGGTGGCAGAGACGGAGTGCCGCTATGCCCTGCAGCTGCAGCAGATCCAGGGACTCATCAGCAGCATCGAGGCCCAGCTGAGCGAGCTCCGCAGTGAGATGGAGTGCCAGAACCAAGAGTACAAGATGCTGCTGGACATCAAGACACGTCTGGAGCAGGAGATCGCCACCTACCGCAGCCTGCTCGAGGGCCAGGACGCCAAGTAGGTCCTCTCCAGCCTCTTTCTTAGGATAGTGACTGCAGGACCCGTGGGTGTCAGAGCAGGCAGGGCCTTAGAGATCCACCCCCTCATGTCAGAGAGGAGACCCCTCACTGTCTGACTTTACGGGGACATTTCCTTGGTAGGCTGCAGGGTTAACACCTTTAAACTTTCTAATTTGGGCCTCCAAGTTAGACTGGAGGGAACAGAGACCATGGAGGGAACATCTGATATTGGAAAAACATGAGCTTGGATACAGCTCAGCTGAACAAAGCTATTACTATGGTGCTTTAACTGCCTTTAGACCCTTTGCAGAAATCAAGCCACCCCTGTGGGCTCAGGGCTCAGGTGGAGGGTTGCGGGTTTGGGCGATCCAGAGGGAAGACAAACACCCTGAATCTTGTGGCTAATAATATCTCCCCTTGAGACCTCTCAGACAGACAGACAGGAAAGACAGACAGTCCCAGTGGGCACCTGATGCTGCTGTCCCTTGAGCTGGGGGCACAGCTAGGAGGCACTAGAGTCCAGCCCAGGGGCTTGAAATGATAAGCCGAGGCACTTCCCCAGAGGAACAGGTAAGCACCTGCCCTCAGTTACCCTCTGCTCATGGCCACCTCTGTCCTCTCTCCCAGGATGATTGGTTTCCCTTCCTCAGCAGGTAAGGGAACAGCCCCGTGGTGTAGGGGGAGGCAGAGTTAGCCTCCCATTCACTGCCCCAATGGGGGTGGGAGCTGGCGGGGAGGGAGGGAGCCAGTGCTGGGCTCTCCAGTGTAGGGAGGGGGAGAGCTGGGGTGGAAGTGGTCATTCGCTCACTGATTTTCCTTTTGAAACTGATGGCTCTGCCCCACAGAGCTATTTGGCTGTCTTGGGAAGAGCCATCTTTGGGGACAATAAAGAGTCTCCATCCACGCACCACCTGACTAATGAGGAGTTTGTGAGCCCTCCAGGGGGGCCCTGCCCTGTCCTGAGGTGGGTCTTCTCCAGCCTGAGCATGTCTTGTCTCTTGTTTCCCAGGAAGCGTCAGCCCCCGTAGCACCTCTGTTACCACGACTTCTAGTGCCTCTGTTACCACCACCTCTAATGCCTCTGGTCGCCGCACTTCTGATGTCCGTAGGCCTTAAATCTGCCTGGCGTCCCCTCCCTCTGTCTTCAGCACCCAGAGGAGGAGAGAGCCGGCAGTTCCCTGCAGGAGAGAGGAGGGGCTGCTGGACCCAAGGCTCAGTCCCTCTGCTCTCAGGACCCCCTGTCCTGACTCTCTCCTGATGGTGGGCCCTCTGTGCTCTTCTCTTCCGGTCGGATCTCTCTCCTCTCTGACCTGGATACGCTTTGGTTTCTCAACTTCTCTACCCCAAAGAAAAGATTATTCAATAAAGTTTCCTGCCTTTCTGCAAACATATTTTTGATTCTGGCCTGGTTTCTTAGGTGGCCCCTGCTAGGGCCCTGGTTTAGCGGGTGAGGGGGACACAGCTGGGCGGAGTAGCTAATCCAGACAACGACAAGCCTGGGGAGCTTCCTATCTAGGAAGGACAGACATAGGCCCATGGGCCATCTGAGCACACAGACACAACAACGGCAAACACAGGGGACACAGGCAGCTCACAGACGATGGTGTCCAGCAGACATGGACAGACGGAACACACCAGAGACAGCGCAGGGGCACGTGAGCCAGTTCAACAGCCTTGCAGATTAGGATGTTCAGTGAGAATGGCAGCTGATAGTAGAGTCAAGGGAGCGTGAAACATGGGCAAAAAGTACAGATGCCTCTGGGGCAGGCTGCAAGGGGCCAGTGAAGGGGTGATCTGGGGAGAAGGAGGCCCAGCCCCCACCTGCCACCTCCCTGCTTCCTGCAGAGAGGTTTATTCTCAGGCAAATGGCTCCTTGTTGGCCTGAGGCATCCACTCCTAATGTCCTCCCCAGCCCACCCCTAGGTCTTGCCACTCCCAACCACTCCTGGGACCAGCTCCCTGGCTGGCCGCTGCACTAACCTGGCCCCTTCTCTCTGTGCTCCCCACTCTCTCCCTGCCGCTTTGGCTGCCCCTGCTCTGATTCGCAACCTCTTCCTGCTCTGCTCACTCCTTGCACGTTGACTCACCTCCTGGATTCCGGTGTGGGTGTTCTTCTCTTTTTCCTCTTCACTGTCCCTGTGGGTCATCCAGGACATAACCATGGTTACAGTTGCCTGTATGTTCTGATAACGCCCAAACTCGAATCTCCACTGAGGCCCCTCCCAGCCTCAGACTCCCATTGCCAACAGTGAGCCAGACATCACCTCCTTCAATCCACCCAGGCAAAAGAGCTCCCATCATCCTCCCAGATCTGCTCCTTCCTTGCCCTTTATCCCGGAGAACCTGGAAAGCTGAGCCAGGAGCCCAGGAGTCATCCTGGCCTCCTCTGTCCCTCACCCCCTTCACAATGCTTCCCGTGGACACTGCATTAGCCATAATGTCCTTCCTGGTCCTAACTATGGGCACGTGGCCACAGCCTCCTCACTGGCCTCCCTGCCTCCATGCTCCACACTCCAGCAGGGGTGATTACTGGAAACTGAGTCTTCTTCTCAGCTTAGAGACACCCCAATCGCTCCCTGCTGGTCACTGAGGAAAGCCTAGACACCTCGCCTGCCTCCAGGTCCTGGTGGTGCAGCTTCTTCTGGCCTCTCCCCAGCTCTGGCTCCTACACTAGCCTCCCTCACTCACCCCAAATTCCTGCCATCCCAAACTGCCCTTGAGGAAGCAGGCAGGTGGCTGGGCACCCTGGGGATTTTGTTCGGTGACAGACCTCTGTCTGACCCAACCTTCTTCTCTCCTCTCTCTCCACACTCCTGTCATCATTTTATTGGAGACTACCAGTTTTTTATTCAAAATTCAGACTGAGATGGATGCCCCCTCCTCTGCAGCACCTGGCTGGGGTGGGGCACACTTGGGTGTTCACATGTGTGTGCCCACCTGTCCTAGAACTGACAGTATCGCTGAAGTGTCACTGAAGTGACAGTGAGAAAGGCAGGGCTGTGCCTTCCTCAAAGCGGGCGGGGGGGGGGGGGTCTCTCATCCAATAGAGTGCAGGTGGGCTCTGTCAGTGCTGATGAAAGGCAGAGGTGAATGAACAAACTGGGGAAATGCCCCTCCAGTGCCATTTGATTTTCGTTAAGGGGCTTAAGGCAGAGGGTAGATGGAGTTCCGGCACCCTGGCCATCTGCCCCCTTCCTCTGGCACCATCTTCATATTCCCTCCCCTCCCCTCTGCTGCTCCCCTGTGTGGTCTCCCCCTTCCTTGTCTTCCTTCTCTTCCCCCACCTCAAGCCTGAGTATGGGCTGCACACAGTTGTCTTATTCACACAGTGGTTGCTCAGACATGCCTGGCCCAGCTTGCTAAACTAGCAGAAAGGTGTCTACCCTCCACCATTCCAAATCCCACCCCAGACCCCGCCACCCACTTGTTCCTACAGAACAAGGTGGGGCTCGGCTCAAGTTCACGTGCCTGGAACAGCACCAGAGGAGCTAAGGCATTAAAGAGAAACAGGACATGCCCTTGCTCCCGGCACCTTTTAACGTTTTTGGTAACCTATTTGGTCAGCAGCTATCTATTGAGTGACCACTGTGTACCAAGCACTGTGTGGGGTCCTGGAGAAAGAGAGGCAGATGAAAAGAAGGCTCTGTCTTCAAGGAGTCCACGGGTTAACAGGAAGGTAGGAGGAGACACCCACAGCAATGAACAGTCAACAGTCTTCACAACTCTGCTCAGGTTTCATCGTTTGCTCTGGGTCTTCTCTGGTCTTCCCCACCGATCCCAGCAAGACCCTGTGCTGTCAGCAATGACTGGAGTGCAATGTTTGTGGAGCCCAGAGCCACAGGGACCTGATCTGCATTTGTAATCCTGGGCAAGTTACTTAACCTTCCTGGCCTGACTTCCTCATCTGCTAAGTCTTCCTTCCTCATAGGTTAATTAAAGTCAAGTGCTCAGAACAGTCACTGGTGCATAGTAAGTGCTCAGTAAACAAGATACCTCTGGTCATGATCTTTCTCGTTCTCTTTTCTAAGCTATGCGTTCCTTCTGGGTAGGGCTGGTTTCATCGTCAGTCTCATCCTCATACCTAGAACGTTATAAGGGCTCAATAAATGTGTTGAATGGAGAAATGAGGGAATAAATAGATACAAGCTATGGGAAATGAAAGTGGTAAGTAAGTATTGTACAGAGAGCACAGGAGCCCCTACCCTAGACTGAGAGAGGGGCCTGGGGTCTCAATGCTGAGCTACCCTGGCTGCTCCAAGGCACCCTGGGGTCCAGATCCCAGGGCTTATGGGGCCCAGAGCAGCCCCTCTTCCTGAGACCCCGGGCATGGCTGTTTAGGGGCAGCCCCCTCATTCTCTGAGCTAGTTTTGCAAAACTTGGTGGGGGGTGAGGGTAGTTGCCCACAGGAGCAGTGAAATGAGCTGCACTCTAGGCCCAGTGGGGACTCTGGCCTGGGAGCCTTTCACCCAGACCCCAGCAAGGACACTGAGAAGCTGGGCCCCATCTGAGGACCTATGTGGCCCCATCAGGAATCCCGGGGAAGCTCAGAGGGCAGGCCGAGAGCAGGTGTTTCTGCCAAAGCTACCCCAGGAGCCTTCTTGAGTTGGGAGTAGCAGGTGGTCATCCCGGCTCTCTGGTCAGAAGGGTAGGAGAGGCAGTGGGTGGGGAATCCGCCTCATTCTCTCTGGGACTCAACTCTTTATCAGGTGTGGGGCGGCCATTCAAGTGAGGGCAGATTTATCAGGCCTGCTGGGTCAATGCTCCCCTTCCCAGGGTTGACCTAGGTGCCACGCCCATGCCAGTCTCACACCGCTGATTCCCAGTGCTGTGGCTATGAGGAAACAGCCCCTTTCCATTGGCACCTGGCTAATGTCCATGCCAATGATTGTGAATGAGGCCATGTCAGCACAAGAGATGCCGGAATGAAAGAGATAACGGAAAGGGGGACACAGTAGCGCATCCTTTACTCTCATCCTTTCTTTCATTTCATCTTTACAGCAATCCCATGAATTGGCACAGCTGTGCCCATTTTACACATGGAAAGACTGAGGTCTGGACGGGGTCAAAGACCTGCCCAGCGGGAGAGCTGGGACCTGTGGTTCCAATGTGCTTTCCAAGACTGGGGCTGGTCCTTTGCCAAGGGTCAAGCATTCGGCTCCAGGAATCTGGGGGAGAAGTGAGGCTCTCTCCCAGACCCCAAAGCCTAGGGGATGAAGGAATCAAGCCTGTGATGTTCCTGGGGTGTCTTGGCACCTCAGAGCCAGGTCGGGTTCTGGAGGGAGGAGGGCAGCGGGTGGCACACAGAGGTGGAGAGACGTGGCGCTGTTCTGTGACTCCTGGTGCTTCAGCCACTTCCTCCTCACCCCAAGCAATAGGCACCTCCCTCTCTTCCTGGCTCCACCCTGGGGAATGAGCCAGGCTGCTGCCCTCCTCAATGCGATGGCTGTCCTGCCCAGGCCCTGCAGGGGGCAGGCTCACCCCAGAAAGCAGATCAGTGCCTCAATGGCCACCTGCTGGGATACAGGGTGGAGTGGCTGGGCCCTAGACCCAGTCCTGGCCGGGCCTGGTCTCAACATAGGGCCCCGTCCGGTCCCCAGCTGGGCCCTTAACAAGCAGGGTGTGGCTGCAGGCACATTCCAGGCCTGAGACCCCCTTGGCGCCTGTTCCCCTCTGTGTTGGGTGATAGTTTTGAGGATCCACAGAAGACCCTTGACAGGCAGGGTGTGGCTGCAGGCACATTCCAGGCCTGAGACCCCCTTGGCGCCTGCTCCCCCTCTGTGTTGGGTGATAGCTTTGAGGATCCATAGAAGATCCTGAGTATGAGATGGGGTGTCTGGGCCTTCCTGGCAGGGGACTCTCACTGTCCCAGCCAAGGGAAGCTCTGGGGAAGATTAGGAAGCAAAGTCACAGCAGGAGGTGCAGGGCGATGGGTGTGATGGACTCTTCCAGATTTTTTTTCTTTTTTTTTTTGAGAAAGAGTCTTGCTCTGTCACCCAGGCTGGAGTGCAGGGGCATGATCTCTGCTCACTGCAACCTCTGCCTCCTGGGTTCAAGCAATTCTTCTGCCTCAGCCTCCCAAGTAGCTGGAATTACAGACATGCACAACCACACTCAGCTAATTTTTGTATTTTTAGTAGAGACAGGGTTTCACCATGTTGGCCAGGTTGGTCTCTAACTCCTGACCTCAGGTGATCCACCTGCCTCCGCCTCTCAGAGTGCTGGGATTACAGATGTGAGCCACTGCGCCTGGCCACTTCCAGCTTTTCTTATCCAGCTGTGGGGGCCCTTCCTTCCTCCCTGCCTGGGTCAGGGCATCTGAGGGGCGGCCCAGGGAACTGGCCTCTTTTGGATGGTGTCCCTGGGACTGTTGGTGGCTGGAGCAGAGCAGAATATGTGGGTTGTGTCCCTTTGAGCAGCTCCTCTGGGGGCTTCAAAAGAGCTGGGCACTCTTTACACCCTCCATCCTCCTGCAGAGTTTGAAAGAAAATAAGCAGGTGGCGGGTGCTGCTGAGACTTGCACAGGCACCTGTTGGGGGTGGGTATTTGGGGGACTTGGCCAAGAGCTGGTATCCCTTTTTATGAACAGTCATAATGACTGTGGCTTCTTTCATCCAAGGATCTCAGACCAGTTTGAAAGTAAAATCCACAGTGTCAGGCATGGTTAATTACAGCCCGGAGCCCGCAGTCTGGTTTGCAGACACGCTGTTGTTCGTAGGAAGAGAGTCAAATCAATTGCATGCCGGCCCCTGTAAATGCAGACTACAAGTCCAATCAAACAGGGTGTTTGGAAAATTCGCTTTATGGTTCAGCTAAGTGATACTTGAATCAAGGGGACGCTAGACACTGAGGTACCAGCTCTTTTCTCCCAGTGGGCCTGGCTGTGCATCTCCCACAATCACAGCTTCTTCAAGCACACCAAGGAGAGAAAGGACGCTCTGAAATGCTCCAACCATAAAAGTGGGGTGGGGGAGTTAGGGACTCGGTGAGTCTGAGCAGGAGACTGTGGACTCTTCCAGATGGGAGCTGGCAGCCAGTGCAGCTGTGCAGGGAGCGCTGGCCCCAGGGGAGAAGGTGGTGGGCCCTGAGATGTGGAAGGCCGAGCTTGGCCACAAGAGGACCAGAGAGGTATGGCTTAAGGCTGGAGTTAGGGTGGCTCTCTGGGCATCTGCCACGGCAAAAGCAGCTTGGAGCAGAACCTTGAAGTCCTGGGCAAGTGCAAAAACCACACCCCAGGGGGAGAGAAAATACTTTTGTATTTTGGGGGAGATGAGATTTCTAGAGTAACTCCGGGCCTGGTCAAGTGGGACTTTGAAGGCCCGATGAAGGTCAAGGCCTGATGGGGGCTCAGGAACAGGCCAGGAACAGCAGGTTGGGAAGCTGGACCTATGCTCCTTGTAGGGCCCCAGAGTCTCAGGAGGAGTCACTGCTCAGGACCAGGACCAACACTGTGGAGGGGCAGCCAGGCAGTGGGGGGGACCTCCTTCACCACTGAGTCATGTTCAGATTGTCTTGAACCTGGTGAGGCCGGGTGATAGCAGGGGGCAGGTGGACATTTGGGGCACAAGCTGGGGGGTGGGAAATGGAGCAGAGAGAGACTTGCTAAATCTTGTCCAGGAAGGTCTGAGTCACCCTGTTGAAGGCAGCTGCCATCAGGATGGAATGTCACTGAGGTGGCCAGGATGGGAGGCAGGATAATTCAGCTTCTGCATCTCCAAGTACTGTTTGGACTTGGGAGGGCAAGAATGACAGCCACTGACAGCAGGGTGTGAGAGGACAGGAAGGCACGATTCTCCAAGGGAAGCCCTCTGTGTCTGACCCTGAGAACAGCCAGCCATGGTGACAGGCCATCAGGGAAGGAGGGAAGAAAGAGCTGCATTTGTGTGGCCAAGGCTCTCAACCAGTGATGTTTCCTTACTGAGGGTTTCAGACACAGGACACTCAGATCAGAATTGCAGGTAAACAAACAACAACAACAACAACAACACAGACACACACACACACCCTATAAGTATGCTCCTAATACCACATTTAAAAAATTTGCTAAATCTGGCAACCCTTTCTTTATCAGGTCTGTGAATGGCCCTGAGTTTTCCACCATCAAAACTGAATAAACAGCCAGGCACGGTGGCTCACGCCTGTAATCCCAGCACTTTGGGAGGCCGAGGCGGGTGGATCACAAGCTCAGGAGTTTGAGACCAGCCTGGCCAACAAGGTGAAACCCCTCTCTAATACAAAAAATTAGACAGGCGTAGTGGCGGGCACCTGTACTCCCAGCTACTCGGGAGGCTGAGAGGCAGGAGAATGGTGTGAACCCAGAAGGCGGAGCTTGCAGTGAGCCGAGATCTTGCCAGTGCACTCCAGCCTGGGTGACAGAGCAAGACTCTGTCTCAAAAAACAAAAACAAAAACAAAAACAAAAACAAAACTGAATAAACGAGACTTTTCCTGGAGTTTTTGGAAAAATTACATTGGTGGCTAGAAAGGGCTTAATTGTAGGGTTTCCCCTTTCTGTGAGGCTTTCTTCAACTTTGTGTACCTGTTGTTGCATGTCGGCACTAGAATCTAATGTAAGTTGACAGTGGATTTGGCATGAGCTGTTGATGGGGTTATTTGACACAGAATATATAGAACCCTGCTTTTCAGGGGAGGGGCCAGGGCTCCCAGGTGCTTTGTCACTTGAACACATTCTTCGTTCCAAGGAAAATTTAGTCATGTGGAGGAAATGAGAATGAGTTGTGGGTCTCCCAGGGTCCTGGGTGACCGTTGGGTGCTGGGTGGATCTGAAGAGGTTAAAACATGGAATGAACATTTCTTAGGTGCTTCTTCTGGTGGGAAATTCTCTAGGATCTGGGTGTATGGACCTCAAGGGTGGAAGAGGCAGTAGGAGAAAACCAGAAAGATGGAGCTGAAACCAGCAGGCTGCTCTAACAGAGACAACCATTGGCCTTCTGCAGAGATCTTATTCTTGTCTGTGCCCATTTCTGGTTGGCCTGGCCATCCCAGAGGCTGCTGTCTGGTTTGTTTGCTTCACTATCTTTGGGGCCTTTGGGTAGTGGTGACCAGCATGTTCTGACCAAAGCCCAGAGAAGCATAAAAAGAGACACCCTGCTTGAAGAACTCACTCCCTCCTTGGGCACACTGTGACAGCAATGCCTTGTGCATGGAAGGGACTGTTCAGAGCTGGGCAGAAGGAGACTTGGGCTTGATATTTCAGGCCTTTGCCCATGGAGAACCTTGGTTTTCAGATGGAAGTTCATTTGAGTGTGCAGACTTCTTTCTGCCAAAGAAGGGGCCAGAAACTCAGGAGTTGATGTTGAACTTGGCAGCCTTCCAAGATGGGCGTGGGGAAAGGCCAGGATGCTTTCTGTTCCTATGGCGGCATTCCCCTTCTTCCTCCTGCCCCCAAGCTGGGATCATGGCGGATAGGTCATCCTGTCAGCACTGCAGCCTGCAGGTGGTGTGAGGGCTTTTGGAAGCTTCTAGAGTAAGGGTCAGAGGCCAGATGGAGACTTCTAGCTGAGGGGACTGTTGCAGCTCTGGACACAATCCTAGACCATGCCTCTTCGAGTAGCTGTCTTTTCTTTGACAGCTGGGTTAGGCCTCTGAATTAGTATTCCATTAAACCAGGGCAAGTGGTTTGTGCCCTGGAAACAGCATTGGACTGGGGTTCTGACTATATGGGTACTAATAGCAGTTTCAGTCTCTTAAATCTGTGAAACGACTTCCTGTTTATCCAGCCCCTTTGGATGTAGTTCTCACAATCCCGTGATTGTGGTGTTATGACCTCCACAGACCTATTGTGAAAGCTGAGGCTCAGAGGGATGGAGCAGCTTGAACTTAGTTCTCGCTGAGTCCCGGCTCAGGGCCCTTCCCTTGGGTCGGGGGGTTGGCTGTGCAGTCAACAATAAGGAAAAAGGCAAGACACTGAGGGCAGCTGAAAGACTTTTACCTTTGACGAGCTGGTCACCTGCTCCAGGGAAGGTACATTCCTCTCCCCACAACCCTAGAGGCACCTCTCTGGTCCACAGTGTCCCTCCTGATGCTCAGGTGAGAATGATGGGGACATCTAGATATTCGGATTAGCAGACTCCTTGCTTATTCAGTTGTCCTGAGAGAAACCTAGAATCAGCTTCAGATATGGATCATACAGTACAGGGGTTAAAACAAAAAAGAAAATGAGAATATTAACTTCAGATGCCTACCAGCCAGAGATCCCGAACAGAGAAGAGCTCTGCAAAGGGCTTGGTGAGGGCTGCCCTATGGCCCATTTTGCAGGACAAGCACGCTGTGTCATGAACAAGGGAAACCGAGGCATGGGTGTATTGAGGACTTGCCTGAGTGGGCCCAACAGAGACAGCCAGACTCCACGCTAGTTGTCCCAGAAAATAAAGTCAGGGGTGCTTAGGGGAGGTTGGGTCGGAGCCCCAGTCTTGGTCCTGATAGTCCAATGGTTCTCAACTGGGGGTGGTTTTGCCCCCTGACTCCTAACCCGGGGAACATTTGGCAATGTCTGTAGACAGTTTTGGTTGTCAACACTGGGGCAGGGGGTGGCTACTGGCATCTGGTGGTAGAGTCCAGGGATACTGCCACACATTTTACAAAGCACAGGAGAGCCCTAAACAACAAAGAATGACCTGGCACGAAGGGCTGAGGTTGGGAAACCCCATGACAATCCAATCCTAGGCCCTGCCAGGAGAACTGGGGAGATTGGGTGGCTGTGAGGAAGCCATTGCTGGGGCAGCTGGTGCTCTGGAGGGCTGATGCTGTGCTCTTGCTCCCAGAGGGGCTGCACGGGGTCCACTGCCAGCTGCTCCTGGACATCTTGTCAAGGTGTCCACCTTGCTGGGAGAGGCATGTTCACCACAGCCAATCCTCCCTGGATAATTTCAGAGAGAAGCTTATAAAACATTTTAAGAGGTTGGCAAATTACAACCTTAGAAGCACATAAATGCTTCCATAAACGCCAGCTTTGCAAACCAAGCGTGTGTGGGGGCAGAGTGAGCAGGTTTCCCAAGCCTTGGGAAAGTCCATGTTTCAAGGCGGAAGACCCAGGTTTATCTTTGGTCCCCAATTCTCAGGTTCTTCTCTCTCGGCTTGCTTAACTATCTGGCAGTATTTAGCTTTTTTCTTTGTATTCCTCCTCTGTCCAAAGAGTCTGCCATTGGCCATTTCTGTGACCTGTTAAGGGACCAGGAGGGTCAGAGCAGGTTGTTCTAGGGTCCTGATTCTACCCATGAGGTTCAAAAAGCTGACGGCCACAAAGGAAACTGCCCTCCAGCTCTGCCCAGTGATCCAAGCATGCAGATTCCATAATAGCAGGAGTCTGTGATGATGTGTTCATTGACTGAGGGACTGGCTATGGGGCATCTCCTTCTCCCACTGCCACCCTGCTGTGCCCAGTGGGCAGACAGACCATTCTCAGCAGTGCCATGTGAATGCTCACACTCACGAACCTTTGCTGGTCACAGCCATAAACCATCATCAAAGACTGTCAACCTAACCTAACCTAACCTAACCTAACCTAACCTAACCTAACCTAACCTAACCAACCAACACTTCTGCAGGACCCAGTGGCTTGCAAAACACTTTCACTTCTTGTTCGATCCTCCTTATATCTGTGTGAAGCAGGCGGGACAGAAGGACAATCTCTACTGTTCCAGTGAAAACACTGAGGTTCCCAGGGAGGAAATGATGTGCTCAGTATCACAGGGCAAATTAGTAGCAGAGCCAGGATTTGAACTATGTCTCCTGTCCCTAAATTCTGGGTACCCAGACTTGACTCCAGTTGTGTGGGGAAGCAGTGGGGCAAGGAAGTAGGATTTGGTGTCTGAGAGCCCTAGTTTCAGACCCAAGCTCTGCCAGTCACTTCCTGTTCACACTGAGCAAGCTATTAAACCATTCGGAGCCCCAGTTTCCACACTGGTAAAAATGAAGATAAAATCAGCCACCTCCTAGGGTTGTTACGAGGTGTAAATGAAATAACAATGAGCCTGGTACATCACAGGTGCTCCCTGAATTTTAGTTCCTTTGCTCCCTTTTACCATCCCAGTAGCCCAGGCAGGGGTGAGCAGCTATGAGGCGTGGCAGCAGTGGATGGAAGTGACAAGGGACAGATGAGGATCCCCAGGGGAAGGGAGGTGGAGAAAGCAGGAACCAAATGTCATTCGTGCAGCCACTCCCGATTTATGGGATCTGGTGCAGAGACTCTTTGAAGAGGCAATAAAACTCATATTCTGCTAGGAAATGACAACAGTGGAGAGTCCTGACTTAGCAAACCAAATTCAACGATTTGATTTTTTTTTTTTTTTTACAAGGCATGGGGTTCCGGATGGGTAGCAAAAATCACATTCTAATATTAGCTATCTGGGGTAGGAACAGGCTTTCCCAAGAGCAAGAGATGTGTACCATGCCAACACCCAATGGTGAGTGTACATAAATGCTCCATAGAGGCCTTGAGAGTCCAGAACCTGAGCTCCTTGCTAAGCTGCAACCTTCCTCTGCTAGCACCATGGCCACCCAGACCTGCACCCCTACCTTCTCCACTGGGTCTATCAAGGGCCTCTGTGGCACAGCAGGCGGCATCTCTCGGGTGTCCTCCATCCGTTCTGTGGGCTCCTGCAGGGTCCCCAGTCTCGCCGGTGCTGCAGGGTACATCTCTTCTGCTAGGTCGGGCCTCTCTGGCCTTGGGAGCTGCTTGCCTGGCTCCTACCTGTCTTCTGAGTGCCACACCTCTGGCTTTGTGGGGAGCGGGGGCTGGTTCTGCGAGGGCTCCTTCAACGGCAGCGAGAAGGAGACTATGCAGTTCCTGAACGACCGCCTGGCCAACTACCTGGAGAAGGTGCGTCAGCTGGAGCGGGAGAACGCGGAGCTGGAGAGCCGCATCCAGGAGTGGTACGAGTTTCAGATCCCATACATCTGCCCAGACTACCAGTCCTACTTCAAGACCATCGAAGATTTCCAGCAGAAGGTGAGGGAGACCTGGCCCCTTTCCAGCTGAGCAGCCCAACTCTTAGGAGGCGTCTGTCTCATTCCAGGGCCTTTCCAGATGGGACGGTAGCTTTTAGGGAATTCTCCTGGTAGGGCAAACTTTTCTCTCTAGGGCTTTGGTTTCCTGGGGGACCCAGGCTTCTCTGCTGGTCTCTTGCTTGTACCTTGTTGCCAGCCGTTCCTCACCCCCCTCCCCTTGCTGTAGGAAGGGAAGGAACATGTACCAAGCCCCTACCGGATACAGCACTGTGCCTGACACTTTCCTATTCCCTGGCTTATTTATTCTTCATCTTGGAGAGATTGGTATTACTGGACCCATCTGACAGATGTGGAAGTTGAATTTTGAGGGGTTCAGCAACTTGCTCAAGAGCACACAGGCTCAGTGTTAGATGCAGAACCTGAACTCAGGTCTGCCTCACCCTGGTGTATCTTGCTGTGCCACTCTGAAGGCTACAGGCGCCAGGACTGATGGTCACTGACATCCTCGGGATGCCCCTGTGGGGTGGATGCTCCCCCCACACCTGGGGTGTGGCTCAGGGCTGGAAATGGTGAAGGGGCTGGTGGTACACAGTGGCATGGCCTCTGTGAGCTGAGCTATCCCCCTACCTGCCCCCACACTGCTGGGCCTCCTGTAGCTTATGGGAAGCCTCTTGTTCCCCAGATCCTGCTGACTAAGTCTGAGAATGCCAGGCTGGTCCTGCAGATTGATAATGCCAAGCTGGCTGCTGACGACTTCCGGACCAAGTGAGTGGGCCTGATCAGGGAAGGTTTGCCATGCCACTCCCTTGCCTCTGTCCCCTGCCTTTGGGAGCTGGTGATGTGGGAATAAGGCTGGATGGGAAAATGTGGCATGAGCCCTGGACCTCAGGGGAAAGGAGTGTCATGCTCCTGATCCCGTCAGCCACTGCAGCTGGACAGTAGGGCAGGGGTCCCTGCTGGTGTGTGGTTTCCTTTGCTGCAGACTTGGCAGGGTTCTGTGTGTGCAGGTATGAGACAGAGCTGTCTCTGCGGCAGCTAGTGGAGGCCGACATCAACGGCCTGCGTAGGATCCTGGATGAGCTGACCCTGTGCAAGGCTGACCTGGAGGCTCAGGTGGAGTCCCTGAAGGAGGAGCTGATGTGCCTCAAGAAGAATCACGAGGAGGTGAGGCTGGTGCCATGTGACTTCCCAGTGTTTCCCATCCAGCTTAGGAAGCCACTGCTGGGCTTTCAGTTTTCTGTGCGGCAGGAACTATACAAAGGCCTTGCATTTCATTCTCGTTTCATTTCATCCTTACAATAATCCCAAGAATTATAAACTGTTACAAGCTCCATTTTACAGATGAGAAAACTTAGGCACAAAGAGGTTAAGTTGCTTGCCTAAGGTCATAGAGGGTCTACACTTTTGCCCATAACACTACATGTCTATTTGGGCTCTAGTGCCTGATAACAGCAATTTAATTTGCCTAGGGTTTGTATCATCTCACAAATATCCCATAGAAGGAGGTAGGTATATACGGAGAAGGAGACCAAGGCTCAGAGATATTTAAGTATCCTGTCTAATGCTATGCAGCTGGTGACTGAGGGAAGAGGGTTTGAATTCAGGTCATTGAAACCTGCAATCCAGCATCTTTTTCACAACCTCATGCCGTCTTGCCTCCTCTCTGCAGGAAGTCAGTGTACTCCGTTGCCAACTTGGGGACCGACTGAATGTGGAGGTGGACGCTGCTCCCCCAGTGGATCTCAACAAGATCCTGGAGGATATGAGATGCCAGTACGAGGCCCTGGTGGAGAATAACCGCAGAGATGTGGAGGCCTGGTTCAACACCCAGGTGGGGCTGGGGTGCCCTGGGACCACAGGCTCCTGGGCTGGGGTTACCCTTGGAAGTAGCTTGGTTTGACCATGCTCTGGGCCCTGGCATGTGTTTCAGACTGAGGAGCTGAACCAGCAGGTGGTGTCCAGCTCGGAGCAGCTGCAGTGCTGCCAGACGGAGATCATCGAGCTGAGACGTACGGTCAACGCGCTAGAGATTGAGCTGCAGGCTCAGCACAGCATGGTGAGTGGCCCCTGCCTGCGTCGCTGGCCACGGCCTGTGGCAGGTCCCCGACGCACCAGCCTCAGCGTGCAGGCTCTCATGGGGTGTGATCACAGGCCGTAGGCAGATGCCCAGGGCTGTGGGTTTCTGGGGTCAGGGGATTCCTCCCCAATAGGCAGCTCTTCCTCTTTCCCATTGCAGCGGAATTCCTTGGAATCCACCCTGGCCGAAACCGAGGCCCGCTACAGCTCCCAGCTGGCCCAGATGCAGTGCCTGATCAGCAACGTGGAGGCCCAGCTGTCTGAGATCCGCTGCGACCTGGAGCGGCAGAACCAGGAGTACCAGGTGTTACTGGACGTCAAGGCCCGGCTGGAGGGCGAGATCGCTACCTACCGCCACCTGCTGGAGGGAGAGGACTGCAAGTGAGTGGCCCTTGGGCTGGGGTAGGGCTTGACTGAACCCTCAGTGCCATGTGGAGGGCGTCAAGCCCAGAAGTGGTTGTCGCCCAGATGAAGGGAACTAAACCAAAGCCCCTTGAGATTCTCCATTTAGTCCCAGGCTTTGGTAATGCACAGCGGGAGAATCCAACCCAACACACGCCGCGTGTTTTCCGCCATCTTTTCTGATTGGCAGTTTCTGCTCTTCATTCCTGTAGCTCAGTCCTCTCACCCTTGGGGAATTCAGAGGCACTGAGATGATCCGGGGCCACCGGTCTCGCTTGATCCTCTAGATCTGTTTAACACGAATCTCAGCCCAGTGCTCCGATGCCAAATGCACCCTGCATGATTTTGTTTCCTCAGGCTTCCTCCCCAACCTTGTGCCACGGCATGCAAGCCTGTTATTAGAGTTCCTTCTGTCCCCCCGGTGCCCTGTGTCCCCTCTGTGCCCTGCACCCCGGCTCCCCAGGTTGGCACTCAGATCCGCACCATCACCGAGGAGATCAGAGATGGGAAAGTCATCTCCTCCAGGGAGCACGTGCAGTCCCGCCCGCTGTGACAGCCCACTTGGTCCACCAGGGCAGGGCCCTGACCACAGGAAGGAGGACACCCCTGTGGCTCCTGGAGGCTTAACGACCCTGCCCTTCTCTAGAGGGGTCCCCCTACGCTTAGCAGGTTTTTCTACCAAAACACTCCCCGTATTGTGTTTCCGGACTTAACTGTGCTTTTACGCCATGCAAAACCAGGTTTCCTGGAAATTTACCCAATAAAGTGTGTTCTCCTGGCATAGCAAACTCAACCCTGGCTGACTCTGTTGATGCTCATGTGCTCGTGTGGTTCATGGGGGTGTCTGATCAGGGGCTGCAGTATAGTTGTGGGGTTTCCATTTAGGTCTATCTTCTCGGGCTCTGAGTGGGAGGCGGTGGCAGGGTGATTTGAAGTATTTAATAACAAAGATGCCTCAGAGGCTGGCCAATGAGAACAGACACTGACCCAGTCTGGATGGGTGCGGCCATAGCTCTCAGCTTGGCCCTGCCTGTGAGTAGACACCTTAGGGCGGCCCCAGAAGAGGCAAAGGCTCCAGAGCCAGTCTTCATCCATAGCCCGACCTGGATTCGGTGGCTATCTCTCTTTTTCTTTCAGCTTCTCCTCTCTTGCCCAGCTGCTGTCACCCTGCTGCCTGATACTGGGGATGGTTAAGGAGAGGGGGTCCCAGGAACAAGCAGAGAGGGCCAAACACTAGGCAGCCATCCTCAGCCAGCCATGCCAGGGAGGGCAGTCAGGGAGAGCAGGGAGGTGAAGGTGGAGGGCAGGTGAATCCATGTCCCAACAAGGCACATAGGGCCAAACTGAAGGGTGCCAGGGACAGTGGGGTGGGGGTGGGTGCTCAGACATGGAGTCTGGGGAGAGGACAGCCAGGCTTCACTGTGGAGCAGAGTTCAGAGCCCTGGATTCCACTGGCTGAGTTAGGCAGGTCTGCAGGTGGGGCCTAACTCTGCCAGCTCTGGACACCCCTCTGATCAGAGAAGCATGGCCTGGGAGAGGTCTGAGGGCCTCACGGTTGGTTCCTTTGCCCCTGCTCCAGTCTTCACTTGAGAAAACAGGCCCAGAGAGGGCAGTGACTTGTTCCAGGCCACAGAGCAGTGAGTGGCAGAGACCTGGCCATCACCTGGCTATTCTGACCCTGGCTCTGGAGCTCTTCTCAGTACAATTTCTCTCTCTCTCTCTCTCTGTCTCGCTCTCTGTCTCTGTCTCTCTTCCCTCCTCCCCCTCTCTTGTGCTCACTCTCCTCTGGGCTCTCCTCTGGGTCATGGCCAAGACATCCATGACCTGGCTCTGCCTCATGTCATCAGCTACTTGCTGCTAAATGGGACTCTTCAATCACTTGCTGAGCAAGCCAGAGGTGCAGCAAACTTATCAGACAACAGGAGAAGACGTGCATAGGTAGCATCAGAGCATCCTGCACTGAGCCCGACTCTGCCACTCTGTGCTATATGCCCGGTTATGTCATGAGACCTCTCTGGTCTCAGCAGGTTCATCTGTGAAATGGGGCTGCCAGGAGGTTCTGATGAGACAGTGTGTGTGTAGCTTCCAAAAAGTGGTAGCTATCAGTGTTGCTCTTACTACAAATGCAGAGTCCCTGGCTTCAGAGTGTTGAACAGGAACCCCCACTGCATGGGCCAAGTGCTTTGCTTTGTATCTGGCAGGATGCTATGGTGAGGGCTGTGCTGCCAGCAGTGTCCTTGGAGCTGGAGAGTGAACCCAAAGGCCTCAGCCTCAGAGGATGCACCTAGCTTTGGGCAGGGGGGGCAGTTGGCATGGTTCTCTCACCTGCCCTGCCCCTTCCCTCTCACTGCTCCACTCATGCTCTAGGGCCTAAGTCTGCACCCCTGACCCTGGCCTGAGGCCAGTGTGTGACCAGGCGTGCACAGAGAGCATTGTACCTCTGTGCGGAAACAGGCAGGGGTCCAGGAATGGAACGAGTCTCCGGGAAACAGCTGAGCTGCCTTGTCACTGTGGATGAACCACACAGGGCATGACCTGATAAGTAATCACATCATCAGCACCTTGTGTTGTACAGTGCTTTCCCTTTTTATGATCACTCTCCAGTTTACAGGGCACACTCATAGCCTCATCTGATGCACGCAATCAGCCCTGTGTGGCTGTGAGCTCTTTATTTATTCATACTTGCCTAGCTTTTAATTACATTGTCCAGAGCATATGTATCAGTTAGGAAACACCTCCTATCTCAACCTCACACACACCCTTAACTGAGTTGCAATTGAAATCACTGACCAACAAGCAAACCAGAATTCAACAGTGTTGTGGGGGTAGGTGGCGACTGGTCTAAAGTCACACAGCAGGCGGCTGACTTAGGAGCCTTCTTAGGTCTTTGGGCTCCTATTTCATTGATATGGAGAGAGATATAGAAAACATTCAATAACATTTCCGCAGAGTGAATATGATGTTTTATTTCAAGGCGGTATGGTTTTTCTGATCCTTTTTGTACTTTCCAGATATGCTATCTGACTGCCTTTCTCATTCACATATACACATCAATTAATCAACAAAGAGATAACAACGGAACATGGCATACACAGCTAATCCAATCTTAAGGCTCAGGCCTATCTAGGAAGGAGCAGGGGTGGCGGAAGCGGCTGGAACAAAGAGTGGATAACAGGCACAATTCCCGAGGAGCTCACGTCCAGCTGTGGAGACACCTCGCCCCCTCGCTCCCAGCAACTGCACTGGGATAGCAGGAGCGGGTGTGGGCAGGGTTTCAAGTTTTGGGGAAGAGGAGAAATCACTGAGGGCTGGGGTGACCAGGAAAGGCTTTGGGGCAGATTTGGATTTGATGGGCAGAAAAAGGAGGAAGGAGGGCAAAGGGCATTTTAGGGCCGTATTTAGTGTATCCGTGGCATGATCTGGGGACAGCCTGGACCACATCTGAGCAGAGTGCAAGGATCCTGTAAGGAAAGTTACTAGGAATGTGCTAAACAATGTTAGTTCTTGCTGATAAGGGGTTCTAGATAATCATGTCATTTAAGAAAAGCATGCTAAAAAGGAACAGAAATAGATCAGACCAATTTACAAAATACCTTAAAACAGCTTGAAAAATATTACATATATGTTTTATAAAGTTATCTAAAAATCTTATCAAGAATTTTTTAGTCACAACTTTAGCACTAAATTGGTTTATGAGATCCATCTCCCTTGGGCAGAATGGCTTTTGGCCCAGAAAACACTTTGTTCTTGGCCAAAGGGGCTGGTTAGTCTGGACAGGTGCTGCTCACCTACACAGAGATGCCGGATCCCCTTCCATCTCTGAGTCTCAGTTTCCTCATTTACAAAAGTAGGAATAGTAGGCTGGGTGTGGTGGCTCATGCCTGTAATCCCAGCACTTTGGGAGGCTGAGGCAGGCAGATCACGAGGTCAGGAGATCGAGACCATCCTGGCTAACACGGTGAAACCCCGTCTCTACTAAAAATACAAAAAAAAAAAAAAAAAGAAAAATTAGCTGGGTGTGGTGGCGGGCACCTATAGTCCCAGCTACTCAGGAGGCTGAGGCAGGAGAATGGCGTGAACGCTGGAGGTGGGGCTTGCAGTGAGCTGAGATCGCACCACTGCACTCCAGCCTGGGCAACAGAGTGAGACTCCATCTCAAAAAAAAAAAAAAAAGAAGTAGGAATAGTTAAGATTGACTGTGTTTTCCTTTCCCCGCTCCCTACTCTCTTTTGTTTCCTCCCATTCTTTCTTTCCTTTCTTAACACAATTCACCGTGGGAAAAATCACTTAATTAATTAATTAATTCATAGACATCTAGAAGCCCTGCACTGTGCTTAACACTACAGAGATTTAAAAAAAAAGTACAAGGTCAATCCTTGCCCCCATGCTTACAGTCTCCCTGGGAAAATAGGGCTGAAACACAAGACAATCAGAAGACGTCAGTTAATTGGAGGCCAAGAAATCTACCAATAGTCACTGCCTTGGGCATTCAGAGCTGGGAGGGCACAGCAGGGCTGGAGCAGGGGCCAGACTTCGGGGGAAGGCCTGGCCAGGACTGGGCCCTTAGAGGCAGTGGGGTGGGCCTGTGGTTTGGAGCTGCAAGGCCTGGGCTTTAGCCTCCCTGGGAAGCCTGTGTGGACCTTGGGTAAGCCATTTTCTACTCTGACCATTGTCTCCTTCTGTAGGAGTCAGCACCTTTCTATCCACGACTGTGTTGGAGGGTGTGTGTGAGGCCTTAAAGAAGATAGCATGCCTTGAACAGTTGTACAGATGCTTTTTCAGCTGTGATCTGGGACAGGCTCCTGAAACAGTCCAAGCCTCCTCTATTTAATGGGCTATTGGTGATGCCAATCTCATGAGTTTGTGTGAGGACTGAATAAGAGAATGCATAGAGACAGATCAGCGTGGGGGCTGGTGGGTACTAAATGCTCAGTGAATGATGGTTGCTACCATCAGCCGGGTTATTGATAGGGCTGTGTGAAAAGAGCTCCAATTCAGGCAGCCAGAAGGAAGGGCTTCTCCATTTCTCAACCAGGGCTGGGGAAGACATGCCCTCCTAGATGTCATCATGGGCAGGTGTCCAATTAACTGATCTCTAGGCATTGTGGCTAGAACTTAGGCTCTACAACCTGCACAGACTTCCTGGCAAGGGAAAGAGTAGGGAAGTGTCCATCAGGGCTCTGCAGTATCTAGGGTGATAAGCTGTCCCATTTTACCGAGGACTGAGGTTTCCCTGGCATATGGAACTTTCGGAACTAAAGCCAGAAAATTCCTGGGGAAACCAAGAAAATTGGTCACCTTAGCCATATTTTCTGGGCCAATTCAAGAGCCTTCTGTGTCTCCCTGGCTGCAAGACCCCTGCCTTCCTGCACCAACCAAGTTTACCCTTCCATCTTCTGGGAGCACCCCAGAGACCTCCTCTACTCCCTCAGGCCAATAAAAGAAGTCAAAGTTGGAGAAAGTCAAGACAGTGGCTGAACTCCCATGCTTGCTTAATGCGGAGGCTGAGGTCTGGGCTCAAATGACAGGTCCCTTTGAAGAACTGACAGGGACTTGGTCTTCCCAGTGATGTGGGGTGGTGGAGATGAGTCTTGACATAGTAATGGGGCTCCTATTTTATGAGACTGGTAAATTTTCACAGGAAACTAAATAACAGGTTAATGAGGGGTTTTAATAGAAAGTGGTGTTAACTTTAATGAGGAGAAAACACTTTGTAAAGGCCAACCAATGCCCACTGGGGCAGAGATATAAATCTGGGGTAAGGAGCTGCTTCTCTGCTTTGGGGTGTCTGGCCTCAGAGACCTATCAATTGCATCTGAGTTGCAGGGGCCATGGCTTCCAAATGCCTCAAGGCCGGCTTCTCTTCTGGGTCTCTCAAGAGCCCAGGAGGGGCCAGTGGGGGCTCCACTCGTGTGTCCGCAATGTACTCCAGCAGCTCTTGCAAGCTTCCAAGTCTCTCCCCTGTGGCCAGAAGTTTCTCTGCCTGCTCAGTGGGTCTGGGCAGAAGCAGCTACAGGGCCACCAGCTGCCTCCCTGCTCTCTGCCTCCCTGCTGGAGGCTTCGCTACCAGCTACAGTGGGGGTGGGGGCTGGTTTGGGGAGGGCATCCTCACTGGCAATGAGAAGGAGACCATGCAATCCCTGAACGACCGCCTGGCCGGCTACCTGGAGAAGGTGCGTCAGCTGGAGCAGGAGAACGCCAGCCTGGAGAGCCGCATCCGTGAGTGGTGTGAGCAGCAGGTCCCCTACATGTGCCCTGACTACCAGTCCTACTTCCGGACCATCGAGGAGCTCCAGAAGAAGGTAAGAGGTTCAGAGTGGCTTTGGATTCCCAGGAACTTTGTGTCACCAGCATTCATTGGTAGTTCTGTTCCCATAGGGCATGTTGGAAGTCACCAAGCATGTTCATCTCTGTGGCCTCATTTGCTCCTCCCAATAACCTTAAGAGGGAGGTATCATTAGCCCATTATACAGTTGAGAACACTGAGATTCAGGCTGGGTAAGCGACCCAGATGGCAGTTACTGGAGCCAGAGCTTGAACATCAGGTCTATGAATGAACTCTGTGACCTTTGGTGGTATTGCCCAATCCTCTGAGTCTTCTGAGTTTTCATTTCCTCTTTTATTTAAAGTCAGGGGATTGGGTTTGATGTATTTAGTGCAGTGCAGTTCAGGCTTCCCATAAGTAACTCAGGGAAGAAAATGCCTGTCAGAGAAGTTTCTTTCTTGCCAAGGGCCCATATCCACTTCTCGCCTGGCCCAAAGTTATAGCTGGCTCCTGTGAGGGACCATTTATGACCAGAGAATCCCGGGGTATGTTGTTGGCAATGAAATGCCCTGGGCCCCCAGTAGGCCTGGGAGACAGGGAGATTGGAAGAAGCCTCATTTCATCATGCCAGGCCTTTCCTGTTGCATTTTCATGCAGCTATCTAACCTGAGTAACAGGTCACAGATACACTGCACTGGAAGAAACCCTGGACTTTCCATAGTTGATCCCTAGAGCCTGCCCATAACACTCCAATGCACATGGAGTAGCAGAGGTCTAGGATGGGTGACTTCCTCCTTCCAGAGTCAGCCCTTGTCAGCTTTAGGGAGCTCCAACAAGTGGAATGTCCTTTCTTGCAATGAAATAACTTCTTCATATCTCCAGACTCTATGCAGCAAGGCTGAGAATGCCAGGCTGGTGGTGGAGATTGACAATGCCAAATTGGCTGCAGATGACTTCAGGACCAAGTGAGTTGTCCTGCTTGTCATGTGGTTGGGGGCTGCTAGAACTGGACACAGGTGATGCCTGAGCTCAGGGTTTTGGCTGTACTCTGTCATTGGGGCATAAAAGCAGGACTCACAGCACCTGGACAGTCTGAGGGCAGGCCTGACTTAGATGCAAAAAGGAAATGCAGACTCAGGTGCCCTGTTCTATGCCTGCAGGTATGAGACGGAGGTGTCCCTGCGGCAGCTGGTGGAGTCAGACATCAACGGCCTGCGCAGGATCCTGGATGACCTGACCCTGTGCAAGTCTGACCTGGAGGCCCAGGTGGAGTCCCTGAAGGAGGAGCTGCTCTGCCTGAAGAAGAACCATGAGGAGGTGAGCATGGGGGAAAAGGTGAACACGGCACAGCAGGTGAGCATGGGGGAGGAGGTGAACATGGGGAGGAGGTGAGCATTGGGGATGAGGTGAGCATAGGGGGAGGTGAACATGAGGGAGCAGGTGTGCATAGGGAAGAGGAGGTGAGCATGGGGAGCAGGTGAGCATAGAGAGCAGGTGAGCATGCAGAGGAGGTGAGCATGGGGAGGAGGTGGGCATGGGGAGCAGATGAGCATGGGGAGGAGGTGAGCATTAGGAGGGGTGAGCATGGGGAGGAGGTGAACATGAGGAGGAGGTGAACCTTGGAGGCAGCCCTCTGGGAATTAGTACTCATCCTGGTCTGTGCTATAGGAAGTGAACTCACTGCGCTGCCAACTTGGTGACCGCCTCAATGTTGAGGTGGACGCTGCCCCACCTGTTGACCTGAACCGAGTTCTGGAGGAGATGAGGTGCCAGTATGAAACCCTGGTGGAGAATAACCGCCGGGATGCTGAAGACTGGTTGGACACCCAGGTAGGTACCTGGAAACAGTCAGTGCAACAGGGGTATGTGGTGGCTCACATGGAAGTGACCCTGGGGCTCTGAATCAAGAAATCTAACTTTGAGTCCCATCTCTGTTTTGACCTTGCTGACAAGGTCAAAACAGACCCACTTCAATTGACCTTGCTGACAAGGTCAAAACAGACCCACTTGGGCAGGTTGCTGTCCTCTGAGCAACAATGCCCTCCAGTATAAAATAAATGAGTGGGACTGGGGAATCGGGAATGTCTTTCTTGGCTCATGATTCTAACCGGCCTCTGTAGCTCTCTGAAGCCAAGTCCCTGGTGTGGCTGACCAGGTTCTGTGTGTGTATGTTTCAGAGTGAGGAGCTGAACCAGCAGGTGGTGTCCAGCTCAGAGCAGTTGCAGTCCTGCCAGGCAGAGATCATCGAGCTGAGACGCACGGTCAACGCCCTGGAGATTGAGCTGCAGGCTCAGCACAGCATGGTGAGCCCCAAGGCAGGGTGGAGCTGCCTCTGGACCAAGCCGAGGAGCACACAAGCTCCCCAGCTTCCATGCTTTGACCACACAGGCGGACTCCAGGGGTCCATGTTCTTGAGCACCAGGGGTTCTCTATGCAGAAAAGAGGGAATGAGGGACCAGCTCCAGTCACAAATCCCCCAGTGGTAAAGGACAAGAGACCTGTAGCAACTGACATGTCCAGGCAGTAGGTCCTATATTTGTGCAAGCAGATACATCTTCTGAGTAACTATCAGTTACTCAGAGATGACACTAACAGGGAGATACTTTCTAGATCAAAGAAGCCACAGGGGCTAATTAG
This sequence comes from Homo sapiens, assembly GCF_000001405.40. NCBI lineage: Eukaryota > Metazoa > Chordata > Mammalia > Primates > Hominidae > Homo > Homo sapiens. The sequence goes on along the minus strand of NC_000017.11, from coordinate 41,478,026 downwards.
CTCATCTCAAGTGAGATGTCTGATTGTGGTTCATCCTAGCTCAAACTCTGATTCTCCGAGCTTCTGTTCTTGGATTCTGAGGCCTCACTGAGACCCAGATTCCTTCCTTGCTCCTTCTCTGACCTCTAGCCTTTTTCCTCCCTACACAACTCTTGACCTCACAGAGAGATGCTTTGGAATCCACCCTGGCAGAGACGGAGGCCCGCTATAGCTCCAAGGAAGATTCCTTCCTTGCTCCTTCTCTGACCTCTAGCCTTTTTCCTCCCTACACAACTCTTGCCCTCACAGAGAGATGCTTTGGAATCCACCCTGGCAGAGACGGAGGCCCGCTATAGCTCCCAGCTGGCCCAGATGCAGTGCATGATCACCAACGTGGAGGCCCAGCTGGCCGAGATCCGGGCTGACCTGGAGCGGCAGAACCAGGAGTACCAGGTGCTGCTGGACGTCCGGGCCCGGCTGGAGTGTGAGATCAACACGTACCGGGGCCTGCTGGAGAGTGAGGACAGCAAGTGAGTATCACTGCATGTGCTCTTGTCTTCTCACTGCAATCTACCAAGTTCTGGGAAGACAGCATGGTGCCTAGAAAGAGCCTGGCATTCGGAGTCTGGAGTTCTGTTCTCTTAGTTCTGGTCTTCCTGAAAACTCATCACGTGACTCCAGCAAGCCCCCTTTCCTCTCAGGGCCTGTTTCCCTTTTGGTAAAACAAGGGGGCAGGATCAAGGTGGTTTTTAGGGTGCTTCCCAGTTTGCATAGTCTAGGATCTACTTTGAGTTACTGCAAACAGCAACTGGAAAATCACAGTAATTTGTTTTCTTTTTTCTAGGCTCCCCTGTAACCCATGTGCACCTGACTACTCACCCTCCAAGTCATGCCTTCCCTGTCTTCCTGCGGCCTCCTGCGGTCCTAGTGCAGCCCGCACAAACTGCAGCCCCCGCCCCATTTGTGTGCCCTGCCCAGGGGGTCGGTTCTGAGAGCGGGTGACCCAGATGGCCATGGCTATTGTCTCCAGGGCTTGAACTTGGCCTCTACCCAAACTTAACCCTTGTAGCCCAATCCCCTCTCTTCGCGCAGAGCCCAGGCCCAGGGTCTGGCTGAAAAGGCTTTCTGCAAATACATGCCCTAAAGTTTCTCAGAGCCTGTCACAAAGGCCGGCTGCCCCCAAAGGTCTCAACTCCTCATCATTTCAATGGGTGCCAGGGTCTCTGTTCTCAGGCTGCCTCCTGGGTCAGGTTTTCCTTCTAGGTGCTGTTCCGGTGGATTCTGAAATGCAGTAGAGGGCTTTTGTTGGCAGAACAATAAAGTGCATTTGCTCAGGCCCCTGATGCCTAACTTGCACCATTCTGGTGTTGTTGGCTTGTGTCTCTGCTGTGTCCAGGGGGTGACTGTTGGGCAGCCGAATGGGAGATGTGTGACCAAGTATGACCCTTTGGATGACAGGGTCACTATGCCCCTGTTTGGGGTGGGTAGAGGCCTACAGTGAGAGCTTTTGCTTGGCTTCCCTGATGAAGACCTTTCTCCAAGATTCCAGTGTGGTGCCAGGTGTTTTCAGACTGCTGTGGAATCCCTCTTAGTATACGTGGTCACCTGGGGATCCCAGAGTGGGAGGGACAAAACTGAGATGGAAACTGAGATCAGCATAACAGGGAGGGTTTTAGGCCACTTTATCAGCCTCTTGTCTGTGGTCCTTGTAAGACCGGCGATAGGGTGTCTCCCTCCCAGGGTACTTTTAGGGGTGCATTTACATAAGCCCCCTACCATTGCAGCCCTTTCATGCAGCCCTCCAAGTTCAGCAACCCCCTTAACAATCCACAGCCCATCATAAGCAGGAGATGGAGAGTGTGCTCGCCTTCAGGGCTTCTATCCCGAATGCTAAGGCTCTTGTCCTTAGGAGGCTTGTGCATGTGCTCCTGTGCTCTTGGCATCTGGTGAGGTGTACAACGAGCCCTCCTCAGATGGGTGTGAGAGCTCCCAGCAGCTTGACCCAAAGGCTCTCATCTGTGTCCAGAATGTCCTCCCCAAACAGGCAAGGCAAATAGCAAGTTCCCTTAATCCCAGTGGGAAAGGGAGAAGGGCCAAGACCAAAGTTTCTGAGCAAAAAACGAGGATGTGCGTTCCCAGTTGGCATGTGCTCCTCATAAGATGCTGAGAGCACCTGCTAAGGAGCTTCAGTGATGTTAAGAGAGCTGTAGCCACGTCCAAAGGGAGAGCAGGTGGCTGGAAGATGCTGACTAAGGCAAGCCAGAGACCCTTGTCCCTTAAGGACATCTGCTATAGTTCCCTCTGATTTGAACACAGAATCCTCTCCTTTCTAGCCCCCTGCAAAGAGGGCCTGGGCCTTTGGTTGCTCCCAGCCCCACCTTGCTCCTGGCATCTGGCGTCACCTCCGTGTTGGTCTTTTTGGAACCCCTTGGCTAATTTTGGTGAGGCTTAGGCACCGGAAAGGGGTGGTCGCCTCAGGATCATTCACTTCATTCAACAAGCCCTTACAAAGCATGTCCCTGTGCCAGGGGGTGTGTTAGCTGCCAGGGGAGGACTGGTCTGTGTAGGAGGGGGGCCTTGGGATGGGACTGGAAGGATGCTCACTTGCCACTTTTTTTCTTTTCTATCTCAGTGGTGTCAGTAGACTGGCTGAAGCGGACCTTGACATTAGTGCAATAAACGTGGGCTCCGAATGTGGAGTCAGATGGACCTGGGTTCAAATCCCCACCCACCACTAACTACATGTGGGAGGTTTAGCAGGTCATTGTCCATTTCTGAGCTTCAGTTAAATAGAGAACATGACACTTATGCTGTGAAGTGAGGCCGAGAATGCTTTGCCCAGCATATGCAGGGCATTTGAAGATGGCTCATCACCACCAACTCTCCCTTCCAGCTGGACGACTGGATTGCTATGAGGCTGGGCATCCACATTTCCCTGGCCAGAGTTTCACTTCTGACGTTTCCTTCCCGGTAAACCAGGCCAGCTAAAGTGAATATGCAGTTACATGCTTCATTATCTAATTCCAACTCTGAGCAAAGTCAGCGGGGAGCCTCATGGCCAGCAGCACGTGGATGCTATCTGGAGCACTTGGGCTCGGTTAACTCTGCTGTGTATAGGTCACGCCCTTCTTTATGGCATTCTCTGTGGCACAAATCCTTTCTAAACCCATCCTAGCTTCCTCCAAGATGTAGCTAACTAAATCATCTGTAATCCTACTTCTAATTATTATTTACTTCATTTGCTTGTGCTTTTTAATTATAACGCTGTTTCCATTCAACTACAAGTTCTCAACCTTGCCTGTACATTGGAATGACCTGGAGGGCTTTAAAAAATACCGATGACTGCTCTGACCCCCCAAAATTCTGCTTTAGTTGGTCTGGGATATGACTCGGTACTGGGATTTTTGAAAGCTCTCTGGGTGATTTGAACATGCAGCCAGGGTTGAGAGGTCATTTGTCAGGTAGAGGAACTTTTGGCAACACAGCTGGGAGTGCAGAGGGCTCAGGGCAACTCTGACATAGACCCTAGCACCCCCAGGTCTGGTCCCTATTATGCTTTTGACTTTCTCAGTTCTGGCATTTCTCTCTCTTTCGACTTCAAATTTTTGAACTGCATTTTAAATTTGTTATATTTTTTTCTCCAAAAAGTCATTTTTTTTCTCTGTTTGCTCCTGTTTTATAACATTTAGTTCTTGTTTCATGGCTATAACTGCTATATGTATATACATCTCTCCCACTCTGAGGTTATTTAAAAAATATATATATATACAGTTTTGGATTCTGCATTATTTCTGTTTTCTTCAATTTCCTTTTTTACTGTTTTGTTTGTTTGCTTGTTTTACTTTGTCTTTAATATTGGAAGCTTCCTTCAAGTATCTGGTCATCCTTTTGTTTATATTTTATGACGAGACACTAAAAAGCTGATAGAAGGTGCTACGTGGATGGGCAGGTTGGAAAACCGGCTTTTTGCATGGTACAACCACCTCAGTTCAGTTTCTGTAAGTCTTTTCTCTGGAGTTTTATTTTTTTTCCAAAGAAGGAGCCTCTGGTTTTCTGCGGGGGAATGAATGGAGGGAGACAGTGCTGGCCCAGGCTGTGACACACATCCTATCTGCTTTTGTTGAAACAGGCCCTTCCTCCTGGATTCTTTGCATCCCTTTCTCTTCTCTTCCTAAACTTATTTTCCTGATAGTTTGCTCTGGCCCCAGAGAGGTTGGGGTACAGTGGAAAGTCTTTGGATCAGCCAGACCTGGGCCTGAGAACTGACAGTGCCCCACTTTCTCTGTGGCTACCTTTCCTAGACCCTACTTCTCCATCTTCACGACATACCCCAGATCTGGCATATTGCCTGGAACTGTGGTCTTCTGTGACTTTGGATGCTGCTGCTACTACCTTTATCAATCCGCTCTTTTTTTTTTTTTGAGACGGAGTCTCGCTCTGTGGCCCAGGCTGGAGTACACTGGCGCAATCTCGGCTCACTGCAAGCTCTTCCTCCCGGGTTCACGCCATTCTCCTGCCTCAGCCTCCCAAGTAGCTGGGACTACAGGTGCTCGCCACCAAGCCCAGCTAATTTTTTTGCATTTTTAGTAGAGACGGGGTTTCACCGTGTTAGCCAGGATGGTCTTGATCTCCTGACCTCGTGATCTGCCCGCCTGGGCATCCCAAAGTGCTGGGATTATAGGTGTGAGCCACTGCACCTGGCCTCAATCTGCTTTTATATGAAACCTGGTCTTTCCTTCACAACGGAAAACTCTGCTCACGCTGGCATTTGGGACTGCACCTCACAGCGACAGCCTCTCAGCATCATCCTGGAGCCCCTGCTCCTGGTTCCTGTCTCTCTCCTCCTCATTCCTTCCTTCCAGGATTGTCCTGTGAACTTCAAATCCTTCTCTCCTTTCACCCTCTGATGTCTTACCAGCCAAATCAAGGCATTAGGGTCCCACCTTTTAACCCAAGATCTTCTTAATGTAGTTTCCCAAGTAAAGACATTTTTTTTCCTGCAAGATGAATTCTGGTGACAGCTGTTAAAATATATGCAGGCACACTTCGATTTATTGAGTTTCAATTTATTATACTTCCCAGATATCGTTTTTTTTTCTTTTTTCTTTCTTTTTTTTTTTTTTTTTTTACAAATTAAAGTTTTGTGCCAATCCTGCCTAGAGCAAGTCTGTTGGTGCTAATTTTTCCAACAGCATGTGCTTATGTGTCTCTGTGTCACATTTTGGTAATTCTCACAATACAAATTTTTTCTTTTTCTTTTTTTTTGAGACAGAATCTGGCTGTCTGCCCAGGCTGGAGTGCAGTGGCGTGATCTCGGCTCACTGCAACCTCTGCCTCCTGGGTTCAAGCAATTCTCGTGCCTCAGCCTCCCAAGTAGCTGGGATTACAGGCACACCACGCCTGGCTAATTTTTGTAATTTCAGTAGAGATGGGGTTTCGTCATGTTGGCCAGGCTGGTCTCGAACTCTTGACCTCAAGTGATCTGCCCACCTCAGCCTCCCAAAGTGCTGGGATTACAGGTGTGAGCCACTGCGGCTGGCCAAACTTTTTCATTATTGTATGTGTTATGGTGATCTGTGGTCAGTAATCTTTGATATTACTGTTGTAATTGTTCTGGGATGCACCAAACCATGCCCAGATAAGATGGGGAACCTAACTGATAAACGTTGCGTGCGTTCTGATGGCTCCACCAACTGGCCATTCCCCCATCTCTCTCCCTATTTTGGGTCTACCTATTTTCTGAGACACAGCAATATTGAAATTAGGCCAATTAATAACCCTACCGTGGCTTCTAAGAGTTCAAGTGAAAGGAAAAGTTGCAGGTTTCTCCCTTTAAATAAAAAGCTAGAAATGATGAAGTTTAGGGAGGCGGCATCTTTCATAGCTAGACAGGAGGAGTCTGCCTTCAAAACCTTCAAAGGATGGGCTGACTCTCTTGCTAGGAGCTAATGCAGCTGATGACTTCAAGTGGGAAGTCAATGCTCATTTACCATTCTGAATATCCTAGGGCACTTAAGAATGATGCTAAATCTTTTCTGCCTGTGCACTACAAACGGAACGACAAAGCCTGGACGACAGTGCATCTGTTTATAACATGGTTTACTGAATATTTTAAGCCCACTGTTGAGACCTACTGCTTAGAATAAAAGGTTTCTTTCAAAATATTTCTGCTCATTGACAATGCATCTGATCACCCAAGAGCCCTGATGGAGCTGTCCAAGGAGATTAATGTTTTTGTGTTTGCCAACACAACATCCATTCCACAGCCCATGGATCAAAAACTAATTTTGACTTTCAAGTCTTATTACCTAAGAAATATATTTCATAAGGCTATAGCTGCCATACAGAGTGATTCCTCTGATGGATCTGGGCAAAGTAAATTGAAAACCTTCTGAAGAGGATTCACTATTCTATATGTCAATATTTGTGATTCAAGAGAGGAGGTCAAAATATCAACATTAACAGGAGTTTGGAAGAAGTTGATTCCAACTCTCATGTATGATGTTGAGGGGCTTAAGACTTCAGCAGAGGAAGTAACTATAGATGTGTTGGAAACAGCAAGAGAATTAAAATTAGAATTGGAGCCTGAAGATGTGACTGAATTGTTGCCATGTTATGGCAAAACGAACGGATGAGGAACTGCTTCTTATTCATGAACAAAGAAAGTGGTTTCTTGAGATGGAAACTACTCCTGGTGAAGATGCTGTGAACATCACTGAAATGGCAACAAAGGATTTGGAATACTACATCAATTTAGTTAATAAGGCAGTGGCAGGGTTTGAGAGGACTGACCCTAGTTTTGAAAGAATTTCTACTGTTAAAATGCTATCAAACAGCATCACATGCTACAGGGAAATCTTTCATGAAAGGAAGAGTCAACTGATGCGGCAAACTTCACTGATGTCTCATTTTCAGAAATTGCCACAGCCACACTAACTTGCAGCAATCATCACCCTGATCAGTCCTCAGCCATCAACATTGAGGCAAGACCTTCCACCAGCAAAAAGATTATAACTTGCTGAAGGCTCAGATGATCCTTAGCATTTTTAGCAATAAAGCATTTTTAAAATTAAGTTATATACATTGTTTTTAGGCCATAATGCTATGGTACACTTAATAGACTATAGTATAGTGTAAATATAATGTTTACATACACAGAAAAACCAAAAAGTTTGTGTGACTCACTTTATGGTTACATTTGCTTTATTGTGGTGGTCTAGAACTGAACATGCACTATCTCTGAGGTATGCCTGTATCTTCCTCTATCTCAGTGGGTCTCCAAACCACCTGAAGGACATGCTAAACACAGGCTGCTGCATCCCAGCCCCAGCCTCAGAGTTTCTGATTCAGCCAGTCTGGGATGAGCCTGAAAAACTGCATTTCTTTTTTTTTTACATTTTATTTTTATTTTTATCAAAGCAGTGTATCTACATTGTTTAAATAAAACAACATTAAATAGCAAATATTTAAAAACTGCAACATCTATGCCTTCTTTCTTTCTTTATTGTTATTATACTTTAAGTTTTAGGGTACATGTGCACAATGTGCAGGTTAGTTACATATGTATACATGTGCCATGCTGGTGTGCTGCACCCACTAACTCGTCATCTAGCATTAGGTATATCTCCCAATGCTATCTCTCCCCCGTCCCCCCACCCCACAACAAATGAGAACACATGGACACAGGAAGGGGAACATCACACTCTTTTTTTTAAAAATTTTACTTTAAGTTCTGGGATGCATTTGCAGAATGTGCAGGTTTGTTGCATAGGTATACATGTGCCATGGTGGTTTGCTGCACCTATCAACCCATCATCTAGGTTTTAAGCCCCGCATGCATTAGGTATTTGTTCTAATGCTCTCTCTCCCCTTGCCCCCCATCCCCCGACAGGCCCTGGTGTGTGATGTTCCCCTCCCTGTGTCCATGTGTTCTCATTGTTCAACTCCCACTTATGAGTGAGAACATGTGGTGTTCGGTTTTCTGTTCCTGTGTTGGTTTGCTAAGAATGATGGTTTCCAGCTTCATCCATGTCCCTGCAAAAGACACGAACTCATTCTTTTTTATGGCTGCATAGTATTTCATGGTATATATGTGCCACATTTTCTTTATCCAGTCTGTCATTGATGGGCATTTGGGTTGGTTCCAAGTCTTTGCTATTGTAAATAGTGCTGCAATAAACATACTTGTGCATGTGTCTTTATAGTAGAAAGATTTATAATCCTTTGGGTATATACCCAGTAATGGGATTGCTGGGTCAAATGGTATTTCTGGTTTTAGATCATTGAGGAATCACCATGCTGTCTTCCACAATGGTTGAACTAATTTACACTCCCACCAACAGTGTAAAAGCTTTCCCATTTCTCCACAGCCTTGCCAGCATCTGTTGTTACCAGACTTGTTAATGATCACCATTCTAACTGGCATGAGATGGTATCTCATTGTGGTTTTGATTTGCATTTCTCTAATGACCAGTGATGATGAGCTTTTTTTCATATGTTTCTTGGCCACATAAATGTCTTCTTTTGAGAAGTGCCTGTTCATATCCTTTGCCCACTTTTTGATGGGGTTGTTTGTTATTTTCTTGTAAATTTGTTTAAGCTCCTTGTAGATTCTGGATATTAGACCTTTGTCAGATGGGTAGATTGCAAAAATTTTCTCCAATTCTATAGGTTGCCTGCTGACTCTGATAACAGTTTCTTTTGCTGTGCAGAAGCTCTTTAGTTGAATTAGATCCCATTTGTCAACTTTGGCTTTTGTTGCAATTGCTTTTGCTGTTTTAGTCATGAAGTCTTTGCCCATGCCTATGTCCTGAATGGTATTGCCTAGACTTTCTTCTAGGGTGAAAACTCACATTTCTAACATGTTCCTGAGTCAGGTTGATGCTGAGAGTGACTGATAACACCTTATTATAATAATTATAGTTTTTGGGTGAGAGGATTAAATGGGCAAATTAATGCCAAGCACTCAGCACCATGCCTGGTATTTGTATACATTCCACAAGTGCTGGCTATGATTCTGAAGGGTGGCCTGATGAGTCTCATCCCTTGTAGTTGGTATTGCCATCACACCTCCTTCCATCTGATGCTATAATCTTCTCTAAATAGGTAATCCAGACAAGGTACTGGAATTTGTAGTTGTTGCAGAGAATCAAATTGTGAGAGTATTTGATCTGACCCCCTCGATTGGCATGAAGAAACTGAGGTCTGGAGAGACAAAATTACTTTCCCAAGGCCAAATGGCAAGTCAGAGGCAGTATATCTACGCTCTCCTTTTCTTATGCAATGAATGAGCTGGGTGGCATTTTCCCTTTCCTGTTCTTGTACTGACATTTCTGGGAATATGTGAAACATAAGGCAAGTACTTATACCCCAAAATTATATCAAGAAGATTACTGAATAAAAAAGTGGCTATATAGCACACACATACTAAATGTGAAGCTCACAGCTTTTGCAGCCAGGACTGAAAACCACTGCTCTAGCATGTTGCCTTCTTAAGTGAATGCCCAGGGCTTCTATAGTTGGGCAAATATGCTCCCTGTCTCCTGGCTTAGCTCATTCCAGGGCTATAGAACATCCTTTCCCAAGGGAGTGGATTCACACTGCTTCCATAGTCTGAGATCCTGAAGTGAGCCTTCCCCATCTGCCACAACAGAAAGTAAAAGTAGAACCTGTTCCAACTATTCTCAGTCTGTTCAACAAACAATTATTGAGCACTTGACAATTGTGTATATGGTGCAGTGATAATTGAATGGATGGTCCAGAGGGGGTCAAGACAGAGCAGCTGCCACCTGGAGATGTTCATGATATGGACTTTTCCAAGAGGAAGAGACCAACTGGAAAGATGTACCTGATTCTTAGGCTTCTGTTTGGGTCTTTTTTTTTTTTTTTTTTTTGCCTTTTGAAGGGGTGCAGCATTCCTGGAGGTACTGCAATACCAGGTCAACATGTAGAGTGAACAGAGCAAGCTCTTATTCCATCTCCCTGCTCCCAAAATCCATTTAATATGTTGTCCTCAGATGGAGGACGTATCAGATATTAAGACGATAAGAACAGATACCACACTTGATCTTAGCCAAAAGGCTGAGAAGTGATGCTGCCTATGTCTTGAGTTCATTCTCTCCCCACTGATATTATTTTCTTCCCCTTGGCAGGAAGATGATGTCTGTTAGGAAGCCTCTGAGGTTCCTGTTCCTTTCTGCTGGATTTATGCCGCTGCCAGCATCGGAGCAGTTTCTACCACCCACACATTTCCTTGTTAAATAGCCAGGCCTCTTCCCATGGGGAATGCTTTCATTAAAAGAGGCAGCCACTGCTGCACAGACCTGCAGGCTTCTCAGGGCTAGAGCAGGCGGGGGTGCAGTGGGCAAAGCCAGTGGAGGCACAGGCTGGGTTGTGGCAGTCTCCTGGAGGGCCTGCCCTAGTAATGAGGGCCCAGGCATGCGGCTGACCCTTTGAAGATGTGTCCTGAAGCTCTCTCATGGTGATCAATGACAGGAACCCAGACTCCTGCTTTAGCCAAATGATAAGTTTGGCCTCTTTTATTGGAAACCAAATTACAAATTAATTAGCAGCTTCCTCTGGGGCTGGGTGTGAACATCAACACCACCCAATGATGAATTTCTATCATGAGCCCCCTCACTGCAAGGGCATAAAATGGCCCGGGCGGCATGGGGTCTGTAGACATCCAGGTAGCTGTGGCTGAGGAGAAAGGGCCTCTCCAACATGACATCCTCCTGCTGTGTCACCAACAACTTGCAAGCCTCTCTCAAGAGCTGCCCCCGGCCTGCCTCGGTCTGTTCCAGCGGCGTGAACTGCCGGCCTGAGCTGTGCCTGGGCTATGTCTGCCAGCCCATGGCATGCCTGCCTTCGGTCTGCCTGCCCACCACCTTCCGGCCAGCCAGCTGCCTCTCCAAAACCTATCTATCCAGTTCCTGCCAGGCAGCCAGTGGCATCTCCGGCTCCATGGGCCCCGGCAGCTGGTACAGCGAAGGGGCCTTCAATGGCAATGAGAAGGAAACCATGCAGTTCCTTAACGACCGCCTGGCCAGCTACCTGACGAGGGTGCGGCAGCTGGAGCAGGAGAATGCGGAGCTGGAGAGCAGGATCCAAGAGGCCTCTCACTCCCAGGTGCTCACCATGACTCCTGACTACCAGTCTCATTTCAGGACCATTGAGGAGCTCCAGCAGAAGGTGAGGGCAGCGGTGAGGTGAATAGGCTCTCTGGGAAGGGAACTGGACTAGCTGGCATTCCAGATTGGAATCTCGTTAGCTTATTAAGCTATGTTCAGGACAAAGAGACTTCCCTAGGGCATAGGGTTATTTTATAATTTGAGCACTCAGCCTGAGGCTTTCATGTGGAGAGATCTGGGATCTAGTCTCAGTTCTACCATTGCCTCATTGCATGACTTTGGGGGTCCCATCCCTTCCCCAGGCCTCAGTTTTCTCATCTGTAAAACAGGGATAATAATGGTCGTTATCTAATGGGGTTGTCAAAAGGATTTGATGAGATGATGCAGGTCAAGTGCTTGGAACAGCCCCTGGTCCACGGTAAGTTTTCAGTAAATGTCAAAGACCCTTCTAACTGTCACATGAGTGACTTCAGACATGAGATTCTTCCCTTCCACATTGCTTGGCACATCCAAAATGGGGAATTTGAATTTACGAAGCTTCAGGTTCTTAAAAAATACATCTCAAGTTCTCCAAGGACTAGCAATTCGCTAAATATCTCCCAGAGTTCCAGGGAAGAGGACCTTCTGCAGGGATGGCTGCAGGGCTGCTGGATCCTACCTTTGCTGCTGTCTTCTCTTCATTTGGGTTCTTCTTGCTTCGTCTCATCCTGAACTAACCCTCTCCATGTGCCTTGGCCTACAGATTCTGTGTACCAAGGCAGAGAATGCCAGGATGGTTGTGAACATTGATAATGCCAAACTGGCTGCCGATGACTTCAGGGCCAAGTGAGTTCAGTCGGGGGGCTGGAGCTGGGGAGGACCTGTCCTCATAGGCTCTGGGGCAACTTTCCATTAGTTTCACGGAGGGTTGGAAAGTGCCGGCAGTTTAAGGCCTTCCCTGAGTTCTGCATTCTGTTTCACCCTTGGTTGCTGACCCTGTCCTTGTGCAGGTACGAGGCAGAGCTGGCCATGCGGCAGCTGGTGGAGGCCGACATCAATGGCCTGCGCAGGATCCTGGATGATCTCACTCTGTGCAAGGCTGACCTGGAGGCCCAGGTTGAGTCCCTGAAGGAGGAGCTGATGTGCCTCAAAAAGAACCATGAGGAGGTGAGGCTGGAAGTCCCGCTGAAGTGGCCCCGGGAAGCAGAGGGGGAGGAACGTGGGGTATGGGGTTGGATAGGCGTGGGTTGAAATTCCCAAGCCTGCCACATGTTGTTTTAGTGACTTTGCCCAATTTATGGAATCTTCCTGAGCCTCCTCTTCTGTAAAATGGGGACAACATGATCACGCAGGGTTATTGTGAGGATTTAATGGACAGGATATGGATCATGGAAATCCCCAAGGCATGGGTATGAAACACCTGCCACTTGGTCAACTCTCAGAAGTGTAGCCCCCTTCCCTTCTGCATTTCCTGGGCTAGTGTGACTGCCAAGCACTCACTAGTGGCAACTGCATTTTTTTCTCTCGAGAGCCACACAGCAGAGGTAGAGTGGTGCAGTGGTGCCGGGGTGAGTTATGTTCCAGATCTCACGTTGAATGGCCTGTCCATCTCTGCCTGGCTCAACTCTCAGAAGCAGTCCCATCTCTTCTGAGAGGGAGTACAGCTGCAGTGGTCTCCTCTTTTTGCCCCTATCCTTATTTTGTCCTCCCTTCTGTTTGCATATAAAATGCTCAAGCTGAAGCCCTTTACTTTCTGATTTTTCCTTATCTCCTGAAGTTTCTTGGAGGGGAAGCCCTCTGCTTTGGGCACCTGTGTGCTGCCAAGCCCACCTGAGCCATGGTGTTTTTCCCCCCTCCCTGGTTGACTCTCAACCTCTTGACTTGGGATTTGAATGAACAAGTGCCTCTGAATCTTGGCTGGGTTTCCTCAGGCTTAAGTGTAAAGTAACAATCAGTCACCACGTACTCACCGAGCACCCTCGGGCTCCTGACTCATCTTGCTCAAATCAGAGAACTGGGAACGGCACCAAGAAGCCACTAATGAGAAGTTATCACACATCCTGGCAGACTCAGTGACAACTTTCCCTCTTTGGCAGCCAAGCCTGGGAGGCAGCTGCCCTAACTCGGGCCTTTAACTAGTCAAGCCAGGCTCCTGCTACCCTCCTCCCAGGATGAACACAGGTGGGGAGGGAGACTGGGAATACTAGGGGTACCGGTTTCCCATTTTAGCCCAAATGCATCAAACAAACCAGGGTGCTGCTCTTGGCTTCTGCCAAAGTGATAGGAAGTGTTGTGTTGCAGTGAGGTTCCCATCGCAGGGGTATTCAGCTGGAGTTTGAAGAGCACTGGGATGCTGCTGAGTGGACTGCAGTCCTTAGGGGCCATCTAATGTTTCAATCTTTAGCAACTTTTGTTGCATCTTTTCATGTCTCCCTGGGGAGGTGAGCCAGGATCCTATCATTGTCACATTTTTCTGGAGGTCTTGTGCCTTTTCAGGAAGTCGGTTCCCTTCGATGCCAGCTTGGGGACCGCCTTAACATCGAGGTGGACGCTGCACCCCCGGTGGACCTGACCAGGGTGCTGGAGGAGATGCGGTGTCAGTACGAGGCCATGGTGGAGGCCAACCGCAGGGACGTGGAGGAATGGTTCAATATGCAGGTGGGCCTCTCACGGTGGGGATGGCCTCCTCCATATCCCTAGGAAGGGACTCTAGCCTTCTCCTTCCCCCAACTGCAGATGGAGGAGCTTAACCAACAGGTGGCCACAAGCTCTGAGCAGCTTCAGAACTACCAGTCAGACATCATTGACCTGAGACGCACGGTCAACACGCTGGAGATCGAGCTGCAGGCCCAGCACAGCCTGGTGAGAGCTGCTGGGTGGGCACCCATCCCTCCGGATCCTAGGCGGTACTGAGCATAGGTGCAGGTCCCCAGGAAAGAGGAAGAGGAGGCTCAGATTTCAGCCACCATGGATGCTCATCCTGTTGACTTTTCCCGGAGGGAGGTTTCTCCCGAGATCCAGCTCAGAGATAAAAAAGGGATGTTTCAAATCAGACATGGGTTAGGTGGACACTGTCAAACTCAACTCCACAAGAAGGCTTGTTCTGTGCTTAGCCTGCCCTTCCAAACCTATGGATCTCAATATCACCCATCCTGATGCCCAGGTTCTTTTCTGGACCAACTGAACCAGAGTCTCTGGAGGTGGGACCTGATCACAGCTATTTTTTTTTTTTTGAGATGGAGTCTCACTCTGTTGCCCAGGCTGGAGAGCAGTGGCATGATCTCAGCTCCCTGCAACCTCTGCCCCCGCTGGGTTCAAGTGATTTTCCTGCCTCAGCCTCCCAAGTAGCTGGGATTACAGGTGTGCACCACTATGCCCTGCTAATGTTTGTATTTTTAGTAGAGTGGGGGTTTCACCATGTTGGCCAGGCTGGTCTCGAACTCCTGACCTCAGGTGATCCACCTGCCTTGGCCTCCCAGAGTGCTGGGATTACAGGCATGAGCTACTGTGACCGGCCAGCCATGGGTATTTTTTGAGGGCTCCCATGTGGCGCTAATGTGCAGCCAGGTTTGAAAACCCCTGTTCTAAATGATGCCGGCAGGGAGGTACTTGGGAAATCTCAGATCCAATCCTGAAGGCAGACAAAGGTTGCAGAAGAAAGGAGGGATTTAGGATCAGATTTACGAACAGAAACTGTGGTTCCATAATGTACCAGCTGTTTACCCTTGAACAAGTCATTTGACCTTTCTGGGCTTCCGTTTCCAAAGTGACTGGTGTAGGGAGGGCTCATTTCCAGCATCAAAGGGAGATTTGGCTCTTCTTGGTTCTTTCTGAAGCAGGCCATGGTAAACAGCTCCCTTCCTCATGGTTATGTCTTCCTTTGCCTTAGAGGGACTCCCTGGAAAACACGCTGACGGAGAGTGAGGCCCGCTACAGCTCCCAGCTGGCCCAGATGCAGTGCATGATCACCAACGTTGAGGCCCAGCTGGCTGAGATCCGGGCTGACCTGGAGCGGCAGAACCAGGAGTACCAGGTGCTGCTGGACGTCCGGGCCCGGCTGGAGGGCGAGATCAACACGTACCGGAGCCTGCTGGAGAACGAGGACTGCAAGTACGCAGGCCCAGCTGAGGCTTAGAGAGACGTGGGCAGGGATTCTGGGAGGTTATAGGAAGCAACTGGATCTACCCTTGAGGGACCATCAGCTTAGAACCCTGTCCTGACTATGGAGCCATTAAGAAGCTGGTATGCTCTGAAGGAAGTCAGGCAGTGGTGTTCATGCTGCCATCCTGAACCAAGCCCCTCGGAGACCATTCTATCTCATTCCAAGCTGGCAAGCTCCTTCTAAGTGCCCACCATGGGGCAGGTGCTATGGAGGACACCAAGATAGAGGAAGACAGGGCATTTGCCCTCCTGTCATTTCCATATGTTTAGGGAGATAGGCAGACAGGTGACTGGAGGTCATGGCCTGTCCAGAGCTTAGGATGAAAAGCAGCTTTATTAATAGTACCTACACAATCCTGCTCCCACCTCTTACCCCAGCCTCACCTCATAGCTCCATTCCTCTCAGAACGGAGATTTTGGCATGTCAGCAGGACAATAGGTAGCCTTGTGTAATTGAGCCCTGGTGGGGAGCAGGACAGGAAAGATCAGCCGGGGCCCATTTATGGAGAACAACACGGGTCATACTGGGAAGGGAGGGCTTTAATTTATAGGTGAGTGGAAATTGTTTTGAGGAGGAAATGAGAGAATTTACTGTGTGTCTTCTCCACTAGATGGTAAACATCTAGAATGCAGAGACATTATAATACAATTTTATTCCCTGTACGTGGCACATAGTAGATGCTCAGTAAATGTCTCTCAAGCTCAAAGCTGTTCTTCAGGAAGATGGCCCTGATAGCAGCAGGAAGAACTGAGTAGAGGGAGGGGAACCAGGCAGGGAAACTGTCCAGGAGGCCCTGGCCACAGCCTAGGTAAGCAATAGGGAGGGCCTGAGTTAGGGCAGCAGAGGCATCAGCTCTAGACACTGTGCAGGTAGAATCAGCAGGACTTGGTGGCTGTCTGAATGCAGGGTACCTCTGGGCCATGGACACCCAGTGGGCTGACGACTGTTGTAGCTGTTTCTTATTCCGCATTTGGCATTGCTTCTCCATCATTCAGAATCTATAACTTCAGGGCAAGTGTTGTGTCAAACATTTGCAAGGACCAGGCCATTAACATGCATGAATGACGTGGGTCATACGGAGATGGTAGAAAAGCAGAAAGCTCTTGCCTTGTCCAATCCAGGCAATGGCATGCCCTCAGGGCCACTTCTACTGTGTGAGAAGCAGGTCCAATATTGCTGATCTTCCAATAGTTCCAGGGAAGCTGAGAATCTGGGTTTTTAAAAATGTTAAATTCTCCTGATTCTTAAGTATTTTCAAAAAATTAAAGAAAATATATAGTGCCAGGCAAATGGAACACATTTCAGGTTGCACATGATCCTCAGGCCTCCCATTGGTTCTCTGAGCTACTGGGTTTCCATCCAGCATCCAGTGTGTTGTTCCTGGTTTTGAGTGCATGCCTGTCAGTCTCTGAGATCATCCTTTTTCCTTTCACCATGTATTAATTCTTCATTCATTTATTGTTTTGTCTGATCCAAATATTCTTATTAGGTGCCTATTCTATGTGAGGTATGCAGGGTGGGCATGGGTCTGTGGCTGCTGGCCTCACTGCTTGGCCGGGGAGACAGACCATAATAGAATGATTACTACTCACGATGAAAGGAGATACATGTACCATGGGGGCTTTGTCTCAGAGAGGTGGGGGAGGCTTCAAGGAGGACGTGAGAGTTGAGTTGAGCTCTTAAACAAGAGAAGAAATGTAGGTGAGTGGAGAGGGAAGAGGGTTCCAGAGATGTACGGCACAGGGCACAAGCCCTGTGGCCTGAGCAGTACAGTCCCTGCAGGAGCTGGAAGAAGGTCAGAGTACCTGCAGCTCCCAGAGCAATGGAGCTATCAGGTGAGGCTGGGGCAAGAGGTGGGAGCAGGATCATGCAGGTCCTATTAAGGAAGCTGCTTTTCTTTATTTTATTTTATTTTACTTTAACTTCTGGGATACATGTGCAGAACGTGCAGGTTTGTTACATAGGTGTACATGTGCCATGGTGGTGGTTTGTTGCCTATCAACCCGTCATCTAGGTTTTAAGCCCTGCATGCATTAGATATTTGTTTTAATTTTCTCCCTCCCTGCTCCCCTCACCTCTCGACAGGCCCCAGTATATGATGTTCCCCTCCCTGTGTCCATGTGTTCTCATTGTTCAACTCTCACTTATGAGTGAGAACATGCAGTGTTTGGTTTTCTGTTCCTGTGTTAGTTTGCTGAGAATGATGGCTTCCAGAGGAAGCTGCTTTTCATCCTGAGCTCAAATGGAAGCCACTGAAGGTTTTAGGGAGGGGAGGGACATAATTGGATTTGTGACTGTAGAAGATTGCTCTGGCTACTAAGTGGACAGTGGTTAGGAGGGGCCCAAGTGGGGTTGGGGAGATCAGTTAGGAGGCCATGAGGTGACTCAGGCAAAGATGGCGGAGGTTGGGACCAGGGAGGCTGGGCAGAGAAAGCACGGAAGATGGGGTTGAGAGGCATCCGAGGGGAGAATTGGCAGGACCTGTGGCCGAGTGGGCCTTCTCTACTAATCCTGTTTCTCTTTGACTTTCTCCTGCAGGCTGCCCTGTAACCCATGCTCCACTCCTTCCTGCACCACCTGTGTGCCCTCCCCATGCGTGCCCCGCACCGTCTGTGTGCCACGCACTGTTGGCATGCCTTGCTCACCCTGCCCCCAGGGCCGCTACTGAAGTCCCTTTGTGCCAGTGGATCCTGGAGGGCCTGGGGCTGGGCAGCCTGGTATTCAGTGGCCACCAGAAGAGCAGGGCCAGCCCCGGTCAGCAAGGAAGACCCTGAGCAGGACCGTGGATCACCTGCAACAAGCTCTGATACTCCAGGGGATACTTAAGCCCTCATCACTTCAAAACTGCCTCTTTTTTCCATGGGTGAACTGTTCTCTTTGGTGATGTTTCTGGTTGTCTGTGCTGCCTCAAAGAGCGTGTGTTCTTAGTTAACTGGCAAATAGAGCTGTACTCAGTGGCCTTGCAAACATGTCTGTCTCTGTTTGTCACTTACGCTGCTGCATCCACAAGCCAATCCTACTCAATTGGGCTTAAGAGGAACGTGGGCAAATTCTGTATTTATTTTTATGCTCCTTCTGCTTCCATAGAGGCTTGAGAGGTGTTCACTAAAAGGGCCCGCATGCCATAAACCAGTTAAAACTAATCAATTACTCTAGAGCCAAGTAATAAAAGAATAAAGAGAGGAGGGAGATAATTATGCCAGAAACCTAGGCCAAATTACTGTAATTGAGAATCATATCATAATAAACCCACCCCTAAATCTCATTACAGCTGGTACAATGTGATCATTCATTCTTTCAAAATATCTTCACTGAGCAGCTACTGGGTGCAGGTTCTGCATTAGAGGCTGGCTAATCCAAGGAAGAGTTCCCAGACACATTGTTAGTAATGCTTCATTTAATCCTTGCAACAATCCGTGAAAAATATGCCATTATTGCATCCATTTTGTAAATGAGGAAACTGAGGCCCAGAGAAGTTAAGAAACTTGCCCAAAGTCACACAGCTTGTTAGTGGCAGACCCAGGACTGAAATCGAGGCCTTTGGGCTCTAGAGATGCTCAACCGATTCGCATTCACAGTCCTCACTATTTGCAAACTACAGCTGGGTGCAGGGGGTATTAAAAATGCAAGTGATCACCACCATTCAAACACTTGTAATTACAGGAGGAGCTAAGACCCATGTGCATAAGATGCCACTCCTTTCTTCATAAGGGCCATATAATAGTAACAGTAATAATAGTAATAATGGCAAAGGTTACTAATTCTTGAGCACTTATAATGCACCGAGTACTGTGTGGAGCATGTTACATAAATTAACTTATGCAGTTTTCATGACCACCTTGTAAGGTACACATGGTATCCATTTTAGACATGGAAATGGAGGCATAGAGTGGTCAAGTTAGTTGTTGAAGGTTACATGCAAGGACAAAGACTTAAACCCAAGTCTAGCTTCACAGCAGTGTTATTTTAACCATTCTAACTGCCAAATTCCTACCCAGAAAGAGTAAACACTAGTCAAGATTTGGAGAAAGTCTTAAGCTGAGAGGATCTGAAAGGCTTCTTGTAGCTGGTGGCGTTTGAAATAGGTCTTGGAGGTTGAATAGAAGGTCTACAGGGCACCAGATAGGCAAGTAAGTGTGTGGGGATCTTCAGGAGAGCAGGGGGTCATGCTTGGAAGGCCTCAAGGGGTCTTGCTGGCTGGAGCAGTGAGTTCCTGTGAGAGGCTGATGGGGATGAAGCTCAAATGGTAGAAAGGCATCAGAGAGTAGGGGGGCCTTGGGTACCCCACAAAAAGCCTGGATTCTGGACTCTATCCTGAAGGCAATGGGAGGGCTGCTGCAGGATTTGAGCCCAAAGATGACATGACTTGAGTGGCATCTTAGAAAGTATCACCAAGTAACACAGACAGGATAGCTAAGAGGAGGGGTTAGGCTGTGGAAGAAGCTAACAGGGTCTCAGGCAAGACAATGTCAGGGACCATGGAAAAATAAGGAATCAATCTAAGAGACACTGTGATGGACCTGACTTGGCAATGGATTGGCCATGGCAGGTAAAGAGGAGAGAGCTGGGGACAGGAATCTTGAACACCTTTCTGAACCTCACCCTCCAAACACACAGTTCTTCCTTAATGAGCTGAGATGATGTTTCTATTAAGTATCCTCCCTCTGGCCTTGCCAAGAAATGATGAAAAATGGATTGGATCCTGAAGCTGCCTGCAGGCTGCTCTCCAGACATGATCCTGCAGGCATCCCTGGCAGACAAGGTCATTAGCCTGACAGCAGGGACATGAACATACTGCTTAGCAAGCTGTGGTTCCTGGTTGATGGATGGGTAAAATTTCAAGGAGCTGAAATGCCAAGAGAGAGGGGTTCTGGCTAATTGAATTTTCTCATAACTGCGTGCAAACCAGCAATCTTTAATTTCAACCCCGGTGCAAAACTTTTCTGGAATGTGCTCAGCTTGATAAACAACACACAGAACAGACCAAAGCTTTGGTTCTATAATCCTAGACCTGTTCTGTCCAATATGGTAGTTCATAACGACATGTGGCTGCATATACTGAAACATTCGGTATATGAATGTTTCATATACTGAATTGCACTGAGTTGCACTCGTCACACGTGGCTAAGTGGTAGTAAATAAGACAACACAGACATGGACTATTTCCAACACTGCAGAAAGTTCTACTGGACAGAGCTGTCTTAGACTGTCAGAACTAGAAGGAGCCTTCCAGATGATCTGGCTCAGCTTTCCCAGTTTTACAGAAGAGTCATCTCAGACCCAGGGAGGTGGACAGATGTGCTCACAGACACAACCAACAGGTGGAAATTGAAGCCAAGGGTTTTGACGCCAAGCCTCTTAGGTCTCTCCAAGCACTTTATGCTTTCTCCAAGCACCCTAGGTTTATTATTATTTCAGGCTAATACATATTTCCCCTCTCCTTTTCTTTCATTTCCCAAAGAAGGGAGACATTTTCTCTGAGAAGCTGAAACTTCTTCCTGGGAATATAGTTCTCTTAAAAAGCATCGCTAGCAACTACCAGACTCAGCATCTCCTCTTTCTTTGAGCACTGGGCTCAGTAAGAGCAAAGACCTTGAGCTGCAGCCCAGAGCCTCAGCAGGAATGATTGCACAGGAGTTGTGGGCCAGAAGTCCTGGACCCTGGACCCCCTGGGGACTTCCAGAGTCTCCGTTTCCCCAGTGCATATTGTTTCAGTCCAACTCGGTCCCCATTCCCACACCTGTGTGTCTCTCCCACTTGCCAAGACCTGTCTGACTCCCAAGATGACTGTTAAAGCTTTTTATATGAAACCAAGCCCCACAGCCCAGGGCCAGGAGTACCCTCCTCTGCTAGAAGTGAGGCCCATCATCTTCTGTGTCTGGATGGTACTTCAAGCCAGAGGTGTCACGAGCTACCCTCCTGCCTAGCCTGTCTCTTATTTGATGGATGAAGAAGCCGTGGGCATAGACTTTGGGAGATATTTATCCCCCACCAGCACCGGAATCTCCTGGGAACTGGACTCAGTGTACCACTCATGGAGATTCTCAGAGGAACTCTCTCCTCATATCAAAGCATTTGCATCTAATTAACTCTTTATAGGGGAAGAGTTTATAGGGAAATGTAGGCAGGACCCTGGTCAAGTCATAAAACCTCTGTCATATTTGATGTTTTGGAGAAACCCTCACAGGTATCAGGGATCCTCTCTGAGCGGGATTGGAAAAGAAAAGGGTGTGCTTTTTAAAGACACCACTTTCCCCAAGGCTATTCAAGAGTTTGGGCCTCACCCCTGCTGCTCACTGCCCTAGTGCAAAGCACCCTCTTCTGGGGGTGAGAGTGAGGGCCCATGGGCAGAACTGCCATTCAAGGAAGACTGGCCAGAGGGCGACAGCTTCCCGAAAGATCCAGGAGTTGGGTTTGGCATCTGGGAGTTGGGGCTGTGTGTGGACTCTGAATTGCACTGACTGAATCTTTCTTCACCACTATATTAGGAAACCTTTTAGAGAGTGATCAAAAAAAGAATATGCCTCTTCCAGGGTATAACCAGGAAAATCATTAATAATAAAACAATATTCTTTTTGTATTTCATAATTTTTTTTTCTTTTGGAGAGAGAGTCTCGCCCCGTAGCCCAGGCTGGAGTGCAGTGGCATGATCTTGGCTCACTGCAACCTCTGCCTCCTGGGTTCAAGTGATTCTTGTGCCTCAGCCTCCTGAGTAGCTAGGACCACAGGCACATGCCACCATGCCTGGCTAATTTTTGTATTTTTAGTAGAAATGGGGTTTCACCATGTTGGCCAGGCTGGTCTCGAACTCTTGACCTCAGGTGATTCACCCACCTTGGCCTTCCAAACTGCTGGGATTACAGGCGTGAGCCACTGCACCCGGCCTGTATTTCATAAAATGTAACACTTGAATGCAATGATATCAATTCGGCTAAACAGAAAGTTCCTAAGATCATTTGATGTCTATCTTTTTGCCCAACTGATCAAGACAAATTTGTATTTAAATAGCAGTGTCCCTTAATCATAATATGTAAACAAAGTCACCAATGAGCATCTAGGATTAATGGAGAAGATCAGTGCCTTTGGCTTCAGAAAAACTGGGCTAGACCCCCAGTTCTGCTGCTAATGTGCTGTGTGATTTTGGCAGAACTCTTAATCTCTATGCATCTCAGTCTTCTCCCCTTTAGAAATGGGAGTAATTCTACCTTTTTCACAGAGTTGTTGGGATATAGTACATATAAAAATGCCTGTCATGATGCCTGGCATATTGTAGGTGCCTGATGAATGTTGAGTAAAGAAAACATGCTTTGGCAACAAATTTCTCTTCTCTTCTGACTTTCCCCAATTACAATGGCAGCTGAGTCATATTTTGGAGCCATTCTGAAGCCCAAGTTTCAGAAACAACAACAGCAGCAGCAGCAGCAGCAACAACAACATATGGGTAGCTTTGCTTTGCTCTAAGAGCATTGGATGAACTTCCAGTCTTGGTGTAAATGCCCTGGTAGAGTGAAGGCCCTGGTGTCTGAGGCTCAGCGTCCAGTCCTGGAGTTCACCATCCATTCCCAGGTGCCCTCCCTCTGCCCAGCCCTCTGGCTCCAGAGCGGACTGAAGGTCTCCCACATGCTTAAGGGGTCCAATTTTTAAGCCTCATTCACTGTGCTGTGTGAAGCAGGGATGGCAACTACAGCTCACAGGTCAAACCCCACTGCTACTTGTTTTGGTAAATCAAGTTTTATTGGAGCATAGCCACACCCATTCATTTCCCTGTTGTCTATGTCTGCTTTGTGCTACAATGGCAGAGCTAAGTAGTTGCAGTACAAAGAGAGTATACGACTTGCAAAGCCTAAAATATTTAGCATCTGTCTTTTTAACAGAAAAAGCTTGTCCATCTTGGTGCAGAGGAAACAGAATGTGCTAGGGGCCCTGGGACCAGTCCTGGCTCTGTATCTGACTTGCTTGGCATCCCTGGGGAGCTCACTGTCCTTCTCTGGTCTCTGAAGCACGAAAGGTTGAATTAGTACTTGGAAGTTTTCTTTAGTTCTAATAACTTAGCAGTCTTTGCTCTATTGCTCTTTAGGGATTCCTGAGGCTCTTATCAGAGAATTTTACTTTTTTGGGTATTGAAGGTCAGTGGAGAGGACGATTCATCTTAGAGCCAATGCCATTCCTAGAGAGAGGCCAGATAGTCACTCAAGGAACAAAGTCTAACTTTTCAATGGGGCATCTCTAAAGAGAAAACATTTAACATTTCTTTTCACAACAGAAGGCAGTAACAAGAAGTCCAAAGTCAGCCCTTTCTTTCATAAAGTGGGGAGCTACTTCTGAGGACTGAATAACTGCTGATGGGTTGTTCTGATGGCAGAACAAATGAGGATTCATTGGGGGAAAGCTTGTGTATCACATCTGCTCCTATGGCAGGTGAATAAAAGCTCTGGGTGAGGAAACACTCACACCTGAGCACCTGGCCCTTGTCACCAATCTGCAACTCAACTGTCTAGGACCATGGCTTCTAGTTAAAGCAGAAATCCCTGCTCCTCAAGCTTTGGCAAGAGCCATTTGAAGCCTCCTTGCTCCAGACAGGCTGTGGCCAGAAACCACTCTAGAAACTCTGTACCCAATGTCTGTAGATCCCAGTATTAAGACTGGGGCCCACCTGTAAGAGAGTCACCAACCTAGTAGCCATCTCCTTAGAACCTGTGGCTCACAGTCAGTCCAGCCTGGCCCTGCCAGCAGTCACTCTGCCTGTCCTCTGCCAGGGACCAGGAACATCCCTGCCAGTATGGGCACCTGTGGCTGGTTCAGTGAAGACATCCTCAGCAGCAGTGGGAAAGGGATCATGCAGTTCTTAAGTGAGTGCCTGGCCAACTGCTTGCAGAAGTTGCAGCAGTTGGAGCAGGAGAATGAGAAGCAGGGGTGGTGCTGAGAGCCAGCAGTGGAGCAAACGGCAGTGCCCTGACATATGCTCCAATTACTGCTCACACTTTGAGACCATTAAGGAGCTCCAACAAAAAGTAAGATGAGGCCTTGAGCTCTGGTGTCAGTGGCATGGAAAGAGAGGGCTGAGGATTGGTGATGGGAGAATTGGAGGGGTTGCCTGGGGGGATGACAGTCCATGAATGTTCATAAAGATGGATTGAAGGTGCCAGAAATAAACTGTGATGTCAAGGGCCCAACCACTTGGTTCTACAACCAGTTCCATTCAACAAGCATCATTGCTGATGTCTGCAATGAGAGGACTGTGAGTGGGATATGGATTTATTTCTTCACAATCCAGATCCTGCCTTATTTAAGGACATGCCACCATTCACTCACTAGTTATTGAGCACCAGCAATGAGTGATTGCATCGCTGGGTGCTGGGGAGCAGACAGTGCCTACAAAATGAAGCCTCAGCTCTTTAGCCTGGCATTCAAGGCTGCCATGTTCTCAGCCTCACTTTTTTTTGTAGCTTACCTCTTTCTAATCTTCTGCAAACATCCTGTGCTTCTATCAAACTGCTTTGTCACTTGCCCTATGCTTCTGTCAAACTGCGTTGTCACTCACAAAATGTTTGTTCACATGTGTAGTGCTTTCTTTCTCATCTTTGCATGGCCAAATTCTAGTTGGGCTTCAAAACCCAGGTGATATTCCCCACCTCCTGGAATCCTCTCTAGAAGCTAATCCCCCTGGGATGGATTTTGCCTTCCATGGAATAACCCACAGCCGCATATCTGAACGTCTCTTGTGGCATTCTCATCTTTCTATTTGTTTTGGAGTTCCTGTTCTGTACAAGATGGTGGAAAGGATGAACAACCTAACTTCATTTTTAAAAAATTAATCACATTTATTTAGTATTTTCCATTAAGTGCTGATATTCAGCTGGGATGTAGCAGTCTGTCTCTGTGGCCGTTTCCACATCTCCTTTTAGATTGCTGCCAACAGTGGTTATAATATTTCTGAAATCATCCTTGATTCTACTAAATGTCAAACCTGAACTGGGAATTTTCACATACCTTTTTTCTTTGAACCATTTCAGCAATCCTCTAAGGTGGATATTATTATTTCTATTTTATCTAAAAAGAATAGAGCACCTTTATTAAGAGCTCACTAGATGTCAGAAGCTTTGCTAAACATATATGCTTGGTTGCATTTAATCCTTACAAGGATTTGATGAAGCAGATAGAATCACGTTTTCCATTTTACAGATGGGAAGATTTTAAGCTTCAGGGGGTTAGAAGCTATGCCTAAAGTCTCAGAGCTGGTAAACTGCCAAGCTGCGTGACACAGGTCCACTTAACCACTGTGTTGGTGCCTTTGAGGAAGTGGATGAGGAGAAAAAGGGAGGGTGAGTGAACCAGAAGCATGTCTTGGCTGTGCAGAGCTGGGTTTCAGTCCAAGGGGCTATCCCTTCAACCCCCTCACTGCTGCCCAGACCTGACCAATGGAGCCCACAGTAGAGTGAGAAGTGAAACCCCATCTGTATCCCAGAGCGCAGCTAGTTTCGTTACAGATGGGAGCAAACCCTTGGATACTTGATGCTTAAAAATCCACCATAAGGAAAGATGGAAACGTCCCCATGTGGCTCAGATCACATTTTTTTTCATTCATTTTAGGGCCTGGGGAGAATTCCATGGAGAGCATCCTTGTGAAGCATGGTGTTTCTCATTCTCAGATCTCACCCAGGAGGGTAGGGAATGCTTGGTTGGCTGTCCAGGTGGACAATGTGAAAATAGCTGTGACAACTTTAGGACAGAGAGAGTCTGACAGGAGCTGGGAACTGCTGCTCCCTGGTACTCTGTCCATCTCTTTCGTGTCAGGTACAGGTCTCTGTGGAGGAAGCAAAGGAGGGGCAGCCTTTGAAAAGAATCCCTCCAAGGAAATGTTTCCACCAACCTAAGAAGTATTAATAAAAAGATTCAGTCCCAAAGAATTTTAGGGGTAATTTAAGATGTGTTTGATTAAGATTGAGCCCTAATCAAGAATTAAGTCAGCTCCTGAAGGACAGGGTTAGGTCTCAACAGTCACAGTGGCATTAGTGAGTGTTCACAATGTTTAAGACTACACCAAAGTGCTGAATGTAGTTTATTCCATCTTCACAACAACCTTGTGAGCTAAGAATTGTTACCCTCATTTTACAGATGAGGATGTTGAGGCTCAGAGAAAGAAACTTGCTCAAAGGTACACCTGGCATAGGATGGCATTGAGACCCAAACCACATTCTACCTAAGCATGTAGTATTAATTGTGTAAGAGTTAAAGAAAGAAGAAAGAAACATGAAAAGTGGCTCAACAGTCAAAGACAGGTTTATTTTGGAGAATAAACCTGAGAGAGGCTTCTGGCTGATTTCAGTTAGGAGTGTTCTCTCTTACAGACTAAGGATATTTAAGGGTTTAGGAAGCTGGGAGCTTATCATAGGTTTGGAATGTTTCTACGTGAGGAAAAATTTATTGTGGGGTTGGAATGTCTTTGGTTAGAGGGGAAGCTATCTTGGGGTTGGCATGTTTCTGGTTGGAGGGGGGTTATCGTAGGGTTGGAATATTTCTGTTTATGCTGACATTAGCTATTAGACTGACATTTTGGGGCTGGATTTAGGCTACTTTTTTTTTAATCAAGGGAAACTTAAAATGGTGGTGTTTGTCTAAGATGGCGATGCTCCTGCTCTGTCAAATTGCTGTCTTTCATTGTGCACTAAAGTATCTGGTGGATAGTGAAAGATCAATAAGTATTTTCATATTTTATTTAGTATAGAAACATCCCCCCAATCAAAGCAGATGTACAAGTGCCTCTGGCCTGAGAAGAGCAAATGGAGAGGCATGCATGCTGAAAGACAGGCCACTGGCTTGGATGCTTATCTGCCACGTTTAGACAAGTGTCAGAGTTGGCTGGGCCCAGCCAATGAGTGGAGACCAACATAAACAGCCTGCACAGGCTCCTGGGTGATGTGGGTCTGCGCCAGGGAGAGCTGGAGGTGCAGTAAGAGTCCCTAAGGGAGGAGTTTCTGTGTTCGAAAAATAACCGTGAGCAGGTAGAAGCAACTAAGAAATGGCTGAGGCCAATTTCAGGGGGTTGACCAGGAAGAGCGACAGATCCATTCCTTGGGTTTGCACTTGGGCGCTGTTCCCCTCCAGGCAGAGTCTTCTCCCCTTTGGCTGACCTTTCCCCTGCCCTGGATTAAAGACCCATGGTCCCAAAATCTTGTAAAAGCAGGGCTGGCAAAGACCATACAGGGATCGGCAGTCCAACTCTCTCATTTTAGGGATGAGGAAACTGAGGCTCAGAGAGAAGAAACAGCAATAGATACAGAAAAGATGTGGAGAAAATATTCTAGAGCCCTGTCTCTTCCTATCTGTGGGAAATGATTCAAATGATAGATTCAAGGACTCAGAGAGGGATTAGACATCAGGGACTTTTGGACTCACAAAGGGGTCATTTTACAGATGAGGACGTGGAAGTTCAGAGAAAGGAAGTGACTGCCCCAAGTCACACTGTCAATTGGTAGAGCCAGGATTAGAATTCATGTTTCTTTGATGTGCTTTTCTTTCCTTTTTTCTTTTCTTTCTTTCTTTCTTTCTTTCTTTCTTTCTTTCTTTCTTTCTTTCTTTCTTTCTTTCTTTCTTTCTCCCTCCCTCCTTTCTTTCTTTCTTTCTTTTCTTTCTCTCTCTCTTTCTTTCTTTCTTTCTTTCTTTCTTCTTTTTTTCTTCTTTCTTTCTTTCTTTCTCTCTTCTTCTTTCTTTATTTCTCTCTCTCTCTTTCTCTCTCCCTTCCCTTCCCTTCCTGCTCTCTCTCTCTCTCTTTCTTTTTTTTGACAGAGTTTCGCTTTTGTCACCCAGGCTGCAGTGCAATGGCGCCATCTCGGCTCACTGCAACCTCCGCCTCCTGGGCAATTCTCTTGCCTCAGCCTTCTGAACTAGCTGGGATTACAGGCACCTGCCACCATGCCCAGCTAATTTTTTTGTATTTTTAGTAGAGACAGGGTTTCACTTATGTTGGCCAGGCTGGTCTTGAACTCCTGACCTCAGGTGATCCACCTGCCTCGGCCTTCCAAAGTTCTGGGATTACAGGGGTCAGCCACTGTGCCAGGCCGATGCTCTTTTCTTTCTTTTGTGCTGCCATATCTCAAAAAAGTTTTTTTTTTTTTTCCCAGATAATGATTGAAACAGAGGCAACTCTGTATGGGTGTCACTCTTTGTGATAAAGTAAAAATAGAGATAATTATTAGATCATTTCAGACATGGAGAGAGATGCTGACAAGGGGGCTGCTGGGGTGGCTCTGCTGCTCCCCTGGGGTGAAGTGCCTGAGCAGTCACCATGCTGTGCTTCAGGTGGGCAAGACATTTGGTGGAGGGCTGAATGAATGCAGAGTCTGCTCTTTTTGTGTACATAGGAAGCCTGCACTCTGAGGAGTGCAGAGGACAAGCTCCGGATTGAGTTGGGGACTGAGCCCACTGCGGACCTGAGCAGTCAGAGGAGATGTGGGGCCAGTATGAGGCCGTGGTGGAGACCAGCTGCCAGGATGTGGAGCAGTGGTTCCAAGCCCAGATGAAGGGAGGCTGCAGAGTAGGGAGGACTCGGCATCCACCTGGGCAGGGAGGTAATTGTGTCTCTCTGTGCTCCAGTCTGAAGGCATCAGCCTGCAGGCCATGTCCTGCTCTAGGAGCTGCAGTGCTGTCATTTGGAGATCCTGGAGCTGAGCTGCTCGGTGAACACCCTGGAGGTGGAGCTTCAGGCTCAGCACACGCTGGTGAGTCCCTCTGCATGTATGGGAGCCCCAGCTTGGTTCCCACTGCCCATGAGCAGTTCCTTGGGGTCAGTACAGGCCTCACTTAGATACCAACCAGGGAGTCAGCTTAAACCTTGGTTTCATCTCCTTTGGAGGCACTTTCTTGCAGATGTGGATGGTGAGTGAATCAACATTAACTCAGGTGAGGGGGCTCTGATCTTAAAGGTCTACTGTGAAGACAAGTAACACAGCATTGGTTCTTCTGGCTAAAGACAGCCAAAGGGAGTTAGATTGCTCCTGGACCTGGCACAGTCTTGGGGTGTCACAATCTTAAGAGGCTGAGGGCAGAGATCCACGAATTTTAGCTTGCTTCTCCCTTTCCTTGGTATTACAGAAGGACTGTCTGTAGCACTCCCTGTGTGAAGCTGAGGACCACTACGGCATGGAGCTGGCCCAGCTGCAGAGCCTCATCAGCAGTGTAGAAGAGCAGCTGTCCAAGAGTTAGGCTGACCTAGAGTGGCAGAGCCAGGAGTACCAGGAGCAGCTGGATATCAGGGCCCAACTGGAGGGTGAGATCACCATGTACTGGAACCTTCTGGGGAACAAAGGCTGCAAGTATGTGTGATGTCAAGTAGTGTCTTCATTTATGAGTATCAGTGTTGCAGTGTCTCCAGGTAGAACGATGAGGGACTGATGTTTGTTTCACAACTGTCCTTACTATGTGAGGTTGGCATTGCTGACGCTGTTATTGCAGACAAGGATATGGGGCTCGGAGAATAATTAGTTTGCCCCCCGTCAGAGTTAGTAAGGGGGGAGGGACATAAACTAAAGCTGGGTCTGTGGATGAACTGTCTCCATGTGCATCTGCTGCAAGAGGCCATGTAATCCATGTACCACACCTGGAGGTCACGTGCAAGAGTGCTCACATGACCTGCACCCCAAGCCCCACATAGCAACACTTTCTTGAGCTCACCCTACATACCCACCAGAGGCTGCCAGGGCAGCAGCAGATTCTGCGCACAGGGTGGGTTGGAACCCTCCTCTCATTGCAGATGAGACGGAGGCAAGGGAAAGAGACTCACCTGCGGCTGAGGCCCACCTTGTAAATGGCTTACCTTCGAGAAGAGGCGGGTACCTTGTGACTCTGCAGCTTCTCACAACTTCGACTTGTGTTTTCATTTTCAAGGAGTTTGCTCAGTGGGGCCACTTCCTTTCTTTAATGCTTAGGAAGCTGCATCTTCTGGTTCCTGGGAAATGAATTAAATGAAGTTGCTTATTGAGAGTGTGACTACTGTTTTCAGGTTATTTCAGTGGGTTACAGTGAATATCCCGTGTGATGCTTTAAAAAAAATAAATTTTATTGTGTATATTTAGAGTAGACAGCATGAGGCTGGGTGTGGTAGCTCACGCCTGTAATCCCAGCACTTTGGAAGGCTGAGGCGGGTGGATCATCTGAGGTCAGGAGTTCTAGACCAGCCTAATCAACATGGTGAAACCCCGTCTCTACTGAAAATACAAAAATTAGCTGGGCGTGGTAGTGCATGGCTGTAATCCCAGTTACTCGGGAGGCTGAGGCAGAAGAATCACTTGAACTCGGGAGGTGGAGTTTGCAGTGAGCTGAGATTGCACCACTGCACTCCAGCTTGGAGTCTAGAGCGAGACTCTCTCTCTCTCTAAAAAAAGTAAAGATAAAAATAAAAAACTATACAGCATGATGTTATGGGATACATATATATAGCAAAATGGTTATTATAGTGAAACAACATATTCATCATCTCACATAGTTACCCATTTCCTGCCCCCACCCACCCCCATGGCAAGAGCAGCTATAATGTACTCATTTAGCAAAAATCCTGAATATAATACTCTTATTAACTAGAGTCCTCTTGTACATTAGATCTTTAAACGTGTTCAGCCTACATATCTGCTACTTCGTATCTTTTGACTTGTGTAGTGTATTTAAAACTATGGCTATGACTTATGAATGGTCTCTGAAGTCATTTTAGTGGGTTTTGATGAGCATGAGAGAGATAAACACTATACAAAGACCAATGAGTCATGAGAAAACTTGGTGTTCAGAATTTTTTGGATTTCAAAATTGCAGATAAGGTCTTGCAACCTTGTACAGCTTTATTAAAAGTAATTTTATTAGTAACTGATGACTGCTTTCTGGAATGTGAATTCTCCCAAATAATTGCCAGGGTGGGTTTTATAATCCTTATTTCCAACAAGGAAAAATAAAACCTCCATGGCTTCAAAGAACATAGTAAAGCCAGAATCTGCACTCTGTCTGACCCCAAAGTGCTGCTTTTGACTCTATCACCTTTCCTATCCTTTCTTTTCTTGTTCTTCTAAGTCATTGCTTCTCAACCATGGCTGCTCTTTGGAACCATCTGGAGAGCTTTACAAAATAGTGATGCTGGGCTCCACCTCCAGGGATTCTGTGGCCATCGGTCTGGGTGTGGCTTGGGCATCAGAAGTTCTAAAAACTCCCCAGGGGATTTTTTTCTTTTTTTGAGACAGGGTCTGGCTCTGTCACCCAGGCTTGAGTGCAGTGGTTCTATCTTGGGTCACTGCAACCTCTACCTCCTCAGTTTAAGCCATTCTTCTGTCTTAGCCTCCTGAGTAACTGGTATTATAGGCATGCACCACCATGCTTGGCTAATTTTTTTGTATTTTTAGTAGAGATAGGGCTTTGCCATGTTGGCCAGGCTGGTCTCGAACTGCTGACCTCAGTTGATCCACCCGCCTTAGACTCTCAAAATGCTGGGATTATGGGCATGAGCTGCCAAGCCTGGCCTTTTTTTTTTTTTTTTTTTTTTTTTGTAAATAACAGAATAGACAGTGCACCCTGAGAGAGGATCAGGGTGTGCTCCTTGTAAGGATGAGATGGCCCCCTGGGGGATTCTGGTGTATAGTCAAAATTAGAAGTTGTTCTCAACTGGTTTCCAAAGGGATGTGAGGTGAGGGGAAGCATGTTTGTCCCAGACGTTTCTAATCACTGTGTTTGGGACTATTCCCTTCTCTTAGAGCGATGGTTATCAAGTTTGAGCATTCCTTAGAATCACCTGGATGGCTTGTTAAAACACAGATTATGGCCGGGCATGGTGGCTCACACCTGTAATTCCAGCACTTGGGGAAGTTGAAGCGGGCAGACCACTTGAGCTCAGGCATTCGCGACCAGCCTGGGCAACATGGCAAAACCCTGTCTTTACAAAAAATACAAAAATTAGCTGGGTGTGGTGGCATGTGCCTGTAATCCCCTCTACTGGGGAGGCTGAGGTGGGAAGATTGCTTAAGCCTGGGAGGTCGAGGCTACAGTGAGCTGAGATTGTGCCACTGCACTCCAGCCCGGGTGATAGAGTGAGACCCTGTTTCAAAAAAACAAAAACAAAACACACACACAAACAAACAAGGAAAAACACAGATTGCTGCCCCCTCCCCTGCACCCAGTGTATCTGCATTCAGTAGGTCTGGAGTGGGCATCTGAGAATGTGGATTTCTAACAAGTTCCTGCGAGATGCTGATGCTACTGGCTAAGAAACCAAACTCTGAGAACCACTGCCCTACAGGCTGACACGACCAGCTTAGGAAAATGTCCAGAGAGTAATTTTTCTCAACACAACATAAAAACCAACATAAATCTATACAGTTTTCTTTATCAAATGTCATCTCCTCTGTGCTGGCTTATCCCTGCCTAATGCTTGCTAAGTGCCTCACTTGGGCTTGTACCTTTCCTTTGTCAGTGTCACTATCTGAGAAAGACTTGAAGGTGACTTGAGAGAAGCATCCTGCATCAGCAGAGAAGGGTTGTTCCCAGTGATGTGCAATCAAACTAGCTGGTTCTGCCCTTTCCAGAGGCTGCCTGAGTTCGCAGCTGGGACCGTGGGGCCCTGGGGGGAACCACAGCATCTCAGTGACTGGTGAGAAGATGAAGCAGTTGTGGGTGGCACCATGGCCATAATGCCTTCCTCTTCTCTAGGGGCAGGTCTCTTGCCTGTGTCATCAAATGTGATCTACCTTTGGTTTCTCTGTAGGATTTATAAAAAAAATTACTATGTAAGAAATGTACTGTCAGGATTTTGGTTTTAGAAAGTGGGATCAAGTGGTACGCTGGAGCTAACTCTTATAACTCACAAGAGCCGATTTTTCACATCTCTTTCCAACTCCACATTCAGTGACATCATATTGTTTGCTTGAAGTTGGCTATTGTGGGAGTATTTACACCACAGAAATTGGCTTACACTACAAACTGGAGGGGTTTTCCCCCCAGAGAGCTAATTTGCCGGCATATCTCTGGTTGTGTATTTATCCACATTGCTTAAGAATCTATGATTTTACTTCATTGTTTCAGCATACAAATATCTTTGCTTGGTGCTACTGTGTTTCTCATTACCTGCTTACATAATTAAACACACATGGATGCAGAACCTACTCTGTAGCCGGGCTCTGTGCCAGAGTCTGGGGATATGGAGATGAAAGAGGAAAAAGCAATGAGACAAACTCCCTGATGTCCTGGAGATCCCAAGTCCATGGTGGGGAGCTACCACCTCTGATACAGCCACAGTTTCCCAGGGTGAGAAGAGTGTGTCAGCAGAGGGAGAGCAGCCTACCTGGGAAGCCAGAGAAGGCTTTGCAGAGAGCATGAGTGAGCCCACACAGCTCAATCTATCTGTGACAGAGAACGGCCACTGAGCTGTTTCAGACTCAGCATGTTTCATAATCATGGGTTTGTAATGAGCAACAGAAAGCAGTTCAATATTTTCCACAATGAGGATCTTTGACCTGTGCCAAAGATCTGTTTTTATTCTGGTTGAAACAGAATTCTATATTTTCTTCCCTTCTTAGGGTCTTGCTTCTCAAAGATTTTCCAACTCTTTCTAATTCATCTTCTGGAGTCTCTTCCCTCACTATTGCTTGCCAGGGCAGGGTGAGCCTCCTGAGCTACTCTCCAAGTGGGTCGATTGCAGTGAAGCCTGGAGCAGCAAATGATGCCATCAGAGGCAGGTGTGAGGCTCACAGGTCCCAACGCACGGGCCCCGGTTTCTGTGCCTATGTGCAGAGGTGGAAGCTCGTGACTGTCATCCACAGGAGAGGATAGGACTTGTTTCCCACACTCATGCCAACACTGTGTGCTATTATCCAACTTAGCAAAACCTGATAAGAAAACAATATCTCTTTAGTTTGTATTTCTTAATCACAAATGAGCATACATTCATATATAGATAAAATCATATTTAATTTGAACAGAAGTGTACCTTTTCCATTCATCAAAGCCTCAGGAGTTGGATACCTAGAATAATACATTTATATGCTCAGCCTCTTCTCTCAAGAGTCTTCATGGTTTCTTGATCTAGGATTGTTTGGGACACCATTTTCTAACACCCTGGAGATGTGGCAGCACTAACTCTACATATAGTACTTGTCATAAATCTTTGCATTCACTGCAATGTGTGATGGGTGACGTTCCCACACAGGGCACAACTCCCTAGATGCCTCCCTGCATCTTCCAGCAGTAGGAGCCATGACACAGAAAAGATAAACTTTGAGTTAGGCACAATCTCCAGGTGCTAGCCTACAGCTCCATACCTTTCTCTCCCATTGGTTGAGATATGCCCCTATGTATCAAAATTAGTGAAAATGGCATTCCAAGACCACAGCTCCTCACCTCCATTTGCAGTAGACTTCATGCCTCTAGAGATCGGCATGTCTAAAGTCAGAATCCACACAGAGAATGTTGTGCACACAGGTGAATGAAGGAGGGCAGCAGGCTCCCATCTCTCACACTCTGTATTCATCACTTCTTGTTACTGAACCTGGCCTCATATTCGGTCACCAGGGGCCACAGGGACTCTTTTTAAAGGGTTGGGAAGGAAGAGAGTCTTAGGATCCCCACCCGCTCCTTCACCTCCTTTGAGAAAATACAAATCAGGGGAACAAAGCGATTTTACAAAGAGCCATGCAACATCAGTATCATTATGCAAAACAGTACAAGGTAGAAGCCCAAGCCAGGACCCAAGCCAGTTGGCAGAGAGGGGTGTCATCTGGACACACAAGGCTTCAGCAGTGATGAGTCATGTATTGTGAATGGACGAAATCGTGGCTTTTAGTCCATGGAATGAATCTGGGCAGAGGATAAAGCCAAAAGATGGGTGCTACTTAGCAAATCAAAGGAAATGACTTTAAAAGCCTGGCTCTCTGATTTATAGAGAAGCTTGTTGCTATGTGATGAGGCGGAGGAGAGTAACAAAAGGGTGTTTGAAGATGTAACATATGCAGATTGCACCCAGTGGCCTCTGGAGGATGGGACAGCCTGCCCTGGTGATGTCTCCCAATGATGTTGTCTGTAAAGGGTTATGGATTGGTGAGCTCTGAATAACCCTTAGGTCAGCGCTCACTACTACTTACTTTCCTGAGAAGCCCAATCTGGACTGAATTCTCAGATTCTGTATTTCTTCTTGATAGAACTCCAATAGCCTGTGTTTCACATATGCACGTCTGATCCCTATAGAGGTGTATGTTCAGCTTTTGTTCAATGCTCAGGGGACTGGCAAAAACTCATTTTCCCAAAATTCTAGTTATAATCACTTTGGATTGTTCCACATTAGGTTTTTCTTAGTCTCAGGGGTCTATGTATCTTCTGTCACAAATTTTGGGAGAAAAGTTTTGGGATCTCAGCAGCCATGTGTCTTGGATCCCTAGTACCAAGAACTATCTGAATGTGGAATGTGTAATATAACCATTTTAGGGACAGGACTTTCCCCTGGCATCTTCTGATTTAGCCCTTGGAGAAACTCTGTTTTATTGTATGAATACCTCCACATCTGTATTTTCTGAGATACAAAGGGAAAAATACACAATGTCAGATTTTTGTTTTACATCTTAATTTCAACTTCTTGCCCGGTTTCTAGGAATTTGAATCCTTCTTAGTTCTAGCAATGACACAGTAGTTATCCTTGGGGTGGAGGATTTGGAGGTGGTCAAGGTGAAGAAACAGTTTCTGGAGTTGAAAGAAGCTGATGTTGAGAATAGGCTTTATACTTTATAGTGAGGTTGATCTTAGAAAACTGTCCTCAATGGCTTGTTTATTTATTTTGTAAAATTAAGAGTACCCACCTCCCAGGTTGGAAGTAAAGATTAAAAGGTATCATTGCTCAATCCCCTAGCTCATAGGGTGAAGGCTCATGACTGACTTTAGAATAAAGGAAGCAAGGTATGAAGAGAGCCCACAGAGGCTCTGATCACTCAATGTCCTTTGACTTTCATGACCAAGTTCTTATTTGAGGTTCAGTAAGATTATTGCTCATTTCTCTTTGTTTATTTCTGGCTTCTTGAGCTTGCCCTTCTTGGTCGAGATAAGCCATGGTTTTTGGAGTCATCCTCATTTTCATGAGCTTCTCAGATACCTTGTTTGAAACATCACGTCTACCCAAGTTACAGTTGTTCCCCAATGGCAGGAACTATTTTGTGCTTAACCAACTATATATCAAGCATCAGCAAGGTGCGTAGCATATGGGACGTAGCCAGGGGATGTGTTTTGAGTGACTGGATTCATCTAAGTCTTGTTGCTCCTCAAAGTGAGTCTGAAAGGCAACCAACTAAAGAAAGAAGAAATGTAGGACTTCTTGATAACCCAAGGCCATAACATCCACCAATTCCAAGACTCAGTTTCTTCCCTGGATAGGGAAGGCTGGTTGAGTCTTAACCCAAGTGAGAACCATTGTCATCACCGGGGTTAGTCCTCCTGCTACACCACTGACCAACAGGAAAGTTTGTGTCTCCAGAGTGGACACATCCATAAAGAGGCCAAACCCAGTCAAGGTCTAAGCATCTGATGGCTATAACTTTGCTTCTTTGAAAGATAATAAAAAGCTTCTGACCTCCCATCAACAGCCAACCTGATTTCAAAGAGCCAAGAGGCCTCAGATTCGTCAACATTCCTTTAACGAGCTGAGAAACTTTTCATGGTAAACTCAGCAGCTGAGTAACAGGATGATGGCACCACAACAGGTAGATAATCAAGGCAGGAGGTCAAAGCATTGGAGCCAACACCCGCCCAGGATGGGGTATAAAAGGGCTGGGAGGAGAGGAGGCTTCAGTCTCAGTGGTTCAGCTTTCCCAGCTGATCTGAAGCTCCTGTGCAGCCTCAGCCCAACACCATGACCTCTTCCTACAGCAGCTCCTCATGCCCTCTGGGTTGCACCATGGCTCCTGGAGCAAGAAATGTCTCTGTCTCTCCCATCGACATTGGGTGCCAGCCTGGGGCAGAGGCCAACATTGCCCCCATGTGCCTTTTGGCCAACGTGGCACATGCCAACCGAGTCCGTGTGGGGTCCACTCCCCTGGGCCGCCCCAGCCTCTGTCTGCCGCCTACCTGCCACACTGCTTGTCCCTTGCCAGGGACCTGCCACATTCCTGGCAACATTGGAATCTGTGGGGCCTATGGTGAAAACACCCTGAATGGCCATGAGAAGGAGACCATGCAGTTCCTGAATGACCGCCTGGCCAACTACCTGGAGAAGGTGCGCCAGCTGGAGCAGGAGAATGCGGAGCTGGAGGCCACACTCCTCGAGAGGAGCAAGTGCCACGAGTCCACCGTGTGCCCCGACTACCAGTCTTACTTCCACACCATCGAGGAGCTCCAACAGAAGGTGAGGTGTGGGATCGCTTGGGTGTGCTGGGTCTGAGATGGCAGAGGCAAGACAGGAGGAATCCATGTAAAGCTCAGAGAACTTTGGGTTCTTGGTTTCTCTTGGACATGATCATAGACACCACACGTGGAGAAGGAGCCTAGGGCATGATGCTTTGTGTGTGAACTGTCTTCCTGTTCTCCTCAGATCCTGTGCAGCAAGGCCGAGAATGCCAGGCTGATTGTACAAATTGACAATGCCAAGCTGGCTGCCGATGACTTTAGGATCAAGTAAGTCAGGCGGAGGAGGGCCAGGGTGACTCCTTCCCCACCCTCCATCCCAATGCCCAAATACTTGTTGAGTGAGGGAATCATTGTCATTTCTTCCTTGCTAGATTCTCTACAGTAAAATTTTCATTACAATCGAAGCTGATGGAAGATGGAAGGGAAAACTCCTCATTAATCCAAGCATATATGTTTGTCTTCCTTCATTTATTTCCCTAAAATGGAGGATAAGGCAGCCTGAGTTCATTAACCAGGAGCAAAATGAGGTGATTTGAAGGATGAACTGAGCAAGACAGCCATTGGGTTTCATATATAAGTCAGAGGAGTCACTTACAGATGAGTCTTTGTCCAGATTTAATTAGGGAGCCCTAAGGTACCAGGTATAAGGTACCTAGGCAAAAATGAGAGAGGGGAAGACAGCTGAAAGCAAGGGATAAGGAGCCGCAGATCACGATCAGGCACCTGGTTATTGCTTATCTTTGGTAACTGACAGCCCCTGCAATGGCATGAGCGTTGGACTGGGTCCCAAGATGCATGATCTTACGCAAGTCAGTTGATCTTCCTGAACTGCAGTTGCCACAGAATACAATGGCAAAAATGTATATTGTGCAATGTAGTGTTGTGATTTCTCCATTAGACCATGAGCTCTTTGAGAAGAGGGGCTGGGTCTAATTCACCTTTGAGGACAGAGGGCTAAACAGAGTGAATAAATGAGGATCCAAGGTGGTGTGGGAGGTAGGAAGCCAGGGCAGCCGAGAGGGGCTCTTGGGGGCATTCTTTTTGACCCTGTACCTCCTGTGATGAAAGGCTGGAGAGTGAGCGCTCCCTGCGCCAGCTGGTGGAGGCAGACAAGTGTGGGACACAGAAGCTCCTGGATGATGCGACCCTGGCCAAGGCCGACCTGGAGGCCCAGCAGGAGTCCCTGAAGGAGGAGCAGCTCTCCCTCAAGAGCAACCACGAGCAGGTGTGGCCCTGGGCGCTCAAACTCCTGGGGAGGGCACTGGGCAGACAGGGGAGCTCCCCAGCCCCGGGCTCTCAGAGCATTGCCTGGCCTCAGCTGGCATCAGGATGCAGGGCTGAGGTGGGTCTGAGGGTCCAGAGGGCCTCTGTGGAAAGTGCAGACTTGCCTTGGGCATGAGGAAGGTGTGCAGGTGGGCTCTCCCGAATGCCCTCTGGGCAAGACTTTCCCATTTGCTTGTGTGTGGGACTCCCCTCCTACTGCTTGCCAGGGGCGGGGTCCTGGTGCTGTCTGCTCCATCAAAGGCCCTTTCCTCATGCAGGCTGTCTGTCCCTTCCTCCCTTCTGCAGGAAGTAAAGATTCTGAGGAGTCAGCTGGGGGAGAAGCTCCGGATTGAGCTGGACATTGAGCCCACCATTGACCTGAACAGGGTGCTGGGGGAGATGCGGGCTCAGTATGAGGCCATGTTGGAGACCAACCGCCAGGATGTGGAACAGTGGTTCCAAGCCCAGGTGAGTGGGGGGGGTATAGAACCAGGGGGTACCTGGCCTCCATCTGGGCAGGGAGGTGACCGTGTCTCTCTGTGCTCCAGTCTGAAGGCATCAGCCTGCAGGACATGTCCTGCTCCGAGGAGCTGCAGTGCTGCCAGTCGGAGATCCTGGAGCTGAGATGCACGGTGAATGCCCTGGAGGTGGAGCGCCAAGCCCAGCACACCTTGGTACGTGTCCTTCACTCTCACTGCACTGCAAATGCCCCGTGCCATGGCCTAGTAGCATTTTATTTTGGAGGTCTCACTACCCAAGTTTCTCCCACCTGTTATCACCATCAAAATTTGAGGCATGTAGCAGTTTCCCTTGGGGCCTTGTATATTTTATCCCCTTATTTCCCACTACAGAAGGACTGTCTGCAGAACTCCCTGTGTGAAGCCGAGGACCGCTTCGGCACGGAGCTGGCCCAGATGCAGAGCCTCATCAGCAACGTGGAGGAGCAGCTGTCTGAGATCCGGGCCGACCTGGAGCGGCAAAACCAGGAGTACCAGGTGCTGCTGGACGTGAAGACCCGGCTGGAGAATGAGATTGCCACGTACCGGAACCTTCTGGAAAGCGAGGACTGCAAGTACGTGTGATCTGGGCAATTCCTGGCCAAATTATTTACTCAATTCTGATGAGGTCCTCAGGGCAGCAGAAGGGCTGTCTCTATGTAGAATGAGGCTCTCTGTGCACTCCTTTTCAGTGAGTCGTTGCCCTGTCCTGCACACTCCATGTGGTTGACAGAATGAAGGGAATGACCATGCACTTAGAGGATATTTACCAGGTCTCCACCGGGGCTGCTTGGGGTAGCCATGGACTGATGAGAGTAGACACAGGGTCGCTGCTCAAACAGGAGATATGTCCATAGATCCAGCAGATTTTTGGACTTGGTTTTCTTTTCTTAAATTCTTCCTAGGAATTTTTATTCTATAGGATAACTTTAATCATGGAAGGCATTTTAGAAACCACTTGTCTAGTCTAACCCTGGAGGTGCTCACTAGGTGCTAATGGTCACAGGGTCCAGCTGGGTCCATGTTCTGTTGTTTTGCAGTGGGGACTCCTTCCTCATGCCCCCACATGGCACTGAGACCCCATTCATTTCTTGCCTCTCACTTCCCTCACCTTGTCTCTCTGCAGACTCCCCTGCAATCCGTGCTCCACGTCTCCCTCCTGCGTGACTGCCCCCTGTGCTCCTCGCCCAAGCTGTGGCCCCTGCACCACCTGTGGGCCCACCTGTGGAGCCAGCACCACCGGAAGCCGATTCTGAATTCCTGTGGACCCACAGGGGCTGGCTAAGGCGAGGGATACCCAAAGAGAGATGCTTGTTATACCTTTAGAAAATCTGGCTTCTAACTTTCTGTATGTATAGGCCTGTCCAAAGGCTATGAGATACCAGGGACAGTGGAATCTTGATGGAAATCCTTCCTTTCCTGCTCTTGGTTTTCCCAGGTGAGCTCTATGCCCTCAGTGGCTGGATTGCAGCCACCCATGGTGGCTCAGAATATCTGGATTGGAGAGGCATAAGGTTGAAAAGCATTTTGGAGTAGGAACACGGCATGATTTAAAATTGCACTTGCACTTCAAGAACACCAACTTTAACTTGAAATTTTTATAGTTTATGACAAAGGAAGTGAAGAACAGACTTCACTGTCTGAGATTTCCCACATTTCTTGGGTTGTTTCTAACATTGGCAGCCTGGATTATGGCCCTAGGGAGAGGGAAATAGAATCAGAATTGTACCTGACCCTGTCTTTTCTAATTCCCTTCTCCTATCCTCCTGCCTCCCTATCTTGGAAACTGATTAAGTGGAAACTTTCCTTGTATCAAATCCTGAGTTTTCTCTACTTCAGGGTTTCTAGCTTTGACAAAGGACCAGGCTTGCCTTTTCTGTGGCAACACAGCCTCTTACATATGGCTTCCATAGCTTCTTGCTATGTGAAAGGAACTTTCAGATTAAGAAATTTCTCTCTTTTTTCTCTATAAATTCTGACTCTCCAGACTTGTCTGGCTATAACCCCTGTCCCTGTCTAATTCTCCCAGTCTAAAATCTAAACAATGACTTCATTTTTTTCTAGTACTTTCTCCTGAAGTATTGAAACCTATTGATTCAATGGGTAGAGATTTGCTAAGTATGATGTGCTTCCACCTCTTCTCTTCATACTCTCTACCTTCCTTACCATGATTCAGCCACACTGGCCTTTCTGTTCCTTGGACATGCCTGGAGACCTGTCCCTGCTCTTCCTTCTCTCTGGGGTGCTCTTCCCCCTCCTTATAAATGTTCAGGTCAGCGGAAATGTTCCTTCCTCTGAGAGCTCCTGCTTGGCCACCAGCCTAAAGGACTCACAACCCTGGCACTCTGTCCTGCTCATTAGCACCTCCAACAGCTGAACTTGCCTCTGTATCTGTTGTTTTCCCAATCAAAATGCTTACCCAAGATTAACAATTGTTCATTGCTGCATCCCCAGAGCCTAGCCCACTGCTTGGTACATAATAGATGCTTAATAAATATCTGTTGAAAGAACGAACACGTCTAGTCCTGACTTTATCTCTGACTTGTTGTGGGGTTTTTGAATCATCACTTCACATGCCTAAGCCTCAGCATTTTTTTTCCTGAGATAAAATAGGGATAATGTTATTGTTCATACTTATATCCCAGATCTGTCATGGATTCTAAGATAACAGAAATAAAAATACCCTGAAAAGGAGAAAGCACACAAGGAAACCTCACCCGGAGCCAGTACTGATTGTATAATGTTTAAGGAGTGCAGGGGCTGACCCACATGGCCAAGTTTAAGGGCCACCCGTGACCTCAGGCTTCTTCTTATGGGCAGGTAAATAAATTTCCTCTAGCATCTAAATTTAATCAGAAACAAAATGGTGCACATAACAACTTGCTTCCTAGAGCAAACTGTATTTGAGTATTTGCATTAGGCCAAACAATGAGAAAACTTTGCTTTGAGGGGCAGAACTCCTTTCTATTGAGTCCATCCAAGGAGAGAGGACCCACTTTCATGGGTGGTCTTGTTTCCATTTTCCCCTTTGGGTTCACCAGGGTTAAAGTGATGGGAGAACACACCTCGGTCTTGTGAGGCACTCAGTAATTCCAAGGGCCATTAT
Organism: Homo sapiens; assembly: GCF_000001405.40. NCBI lineage: Eukaryota > Metazoa > Chordata > Mammalia > Primates > Hominidae > Homo > Homo sapiens. Next base: position 41,435,561 of record NC_000017.11, on the reverse strand, counting down.
GATCCCTGCAGAACTTCAATTTGGAGACTTGGGGGGAATGCAGATTAGGCCCATTTGTGGTCCTGATTTCTGAATGCGATTACCAGCTATTTTTCATTGGAAAAATAGCTTGAAGTTTAGCCTCACTCCTCACGTCTTGTAGCTTCATCGGAGAAAAAGCAACTGGGGAAATGGAGAAGTGACATGGACCGCTGATGTCAGAGTAAAGGCATGGTTCAAGCCAGCCTCCTTTTCCTAGGGAAGGAACTGTCTGGTTGCATTTGGGGGCTTCAGCTTGCAGTGCTAAATGTGGGTCTGGTGGTAAGGTGTGTCCTTCTGGAAGACCCTTTCATGCTACCAAGCCATTTTGTCTGAAGGTAATTGACTAGGCTATGTTATGAAGCAAGAACAGGAATCTTTCAGGAAACTGGCTTTTTTTTTTCTCCTTCATGATCTGAGCTAGAAAACTCCCTCTACAGGGGTGACTTTTTCTGAGAAGATAAGCAAATGAACATGGGACCTGTTGTGTTGATGTGCTCCTTGGAGATGCTACTTTTTAGGGAAGAGTCTCCTGCTTCAGGCCAGCCTCAGCCTCCTGACTGTACCTTGGTAGATTTATTTTTATTTTTTTTGCTCCTCTCACACTTTAACGAGGAATTTGACCGCAATTCTGGTATAAAGATTTCTTGCCTTACTATGAACAGCAGCATCTACATCACCTGGAGCCTGCTTTTGCTTTCTTTCTCTTTGATTGTTAAAATAAACATTTGAAAGTAACTGCATGATTTTCAAATGGAGTTGTATATAGCAGTGGTTTCCTCCTGCCTGGTGTTAAAGGCCGTCTCCTCCCTCTGAGAACAGAGTGCCGCACTACAGCACTCTTGTAGGGCAGACATCATAACCGCTTCTAAAAGATGAAGCTCACAGAGGTTAAATAACTTGACAGAAGATATGCATTCAGCAAGTGTTTGAGCCAGGACTTGGACCCAGACCCAGACCCTTGGACCCAGTTGATTTGAGCTCTGGCTGCAAATCAACTCTTACTGTATCACATCACATGAGTATCTCATCTGTGTTTCTTCAAGTGGCTCTGAGCTGCCTTTTAAAGGGAGATCCTGCAATGTGAGCCTCGGATGCCCATGTTTCTCAGGGTCACCGACACAGTGTGATTTGGAAAGGAGACAGACGTGGGTTTGTTTAGCACAAGACTTATAGAAGGACAGTTATAAAAGTCAGTTTCCTGAACCAGCTACCTTATCCTGAGCTCGTTGCTACCCAACTATTGCTAAGTGCTTTGTCTGTGTTGAACATTTCAAGGGTCAATATCAGTGTCTGAGAAGGGTTAAACACTGGCTCTTGAAGGCAGAGTATGTCATTAGCAGAGAAGAGCTCTTCCCAGTGATGTAAAAGTAAATGAGCTCGCTCTTCTCTTTCCAGAGATTGCCTGCACGAGTGGTGGGATGAGGCAGCTGTGGGCTTTAAGGCAGCCAGACAGCCAATTTATATAATTCTCTTCTTTTCATAAAAGGACATGGGTTAAATGCAAAGTTAAATGTGATCTACCTTTGAATGCTCTGTAGGACTTTTCATATAAATATATTTTTAGATGAAAACAAGTCTTGCCTTAATTCTGACTTGATTTAGCACCACGGAGTTTAGAAGTCAGGGATTTTGTATCATTGGTGCAACATGCTATGGTTTGGCTTTATACTATGTCTATTCATGTACGCATGCAGGCATTCCCTCAGCACACAGTTACTGAGAATCACCATGCACGTGATACTGTGGAGGATAATACTGAGTATGACTTGCTCCAGAGCTGAGCTCATTTAGTCACTTCTGTTTTTATCGATTGAGTGCTTTGTTATGTCAGGTGATGTACTGGGAATTACAGAGATGAACAAGACAAAAGCAGTAAGACAAAATTCCTGCTTCCAAGGGACTTTCAAGAACACTAACAACAGAATGAAGAGGGTTACATCAAGGTAAACTAAGGGTCAATGTGAGTAGAGAGAAGAGGAATTGATTGAATGCTCAGTGAAGCTGGAGAAAGCTTCCCCTTGAAGGCATCTCTTGAGCTGAGAAATATAAAATCACCTTTCAAAATCAGAGTATTCAATACTACTGGATTTTTTTTTTTTTGAGATGGAGTATTTCTCTGTTGCTTAGGTTGGAGTGCAGCAACGCTACCTCGGCTCACTGTAACCTCCACTTCCCGAGTTCCAGCAATTCTCCTGCCTCAACCTCCAGAGTAGCTGGGACTACAGGCATGTGCCACCATGCTGAGCTAACTTTTGTATTTTAGTAGAGATGGGGTTTTGCTACTACTACTACTGCTACATGTTGGCCAGGCTTGTTTTGAACACCTGACAGGTGATCTGCCTGCCTCAGCCTCCCAAACTGCTGGGATTACAAGTGTGAGCCACCAGGCCCAGCCACAATACTATTGTATTTTTAATGAAGAAAATGAAACAGGGTTGTCAGTATTTCCCTATTTTACTGCACGTAATTCATGAAGTGGGCCAAATAAATAGTTCTACAATGACTTATTCAGAATTTATTATTTTCCCTAATTCCTAAATCATTCACTCTTCAAGTTCCCATGATTATGCTTTTCTCCTTTCTACTAACTGCACCTTTGCCCCATGATCATCCACAGCTTAACACCCATAGGAAATGGTCCCCTGAGAGACACAGAGGAATGGATTGAGGGGACATTGAGGGGAAATCCATAGGCTGAAGGAGGCACAAAACAGCAGAGATGGCTCCTGGCCTAACACCCCAAGGACTTCTATAGGGTACCCTTATATTTTTTATCCTTATACTTCTGTCTATGTAAGTATGTCTATAGGATTAAATTCCTATAGGCGGAAATTATTGGTCGATAGTGTATATGTGGGCATGGTGGCTCACACCTGTTATCCCAGCACTTTGGGAGGCCGAGGCGGGTGGATCATGAGGTCAGGAGATCGAGACCATCCAGGCCAACATGGTGAAACCTCGTCTCTACAAAAAACACAAAAATTAGCTGGGCATGGTGGCATGTGCTTGTAGTCCTAGCTACTCAGGAGGCTGAGGCAGGAGAATTGCTTGAACCCGGGAGGTGGAGGTTGCAGTGAGCTGAGATCATGCCACTGCATCCTAGCCTGGCAATATAGTGAGATTCCGTCTCAAAAAAAAAAAAAAAAAAGCATTTGTAATTTTAACAGATACTGCTGAACTATTTTGTAAAGAGGTTGCACAACTTATTCTTCCCCTCAACAGTGTATGAAAGTGCATGTTTTCTTTATTTTGCTACAATCATGACATTAATCTATTTTGTTTTATTTTACTTTATCATAGAAAGAACACCTAACATGAGAGCTACCCTCTTAATAAAATTTTAGGTGTACAATAAATTACTATGGACTCTGGGTACAATGCAGTACAGTAGATCTCTAGGCCTTACACATCTTGCTTGACTGGAACTTTATGTTCATTGAACAGTAACTTTCCATTTCCCCTTTTCCCACAGCCTCTGGAAACCACCATTCCACTCTTTGATTCTATGAATTTGCCTATTTTAAATACCTTGTATAAGCAGAATTATGCAGTATTTGTCTTTCTGTGATCGGCTTATTTCATTTAGCATAATGTCTTCAGGGTTGAATCTATTTTAGATACCTCATATAAGCAGAATCATGCAGTATTTGTCTTTCTGTGATTGGCTTATTTTATTTAGCATAACGTCTTCGAGGTTTATTCACGTTGCGTATTGCAGAATTTCGTCCTTTTTAAAGGCTGAATGGAATTCCAGTGTTTGCACATACCAATTTCTTTTTGTATTTATCTGTCAACGGACATTTAGGTAGTTTCCACATTCTGGCTATTGTGACTCCTGCTGCAATGACCACAGGAGTGTTAACATCTCTTTGAGATCCCAATTTCAATTCTTTTGGATAAATACCCTGAAGTGAGATTGTTGGCTCATATGGTAATTCTATTTTTAATTCTTTGAGGAATCTCCATACTGTTTTCCATAGTGGCTGCGTCATTTTGCATTTTCCCAACAGCGTGCAATGGTTCCAGCTCCTCTATATCCTCACCAATACTAGTTGTCTTTTTTTTTTTTTGATAGTAGCCATCCTGAGTGGTGTGAAGTGATGTCTCATGGCTTTGATCTGCATTTCCCTTATGGCTAGTGACTTTGAGCATTTTTTCATATACCTGATGGCCGTTTGTACGTCTACTTTAGAGAAATGTCTATAGAAATCCTTAGCCCATTTTTAAATTAAAAAAAATTATTTTTTACAGTTGAGTTGTAGGACTTCCTTATATATTTTGGAGGCTAACCCTTTATCAGATATATGATTTACAATTCTTTCTCCCATTCAGTAGGTTGTATTTTCACTCTGTTGTTTCTTTTGCTGTGCAAAAGCTTTTTAGTAAGACTAAACTTCTGATCTTTGCTAACTTAAATAAGTAAAAAATAAGTAATTTAATAAGCATTTTTGAATTATGAATGGTGTAAGCATGTAAACACACCAGTAACAGTAAAATCCATTAAAAAACACAACACTTATTTAGTGCTTACCATGTACTCTGTGCTAGACACTATTTTACGTGATTTACAGGTATGGATTTTTTTAAAACTTAAATCCATTAGCTAGGTGCTATTGTCACTCCATTGTGCATAAGCAGAATTTGAGGCACAGAGAGGTCAAGTCACCAGCCCAAGTTCACACAGCTAATAAATGATAGAACCAGAATCTGAACCCAGGCAGGCTGGATCCAAAATTCATTGTCTTAAACCTCTACTATGCTGCATTAAAGGATTTTGTAATAGGTCTTGGTATGAGGTAAATAAGGGGAAATTTCCTGCCTTAGCATGTAGATAAAGAAACTCTAGGATCAGGGAACAAAGGGGAGGGGAAATGAAGATAACTTTTTCAGTATTTAGTCTCTGATGACCTTAAGACCTGGGATAAGAATAAAGCAAACTAGGCAGGGCGCTGTGGCTCACTCCTGTAATCCCAGCACTTTGGGAGGCCGAGGTGGGTGGATCACCTGAGGTCAGGAGTCGGAGACCAGCCTGGCTAACATGGTGAAACTCCATCTCTGCTAAAAATACAAAAAATTAGCCGGACGTGGTGGCGTACGCCTGTAATCCCAGCTATTCAGGAGGCGGAGGCAGGAGAATCTCTTGAATCCAGGAGACGGAGGTTGCAGTGAGCCAAGATCAGACCACTGCTCTCCAGCTTGGGCAACAAGAGCAAAACTCCATCTAAAAAGAAAAGAAAAACAAAAAAAGAATAAAGCAGAATAATAATTTAAAAATACTTAAAATCAAACCAAAGTTTCCCAAGTAACTAGATTTTAAAATCCTATTTAATAGAAAAGAAAACGGTGACTTTTTTTTTTTTTTCAAAGCCTTCTGAGGTGGACTTTTGAAATGATAAAGGTGTTTTGGGTTATCCTTCCTCAGACTCTGTTTTCACCCAGCATGTCTGAGAGCCTTGCAGGCACAGTGGTATCAGGACACACTGCTGGTCGTGGTTTGCAGATGTTTTCCTGGCGTAATTCACATCAGGATGCAGTGTGTGGGCAGCTCCTGTTTCCTTAGGTGTCTTCAGAATTTTTCCTCTGCAGCTGGAGCAGGTGGTTGCAGATTAGACTCACACCCTGTGGACCGCCCAGTGCCTCTGCTTCTGTCTCACTCAGAGATGCGTCAGAACGGTCAGACTCAGAGATGCGTCTGCACCGTGGCACCAAGTGATGCTGTTCTGAACCCAGTGTTTCCCCTCTGCCTGAAGAGAGATTACAGCTCAAAATCTTTTAATCCTCAAGAGAGAAGAGGTGGCCCCTGTGAAGGAAGGAGGGCTGCAGGACTACCTCTGTCTTCTCTCTTCATCTCTGATACCTCCCTTCATGCAACTTGGAATATATGTTTATTTTCAGGGGCCAGAAACTCTTTTTAAAGAGGAGCAAGAGGGCCGGGCACGGTGGCTCATGCCTGTAATCCCAGCACTTTGGGAGGCTGAGGTGGGTGGATCACGAGGTCAGGAGTTCAAGACCAGTCTGGCCAACATGGTGAAACCCCATCTCTACTAAAAATACAAAAATTAGCTGGGTGTGGTGGCGGGTGCCTGTAATCCCAGCTACTAAGGAGGCTGAGGCAGGAGAATCGTTTGAACCCGGGAGGTGGAGGTCGTAGTGAGCCGAGATCATGCCATTGCATTGCATTGCACTGCAGCCTGGGTAATAGGGCGAGACTCTGTCTCAAAAAAAAAAAAAAAAGGGAGGAAGAGGAGGCTCATCTGATCATCTGCAATGTCAAGGATGGGCTCCTTCCCACCTACACAGCTGAGTACATCCCAGACACCTGCCTCATGCCTTCCACCTACTGCCTGTTCCTTTGAGACCAAAGAAAATCAGAAGAGCCCTCTGCTGTACGAAGGACTAGGCAGTGTCTATGTCATTATGCAAAATGGACCATGCAGAGCCCAAGCCAGAGACACATATCAAGCTTTGGAGAGGTGTGTCAGGACGCAAAGGATGCAAAGCTTCAGCTGTGATGCTTAAGAATTAACAAGTGTCATATGTTCTGAGACAGAAGGAACCATGATTTTAGCCAATGGGATAAAATCCTGCCAGAGGATAGGGTCAAGAGAGGGTTCCTATTTAGCAAATCAAAGGGAAGAATTTTAATGCTTCAATTCTCTGGATTATAGTGATGCTATGTGTTGAGGCGGAAGATAGGAACAAAGGGGTCTTTGAAGATGGAAAATGCAGATTGCACCCAGAGGCCTCTGAGGGATGGCCTGGCAGGGAGAGGCCCTCTAAGGATTGCCCCAGTAAAGAATGAGTCATAGCTGACCTCAGGGCCGCTGGAGCCACAGCTGACCCACAGTGGGTTTTCCTCTTGGGAAGAATTCCAGACCCCTTATTTCTCCTTGAGAGAATTCCAAGAGCCCAGGTTTCATCAACACCATCATCCCCTGACTCCCTTGTGGTTTTCACGGGGATGCATGTTCAACTTTTTCTCAGAGCAAAGATGTATTTATGCTGTTTAAAAATATATGCACACAGTTTTATGTATAATGTGGCATCATAACTTGTAGGGCATTTACTCTTATTTTATACATTCAGATATGTTTGGTTTTTTTTTTGAAACACTTCTTAAGGCTACACAACAGGACAGAGAAAAATAAACAGGAACATATTCAACAATTATAAAACATGATATGATAAAGAATATAAAGTACTAGTTTCCTTTCAATACTTCAAAAGATACATATATAAACTTTAAAAAAATGCTCAACATCACTAATGATCAGGGAAATGCAAATCGAAATCACAATGCGATACGACCTTGCTCCTGCAAGAATGGCCATAATCAAAAAAATAAAAAAACAATAGATGTTGGAGTGGATGTGGTGATCAGGGGACACTTCTACATGGCTGGTGGGAACGTAAACTAGTACAGCCACTATGGAAAACAGTGTGGAGATTCCTTAAAGAACTAAAAGTAGAACTATCATTTGATCCAACAATCCCACTACTGGGTATCTACTCAGAGGAAAAGAAGTCATTATGCTAAAAAGATACTTGCACACACACATTTGTAGCAGCACAATTCACAATTGCAAAATCACAGAACCAACCCAAATGCCCATCCATCAGTGAGTGGATAAAGACACTGTGGGCTGGGCACAGTGGCTCACACCTGTAATCCCAGCACTTTGGGAGGCCAAGGCGGGTGGATCACCTGAGGTCAGGAGTTCAAGACCAGCCTGGCCAACATGGCGAAACACCTTCTTTACTAAAAATACAAAAATTAGCTGGGCATGGTGGTGGCACCTGTAATCCCAGCTACTCGGGAAGCTGAGGCAGGAGAATCTCTTGAACCTGGGAGGTGGAGGTTGCAGTGAGCCGAGATGGTGCCACTGCACTCCAGCCTGGGTTACAAGAGTGAAGCTCTATCTCAAAAAAAAAAAAAAAGAAACTGTGGTACATATATATGATGAAATACTACTCAGCCATAAAAAGGATGAATTAATGGCACTTGTAGTGACCTGGATGAGATTGGAGACTATTATTCTAAGTGAAGTAACTCAGGAATGGAAAACCAAACATCATATATTGTCACTGATATGTGGGAGCTAAGCTATGAGGATGCAAAGGCATAAGAATGATACAATGGACTTTGAGGACTTCGGGGGAAGGGAGCGGGTGAGGGATAAAAGACTACAAATAGGATGCAGTGTATACTGCTTGGCTGATGGGTGCACCAAAATCTCACAAATCACCACCAAAGAACTTACTCACGTAACCCACCTGTGCCCCAATACTTATGGAAAAAAACCCCACCACTTATGGAAAAAATACCACCTGTACCCCAATAACTTACGGAAAAAAACCTAAACTTTTTTTTTATAAGTAACATCACAGATGCTCACATCTTCACATGCTTTTAAGTATTATTTGTACTCAGTGTAAGGCTATTATCATTTTTCATACATAAAGTTTTTTTTAGCTGTGTAACAATGCAATTTGTAATCCATTCAAGTAAATTCAGCCCCAAAGTTGTTGCTTCCCAGCATTAAGTCCTGCGCCCACCCCTCTTCTAAGATTTTCTAAAACTTGTATTTCAGAGGAAAAAAGTGTAGCTGAAGGGAATGCATATTTGATGCATATTTGGCTACACGATTTCTGTTTACTGTATTTTGCTTCCTATTTTATGTCTAAATCCTATTATTTTCATTTAAAATCTTAATAATGGCTCATTTCCAGTATGTCAATTTCAAAGACTTAAGGTTTTGCTACTAGTATCAGCCATTTACTTTCCCACTAATTGGGATTTTTTTTTTTTTAAAGAGTTTATTTATACTCTTTTAGAGCTTGTCCCATGGTCCTTCTGGTTTCCCTCTACCACTTGGGAGGGATGACTCCTGGCCACACCCCCATTGGTTGACTTGTTTTCCAGCTCTACTGGAAATCTCTGGGATTTGGGATATACAGTCAGAATGTTTCTGTCAACGACAGACCACATATACGGGCGGTGGTCCCACAAGATTATAATGATGCTGAAAATTCCTATTCTCTAGTGATGTGGAAGTGGTTATAATGTCGTAGTGCAATGCATTACCTTTTCTATGTTTAGATACACAAATATTATCGTGTTAATAATAGTTGCCTATGATACTCAGTACAGCAACATGCTGTACAGGTTTGTAGCCAGGTGCTATAGGCTGTGCTATACAGTCTAGGTGTGTAGTAGGCTCTACCATCTAGGTTTGTGTGAGTTCCCCCTATAATGTTTCCACAGTGAAGAAATCTCTTAACGACGCATTTCTCAGGACGCACCCTGTCTTAAATGATGCATATGTTACAAACTAGCGTAACTTTTTTTTTCTTTTTTGAGACAAAGTGTCAATCTTGTTGCTCAGGCTGGAGTGCAATGGCGCAATCTTGGCTCACGGAAACCTCCGCCTCCCGGGTTCAAGCAATTCTCCTCCTCAGCCTCCTGAGTAGCTGGGATTACAGGCATGTACCACCATGCCCGGCTAATTTTATATTTTTAGTAGAGACCGGTTTTCTCCATGTTGTTCATGCTGGTCTCGAACTCCTGACCTCAGGTGATCCGCCTGCCTTGGCCTCCCAAAGTACAGGGATTACAGGCGTGAGCCACCGCGCCCGGCCTAGTTTAACTTTTTAAAGTGCATTTTCTTGTTGTCACTGCCATAGTATTTAAATCTTTTCCTTTGCTGGAACACAAAGACCTTCAGTAATTTTCTTTTCACCACAATTTCTCATCCAGTAACTAAGCCCCTTCTTGCCCTCTCCTTAGGCCCAGCACTGACGGGGCAATGACACCGTTGTTCTCACCGGGGGCCATGATGAAGTGAAAAGAGAATGGGCCTAGCAGACATGAGACTGAATCGAGCCTTTGCCAGTTCACTAACTGTCAATCAGAAAATGTGCAAATGTACTTCACTCTAGTTTTCTCATCTGTACATTGAGGCAATGAGTAACCACCTCATAGGTGGTAAGGGTTAGATAGGAAAGAACACAGTAGAATGCCTAGCACACCTAAGTACTCAATCAATGTTAGTTCTGGACCTTTCATTTGAATACTGCTTGAGCTCTGTGCCCAATCTCCCTTTCCTGGATCAAATAAGATTTTTCTTTGTTAGTGATTTCTTTCTAGATACTTCCTTGGCCAGAACTATAGATCCTCTGTCTTTCACTAACTCTTGTTGATCTATGGTTCTCATTCAAGTTTGTGTAGAACATCCAGAGATTTCAGAGGCATTGTTTACTCCTGATGAACAGGGAACATTGCGTGTCCAGGAACCAGCACACTGCCTGAGTTATGGGGGATATTCAGGAAGCATGCTGAACCAATGAATGAATGAACAAATGAATGAATAGCTGATTCTGACTAGTCAACCAAAACTTAATTAGCGCCATTGCTTCCAGATGTTATTGCTTCTCAAGGGAGTATGCAATGTGAAAGAAGAAAGAAAAAAAGGCGCCTCTCAATCGTCAAATATCAGTAGATGCATTGGTTTTATTAACTGATATTTTCTCTTCAAAGGAAAGGCTGATTCAGTCTTGCACAGGCGAAAGATCCAGTGGGTCCCATTGGTTCTCTGTGTCTCCTGCTACACAAATTACTGACGGAAAGATTTGAGCCTTCATTGTGACCACATCCACAGAGACCATAGTCCAGAGAGAGCAATTGGGGCCTGAATCAACTGCTGGTGTTTGTTGAGCAGAAACAGTGAGTCTCTGACTTCCCACCAACAGCTAACCTGATATGGAAGAGCCAAGAGGCATCTCAGATTTGTCAACATTGCTTTAATGAGCTGAGGAACTTCTCATGGTAAACTCAGCAGCTGAGTAACAGGATGATGGCACCACAACAGGTAGATAATCAAGGCAGGAGGTCAAAGCACTGGAGCCAACACCCGCCCAGGATGGGGTATAAAAGGGTTGGGAGGAGAGGAGGCTTCAGTCTCAGTGGCTCAGCCTTCCCAGCTGATCTGAAGCTCCTGTGCAGCCTCAGCCCTACACCATGACCTCCTTCTACAGCACCTCCTCATGCCCTCTGGGTTGCACCATGGCTCCTGGAGCAAGAAATGTCTTTGTCTCTCCTATCGATGTTGGGTGCCAGCCTGTGGCAGAGGCCAATGCTGCCTCCATGTGCCTCTTGGCCAACGTGGCACACGCCAACAGAGTCCGTGTGGGGTCGACTCCCCTGGGCCGCCCCAGCCTCTGTCTGCCCCCAACCAGTCACACTGCTTGTCCCTTGCCAGGGACCTGTCACATTCCCGGCAACATCGGAATCTGTGGGGCCTACGGCAAAAACACCCTGAATGGCCATGAGAAGGAGACCATGAAGTTCCTGAATGACCGCCTGGCCAACTACCTGGAGAAGGTGCGCCAGCTGGAGCAGGAGAATGCAGAGCTGGAGACCACACTCCTCGAGAGGAGCAAGTGCCACGAGTCCACCGTGTGCCCCGACTACCAGTCCTACTTCCGTACAATCGAGGAGCTCCAGCAGAAGGTGAGGTGTGGGATCGCCTGGGCATGCTGGGTCTGAGAAGGCAGAAGCCTTCGCAGGAGGAATCTGCATAAGGTCCAGAGAGCTTTGGGTTCTTGGTTTCTCTTGGACATGAGCGTAAATACCACACATGGAGTGGGAGCTTAGAGTATGGTGCTTTGTGTGTGAACCGTCTTTCCGTTTTCCTCAGATCCTGTGCAGCAAGGCTGAGAATGCCAGGCTGATTGTACAAATTGACAACGCGAAGCTGGCTGCTGATGACTTTAGGATCAAGTAAGTCAGGATGAGGAGGGTCAGTGTGACTTCTCTCCTGCTGTATTTCCAAGGGCCCGCCCCATTACTCAGTCTATATTGTAGGTGTTCAAAAACAGTTTTTGACTAGAAGAATATTTCTCTCCACACCTTAAATTAGCCTGTTGCTAGAAATGGTCATTATATAGGAGGAAAGAGAATATAAGCATTGAAAGAAAAAGAAGGGCTGTAGTCTAGATTGGTTAGAACCTATGTCACTTTCTCCCATATCTAGAAGATAAGAGGATTTTGCTTTTCAATCAGAAGTAAAATTGAGTCATCACAAAAATAAACTGTCAATGCATAGGTTGTTGCTAGACTCTCTGACTCTTGGCCAAATCCATCAGCTGGAGGAATTGTCATTGAAGCTCCTTGGTAGCTAGAGTTGTGCTTGAATGAAGGGGAAAAGCAAGAAAACAACGAGAAATAATGAATCCAAGAGGAAAAGCAGCAAACTGAAGGTCCAGAGGCTTATTTTTAGCCATTCTTTTTCCTGGCCAAATGACTCCTATTATGGCAGAATAAATGCTGCATTTGAAGTCAGAACACTTAGGATGAGTCCATGCATTTACTATTAACTGGGCATGGAATTCTGAACAACTCGTGTTTTGTTTCTGAGCCTCAGTCTTCCATCTGGTCAATGGGCATAATGTCCTGACTACAAACCGTGTCGCTGCAGGGTTGAGAATAGTGTATACTGCCCACGTGAACAAATAAGGATCCAAGGTGGTGTGGGAGGTAGGAAGCCAGGGCAGCTGAGAGGGGCTATTGGGGCATTCTTTTTGACCCTGTGCCTCCTGTGACGGAAGGCTGGAGAGTGAGCGCTCCCTTCACCAGCTGGTGGAGGCGGACAAGTGCGGGACGCAGAAGCTCCTGGATGACGCGACCCTGGCCAAGGCCGACCTGGAGGCCCAGCAGGAGTCCCTGAAGGAGGAGCAGCTCTCCCTCAAGAGCAACCACGAGCAGGTGTGGCCCTGGCTGCTCAGACTCCTGGGGAGGGCGCTGGGCAGACAGGGGAGCTCCCCGGCCCTGGGGCTCTCAGAGCATTGCCTGGGCTCAGCTGGCCTAAGGATGCAGGGCTGAGGTGGGTCTGAGGGTCCAGAGGGCCTCTGTGGAAAGTGCAGACTTGCCTTGGGCATGAGGAAGGTGTCCAGGTGGGCTCTCCCAAATGCACTCTGGACAAGACTTTCCCATTTGCTTATGTGTGGGACTCCCCTCCTACTGCTTGCCAGGGACGGAGTCCTGGTGCTGTCTGCTCCATCAAAGGCCGTTTCCTTACGCAGGCTGTCTATCGCTTCCATTTCTGCAGGAAGTAAAGATTCTGAGGAGTCAGCTGGGGGAGAAGTTCCGGATCGAGCTGGACATTGAGCCCACCATTGACCTGAACAGGGTGTTGGGGGAGATGCGGGCTCAGTACGAGGCCATGGTGGAGACCAACCACCAGGATGTGGAACAGTGGTTCCAAGCCCAGGTGAGTGGGGGTTACAGAGCCAGGGAGTACCTGGCCTCCATCTGAGCAGGGAGGTGACTGTGTTTCTCTGTGCTCCAGTCTGAAGGCATCAGCCTGCAGGCCATGTCCTGCTCCGAGGAGCTGCAGTGCTGCCAGTCGGAGATCCTGGAGCTGAGATGCACGGTGAATGCCCTGGAGGTGGAGCGCCAAGCCCAGCACACCTTGGTACGTGTCCTTCACCCTCACTGCACTGCAAATGCCCCATGCCATGTCCTGGTAGTAGCATCTCTTAAAGTCTCACAAATCAGTTCCTTCAACATTAAGTCAAGATCTGGGGTCCTCTATACCCGATGGAGACGTCTTGCTGTCAAGTTCAGTGTGACCCAGGGAAATGGTTTCTTCAGAAAATCAAGTCCACTTCCTTTACAACACAGTGCGGAAGTTCAGGCACTCACTCCACAAGATTTTACGAGGTGCCTGCTTTTTGTCAAGCACTGGGGATACAGGGATGAACATGACAGTTCCTTAAGTTAGATTTGTGTGCATGAGAGAGAAGTCATGGTCATGTTGACAGTGATTTCTCCAGAGCTCTGAGAATGTCCTATGACATTTTGGAATTTGCCCTATGTGTGATGAGTTTGGTCATGATTTTCACTGCTGAGTTTTGGGGCACCTGGATCTCTTACCCCATTATTTCCCATTACAGAAGGACTGTCTGCAGAACTCCCTGTGTGAAGCGGAGGACCGCTACGGCACAGAGCTGGCCCAGATGCAGAGCCTCATTAGCAACTTGGAAGAGCAGTTGTCTGAGATCCGGGCCGACCTGGAGCGGCAGAACCAGGAGTACCAGGTGCTGCTGGACGTGAAGGCCCGGTTGGAGAACGAGATTGCCACATACCGGAACCTTCTGGAGAGCGAGGACTGCAAGTACGTGTGATCTGGGCAATTCCTAAGCCACACACATGACTGTCAGGCAATTCCTCAGAGGTAATGGAAGTGCTTGCAGAAGATATCATCTTAACAAACAAGCCTTCCTGTGCTCTCTTGCTCAGTGACTCATTAACCTCTCCTGGTCTGTGCAGACTGGATTATTGAGAAAATGTTCTCTAAATGATAGCCAGGTCCCTAAGCCAAATCTTCCCCAAGGATTCCTGGATGTAGAAAGACACAGATGAGAGAACTGTTGGTATAGATTCTCTGGTCTGTGTGCCTTGTTGGTGGCAGGCCCAGCCTTCACCCTGATCTTACCCTTGTCCATCAATCACTGAGACATCTTTTTAATGTAACTCTTCTTTCTCTCCCTGCAGACTCCCCTGCAATCCCTGTTCCACGCCTGCCTCCTGTACTTCTTGTCCAAGCTGTGGCCCTGTCACCGGTGGGTCTCCCTCTGGCCATGGAGCCAGCATGGGGAGATGATTCTGAAGGCCCGAGTTAGGAGATTGAGGCTGGTTGCACTGGGGTCAGGAGTGCCCTCACCTTGCCCAGTCTTCCTTCAAGACTAGACTCACTGAGGCATTTTCCCTAAATCAACCGGTAGCAGATACTTCCAAGGAGTGGCTCCCTGCCTATGCCTCTAAGCTGTATTTTTTGTTGTTGCTAAAATGTTGTAATTATCTTCCATGAAAGCAATTATTTTTCCTGGTGTCTCTTCTTGGTACTTTTAGTTCTATTCCAGTGTTTCAGAATCTCCAAAAATGTAACTGGGTTCCCTGCATTAAATGGTCAATAAACCTCCTTCCTGCACCAAGTGCTGTCTCCCCGGTGTTGGTTGTATGTGAGATGTCGGAGAGTCCTGGTCGTCAGGTCCTGTGTCCTCACTGGCTCTGACATCTTGCTTCCAGGAGCTCCCTGGGGTGCTCTGGGGCCTCTGGATGAAGGTCCCTTCCTGATGTTGGATGTGTATTCACCTTTCCCAGGGATCCCTATAGACTGGTGGAAGGAAGTGATGCCAGTTGCCAAGTTTGAATTCTTTCAGAACAGCTCAGAGCTAACATGTCCCTACCATGCTTTTGGCATCTTCAGCCTCTTGTTATTTTGTCCAAGAGCAAAATCACATCACTTAGCATTCTAATATCGTCAAAGGAAGGTCGTGTTGAGAATTGTCTGAGCCAAGTTGCCAAGTTTTTCCTCTCACTCCAGTTGGCCCCTTTCATGGAGCCATGGAATTCTCGCCCACTCTCCCAAATGCAGAGGCCCAGATTGGGCACTGGAGACTGGGGTCTTGGTCCTGGGGCACTTCTAGGCTTTAGTTTTCTCTAGAGAGATGCTGCCACTGATGTTTCTGTTGTCTATTCTGCTGCTGTCTTGGAGGTGCTGGCGGTGAGGGCTGCCGCTGCCATCAGAGCACTCCAAGTCCCTGCCTGCCTCTCAGATGTGGCTTTGGCACTGGCCAAGGTGGTTCACAGCCAGATGCAGTTATAAGCAGGTGGAGGAGCAGCCCAGAGAGGCTGCTGCCTCCCACGCCATGCTAGTCAGTTTACGGCAAGCACCAAGTGTGTCCAGAAGAATGAAACTCTTGGGTCTCAGCTTGTCCATGTGCCCTGGTGCAAAGAGCAATGAAAAACTGGTCCTTCTTCATGGTGGCATAGTGTGGTGGAGGTGGATCTTCTCTAGGGTCAGGGAAACTTGGGTTCAAATCCCACCTTGGTGACTCTGAAGTGGGATTTGAACCCACCTTGCTGAGTGAAGTTGGCCAGGTCACTGCATTCTCTTGAGACCTATTCCTTGTTTGTGGAAGTAGGATAGTTGTATTTCCCTCTCACTGTGGTTGAGGGGTAATGCATCTAATGTTCCTGGCATCTAGAAGGTGTTCAGTGGATATTGGTTTATTGGGGCTCCCTAGGAACCAGCAGGTACAATCTCTTCCTCCCAGAGAGAAAAAGGAGCTGAAGAGATAGTAGCAGAACCCACTCTCAGCATCGGGGCCCTAGATTCTACGTTGGTGGCTGGAAAGTTTGGCCATATTCCTTGTTCATGTACATGCAATAATAAAAGCCATCTTCTGTTGTCATTAGGCCTGTTTCTCACTCCAAGTAGCCTAACTGAATCCAAAAAAGCATTCATTGGGCTGTCAGAGGACAAGACTGTTTGGTGGGCTCTTCTAATGAGGAACCCACAAGAGTCATGTTTTAAGAAGTGGCCATGACCCTCCCTGACCCTCAGTGTGATGGGGTTGTGGAGATCCGACCTGTCCCCACCTTTCTTGGCCAGGTCACACCCTTAACAAGCTCTACCTATGAGGTCCCATGGCTAGGTGTGACAGGAGGTGCCACTCAGGTACATAGAAAATGAAGGCTAGAGGCTGGCAGGTGGGTAACCAGTGCAGTCAGGACACCTGGACCCTGGGGTTTTACTCACATTCGTTATCCTAGCCTGAGAGCTTAGGGCTCCCTCTGGTACCAAATCCCAGACATCTTTTCTTGCAAGTGATTCTCCCGCCTGGACATTCTGTGCCTGTCCCTGGCCTCTCTGCCTCACATACTCTCACCGACTGGATGGATATAGCCCTGAATGTGGCACAATAGGCTTTGCTTTGGCCACAATAACTGCAACCAGGTGTCTCTTATTTTCCTTCTCCTGAGGCTTCTGCTCCCTTGGCTGGGGGCCACATCTGGTTCTGAGCCACCTAGTGCTTAGCCCGTCCCTCTTCAGTTCACCAATCCTGCACTGCCTGTGGGCTGATGTGTGATATTTCTTCCCAGCCTTCACGTGGTAACATCAGTTGCGGCTCATGAGGCCCATGCACTTATGTATTTTTTGACACCAAATGCCATTTCTCACAAATTCCAGCAAAGTGGAAAGGAGAAAGGGTAAACAGCTACAGGCTGCTGGGGTGGACACTGCAGTCACCGAGAGAGCTCTGGGGAAGGGCCCACTCCTGCTCCCACCACTGTCTACACTGGGAAGCCAAGAAGATTGAAGTGAATTTCTGGACTTTCCTGAACAGGAGCATTTTTTATTTGGATAGTTTTTTTGTAGACGATGATATGTGATACCTAAGGCTGATGGTGTGTGCCCCACCCTCCCCTCCTTCCCCCCAGCATCTTCTCTTTGTCTTCCTGACCAAGAACAAAATCAATTTCATCTGTTCTCATGGCCACTTATAATCTTCATGAGCTCAGCTTGAAGCTCATGAAGTTCTCAGCCTGTTTAAATTAAACCATTTTTAATGTATCTTTTTTCTACCTAATTCAGTGTTTCATAACCATGCCTTCCCACTTAATAAATGTAAAGATATCTTGCCTTCTCACTTAATGTTTTAACTTTCAAAAATGTAAATACCAAACTCGTATCATGACTAAAAGACAGCTCATTTCAAATACAGGTTATGCTTGTTTTCAAATGACACTTCCTCTAACTAAAATAACTTCCCTGCCATCTGTTTTAGATATTCCAAACATCACCTCCCCACTGGGGCTAGGGGGTGATACACAGACTCTCCCAGTTAGAATCACCGTTCCTATTCAAGTATGAGCCCCTGGGCTAAGCTTACCTGCTTTACCTGCCTGCCAGGTGTAATACGTTTTAGCTTCTGAGGAGGAGGGTTTCTCAGTGACCCAGGCTGCTCTGCCCTGGCCCCAGGCCTTTGTCTGTGACCCCCTAGTGGCCAGTCCCAGGTAGCTATATTTCACACTCATCCTCTCCAAACTTGAATGCAGCTTCTCCCGCTCTAGCCAGCTCTTTCCTTTGACTTCTCAGCTCCCTTGAAGCACACAATTGTCCTAGGAACTTGGGGGTGACCTTGGGGCCACTTTCGGTTTCTCTTCCTCCTTTGACCCCATATACAGTAATTCTCCCTGTCTTGTAGAGTCCTTCTGCAGCATCTATGTCCTTTGTGCCTTCCTTTACTTCAGCACTGCTGGTGGCTGGTTTTGGGTTCCATCACATCCTGCCTGGATTCTTGTAAGAGCCTCCTCCTGCTCTCTTCTGTGCCAGGTTTGTTCTGCACACACCACCAGCCCTTCACTCTTTTGTGTTCTATTTATTGAGTAAATATTATGTACAAGGCACTGTATTGCATGCTAGAGAGCATACGAAATGAAGATGGAGTGTTCCCACTCCAGGGTGCACACTGGGCAGTGGTAAAAGGAAAATGGGGCCGGGCGCAGTGGTTCACGCGTGTAATCCTAGCACTTTGGGAGGCCGAGGCAGGTGGATCATCTGAGGTCAGGAGTTTGAGACCAGCCTGACCAACATGGTGAAACCTCGTCTCTACTAAAAATACAAAATCAGCCAAGCATGGTGGCACATGCCTGTAATCCCAACTACGCCAGAGGCGGAGGCAGGAGAATCACTTGAACCCGGGAGGCGGAGGTTGTAGTGAGCTGAGATCACGCCACTGCACTCCAGCCTGGGCGACAGAGCGAGACTCCGTCTAAAACAATAACAACAACAAAAACAAAACAAATAAACAAACAAAAAAGAAAATGAAATGTCAGGGCTTTCTAAATTTATTATGCCGAAGTGAAAAATTAAGCCTTGGAAACTGGGTCATGCGATATAGCTGTTCTTCTTCTCTCCTGCAAAGACAGTTGCTTCCTGACTTGTGTGTTGACATGTTGCATAGTAACCAGACTCCCTTGTCTGTATTCAAACCTAGAGTAAATGACATTGGAGAAGGAGGCCCTTGTGACTGCTACCTTTTTACAATAGAATGTTAAGCAACCCCATGAGAGTGTAATCAATAGCGGTCAATCAGATCTTACATCTGTACACTAGCCTTTGTGTGGAAAACGTCGTAATTCTGTTCAGCACCTCTATTTTTGCCTATATAAGTGATCTTCATTTTCCCCCTGCACTGGGAGTACTGATTGCCATTCTTCGGTGTTCGTGTGTCCCCAGAAGACGGCTCTCACATGCCATGCTTGAAAAAACTCTTTTTAACCAGATCCTGAGCCTTTTGATTATTTTAGGTTGACAGGCACTGGATTAATTTTCTAAAATTTCTCCTTTGATTCTCTCTTTCATCTGCTCAAAAACCTCCAGAGGACTCTGTTCTGTTTCTAGCTCTTCAGGCAAGTTGTGTGGCCCAGAGCAGGAACTTCATAGCTATTTGTTGAATAAATCCAGTTGGACAGCTGGCGTCTAGGAGTGTTGGCCTTGTGTTCAGTCCAGAGTCCACTATCTGGCCCTTTCTGGGTCACTGGGCAGAGCAGAAAGAACTTGGGCTTCAGGGTCAGGCAGACCTGGGCTGACATTTCAAGGCCCATACTTTTCATTCCAACTTGGTGAGTTCAGACAACATCCCTAACTGCTCTGAGCTTTGTTTTCTTTACTCTACAGTGGGATACTTGTAACTGCTTTGTAGTGTGGTTATAAGGATGAAAAGACACAACTATATGGGAAGCATATGGTATAATACTTGGTGGCACATAGTAGGTGGTCAAATAATAACACAGTAGGCCGCACATAGTAGGTGTCTATCTAATTTGCGTGTATAGATTTGTGAATGTGTGAGAGAGAATTAAGTAAAATATTGTATACCAAGTGCCAAGCTCGGTTCCCTTCACATAATAGATGTCAATAGATATTACTTCATGTGACCTTTATCTGTCCTTTATGAACATTGTTTTTCGCGTGGACTGGCCTCTTCCCCACAGGCATAAGCAACACAGTGTGCATATTTTCCTTTTTGTCTCTCCTCTCTCCTTCATCCTAGATATCCTCCTAAAACAAACCTCAGCAAAGAAGAGCAAACTAGGAAAACAAACAGAACTTGCTTATTACATTGGAGAAAACTGCATGCTAACTGATTTGAAGTACAGTAATCCAAACACTGGCTCCTCTTGAATTCATCAAATCCTGTTTTGTGACCTGGTGCTTCATTCACCTAGGATGAAGTCACCACAAAACTTGTCTATTGCTATGGAGCAGTGATTCCGTCTTCCAAGGGTGGTCCCCAGACCAGCAGCATCAGTGTCATGTGGGAACTTGTTAGAAATGCAGACTCCCTGGCCTGACCCCAGACCGCTTGAATCAGAAACTGTGGTGTGGGGCCTGAAAACCTGCATTTTTTGCAAGCCCTCTGGGTGATTCTGATGCTGGTTAAAGTTTGACCACTGGTGGAGATGTTATGAAAATAGAAGCAGACAATATTTTTAGCATAGAGGAGTACAAACTTCACTCTTACAGGCTTCAGAAATGCAATTTGGCTCTTTGGGTTGACATTTTGTGTCATTCAAACTCATTTCTTTGGGGGTCCAGTACTTGGGACAGGCCTGTTGTTGGCTGTTGCATTTCTGAAGTTGTACCCAGTTCTCTTGAGCCCACTTCTGCTTCTGAGTGTTTTCTTGTGTTCATCCTCTTTTTTTTTTTGTCACCCAGGCTGGAGCACAGTGGCTCGATCTCGGCTCACTGCAACCTCCACCTCCCAGGTTCAAGCAATTCTCCTGCCTCAACCTCCCGAGTATCTGGGACTACAGGCGTGTGCCACCACACCCAGCAAATTTTTGTATTTTTAGTAGAGATGGGGTTTCACCATGTTGGCCAGGATGGTCTCGATCCTTGATCTCGTGATCCGCTTGCCTCGGCTTCCCAAAGTGCTAGGATTACAGGCGCGAGCCACTGCGCCTGGCCTGTTCATCCTCTTTTTCTGGAAAACTGTCTCCCATCTTTCCTGCCCATCCAAGTCTTCCCAATCTTAAGTTCCAGACAAAGTGTCTTTGATGGCCCCTCTATATCTCTAAGCTCCAGTCACTTCTCCCTCCACTGAGTTACGTGACCTCTTTTTCTGCTCTCAGCTTTTTGAGGGTGGAAATTTCTCCTTTTCATCTCTGCATCCCCCATCCCCTTGAGAAGGGCTTTGGTATAACAGGAGTTCAGGAATATCAGACATTCAGAGTAAGTCACCAGGATAAGGCAAATCATGCCTTGGAGAATATCACCCACATCTGTATAGAGTTACAGAGAAGGGTCCCCATGCGTCTCATTGACTGTATATGGGACCAACTGGTGGCTGGCTGGTTGTCATGGCTGAATAGCCAGTGGCTCCAGCATGGTTTACACAAAAGTCCTGGGCAAGAAGGTTTTCTGGCCATCTACTGGCAGCCTTTCAATCTAAACTAATCAGAAATCCCACTGTACAGCCCGCACTTAAGAGTGATAGTAACTGTTACATCATGGAGCATGTCCAGGGAAACATTCCTGGGATGGCAAGGGGACTTTGAACCATGCTGAATGCAGAACCAGGAGTAAGAAATCTCACATCTGCCACAAAGAGCTGAGAATATGGCAGAATGATTAGATTTATCCTGTATGGGACACCATGGGGGAGAACTGGAGAGTAAATGAACTAAAGGGCCAACTCTCTGACTTACTTGCCAATGTATTACTAGCCTCCAGCTCAGCCCCTGGTTGGCACAGAGTAGGTACTTCATAGCTATTTGTTGAATGAATGAATGAATGACCCAACAAAAGCTATAGGGAGAGGTAACACGAAGGTAGATTTGTGAAGACTTTCTAAAAATTCTCTATAATGTGAGTGCCTTAAGGCTGAGCTAGCTGCTGTTAATTTTCTGGATACCAGTGTCTTGCACAAAGCCTGGGAAGCTGTTTGTAAGCCACAGGAACTGATGGTGTAAGCTCTCCTGGAAAATGGTGGACTAGATGACTAGTTGGAGGAAGGTCATCGAAGGGATTTAATGCAAATGGGTACTAGACTAGAGGACCCTGAAGTCCCTTTCGTCCTGGAGATGCTATGTTGTAGTGCCAGCTGAAACACACTTGCTGCTTCAAGGGCCCTCGTGGTGAATTCATTCATCTTAGGAATGCGGTCAAATTAGCATCTTTGTTAGCATAGACTGGAAGCTGGCTAGCTGCCCTTTTCCAGGGTGTATTGAACAAATGGCCACTGGCTTATTTGTTTTAGAAATAGGGGAGGCCATAAAGGTTCTGATGCTCTGAGTGTGTCTGAAGATTAAGGAAATTTAAATTTTGTTCTAGAGTCTCCCAAGCAATGGATAATCAAGGTAGATGCATTTCAAAGAAATGCAAAAATATTTCAAAAGATGAAAGATCAAAGTTCTTGAGTACGTATCTTCTGTAAACAAGGGTGATGAGGGACTCAGTCTGGTGAAAGGGTCAATAGAAAGGAAAGATGCCTGGGAAGGTGGGTGAGGCCCTGAGAACAGACACCATAAAGTGTTAATCACTGCCTGCCTTAATTAGCCTGTAGACTCCAGTACACAGAAGCATAATTTTATTTTCTGAAAATTGCAAACCATCAGTTTTATTATGAGCCGTTTTTTTCTCACTCCCAAAACGCTTATCTGTTTCACGTATGCACAGGGAAAGTCTTAATTGCCAACATCTGTTTTATAGGTTGTGTATTGATTTTAATTCAGTTCAAAATACTTAAAAATTTTTAAATTAGATTTCTTATTTAACCCAAGGAGTATTAAAAACTGTGTTAGTTTTCAAACACCAAGATTAATTTTGAACTTAGGTTTCATTTTCAGTTTTCTAATAATTTGTGTAAAGGAACTTTCCACCTTTTTTCTGCTACTTTCCTTCAAAAGGAAGCTGGCTATTTATTTTTCCTTATACTTGAAAGTCGTCTTCCAGGGCAGATCCCTACCTTTCACTCACCTTTGCCTCAAGACCATGGTCCTGGTATTTAAGACTTTTCACAACCTGGACTCAATGCAACTTTCCGGGGCTTGGGGATAATGTCTCCATTATAAATACCAACACAACTAGACTATTTTCCATTTTCCAAATGTTTGATTGTGTTTATTTTGTTCTCTATGAGAGAAGCTCATTCCCCAACCCTTTATAAAAAATATCATTCAAAACATATTTGGAAAATCCCCTACTCCATGAAGTCTTTTTCCGGTCTCTCAGTGAGCTCTCTTCCACCTCGAAATCTTTGCAGCTGTCTTTTAAAAAAAAAAAAATACTTCCTTTTACTGTCTTCATAATATCAAGATCATTTACTTTTTTATCTTTCTTATTAAAATCTAAAATCTCCTTCTTACAAGACAGCATAGATGTGCGTTTGTTCCGCACTGGGCACTCTACAAATATCTATCAAAACAAACAAATCATGATTTTTCCCTTTCTTCAATGTGCCTGATTGACTAATATTTTAGGTTTTGCTGCATTGGGAACATTCAGAGGTAGGAAAAGAATGTGGGAGTGAGAGAGACTTGCAGGACATTTTAGGAGCCTTTAGTTCTTGATTATTTCATAGACATAAGCTGACAGAAGGGGAAAGATTTCACAGCCACAGAAAGTGGGCTGCTTGAAGAAGACCTTGTTTTCTCTGTTTTCCAGGACCCTGCAGTGATGGGAAGAAAGAGGTTAGGGCCTCTTTCATGAGCTCATTAACTCTTTATAGGAAACAAAAACCACTGACTAATAGAGTGATTGTATAACAATTGACATAAATATTAATGAGGAAAATGCCAGTTTTCTTGCACCAACACCCACTAAGGCTTATATAAGGTCTACAGGAGAAGGAAGATTTTGGTGTCAAGCAGATCCAACTGTGGGCAAAGCAGGATCTTGCCTTTTAGCACCATGACTTCTGACCATTGCAGTTCCCTCCTCAGCGGGCAGGTTTCAGAGGCCAACGCTGCCTCTCTGTGCCTCTTGGCTAATGTGGCACATGCCAATCGAGTCCGTGTGGGGTCGACTCCCCTGGGCCGCCTCAGCCTCTGTCTGCCCCCAACCTGCCACACCACTTGTCCCTTGCCAGGGACCTGCCACATTCCTGGCAACATCGGAATCTGTGGGGCCTACCGCGAAAACACCCTGAACGGCCACGAGAAGGAGACCATGCAGTTCCTAAACGACCGCCTGGCCAACTACCTGGAGAAGGTGCGCCAGCTGGAGTGGGACAATGCAGAACTGGAGACCAAACTCCATGAGAGGAGCAAGTGCCACGAGTCCAGCGTGTGCCGAAACTACCAGTCCTACTTCTGCACCATCCAGGAGCTCCAGCAGAAGGTGAGGTTTGCGGTGCACCAGATCAGGGGTCAGGAATCTGCTTACTGCCTGTCGGCCAAATCCGGCCCACCACCTGCTTTTGCAAATAAAGTTTTATTGGTTCATGGCCATGCTCATGCATTTGTATGTTGTCTGCAGCTGCTTTTGTACTACAGTGGCAGAGTTCAGTCATTGTAATGGAGACTGTAGGGTCTGCAAAGCCTAAAGTATTTACTATCTGACCCTTTACAAAAAAAGATTACTGACCCTGGGTCAGCAGTGGATTTTTTTTTTCTTTTAATGTGGGAAGAGAATCTCTTGAGTGAAGGTGAATGGGAATTTGTAAAGGATGAGATGTAGAATTTATCACTCTAGGATTCTGAGTTCATGCTTACTTAACTTCAGCACATAAAATTCCTAAATCGTAGTCACAAAAATCATGCTATTTTCATGAAAACCATGCAAAAACCGTGCTGAGTTTATGAAAGTTGCAGTATACTGAAACTTCTGGTGCAGTAAACAGGGCAAAAGGAATATTTCCTAACATCCTTGCCAAGGCAGTGTCTATCCACACAACAGCATCAACCTCTTATGCATATCTATTGTCACCTTTGATTATCCAGTTAAAGCTTCTGAAGAGCCTACATCTTAGTTTTGGAGACAAGAAGACAAGGAATGTCAAAATAGGGGTTACAGAAACCTGGCTAGATTCAGAGAAGACCTGTGGGGAGGTTGGACAACCAGAGGAAAGATCTTCTTTAGAACAGATCCTACTTTATCTAAAACATTCATAGCCAGTCCTCTGTTCTGTGGCCTAGTTTTTTTTTTTTTTTTTTTGAGACAAAGTCTCGCTCTGTCACCCAGGCTGGAGTGCAGTGGTGCAATCTCAGCTCACTGCAAACTCTGCCTCCCAGGTTCAAGTGATTCTCATGTCTCAGCTTCCTGAGTAGCTGGGATTACAAGTGTGCGCCACCACTCCTAGCTAACTTTTATATTTTTAGTAGAGATGGTGTTTCACCATGTTGCCCAGGCTGGTCTTGAACTCCTGACCTCAGGTGATCCATCTGCCTTGGTCTCCCAAAGTGCGGGGATTACAGGCATGAGCCACTGCGTCCGGCCAGATCTTCTTATTTATATTGGGCTAAGCATCATATCTGGCAAAATGAAAGCAAGTCTTTGTTATATGTTCAGTTTGCTACTGTCTTCCATCTCCTGGTTCCTTTGACTCTATGTCTTCATCCTTTTCCAAGAAGTCTCTTGCACATCTTCCTTCCCACACCACAAAAGCATCTCTTGCACGTTTGGGAGTTTGTGTTGTCCAGGCGGATGCTGTAGGTTCAACTTCAGCCAATAAAACTTCCTCTCACCTGAGGCTATAGGTGTCTCTGGGATCAGTAAGTCACTTACTGAGCCTACTTTCTTACCCCAGATTCTGTGCACCAAATCGGAGAACAATAGGCTGGTTGTGCAAATAGACAATGCCAAATTGGCTGCAGATGACTTCAGGACCAAGTGAGTTGGGGTTGGACAGGGATGGGAAGGAGCCAAGTGAGAGTTGGGGTTGGATGGGGATGGGACAATGCCAAGTTGGCTGCTTCTGTCTCATGTGGCATCGGATGTCATTGACCCAGACCCCAACCCAGTAGTTATAGCAGAAGAGAACAAAGGGCATTAAGCTCAAGATCCTGAAAAACTATCCGCTCTCCAGTGGTTTAGCATTAACAGTTTACAACATGTGCTAGAATGCATCATCCACCTGGTAAGCAACTTGTGAAGCAGGCGGGCAGGGATAGAATCTCCTCCACAGGTGGGGACCCTGAGGCTTGGGGTGCTGGTGTGACTTGCCAGAAGCCATGTGGGTACCGAGTGGCAGAGCTGGGACTTGGCCTTAAATTTTGTACCAAATTTTCCTTTCTTGAAGCAATTTCCTGTGAAACTGTTGCCTTAATAAGGATATGTTTCTGTGCTGCAGCTTGATTAATTTGTGAGTGCTGATAATTCATAGCAGAAATCATGCTCCATAGCCTAAGATGAAAACATGTGAAAGTCAAAGGGTTGACACCACCTGAGGAGGGTCTACCCTGGGTGCTGGAAGGGCATTGTGTTTTATCATCTTTCTTCGGGGCACTGTGCAAGTCTCACTCTTCTAGAGCTAAAGAAAGCCATTTCCTTCCTCTCATGCTGGCAATGTGGCTTTTACTCTAATAGGGAATCCAGGGTCCCTTTGGGTATGGGGCTTGTAGAGAGGGGCCTGCAGTGATTGCACTGTGTTGCAAATGCCTGGTTACTTTGCCACCTCCCTTTTGGGCCATTGTGTGTAAAGGCAGGTGCTGGCTGTGTGTCCATCACAGTATCCTCAGTACCAGCTGCTCCCCTTGGTTCATCTCAGGTGCTTAGTATTGACTGAGTGGGGAACATCCTGTTGCTTTCTGGGCTTTGAGCACACTACACAGGATAAGCCAACTCACAATTAGATGGCAAAGGGCAGGCCAGTGGACTTACAGCTGCGAGCTGGGAGTCATGTCCTGGTGCCCCTTCCTGCCCTCTAACTGTCACTCCTGCACTTTCCCTGTTACAGGTACGAGAGAGAGCGCTCGCTGCAACAGCTGGTGGAGGCTGACATCTGTGGCCTGCGCAGGGTGCTAGACAACCTCACCCTCGCCAAGTGTGACCTGGAGGCCCAGCTGGAGTCCCTGAAGGAGGAGCTGCTTTGCCTCAAGAAGAACCATGAGCAGGTGTGTGACCCTTGGTGTGATGCATTGAGACTTTCTGGAGGTGAATTCAGGCTCATCTGGGGGGAAAAAACGGAGGCTTCCTTCTGCTTGGGATTGAAGCTTTGCAGGTGAGCTCTGGCTTTTGGTGGGAGATTGCTTCTCATCCACAGCTTCTGGAAGCTGCTAGGCTGGTGCAGGCAGCGGTTTATCTTCAGAGGAGCACAGGGAAATTACTGGGGAGGATGGAAAGTGGGAGTTGAGAGTTTGGGTGAAGGGCAGTTGGGGGCCCTGCAGGCGGGTCATACTCCTCTGATGCCTACAGGAAGCCCACACTCTAAGGGGTCAGCTGGGAGACAAGCTCCGGATAGAGCTGGACATTGAGCCCACCATTGACCTGAGTAGAGTTCTGGGGGAGACGTGAGGCCAGTACGAGGCCATGGTGGAGACCAATCGCCAGGATGTGGAGCAGTGGTTCCAAGCCCAGGTGAGGGGGACTGCTAAGCAGTGGGGATTGGCCTCCATCTGGGCAGGTAGGTGACCATGTTTCTCTATGCTCCAGTCTGAAGGCATCAGCCTGCAGGCCATGTCCTGCTCTGAGGAGCTGCAGTGCTGCCAGTCAGAGATCCTGGAGTTGAGACGCTCGGTGAACGCCCTGGAGGTGGAGCTTCAGGCTCAGCACACACTGGTGAGTCCCTCTGCACGCATGGGAGACCCAGCTTGGCTCCCACTACCCATGAGTAGCTCTCTGGGGTCAGTACAGGCCTCGAATACCAACCACGGACTCAGCTTAAACCTTGGTTTCAACTCTTTTGGAAGCACTTCCCTGTAGATGTGGATGCTGAGTGAATCAACATTAACTTAGGTCAGAGGGCTCTGATCTTAAAGGTCTACCATGAAGTGTGTTAGTTATTCTGGCTGAAGACAGCTAAAGGGAGTTAGATTGCTCTCTGGACCTGGCAATGTCTTGGGGTGTCACAATCTTAAGAGGTTGGAGATCCATGATTTTTAACTTGCTTCCTCCTTTCTTTGATATTATAGAAGGACTGTCTACAGAACTCCCTGTGTGAAGCCGAGGACCGCTACCGCACAGAGCTGGCCCAGATGCAGAGCCTCATCAACAATGTGGAGGAACAGCTGTCTGAGATCCGGGCTGACCTGGAGCGGCAGAACCAGGAGTACCAGGTGCTGCTGGATGTGAAGGCCCGGCTGCAGAATGAGATTGCCACATACCGGAACCTTCTGGAGAGTGAGGACTGCAAGTACGTACCCTGTTGTCTATGTCAACACCGTGTGCAAAAACAGATAACTTCTCTTGGGAATGACCTAAAAGGAGCTCTGGAGGCCAGGTGGGGGTGGCATTGCAGATCCCATCTTTGGAGACAAACTTGCTACCACTAGGCCTGGTGAGCTAATGCCTGCCTAGGCGTAGGTGAGGGTGTACAGGAGTTTTCAGGTCATGGCATTTGTTTTGCTGACCACGTTGTGCTCCCAGTTGCTGGCTACTCCCATAGAGGGCTAAAATACTGAATGCCCAGCACATTCAGGTTTTGCTAAATTCTCTCCAGGAGAAGTATTCCAATAACGAGTATTCTTTGTGCTCATAGCATTTAAAGTATTGCTAAGGGCATGTGCACTGACTCTTTCATTTTAGTTCCACAATAGCCCTGTGAAAAGCATCAGAGGGCTGATATACCCCTTTAAGCACTAAGGAACACTATGAGGGGCTGTGTTTAAATGGAATCAGTGGCTGACATCTGGACCATTCTTGTTCCTCTGGCCTTTCTGCCTTTCTCTCTGCTGTGTTCCTTCCATATGGGACGTGACCCTGGCCTGGCACACAGGTACACTGAGTTCTGGCCCCAGCTCCACTGTGGACTGTGGGCACGTCATTGCCCCTTTCAGGCTTAGAGGGACCTCTAAGGTCTAAGGTCCTCTTTTGCACTTTAATTCTAAAGTGTCTATAATATACTTTTGTCTTTCACATACTTCTCATGCCAATGTTTCAAACACCTTTTTTCTCTATGCAGATTTCCCTGCAACCCGTGTGCAACCCCAGCCTTCAGCACTCCTAGTCCAGCCCCTGCAGCCTGCGCCCCCTGCTCCCGGGCCACCCATGGGCCCTGCTCATCAACTGGATACTGACACACTCCTCAGCCCGAGGTGCTGGGAAAGGGGAGGTGTCTTCAGCTCGTTAGGCTTTGCTCTGCAGGCCTGCTAACCTGGGCCTTGCCTCCCTGGCCAGCCAGGCAGGAGACTGAAGAGAGACAGTGCCACTCTGTGGATAGGTGTTTGAATCCAGCAGCTCAGCCCCTATGGCTGGATTTGTTTCTTCCCCTCAAGGTGTCCCAAGTGCTCCATTTTCTCTCTTCTGTTGCCTCCTGATCTCTCTGAGATGGGGCAGGCACTTTTGTTTTTATTTTGCTATTAAACTTCGCTTCTGCAGCAGAATGAGCCCAGTGCAGTCCAGCCTCAGCATCTCCGTCCCATGCTGAGAGCCTTGCTGGGAACTCCTTGAGCCACATGCTTCTGTAGACGGGGGTTGTGGCTGGCTCGCCAGAGTGGTTCTGGGAGATGGCAAAGCCAGTGAAGGCTAGAGTTAAAAATGGGACTGCGGCAAAGTGGCACAGAGGAGAGATACCCAACCTTGGACCTCACCAAGTGTATTTGGAGACAGATTTACAGATAGAGCTTTTAAAATATAGACGCTAAGTAAAATTTCCCTTTTATCTGGATAAGCCACCTGGTCCTTGTGTAAAGGAAGAGCTCAAATCTGCGGCACCACAGACCGTTGCAAAACTCTGAAAATATTAACTGATGGTAATCGCCATCAGTCTAGAAAGGCCCAAACAACCTGACCCGTCCAAGCTCCCCAGTAAGCTCCACTGGTAAGTCCTGGCAGCTGTCTGGCTTGGAATTTGTAGACAGTAGAACATGAATCAGAAGCCCCAGAACAGGTAACTTAAATTGAGCTTTTAGGATGACATGCCCATTATGAACAAGGCACTGGCTGGGGCTTCGCCGACATTGTGTCACAGGGCACCACATCAGCCCTGCAAAGAAGAAGCAGCTGTTATTATTCTCAGTTGGTTACTGAGTCAAGACTTGAAACCTAGTCTCTTTGAACCAGATCCAAAGCCCGTTCTTTGGAAGCTTTGAGGGGGAAACAAATTAAACATGAGAAGGTTTAGGACAGTGGTTCTTAAAGCGTGGTCCGCCAGCAGGTAGCACTGGCATTACCTGAGAACTTGCTAGACATGCACATTCTTGAGCACCACCCCTGACTTACTGAACCAGCATTCTGCTTTAGCATGACTTGCAGGTGATTCTGATGTTGGTTCAAGTTTGAGAAACACTGGGTTAGGAAGTTTATTTGAGGAATGAGCCCTTGACTAGCTAGACCCTCTACAGAAAGGGCTGGCCTTGCCGTCCTGATATGTCCTCCAGTGAGGAATCCCTCATACCATCAGATCAGGATAGAGCCTTTCTCTTTTACATTGCAAAACTCTGAAAATGTTACATGATAGTTATTTCTATCAGTCTAGAAAGGCCCAAACAAGCTGACCCATCCAACCTCCCCAGTAACCCCCATTGGTGAGTCCTTATGGCAACTGTCTGTCTTGGAATTTGCAGATGGTAGAACATGAATCAAAAGCTCCATATTTTGATAGCCGTGGCTGAGAATCAGCACATCTCCAGAATTCAGCATCACAGCTGGCCAGAGAAGAGAAGCAGTGAGTTCCCTATCCTTGGAGACAAGCAGAGGCTTCAGAATCACTGATGGGGATGTTGAGGGGAACACTTAGGGAACTGATGGGGCTGGTTGAGATGGCTGTAGCCCCCCTAACTCTGTGCGTCCCTGCTTTCTATGTCTTATTGATCAGTGAAACCACAGGCATTGAAGTGGAACCACCAAATCTACTTTAGGAGCTGGTTTTGGTCTTCCCTTTCCCTCTGTGAATTCTCTGAATCACTGTAGTTTGCTGAAAAATTTACAAGTACAGCTGGTTCTGGTTTAATCCAGGTCTTCCTGATACAGCGGTGTGGTGCTGGAGTGACCACAGTCCCGAGCCCCAAGGCTGGAGGGAGCTTAAGTGAGAATCTTGTTGCTCTGCCTCCAACTGCTCTCAAGCCCAGCGTCCTACTTGTTGGTCACTGCTCATGTACATAGGACTGATCTGCTTGAGAGACACTGGGATTTCCAGCATAGGAAGCCCAAGAAGGGTCAGAGGCTGCCACGCCCTCCCCTCCTCTGTTCTTTTTCTCAAGTGGTAAAACTGTTTTGGCACACGTGACACACCCCTTGGGCACCTACCCAAGAGAAGCTCTCAATAATGAAGAGCCATCTCGATTAGTCTTAATTTAGTACCTGACCCAGCTGCCCTCATCTCCTTTGTACTTAAATAGCTCCTTTCATCCAACAAGTTCAAAGCTGTCTAACAAAATAAACCCACTTATTCTTGCACCATGACGGCACAGGCAAGCATTGTCCTTCCCATTTAAGGGAGAGAGAGAGAAGGTGAGTCATTCAGTGGTTAAGGGATTCTGCTGGTGACATAAAGTGAGTCAGTGGGGCCCCAGGGTGATTGACCTGTGTTTCTTAAGTTCACATCCAGTGCTCTCTCATTTCTAATTAAAAGATTAGCTTTGATGAGACAGTACATGTGTGTGTGTGCACGCACATCTGTGTGTTTGTCGTGTGTGAAGAGTTTCCCTGGAAACCACAGAGGTCATCATTACCATCACCATCACCAGAATCATCATCATCATCATCATCAAATCATATAGCTTCACCATCATCATCATTGTCATAGAACCATATATCCATCAAGCTCTTACTATGAGCCAGGCGCTGGTCTAAATTATAGCTACAGTCATATGGGTAAACTCATTTAATCATTACAACAATCCTAGAAAGCCAATGCTATGGTTTTCTCATTTTGCAGACAAGTAGCCAAGACTCAGAGAGGCTAAGTAACATGCCCAAGGTCACACAGCTATTAGGTGGTGAAGCCAGGATTCAGATCCAAGCAGCCTGCCTCCAGCAACTGTGCTCTTAACTACTGTGCTTTACAGAGGCCAAGTCTCAGATTTTGTCAAAAGGATGATAGAATCATAATGACCCCATTGTTTTGATTCCTTTCCTTGAAGGAAATGAGTATGTTTATGTTAGAAGAAACGTTTCTGAGAATTTATGCCACAAAGGGTGGTACAAGGAATAAAAGTCCTTTAGTATCTCACAGGATCTTGAAGCTTGAGGACTCTGGCAATTTTAATAAACTAGGAGTTGACAAAGAAGCTCAACTCACTTCCTGCCATTTTAAAACCACCTTGTCTATTGAGAAAGAGGAGGAGGGAAACAGAATCCCTATAGATGTTCATTGTTTCACCATTTACAAAACACTTGTTAAAGTACTTTGTGTTGTATCCAAATGGAGGCCCCAAACAACCTTGAGAGAGGGGAACAGACATCACAATCCCCATCGTGCAGTGGGAGAAGTACAGGTGTAGGGAGGTGAAATGCCCCCTCTGCACCTCACAGCAGGTGAGGGGCAGCTCCACGCACTCAACCCCAAGTCTTCTCATTTCTTTTTCCCTGCTCTTTCCCTGTTCCCAACTGTGAGGGCCTTGCTGGAGGTACATGTGGATAAAACTTCACGTTCAGACCACTCTGAAATCCTGGATGGATTTTACGGGAAAGGTATCCTAGGGTCTGGGATCTCCCTAGGGGTGACCTTCTCGGTGCTGTCCCCAATCAGCATTTTAGACTCAGCTTCTGGCCTTTGGCCATTGCCTGGAGGCTCCCCCGTTTGATGCTGGTTATTGCATCCAAACCTCCCTTTCCCTTCCTTCCTCCCTGGTTCTTGGATATCCTATACAACCTGCCTCAGTCATTCACATTGGTCTCCAAGGCCCTCTGCCCTCAGGAGGTTTCTCTGGTCTCAAGGGGGCACAACTGTGTCCACTCACCAGCAGGACTGCGTGCTCCCTCCGTTTCCCTCCACCAGCCTTATTCCCCTTTCTATTTCCTCTGTCAATTTGCTTGATTTACTGTAGGTGCTTTTCTTTTTCTGCCCACACCACATCCCTGGAATGATTTCCTATGCTGCACCTGGCAAAAGCCTCTTTCATTTGCTTTGAAACTTACCTTGATGCCCATGGATCCTGTGGGGATGCCACAGGGCTGAAGCGATGGGCCATCACCACCGCCTCTCCTGTGGTCTCCAAAGCAACAAGAACCAGATGCCAAAACAATTCATTACCCTGCCTGGCTGAAGACTAGATTATTAAAGGGAACAAGATTCTAATGAGAACAGTTCTCTGAATTCTGCTTATGAGTCACTTAGAGAGCGAAGCACAAAAAACTCTTTGGGATCAAGTGCATAACCTGAAATGGCTTCATCCCCTCGCCGTGTGGCTGAAAATCATGAGCTGGATTGGAATGCCCTGAATGGGGTTTGGGTCAGGGGTGGGTGTAGGAAGAAATGGAGTGGGTAGGGGAAGGAGATATTTTTGGGGGAAGGCCCAATCACATTACATTATGCTAGCTGTGGACCTGTCTGCTCAGCAGGACTCAGAGTTCCTGGGGGCAGGGACATGACATACCCCCACTCCCCACCATGTCCCCTGCCCCTGGGACTGTGCCAAGCACACAGTAGATGTTCAACAAGTGACTAATGCCCATAATGTCACATGTACAGTTTTCTTTTTATTTATTTTTAATTTTTAGATGGGGTCTTGCTGTCGCCCAGGCTGGAGTGCCGAGGTGTGATCATGGCTCACTGTAACCTCAAATTCCTGGGCTCAAGCAATCATCCTGCCTCAGCCTCCAGAGCATCTGGAACTAAAATGTGCTCTACCAAGCCTGGCTCATTTTTAAATTTTATTTTATTTTTATTTTTTTAGATGGAGTTTCGCTTTTGTTGCCCAGGCTGGAGTGCAATGGCGTGATCTCCGCTCACCGCAACCTCCGCCTCCCGGGTTCAAGAGATTTTCCTGCCTCAGCCTCCCAAGTGTCTGGGATTACAGGCATGTGCCACCACGTCCGGCTAATTTTGAAACTCATTTTTAATTTTTTTTGTAGACATGGGGTCTTGCTATATTGCCCAGGCTAGTCTTGAACTCATGGGCTCAAGTGATTCTCCCACCTCAGCCTCCCAAAGTGCTGAGATTACAGATGCAAGCCACTGCACCCAGTACCCGTTTTCTATTTACACTGAATACAAACATATTTCTAAATGCCCATCTTACACCTTCTAAATATCTCCTTTCCTTAACTTCTGGCTATTTCTCATACATATTGAGGACCCATCTTGGCCGGAATTGTTCATAAAAAGACATTTTTTTCACCAGAACTATGATTCTTCTGTTTAGTCATATGCTCAGCATAGAGAAGCTGTCTAATCAATGTGTTCTGAATTAAATTGAACTGGATAATGAATGTGGGTTTGATAGCCCATTGACTGCTCAATTTCTCCTTGAATGAAAAAAATTTGCAAATATTCCAACTAGGAAACCAAGAGAATACATGAATTCTACCCCTCGCCTGTGTGAGGTCATGGGGATCTTACAACCCTGGGGTCCCATTTTCCCCACTAATTCAAGGAGCAAATTCACTCAAGCCCATTGAGATCTTGAAAACACTGCAAGAAAGAGGCTAGATTCACAAGAGATGGCAGCATTGTGTTTACTCACCAGCTAGTCTGTCTGTGGTCCCCATCTTGAATTCTTGTGCCATTTCACATTCTGCAGGGCAACCAGCAGGTAGAAAAAGGAATATCTAGGAGTAACCAGAAGAT
Organism: Homo sapiens; assembly: GCF_000001405.40. Classification (NCBI taxonomy): domain Eukaryota; kingdom Metazoa; phylum Chordata; class Mammalia; order Primates; family Hominidae; genus Homo; species Homo sapiens. Next base: position 41,400,857 of record NC_000017.11, on the reverse strand, counting down.
AACAGGGGTTTCTTGTTCTCTCCTACATCTTCTGTGTGGCTGCTGACTGGCCATGACCTGCAGCCAGTGCAGGACTGACTCTCCCTGCTTCATTTCTCCTTTCTTCTCTTCCCACTTCTTATTCCTTCAGGAACAGGCAGTGTCGCTCCTTTTAGACTTTACACTGCCTGTGTGTAGATGGCAGTATATTTCTCAGCCACAAACAATCTCAAGCTTGATCACAGAGGTGATGCTTCGGTCTGGACAGCTTGGAACAATGTCACTTCTTTCAGAGGCCTCAGAAGCTGTAGTCCTGTGTCCATAGATCTTTTATGAGTCAACTCCATTTACGCCTTGCAGGACACTCAGCACGGTGGGCCACTCCTCAGTCTATTGGCTTATTTTGTCTTGGCTTCTTCTCAGCTTTGCATTTTCCAGGTTAGCCCCTCGGAAGCTGGGCTAACTTTGTCTGATTTGCTGCATGATGCTGAGGATTCCTCCCAACTTTTTTCCTTGTCTCTTCTTTTTCTTGTTGTCTCTCCTGGTCTCCGTCTCTTTCCATTTCTCTGATCTCTCTGCATTGTACAAAAATTCTATGTTTGCTCTCTTGTCAATACAATCCTTGAATCTTCTCATACTTAGAGCCTAAACACTCTTCTTTGACTACAGTCTCCATGAGGCTATGCCAGCCAATCAGTAGATAGGAATCAAGAGCTTGGAGAATACTGCTGGCATTTAGTTTGGGCTTAGGTTAAAGCCTGCCTGACTGGGGAAGAAGAAAGGGCTGAGGAAATAGCTGCTTGCTGGAAAGCCAGTGCTTGGAGCAGGCTGACAAGAGTTAGGAAGCAGAAGGCCTATGCTGTCATCTACAAGCTAGTGCTCATCAATCAGATGCACGAGCCTTTCCATTCATCCCAAGCCCAGATGAAATGAGACAGAAGCTCCCCACAGACAGCTGCCACCTAGCCTTGCGTCCTTCCTCTGGAGAGTCTCAGGAGTAACAGTCTGTAGACCCGCCTATTTCTCCCCCTTTAATTGTCTTGTAAGGAAACGAAAGTATTGATTTTATTATAAGTCTAGATCTTCTTTGTAGTGCTGTGGGGCTTTTCATCTGAATGGCATTATAATAAGCAGTGATAATGGTCTTGGGGAGTGTAGATGAAGGACCTTTTATCTGAGACTCAAGCAGAGTGCAACATGAATACCATCATGAAAGCTCAATGGGAGAAGCACTCCAATAAATTGTCAATAAAACGGCAGCTCTGGCTGGCAGCCAAAGCCACAGTGGAGATGGGGGTGCTGCAACTTTTATATATTCAGAACTTTGGCTACCTCTTCCTCAGATCTTCTAGTGCCTTCCTTCACCTCCCAAAGCAACCCCAAATGACTCCAGCTTGCCTTGCAAAACCCCCTTGCTCATGCCGTGCTCAGCATTTTCTTTCCTGGTGCCCAGGTCCTTGGATTTAATTACACAACCACAGAGACCTCCTTTGGTACCTTTAGACCTTTGGTTCTTAAAGCAGGTGGCATCTCCACTCGGGCTGGAGATGGGAAGCCCAGGACAGAATATGGTACATCTTCCTGATGTATCCATTTCTCTTAGAGAATTAAGCAAAGTATTTGAAAGTTTAACTGGAAATTTAAAAGGGGCTTTTTAAAAACATTAAAGCTGGCTGGGCGCGGTGGCTCACGCCTGTAATCCCAGCACTTTGGGAGGCTGAGGCGGGTGGATCACGAGGTCAGGAGATTGAGACCATCCTTGCTAACACGGTGAAACTCCATCTCTACTAAAAATACAAAAAATTAGCCGGGCGTGGTGGTGGGCACCTGTAGTCCTAGCTACTCAGGAGGCTGAGGCAGGAGAATGGCATGAATCTGGGAGGCGGAGCTTGCAGTGAGCCGAGATCGCTCCACTGCACTCCAGCCTGGGTGACAGAGCAAGACTCCATCTGAAAAAAAAAAAAAAATATATATATATATATATATATAAAGATTAAAGCCAACATGGATATATTATGGAATATAGGGTCAATTCATATGAAGTTTAAAGATCAACTACAAGTGATTTCAGGCCGTGGAGGCCCCTTTGGGCTATCTCCTGACTTTCCTAACATATCCATCTACTCTGTTCGGATACTATGGATAACCTTAGGAAATGTTTGACAAAGACCTCCTTATTCCTTTCTCTCTGCCCCTGAATATCTTTCCTAGATTATTTAAATGCATTTTTTTTGTTTTGTTTTGTATTTTGAGATGGAGTCTTGCTCTGTCACCAGGCTGGAGTGCAGTGGCACCATCTCGGCTTACTGCAACCTTCACCTCCCAGGTTCAAGTGATTCTCCTGCCTCAGCTTCCCGAGTAGCTGGGACTACAGGTGGGTGCCACCATGCCCAGCTAATTTTTTTGTATTTTTAGTAGAGATGGGTTTCACTATGTTGGCCAGGATGGTCTCTATCTCTAGACCTCGTGATCCGCCGGCCTCGGCCTCCCAAAGTATTGAGATTACAGGCGTGAGCCATTGTGCCCAGCCTTAAATGTGTTTTTTATGGCTCTCTCGGTTTGCACTTTTCAGCCTCTTTCAAAACGATCTCTTACCCCAGAAACTTCTTGTTCTCCAACTAGTTATCAAAGCCTCTACCTTTAAAATTCTCTCCTCTACAATTTTCTTAAGTAATATGTGGTGGTGGGGGGGAAGTATTACACGGACCCGTAAAACACAAATCGCTGTCTAATCTTTTCAGTCGTGTCCTCCATTGATTCTAATCATCCACCTTAAGGCTTCCAAGGCACAGAATGCTCCATCATTTGAAGATTCTTCTCTAAATGCAGAGGGAAAGACAGTCCACTGTGGCCTCTTAATGCAACTTCTTCCTCAAATCAATCCGTGTTTCTCCCTAGAAACGGCAGGTGGACCAGGACATGAGTATGTTTATGGGCCTGCAGAATTATGTGACACAAAAGAATGTCATCGGATGGATCAACACCTCAATTAATGAGGGCAGATACTTGGGCTGGACTGTGTAGCCTCTTTGAAGGCCTACCACAGAACTCTGATTTCATGGGTGGACTGTCTGCGGAGGAGTCCTGACTTAGCAAGAAGCCCAAGTAAAGAATTTTATGGGAGAAGGGACTCTTCAGAGGAAGGCAAATAACAGACTGAAGGAAAGGGCGTTTGAAAAGAAGTGAAGAAATAAAAAGAAAAAAGACATTACATACTGTGTCCACACCCTCTGCAGTGGGATATAAATGCTCCCTAGAGGAAGGAGACCCACAGCTCTGTGGCTTGGAGAATTTAGACTCTGTCTTCAGCCAGGCACTCCCTCCCTCCCTCCCAGCACTATGCCCTACAACTTCTGCCTGCCCAGCCTGAGCTGCCGCACCAGCTGCTCCTCCCGGCCCTGCGTGCCCCCCAGCTGCCACAGCTGCACCCTGCCCGGGGCCTGCAACATCCCCGCCAATGTGAGCAACTGCAACTGGTTCTGCGAGGGCTCCTTCAATGGTAGCGAGAAGGAGACTATGCAGTTCCTGAACGACCGCCTGGCCAGCTACCTGGAGAAAGTGCGTCAGCTGGAGCGGGACAACGCGGAGCTGGAGAACCTCATCCGGGAGCGGTCTCAGCAGCAGGAGCCCTTGCTGTGCCCCAGTTACCAGTCCTATTTTAAGACCATTGAGGAGCTCCAGCAGAAGGTGAGCGGCATTGCTGTCATCTCCAAGCAAGAGAGTTTGCTGTGATTCTGTCTGTGATAGAGAAGTGTGTTTCTTGCTTCTGTGCTGTCATAATTCTTGCTTCCTCTTTTATTTCAAAATGGCTTAAGTCATTTTTAAAAAGTTGATGATTTCATATTTATTTTCAGTCCTCACTAAGCCACCTCTCACTCCCCAGATCCTGTGTACCAAGTCTGAGAATGCCAGGCTTGTGGTGCAGATCGACAACGCCAAGCTGGCTGCGGATGATTTCAGAACCAAGTGAGTTGTTCGGAATTTGCACTAGTGTCAATTGCTTCTGTTTAATCTTTAAAGAAAAGGGATTTCCATCTGAAAACAGATCTACCCACTTGTTGTGAAGGATTCTGCAGAGGACTGGGGAGAACCAAGCAAAGAAATGCAAAAATGGATGAGGACTCACATCAATCTGTTTGTTTTGGGATGAATATTGGGTATTGATGGAGCCTCCAGAAACCTCTGTCTCCTGGGCCTATTCATTACAGAAAGTGGAAAGATAAGGCACATGAGGTTATCAAAAATCATTCCTGTGAGTCTTGAAGATCTACCAGGTAGTACTCTGACCCTGTCCTTGCGCAGGTACCAGACCGAGCTGTCCCTGCGGCAGCTGGTGGAGTCGGACATCAACGGTCTGCGCAGGATCCTGGATGAGCTGACCCTGTGCAAGTCCGACCTGGAGGCCCAGGTGGAGTCCCTGAAGGAGGAGCTGCTCTGCCTCAAGAGCAACCATGAGCAGGTGAGACTAGAAATGAGAAATGCACAAACCTGTCTCAGCCTCTGGCTCAGGGTTGCTTTAGTGATTTGGGGCAGCAGAATGCAGAGTATGAGTACAAGACTGAGGGTTTCCTTTGAAAACATCACGGTAAGAGAAAAATTGGAGAGAGATAAGACCTGTTCATGTTCCCAGACAGGAAACATCTTTCACTTTAAACTAGCACATTATTTGAGTTGCCCGGAGCAGCTCCATGTGCTTGCAGTTGATCAATAGTTGTAGAATGAGTCCTAGCATTGCAGTGTTATTGCTTTGTAAAGTCTTTTTTTTTTTTTTTTGGCAAAGGCCAAGAAAAAAAATATCAAACCTTATAAATGTGAGTCTCTACTCTTTCAAAGTATTGGTGAAGAGTGTTTGTGAGATTCTTCCTCTCTCTTGGGAGGGGCCATGACATGCTCTTACCTCTTACTTGACAGCAAGAGTTTTTTGATATATGGTCTGAAATTGCACAGCCTATTTTTTTTGGCATTCTGAGGTCCTCACAGCCAATTGTAAACTGGGAAAGTTGAATATCAATTAGTTCATCCTTCAGTGGCATCCAAGCAAACTTTTGGGATTTTTTTCTGAAGCCAAGTGCCATGGCACAGCAGATGGTGGGGAGGGGGCTATGCCACATGGAGTGCCTTGAGCTGTCACAAACTGCTCCACTCAAAGTTTCTTTTCCGAGAAAATAGACTAACAGGGTTTCAACAAGCAATGCCATTCCTTAGAGTTCATTCTTTGCTGAGCATAGTAACTCTTGTATTTTCTGCATCCATAGGAGGTCAATACCCTGCGCTGCCAGCTTGGAGACCGCCTCAATGTGGAGGTGGATGCTGCTCCCACTGTGGACCTGAATCGGGTGCTGAACGAGACCAGGAGTCAGTATGAGGCCCTGGTGGAAACCAACCGCAGGGAAGTGGAGCAATGGTTCACCACGCAGGTGGGCATCTAAGCACGTGGCCCCTCAGGACCCAAGGCCCCCCAGGGCCCCGGAGGCAGGGTCTGATCCTTTCTCCCCTTGGGTGTTTCAGACCGAGGAGCTGAACAAGCAGGTGGTATCCAGCTCAGAGCAGCTGCAGTCCTACCAGGCGGAGATCATCGAGCTGAGACGCACAGTCAACGCCCTGGAGATCGAGCTGCAGGCCCAGCACAACCTGGTGTGTATTGTTCAGACCTGCTGGTGAGCGACGGGAACTTGGGAGGCAGAGTCCCGGGGATGTGCTTGGGGCCACACACTCTCCTTAGCTCTTGGAGCTTGTGACTTCCTTGTAATCCTGTGAAGAAACCCTTTGAAGGAGCAGCTCTCTGACATTCCCAATCTTCTCCACCACAGCGAGACTCTCTGGAAAACACGCTGACAGAGAGTGAGGCCCGCTACAGCTCCCAGCTGTCCCAGGTGCAGAGCCTGATCACCAACGTGGAGTCCCAGCTGGCGGAGATCCGCAGTGACCTGGAGCGGCAGAACCAGGAGTACCAGGTGCTGCTGGATGTGCGTGCCCGGCTGGAGTGTGAGATCAACACATACCGGAGCCTGCTGGAGAGCGAGGACTGCAAGTGAGTACATGGGCAGACGTGTTTGATGAAATGATGCACGTGTGAGTGTAACAGTTAGACACCATGCAAATATTGCATACCTTGGAAAGGAAATTATGCCTTCACACTAGACATGCTCAAACAGAACTCAGACAACATAATATGGCCATCATTTAAAACATAAATGGTTTGGTAGCAAGAGTTGTTTGATGTACAAACTGAAATTGCACTGCCAAGTCTTTGCATTCTAGTATGATAATATGCATGACTGCATGATATGTGATCAATGCCTTACTTTTTACAATACTGTATTGCCTAGTGGGTACATTCCCATAGGCTACCTGATTTGATCTTATAATTACCACCAGGTGGGCTGGATCAGTATTCCCTCCATTCTACAGGAAAGTAAACTGGGGCTTGGAGAAGGTAAATGACTCACCCCATGTCATCAGTTTGGCATGAATGGATTTGAGAGTAGACATCAGAGTTTCAGAGTTTCTGTCTACCTTGGTGCTCTATGGCAGGGAGACCATTAACAATTTGAGTTAGTTATCTTTGTAGCAGGGGAGTCTGTGCCTTTTCTGTTCTAGGCCAGGTCAAGTCCCTTGACCCAGGCATTCTTACCCTTGGGGATATCTCTGGCATATGATTTTAAAATTGCCCTTAACTCACTTTTCCACATCATTCTTTTGTCTCCAGTCTGCCCAGCAATCCCTGTGCCACGACCAACGCGTGCAGCAAGCCCATCGGACCCTGTCTCTCCAATCCCTGTACCTCTTGTGTCCCTCCTGCCCCCTGCACACCCTGTGCCCCACGCCCCCGCTGTGGGCCCTGCAATTCCTTCGTGCGCTAGAACCTAGGGAATGCCAGAGGAGCAAGGATGCAGGGCCCAGGACTCCAGAGCTGTGACCTGGCTCTGGTTCAACAAAAGGGGCCTGAAAACATCATTTGCATGGCTGGAGTTGCCCGCGTAAGGCAGCCAAGAAACTCACCCAAAGCCTGTAGCCTCCCCAACTACTCCAGACTGTCCTGCTCACCCTTTCCTTCCTGGGGGTCTGTTCCTTCCTATGCTCACCCAGAGAACTCTCTGATGTGCCAGTGGGCCTCCCTTTTAACCTCCTAATAAATATCATTTCCTTGGCAAAGCAGATGCCTTTTTCATTTGTATTCATTTGTTTCAACGTGCTCATCACCTGAGTACGCTATAAAAAGCCACTTGAAAGACAGGCCATATAATGGCCTGACTCTTGGATACCAGAGCAGTTTCATGCCTCAGGGGAAGATGGTGAATCTGGTGCCCTGGACCCAGGAGCGAGGCAGGCAGGCCAGTGGGAAGGAGGGTGGAGGTGCTGAGTGCTGCAGTCCCTATCTCCCCTTAGCTATTCTTGGATTTCCCTTCTAACTTGGACATCTCCCAGAGCTGCTTGTATCCTATTCTGAATGGAGGAGGCATGAGCTGCGGGCTGGAAAGAAGCTCTGGAAAACTCATGTTCTTTCAGCAGGAGTTTCAGGTTCAGTGCTGTATTATTCTGGGTTATTGGTGGTCCAGGCATTTCCCAGCGAAGAAACCCTCTGACCTGCCCTGCTATACCCAGGAATTCCTCCTTTCCCTTGTGTGGGTTGATCATTATCAGCCTGGGCTTCCAGCTTCTGTCCTCCCTCCTCGACTCCAGGTCTTAGAGACCCCGTCAACTCTTTATTTGATCCTTTGGCCTTTCTCAATTCAATCCAACCAGTACCTGTTGAATACCTACTCTGTGCAGACGCTGGGTGGTGGGATGGGTAGAGACACATGAAGAAACACACAGTTCCTGACTGCAACTTACTGATAATTTGTTAAAAAACTAGTCCCCAAGTAGTGCTCTTATAAGGCCCAGTCCCCTGGCACTGTGAACAGCTGGTGGGTGCTAGAAGGAACTCTGAGTACCGAAAGGGACAATGCTGGTACCCAATGGCATTGGTGTTTATCAAGAAAGGGCATCTTTCTTTGACTCTCATGAAGACCCATGGAAGTGTTTAAGCATAGACCTCCCGAAAACATAGAGGGCCATTTTGATCTGAAGGGATCAGAGGTCTCTGACTTTTCCCACCACACCAGGCTTTCCCAGCGGGTATCAGACTCCACCTGGGTGAAACATAGTCCTGTGTCCTAAAATGATCAAGTGAATCGGAATTTTATATGTATATATATATATATATAAATATATATAAAAAATATATTTTTGTTTGTTTTCATAAAGCGATGATTCTCTCCACCATAATTTCTCCCTTGATTCTTCTTTTTAAAACTCAAGTTCCAGGATGGATTTGGATTTGTGCTTTGCTGCTTGGCTTGTGAGAAACCTCTGACCTGGAACTCTGTCTCTACTATGATTCACCCTGTGTCTGTGATTTCCTCCAAACCCAAGGTCAAGCTCAGTCCAGAGGCTCTCTCTCATGTTGCTTGTTTCTTTATTCCACATCCTGCTTATGTATATTATTTTACAATAATACAAAAGTACTGCTAATAGCTCCTGTGGTAGACAGAATAATTGTCCCCTCCATCCCTCATCAAAATGTTCATGTTCTAATTCCTGGAACCTGGGAATATGTTAGATTACATAAAAAAGGAAATCGAAGTTGCAGATGGAATTAAAGTTGCTAATCAGCTGACTTTACGATAGGGAGATTATCTCGGATTATCAGGTGGACTCAGGGTTCTTAAAAGTGGAAGAGGGAGGCAGAAGAGTGAGAAGGTGATGAAACTATGGACCCAGGTCAGAGTGATGTGATGTGAGAAGAACCTGCCTTGTCCTTGCAGGATTTGAAGATGGAGGAAGTGGGTCATGAGCCAAAGAATGCAGGTCATCTCTAGATCTTGGAAAAAGCAAGGATTCTCCTCTAGACCCTTTAAAGAGAAACGTAACCTTGCCAGACCTCTGATTTTATTTTTATTGTGGTAAAATATGTACAACATAAAATTTACCATTTTAGCCATTTTTAATGTACAATTCAGGGGCATTAAGTACATTCACATTGTTGAACCCTATGCACAGATTCCCACTAATTTTTGGCAAGTCTCTTCAGGAACTGCCTTTAGATTCAATTATGAGTCACAATCCTATGGAGGTGGTTTTAAAAATGATCCAAATTGATTGTCTACGTCACTCACAAGGTTTCTCTTTGAACAGCTTCAAAAAAGTCAAACCTATCCTCAAAGGACAAAGGTTTGTTATCAGCAAACTGGATATTAAAAAGATACAGACATTAACAAAACAGAACTTTCTAAACGTGCTTTGACTAGAGATGGCATCCTGGAATAAAGAAAAATTCTGGCTGGAGGCAAAATTTATAGGATCTGTAAATTCTGCCATGTTTTTTAAACCATAAAAATCTCAATCGTTGTAGCTATACCTCCCCTTAAACATTTCCATGTGGCTTTCAAATTATTTCCAGGTGCTCTGTCATCATCATCAGACACACGGCAGGACAGTGGTTCTCAACCTTGGCTGTGTTTGAAATCACCCAGGGAACTTAAACAATTTTTTGAGGCTTGAGTCTGCTCTCAGGGAGTCTGATTTGATTGATCTGGGATTCAGCCTGGTCACTGGGAGTTTTAGAAGCTCTACAGGTGATGAGCCTCCAATGAGCTAGGTTGAGACTCACTTACCAGAACCTGGATTCTAGCTCTGACATTTACGACCTTAATAGCTCTGTGTCTTTGGATAAGACATGTGGCTTCTCCTAGCTTTAGTTGCCCCAAAGGTAGAGTGGAGATAACCGTGTCTTCTCTACTTACTTTATAAACTTGCCAAAGGAAGCATGGAAAACTGTTTATGGAAACACTTTGTAGACCACATATTTTTATTAGGATTATTGACAATTTTTATTATTGCCGGTATAGCTAAGTTTCTTAAGGTTAAAAAAGTATCATCATTTTCTTTTTCTTTTTGGATTTAGGTTCAACAGCAGGATTTGCATATTGTCGTATTGTCTTTCACACCATAAATTCTTTCTTCTTTAAACCCAGCTGTGCACCAGAAGTGTATGGTCTGCTCGGCATATTTGATACTTTTTGGCCCCAGGCTCCTCTTGTGATAGGTGGGCGGGCAGCTCCTTTTTCAGTTGTCTGGGCTATTTGGCATGTCTGATGCTCTTTGGTGACCTGTTTTATTGCCTCCTGAGCTGTCTTGGTCTAAACTCTTAGCCGGCAGTATCTACCACTCTCCGACCTTTGACTTTTCCCTAGGCTTATCTCCTGGATACTTTTGCTGTTTCTTTTCCTTTCTGTTTCCCTGCAAATTTTATGTTTACTTTGGGATGGAGCTAAGGCACTTTTTTTTCCATCCTTACATCTGGAGTTAAAGCCATCATTTGAGTTTTTTGAGGCCTGAGGCTGCTGTCAGCATCTGCAGGAAGAACAGCAGGCTGTCCAGGAGCGCTCAGCATTTTCCTCTATATAAGCACATCCCGTTACTTCCAGGAGCCAAGCCATGCCATGATAAGCTTGTGGGATTTGTTACTTTTTTTTTTTGGAGATGGAGTCTTGCTCTGTCACCAGGTTGGAGTGCAGTGGTGCGATCTCAGCTCACTGCAACCTCTGCCTCCCAGGTTCAAGCAATTCTCTTCCCTCAGCCTCCTAGGTAGCTGGAACTACAGGCGCCCACCACCACACCCAGCTAATTTTTTGTATTTTAGTAGAGACGGGGTTTCACCATGTTGGCCAGGATGGTCTCCATCTCTTGACCTCGTGATCTGCCTGCCTCGGCCTCCCAAAGTGCTGGGATTACAGGCGTGAGCCACTGCGCCCAGATGGGATTTGTTACTTTTTAAACTCCCAGTTTGCTGAGGAGTAAAGTGATGTGCAGGAAGCCTAGGTGTGTCTTGTCTGGTGCTCATAGCTGGTATTGGAATCCATGATCTCTCTTCTGCATTTTCTCCCAGCTGTTATGTTTTGTCACAGCCTGGCCTAGGTCAGTGTCTCATCTCTCTAACTCACAATAAATATGATGGGTCAGGCCGACTGAAGCCTGCTTACTTGTGTCATTTTGAATGAGTTAAATTTACTCCCAACATTTCAGATTCTTCATCTCTGCTACATGGTGACAAAAATGGAACCTGAACACTCAGGTTCTGGGGTGAGGATGAAATACTATATGCAAAGGTACCTAGTAGACTATCTGACTAGAAAGTGATTGATTGATATTCATTTCCTTACTACCTTACTGTCTGGGCACTAGTTTTCTCCTCCATAAATTCAGGTCCTTCTAGCTTTAGAGTTCTTTGATTGTAGGAAACTGAATTTACTTCTGAGATGAACTTTTACAGGATTAAAACTCATGGTTAGAAGGGTAGTCTTTCTTCTAAGTTCTAAATCACTTAGGTCATGTGATTATGCATTTTAATTTGCTTAGATATTCAGAAAAGACAATCTAGTTTCCAGTTTGGATCAATTATGCAAAAGGACGATTATTTCCCTGTGGAGAAAAATAAATGAGTAAGACTTGGCCTTAGTTCAGGAAGGTACCATAGAGATTAGCTGGGTGCTCAAAGGCTTGGGCAGAGAGGCCTTTGGAGGAATGATGGAGTATGAAGGGGTGGGGAACAGGGCCCTAGAGGGGACCAGAAGGAAAAACTACGAAGTAAGGGGCAATGGGAAGCAATGAATATTTCCCTCACAAACCAGAGAAACCTCTGTGCCAAATATAAAGGTTTTGTACTGTGTTTAGGTGTTCATGATCAGGAGTCATAAACCTGAATTGTTCAAATCCCTGCTCCACCATTTATTGCCTGTATCTAGGGCAAATGTGGAGCCTTTCCCAGTTTATTTCTTTATCTGTAACATGGGAATAATAGGCCAACTTTATACAGTTGTTGGGAGAATCAAATGAGAAATGTGCCAAAGTGCTTAGTGCCTTGTTTGGCATCTAATAAGCCTTGATGAAATGGCAGAATCATCATCAACAACAACACTGCCATTATTATCATTATTACAAATGCTTGCACAGAGCTATAAGGCTAGAAGATTCCAAGAGGATAACAAAAGCACATTTCAATCCCAGTACCAGAAAAGAGGCTTTGGTGATATTACAATTTCATGTGGAGAACTTGTCCTCCTCCAGAACTACCCCAAATAAGATAACCAAACCCACAAGATCAGGAACTTAGCAGAGAAGATAGAGGTAATGGTTATCTGCAACTTCCTATTTCAACCACTAAGTTAATGTTAACATTTGCATTTTGATGGTTAATTTATGAATAGAGTTCTGTGCCCCTAGTACTTACAAGGTAAGTGGGTGAAGTTTGAGCACCACTGGGTTGGGATGGGCAATGGGCAATTTGTCTGCTTAACGAAGTAGAATTTTCACAAAATTCTTCATCTGAGCCACCTGGGTCAACAATAGGAACAATGAAGTTTATGGAAATAAACATCATCACTCCCTCCCCCAAACATGTTCACACACAATACCTTACCTTTTGCAAAAAAAAACAAAAACAAAAACAAACAAACAAAAAAACAAAACTATGAGGTAGGCAGCATTATTATTATTTCAATTCAAGAGATGAGATAAACAAGACTCAAAAAAGGGAATGAACTTCTCTGAGCTCATATCATAGGTAAGGATGTAAATCCAGGTCATTTAATTTCAAATTCGTGTTTTTTGGAGAGTGACATCAGCAAGATGAGGGAATAAGCAGCCCTGGACCCTCCTCACCGTCATGGGCACACTAATTCAATAATAATACTCAGATAAATTTTATTTGTGAGAAATCTAGTAACAATTTGAGAGGCTCTTGCACCCTGGATGAGTGTAAAACCAGCCAAATCAAAGTTGGTAGAAAGATTTTAAGATACTCTATCACAATAATCCCTGCTTTCTCAGCATAGTATCATATGGTTAGGAGGAAATCCCCCTCCCAGCTTCTTTGCAGGGAGAGGAGGAAATAACTGGACCATACATTCAACATTCAGATTTTTCTGAGAGCTGCCAATGCACTAGCTTCTGTCTTGCCTGTCTTAGAATGCGGATGGAATCCAGCATACTCCAGACGTCTAGGAGCCATTGAGAACAAAGAGGGTAATTTTAACTAGCATATGAATATTCACCACAGCCCTCTCCCCCGGCCAAGTTCAGAGCGAGCCAGTGAAAAACCCTGGGTCCCAGGCTCTCCCTGGAGAGAGAAAGAGTTAGACCTGTGTCCAATATTCTGTCTTTTCTGTGGACAGTATCAGGGATGGGCTTCTGTCTCACCTGTGCCAGAGTGCTATGGAAACTAGCCATACTCAAGATGCCTGGAGGCTGCAAAGATGGTGGTTTGGACTAGCACAAAAATTTGAGAGGTCCCCAGTATCTCTGGCTGGGCTGATTGGTGAAGGTCTTCTCCAGTACAAGGCCAGTCCGTGAAGATTGGGAGAGGTGGCTGTTTTGTCTAATGCACAGACACCAGCACAAAGATCCAAGGATAATGAAGAAACAGGGAAATATGTCCTAAACAAAGGTACAAGATAAATCTCCTGAAGTTGACCCCAATGAAAGAGATATACAATTTACCCGAAAGAGAATTTGAAATAACCATATATTCAAAATAGAGAATTCAAAATAACCATATAATCACAGGCTGGGCATAATGGCTCATGCTTGTAATCCCAGCACTTTGGGAGGCCGAGGTGGGTAGATCACTTGAGGTCAGGAGTTTGAGACCAGCCTGGCCAACAGGGCAAAACCCCATCTCTACTAAAAATATAAAAATTGGCTGGGCACAGTGGTGCGCAACTGTAATCCCAGCTACTCAGGAGGCTGAGGCATGAGAAATGCTTGAACCCAGGAGGTGGAGGTTGCAGTGAGCCGAAATCATGCCACTGCACTCCATCCTGGGCAACACAGCGAGACTCTGTCTCAACAAAACAAAACAAAAACAAAATAACCATAATTAAAGATGCTCTGCAAGGCCAGAAGAACAATACACAAAGTGAGAATTTTCAACAAAAAGGCAGAAAATACAAAAAGTACCAAACAGAAATCATGCTGCTGAAAAATACAATAACTGAATTGAAAAATTCAATAGAGGGATTCAATAGCACACTAAATCAAGCAGGAGATAGGATCAGTGAACTCAAAGTCAGGCCATTGGAAATTATCCAGAGGAACAAAAAGAAAAAAGAATAAAAAAGAGTAAAGAAAGCTTAAGAGATGTATGGGACATCATCAGGCAGACCAACATTCACATTAGGAAGATCCAGAAGGAGAAGAGAGAGAGAAAGTTTAGAAAACTTATTAAAAAAAATAATGGCTCAAAACTCCTGAAACCTGAGAAAGAACATTGACATCCAGATCCAGGAAGCCCAGTGTATCCCAAATAAGATGTTCAGATAAATCAAAGTGATACACATTATAATTGAATTGTCAGAAGTCAAAGACAAATAGGGAATTTTGAAAGCAGCAAGAGAAAAGTGACATCATGTACAAGGGAACCTCCATAAGGTAATTAATACATTTCTTAGCAGAAACTTTGCAGGCCGGAAGGACATGGGATAATATATTTAAAGTGCTGAAAACAAACCAACCAACCAACAAACAAACTGCCAACCAAGAATATCATTCCCAGTACAATTATCCTTCAAAACTGAAGGAGAGATACAGACTTTTATAGATAAACAAAAGCTGAGGTAGTTCATCATCGCTGGACCTGCCTTACAAAAAATGTTAAAGGAAGTTCTTTAAGTTGGAACAAAAGGATGTTAAACAGTAATATAAATGCATGTGAAAGTATAAAACTTGCTGGTAAATGTAAATATACTGATAAATATAGACTACTGTAATACTATAATGGTGGTAGGTAAATCACTCTTTTAATTCTACTATAAAATTTATTTATTTATTTATTTATTTATTTATTTATTTATTTATTTATTTATTTTTGAGACAGAGTTTCACTCTTGTCACCCAGGCTGGTATGCAGTGGTGTGATCTTGGCTCACTGCAACCTCCGCCTCCCGGGTTCAAGCGATTCTCCTGTCTCAGCCTCCTGAGTAGCTGGGATTATAGGTGCCTGCCACCACGCCCAGCTAATATTTATATTTTTAGTACAGACAGAGTTTCTCCATGTTGGCCAGGATGTTCTCGAACTCCTGACCTCAGGTGATCTGCCCTCCTCAGCCTCCAAAAGTGCTGGGATTATAGGTGTGAGCCACCACACTTGGCCCTCTACTATAAAATTTAAAAGATAAAAGTATTAAAAATAACTATAACTATAAAAATAGGTTAATGCATATGCAATATAACAAGATGTAAATAATGACATCAATACATAAAAGATGTGTGTGGGAGAAGCAAAAGAGTAGTTTTTGTATGCAGTGAAAGTTATCAGCTGAAAACAGACAGTTATAAGTTGTTTCATATAAGCCCTATGATGATCACAAAAAAATACCTATAGAAGATACACAAAAGAAAAAGAAAAAAGAATAAAAACATATCGATACAAAAATCCATGCAACACAAAGGAAGACAGCAAGATAGGAAAAGAGAGACAAAAGAACTCTGAGAAAGACAAAAGAATTAACAAAATGGCAATATTAGTCTTTCCCTATCAATAATTTATTGAAATGTAAATGAATTAAACTCTCCAATCAAAAGACATGGAGTAGCTGAATGGATTTTCAAAAAACCAACAAGTACTATCTACATACTATCTAGAAGAGACTGACTTTAGATTTAAAGACAATGTATAGGCTGAAAGTGAAGGAATGGGAAAAAAAATATTCCGTACAAATGGTAACCAAAAGACAGCAGGATGGCTGTACTTATATATCAGACAAAATAGTCTTTAAGTCAAAAATTGTCACAAAAGGCAAAGAAGAACATTATATAATAATGAAAAAATTCACCAGGAAGATATAACAATTGCACACATATATGAACCCAACATCAGAGCACCTAATATATATATAACAAACATTGACAGAACCAAAGGGAGAAATGGACAATGCAATAATAGAAGAATTCAGTAACTCACTTTTGATAATGAATAGAACATTCAGATAGAAAATCAACAAGGAAACAACAGATTTGAGCAATACTATAGAACAAATGGACCTAACAAATAACACGTTCTATCCAATGGTAGCAGAATGCATATTCTCCAGTGCATGCGGAACATTGTCCAGGATAGATCATATGTTGGGTCACAAAACAAGTCTTAACGAATTTAAGAGGATTGAAATCATACTAAGTATCTTTTCCTACCACAATGGAATGAAACTAGAAAACTAGAACGGAAATAAGAAAAAAACTGAAAAATACACAAATATGTAGAAATTAAAAAACATTTAAATAATCAATGGGTCAAAGAAGAAATCAAAAAGGAAATTAGAAAATATCTTGAGACAAATGAAAATGAGAACACAACGTATCAAAATTTATGGGATGCAGCAAAAGCAGTACTAAGAGGAAAGTTTTATATATGTATATACATAAACCTATATCTAAACATACACACACGCCTACCATGTACCTACAAAAATTAAAAAATTAAAAAAGATAAAGAACAAACTAAGCTCAAAGTTAGCAGCAGGAAGGATATAATAACACTTTTTGCTCTAAATTTTATTATGATACTTACGATAAAACTTAGAGCAGAAATAAATAAAAATAGAGACTAGAAAAACAATAGCAAAAAATCAATGAAACAGAGTTTTTTTGAAAGACACAGAAAATTTACAAACCTCTAGATAGACTAAGAAAAAAAGAGGAAACACTCAAATAAATAAAATCGAAGATGTGCTTTTCTGCTCCTCTCATGCTGCTTTTGAAATTCAGATGCAGCCTTCTTTAAATGATTTGTATTGTGTTCCACAAATAATCTTTTGGGACTTCTTTCTGAAACATGACTTTGTTTCCCTGCGGAACAAAGGCAAGGTAGAGTGACAGGGAAAAGAAGTGAGGTAGGGAAGGCTATTCTGTGAAGAGTGATTATTGGGCAATAGAGAGGCTCCCTAGGTTATGCAAGAGTCAAAGGGTAACTGGATCCCAGAGGTGATAGAAGCACACTTATCAGAGACAGTGTCTACTTGTAGGGACAACAGAGTAAATCTGCATTCTCATGGGCACTGTGGCTTGTCCTGGAAGCATCTCAGGCTGGCATAGTCATACCTCTAGGAGAGTTAATACTCTAGAAAGAGGAACAAGTCTAGAAATAAGATGATAGAAATTTCCAGAGAATTTGAGAAAAAGCCACCATGGATACAAAGATACCTCTGAGCACCCTTGCTCCAATTTTCGTTTCTTGGTGAGTCTGCAGTATTATGCTTCATATTCATGCTTCAGTGCTGCCATCTGAACTCTCACTGCTCCAGACTGTTTCCAGCATATTTTTTCTTCTAGATATTTCTACTCTTGCTCATCTTTAGAGAGGCTGTTGCTTTAGTACAAGTTGGCAAATTTTTTAATTTTAGGGCTTTGTGGACACTATAGTCTCTGTCACAACTACACAACTCTGCCACTGTAGCACAAAAGCAGCCATATACAATAGCTAAACAAATGGGCATGGCTGTGTTCCATTAAAACTTTATTTACTGCCGGACGCATTGGCTCACGCCTGTAATCCCAGCACTTTGGGAGGCCGAGGCGGGCGGATCACGAGTTCAGGAGTTCAAGAGCAGCCTGGCCAACATGGTGAAACCCCATTTCTGCTAAAAACACAAAAATTAGCCGGGTGTGGTGGCGGGCACCTGTAATCCCAGCTACTCGGGGGGCTGAGGCAGATAATTGCTTGAACCCGGGAGGTGGAGGTTGCAGTGAGCCGAGATCGTGCCACTGCACTCCAGCCTGGGCGACAGAGTGAGACTCTGTCTCAAAAAAAAAAAAACAGAAAACAAACAAACAAAAACTTTATTTACAAAAATTCAGCAGGGTAAACTTGACGTGTGGGCTGCCATTTGCAGATGCCCTCTTTTAGGTATACTCCCATCCATTCCATTGGTTTCCATTTTACTTTCTCATTTCTCAACCATGAACATGCCATTGTTTTCAGTTGCTCCATGTGTTGGCAAGTTCCCTAAACCCCAACGAATAGTAAGGCTCAGGATCATTTCGGCGAATACAGGTTGAGTTTCTGCTATAAAAACAAATTGAATGCTGAAACATGGATGAATGTGGGAGGAAAGAGCTACTTGGAAGAGTAACTCTCAAAGCTCTCTCTCAGAGCTCTCTCTCTGGGGAGAAAGAACAGTGGCGGAAACTCCTGGGTGAGGAATCCCTGATTCCCAAACAACTCCACCCCATGTCCCTGGCTGTCCTCCCCTCTGAGTAATGCAGACAGCCTTTTGGGGCTGTGATGATTCTATCTCCTATGAAGCCATCTGATGAAACTCTGATTTCACCAACCACTAGCACCCAGGAAGAGCCTGGTGTGACATAAGCTGAATGGAATAATTTTATGGGTTGAGGGGGGACTCTTTAGAAGCATCTAACTAGCATATTTTGGAGAAAAATTAGCTGAAGCATTAGGAAAGGAAACTATGCTGTATGCCAAGCCCCCACCCACAATTAATGGTATAAAAGGACTGCAGAGGAAGGAGAGACTCAAACCTGCCCACATCCACCTCCAGCAGCTTACCTGCTTTTCCATTACCTGTTCCAGC
Organism: Homo sapiens; assembly: GCF_000001405.40. Taxonomy (NCBI): domain Eukaryota; kingdom Metazoa; phylum Chordata; class Mammalia; order Primates; family Hominidae; genus Homo; species Homo sapiens. The sequence continues at coordinate 41,382,249 of NC_000017.11, read as the reverse complement.
ACCATGTCTTACAGTTGTTGCCTGCCCAGCCTGGGCTGCCGCACCAGCTGCTCCTCCCGGCCCTGCGTGCCCCCCAGCTGCCACGGCTACACCCTGCCTGGGGCCTGCAACATCCCCGCCAATGTGAGCAACTGCAACTGGTTCTGTGAGGGCTCCTTCAATGGCAGCGAGAAGGAGACTATGCAGTTCCTGAACGACCGCCTGGCCAGCTACCTGGAGAAGGTGCGTCAGCTGGAGCGGGACAACGCGGAGCTGGAGAAACTCATCCAGGAGCGGTCCCAGCAGCAGGAGCCCTTGCTGTGCCCCAGCTACCAGTCCTACTTCAAGACCATTGAGGAGCTCCAGCAGAAGGTGAGGGGGTTGGCCATATGGGGGGCCAGCAGCAGCTGGCTCTCTTTGAACAGTAAGACATTTTCAAGTTCAAGTGTACCTCATGAGAGAAATTTCTTTTCAGATTCTGTGTGCCAAGGCTGAGAATGCCAGGCTGGTGGTGAACATTGACAATGCCAAGCTGGCCTCTGACGACTTCAGAAGCAAGTATGTTGAACTTCAAGGTCCCTATGGTTCTTTCATGGCCCTAGGGACCTACTATTGCCTGGAAGAGAGGAGAAAGCCATTTCTCTCTATTTCTCCTCCTAGGGCTGGTTATGTAAAATTAGTTTCAAATAGGGAACTAGACTCATGTGCTGCCTGCTCTTTGGTCTATACTGGTTTTTTTTGGAAGTGTTTCTTAAACCACAAAATTCAGAGATTGAAATGAATTGTTCTTTGGGAATTGATTTGGTGGTATATTAGCTAACAAAACCGAGAACACAGTGAGAGACTTCATCTCATGTGTGCCTGTGGGCTCCTCGTGGTGTTAGGTGAGTCAGGGAACCTCTTCAGCCTATCCATGGACAGCTTGACTGAAGCATATGGAAGAGAAGAGGCAGAAAACTGTAAGTTCAAGAAGATTCAGGCCAATTCTACCCAAACAACACATGAGAGGGGAAGGTGGTTTTCTTTCCTGACTTATCCTCCCACTCCGACACGTGCAGGTACCAGACGGAGCAGTCCCTGAGGCTGTTGGTGGAGTCGGACATCAACAGCATACGCAGGATCCTGGATGAGCTGACCCTCTGCAAGTCTGACCTGGAGTCCCAGGTGGAGTCCCTGAGGGAGGAGCTGATCTGCTTGAAGAAGAACCATGAGGAGGTATGAAACAAATTCACAAAAGCAGGCCTCAGAACTAAGCTACTAGCACTGGGAATCAGGAGAGGATTACTGTCTGGATCCCTGGTCTGGGACCCTTCTCTGAGGAACTCAAGATGTTCTCAGAGAGTGACGGTGCTACATCCATATCAAGGAGTGGAGTGAGCTGCTCATTCTTCAGCGGCTGGGTGAGGGTTAGGCAGGTGTTGGAATTACTGAGGAGGGACATCATTCATTGAGCCCTGCTCTCTGCTGATCACTGCTAGGTCCTGAATTTGGTGGTGGAGATGGAGGGACAAAAAAGAAATAAGACATGGCCCTTTTCTTAAAAGAGCTCACAGTCTAGTATAGAAAGACAGTCATATAAACACAGTGATATAAACAAGACAGAGTGAAACAAGTACCATATGAGATGTACAAGCAGTATGCTCTAGAAATAATCCAGGCTGCCCAAGAGGAGATAGGGAACTCTTCTCAGATGCAAAGAGGAGGATTCCAGTACTTGGGTGTTTCAGTCTGAGGGAAGAGGTTGAACAAAGACACAGAAGTGGCAGGGCAGGGTGTATCTGGGTATGGCTGGGCATGCAGTACCTCCAAGGGATGAAAGTGAAGATGTGATGGGAAGCGAGGAAGGACTTGCATATGCCAAGGAGTTTAGACTTAGTCTTGTAGAAGGTGTGAGGTTGTTTCCGTTTCTATGGGACAACAATTGACGTGATCCCTGTTGGAGTTTATTGCTATAAAATGTGTGTGTCACTCTTTGGGAATGATCAGAATCTTCCTTTTAGTGCTTTTTTTTTTTTGACGGAGTCATGCTCTGTCACCAGGCTGGAGTGCAGTGGCGTGATCTAGGCTCACTGTAACATCCGACTCCCTGGTTCAAGTGATTCACTTGCCTCAGCCTCCTGAGTAGCTGGGATTACAGGCACATGCCACCACGCCCAGCTAATTTTTGTATTGTTAGTAGAGATGGGGTTTCACCATGTTGGCTAGGATGGTTTCGATCTCCTGACTTCGTGATCCACCTGCCTCTGCCTCCCAAAGTGCTGGGATTACAGGCTTGAGCCACTGTGCCCGGCCCCTTTTAGTGCTTTCTGGGCAGCATCAAGCTCATTTTCCCAGAGCAGGAAGATGGCACATCTTCCATGGGACAGCAATTGATGTGATCCCTGTTGGAGTTTATTGCTATAAAATGTGTGTGTCACTCTTTGGGAATGATCAGAATATTCCTTTTAGTGCTTTTTGGGCAGTATTGTGCTCATTTCCCTGGAGCAGGAAAATGGCAGATCCATTGCCGTAGGTTCATTGTTTCCCTTTTCTCCAACAGGAGGTTAACACCCTGCGCTCCCAGCTTGGAGACCGCCTCAACGTGGAGGTGGACACTGCCCCCACTGTGGACCTGAACCAGGTCCTGAACGAGACCAGGAGTCAGTATGAGGCTCTGGTGGAAATTAACCGCAGGGAAGTGGAGCAATGGTTCGCCACGCAGGTGGGCATCTAAGCACATGGCCACTCAGGACCCGAGGTGCCCCAGGGCCCTGGAGACAGGGTCTGATCCTTTCCCCACTTGGGTGTTTCAGACCGAGGAGCTGAACAAGCAGGTGGTATCCAGCTCAGAGCAGCTGCAGTCCTGCCAGGCGGAGATCATCGAGCTGAGACGCACAGTCAACGCCCTGGAGATCGAGCTGCAGGCCCAGCACAACCTGGTGTGTATTGTTCAGACCTGCTGGTGAGCGATGGGAACTTGGGAGGCAGAGTCCCGGGGATGTGCTTGGGGCCACACACTCTCCTTAGCTCTTGGAGCTTGTGACTTCCTTGTAATCCTGTGAAGAAACCCTTTGAAGGAGCAGCTCTCTGACATTCCTGATCTTCCCCACCACAGCGAGACTCTCTGGAAAACACGCTGACGGAGAGCGAGGCCCACTACAGCTCCCAGCTGTCCCAGGTGCAGAGCCTGATCACCAACGTGGAGTCTCAGCTGGCAGAGATCCGCTGTGACCTGGAGCGGCAGAACCAGGAGTACCAGGTGCTGCTGGACGTGCGTGCCCGGCTGGAGTGTGAGATCAACACGTACCGGAGCCTCCTGGAGAGTGAGGACTGCAAGTGAGTATGGGGCAAATAATGTCTGGGAAGAATGTGTACAGTGGGATATTGTAGGCACACAAATGGTGGCCATGTTTTCAACTAGTCAGGCAACACACATTAACTGTGTAGCATGTGTCCAGTGATCTGTGATAGCTAAGCAAAGGGAGGCCAAAGGTAAGGGAACAGCCCCTATCTCAGGGGGCTAACAATGGAGGAGTGGTGGCAGGAGCTGGCCAGTTGTAGGAATAACATTTGTGTAAGGCACATTAAGTTCCAGGAGACCTCAAGAGTATGAGATAATATTTTTGAAAAGCACAATTTTTCCACCTCTGCACATGGCATTCTGGGAGAGAGAGAAGGGTTTGGTAGTAATCAGAACTTGATTCTGGCTGGGTGCAATGGCTCATGCCTATAATCCACTTTGGGAGGTTGAGGTGGGTGGATCACTTGAGGTCAGGAGTTCAAGACCAGCCTGGCCAACATGGTGAAACCCCATCGCTACCAAAAATACAAAAAATTAGCCAGGCATGGTGACGCATGCCTGTGATCCTAACTACTTGGGAGGCTGAGGCAGGAGAATCGCTTGAACCTGGGAGGCATAGTGAGCCTTGGCTCCCACTTGCAGTGAGCCAAGATCGCACCACTGCACTCCAGCCTAGGCAACAGAGCAAGACCCTGTCTCAAAAACAAAACAAAACAAAACAAAAAGAACTTGATTCCAACTAACTCCAGCCACTGAGAATTCATAGGTTGTGTCATTAAGCCCAAGGTATTGTGTGCATTAAAACCTCCTCCTAAAGCCATTCTAAACCTCCTTGTCCTCCTAGGCTCCCCTGCAACCCATGCGCCACCACCAATGCTAGTGGCAACTCCTGTGGACCCTGTGGCACCTCTCAAAAGGGTTGCTGTAATTGAAAAGCTTGTATCCTCTTTGAAGACATCTACAAAGCCATTTAGATCAACCACAGGAAGGATCCTCAAGTCCTGACTTTTCTGGAGCTCAGCTGACATCAAGAAACCTCATCTTGCCTCTATGTTATTTCTAGAATGCTGAAAAGCTTTCCTGACCCAAGCAAAGACACACATCATCAACTTCCAATGTCTGGACAACTCCTTCCTGTTGAGGGTCGAGCCTGTTTGTTTCTAAAGATGTTCAGCTCCCTGTAATCTGAGCTCCAGTTACTACTTAAGGTGTTTCCTGAACGTACTACTGCATTTCCTGTTTTCCTTTTTTCTTTGGCATTCTCTGGAATGCAAGGAGGAGACTTCATTTACTTCCCAATAAACTTCATTTCTCTGGCATAATAAATGTTTCTCATTCATATTCATGCATTGTAAATTACTCATCATGGCTGTTTCATAAAAATACCCCTTCATTAGGAGAATAAAATGAAGTAAATGACTGAGCCAAGCCTTTATGCTTCACCAGAAACACTGATGTAGACAGGGAAGGACGTCCTTCTGGGAGACTCCCACCCAGGGTAGGCCATGCAGGAAACCTGGCCTTCAATACCCATGCTTACCTTGCCTTGACTACAGGGCCCTTGGCAATTTTGCAAAGCCTCCCCAGACTTCACTGCTATCTCCAGCTCTCACCCTCATCAGAATAGAATGTTCTGCTTCCCTTTCTCCTAAACTGCCTGAAGAAACTACAGAAACTGCTTCTACAGAAACTGTTCAAAGAGCAGTGATTCTCTCCTCTCAACCTCTCTGCTGCTGCTGCCTTGCTGATATAGATACCTACTCCTCCCTTAAAATACACCTTCATTGATTTCCATAACCCTGCACACTCTGGGTCTTCTTGTAATATCTCTAATTACCTGTTCTCTGTTGTCTTGTTAGCTGTCTTCCCCTTTTTGTCCCAAATGAAGGAAACACCTATATTCTTAGCCCTCTGTCTTTCTCTTTCTACGTCCCTGTTCGTGTAGATCTAGCTCCTCTATGCTGATGACTGCCACATCTCCCTCTCATCTCAGCTCAGTTTCCAGGTTTTCTGTTGCGCATATGACAGCTTCACTTGGTATCAGGTCATTACATCATGTTTAATTGGACTAAAACGTATTTTTCCCAAACTGGTTCATCTTGCCGCCCACTTGTTATGCCTGACATGTTGTCCTCCAGATAGACCCTTTAAATGCAGTCCTTACCTTTCCCCTCTTCAAGTTTATTCTTTCCCCTAGATCTTTGGTCTTATCCATAATGTTCTTCCATAGCCTCTTTATCATTTCATTTTCTATAATTCCAAGAAAGGCCAATGTTCATTAAACATCTCCCCCAAAACATTAATCTTACCCCACACCCCACCCCACTTGCCTCATCCCTGAATTTTTAAAGCTTTCAATTTTATAGGCCAGTCTCAATTATCCATTTTATTTAATCCTATCTGATTGACACAACTGCAATCAATCATCTATAGTGTGTGCTGGGTACTGTGGGCGGTACTGAGAAACACAAATAAGTGAATCCCAGTCTCGGCCCACAGCATGTTTTACAGTTTAGAGTGGATGAGACAAAGCTACAGTCATCATAGACAAATATCAGTGTGGCTCAAGAAAGGTGCAGATAAAGAATTACGAATTTCAGATGTGTGAGAGAATGAAAAGAAGAGGCTCCAAGAAGGAGGGAGCACTCAATCAAAGCCTTGAAAACCCAAATGTTCTGTTGATATAAATTTTGTCTGCCTGTCTTGTTGACTGCAGGCCCTTCAGCAGAGGCAATATCATCACCTAATTAAAGACGATGTAAACCATGGAATACTGTAAGTGGAATAAATAAGGAAGAGTAACACTAATGAAAATTCATGAGAAGGTTATTAAAACTTTATATACTTCCCATAGTTTCAACTTCAATCAATGATTACTGTATGATATTAGCATAATTCTGAAATAAAGTTTGCTGGGAAATGTCTGGTCAGGTGAGTGTGTTTAGGCCATAGAAGAGGGAAAGTTTTGGCCAGGTGCAGTGGCTCACGCCTGTAATCCCAGCACTTTGGGAGGCTGAGGCAGGTGGATCACGAGGTCAGGAGATTGAGACCATCCTGGCTAACACGGTGAAACCCCATCTGTATTGAAAATACAAAAAAAAAAAAAAAAAAAAATTAGCCAGGCATGGTGGCACACACCTGTAGTCCCAGCTACTCAGGAGGCTGAGGCAGGGGAATAGCTTGAACCCAGGAGGCGGAGGTTGCAGTGAGCCAAGATCGTGCCACTGCACTCCAGCCTGGATGATAGAGTGAGACTCTGTCTCAAAAAAAAAAAAGAAGAGGGAAAGTTTTCCTGAGCATGAACTTTGCCTGGAGGAGTTATGAGGTGTGTTTAGAAATTGACAACCCAATCCCTAGCCTAGAACAGAGGGTAAGTGTGGTTATAGGAGATGAAACTGCAAGGTAGTTAGGTACGGCCATATTTGGAAGTGCTCCGAATGATTATACATGAGATTTTCTTGTAAGGGAGTTTGCCATATGATATATCTGGCAGCTGTGTACAGGTTGGGTTGTGAGGAGTCCTAGAAGCTGGATGAAATAGAAGGAAGATCAATTAAGAGGTGAGAGACAATAAGGACTGAGATAAGTGGAGGAGAGTGAGGCCAAAGAGGGGTAGGTTTTAGAGGCATGGCTTAAATATGGAAGCTGAGTAGAGATAGAGGAACAATGGAAAGAAAAGGAAGGAAACTAGTACTGATCACACACTGTATTAGGGTTATCCAGAGAAACAGAAACAGTAGGCTATGTATAGATACATAGAAAGAGATTTATTATAAGGAATTAGCTTATATGATTATGGAGGCTGAGAAGTTTCATAATCTGCTGTCTTCAAGGTGGAGGCCCAGGAAAGCCAGTGGTATAATTCCAATCCAAACCCAAAGGACTGAGAATCAGGAAGGCTGGTGGTGTAAGTCCTGGTTTGAGACTGAAGGCTCAAGAACTGGGAGCATTGATGTTAGAGGGCAGGAGAAGATGGATGTCCCAGCTCAACTCTATTCCCATTGGGAGTGCAGGACTGAGTGTAAGAGAAACAGTGATGGCTCTGGAGAGGGTTTGTGGAACTAGATCCCGAGTTCCGTTTTGAGGTGTCCGTGTCTGTCTTTGCTCAGCATAGCTTACTACTGACCTGGCCTATTCTCCAGACCCTCTCCTGCTTCTCCCTTACCGGTCAATGAGAGAAATAATTTGCCTTTCTTCTACTTTTTGGTTCTATTTGACTACCCACATTGGAGGACACCTGCCCACATTGGTGAGGGTGATCTTTACTCACTCTCCTGATTCAAATGCTGATCTCTTTTAGAAACACCTTTACACACATACCCAGAAATAATGTTTTACCAGCTATCTGGGCATCCCTTGGCCCAGTCAAGTTGATACATTAAATTAACCATCACAAACACCTACTATGGGTCTGAAGATTTTCAGCCTGAGAAAATGAAACAACAATGAGTTTCCATTGGAGAGACCTGGAGAAGAATAACTAGATTTGAGGGAGATGTCGGAGAGCTGGGTAAATAAAGATGATAATTAGAGCTATAGGAATTGTTAAGACTGTCCAATGGAGGCTAGCAGGGAATAGAAGAACCTTGAGGACCACTGATAGAAACCACAGACTTCAGCTGGGGCTCTCCAAAGTCCCTGATGTGAGGTTCAGCCTTGGTTTTGCCAGATCTTGAGGACAGAGATGACATCTGGTTGCAAGCAGTTTGAGAGGGAAGTGGAGAAGCACCTTAAAGGACACAGAAGTCAAAAGAAGTTGGAGCTCTAATGAAAGAGTTGTCAACAGCATCCAGGGCAAGGATGGTGAGAATCAGACAAATCTACTGGTTAAAGCAATGGGGAGACTCCTGGTGATTATAAAGAGAACAGAGTCTGTGGGAGGCTGAGGGAAGAAGCTGTATTTCCATGTTTTTTTCATGTCTGTCTCAAATCACCAACGTGATAGTGAGTGTAATGCAAAAGTTCAACACAACACATTTGTACTCAGCTGACTTTGCTTTATCTTCTGTGTACTGTCAAAAGGTTTTAGCATCTGCCCTCTCCCTTGATCTGCAGAGCAGGACACATATATAGGTTTTCATTCCATCTCTGAGTGGGCCCTGGATCCAGCTTTTTCAGGAAGACTAGCACCATTAAATTACATCGTCCTGGATTGTGTCATGCTCTTGTCTATTCTAGACTGAGTTGATAGTCTAGAGTAGTCAAAAACATAGCATAGATCTCGTGGGAGCTGAATGATGAGAACACGTGGACATATAGAGGGGAACAACACACACTGGAGCCTTCTGGAGGGTAGAGGGTGGGAGGAGGGAGAGGATCAGGAAAAATAACTAATGGGTACTAGGCTTAATACCTGGGTGATGAAATAATCTGTAAAACAAACTCCCATGACACAAGTTTATCTATGTAACAAACCTGCACTTGTATCCCTCAACTTAAAATAAAAGTTAAAAAAAAACACATAGCATAGATGAACTTTGTATTTTTCTGACTTGGCTTGGTCCCTGAAGACTCCAAGACTCCATTCCCATTGGGAGTCCAAGACTGAGTGTAAGAGAAACATGGTGGCTCTGGAGAGGATTTGTAGAACTACCTCCTGAGTTCCATTTTGAGGTGTTTGTATCTGTTTTTGCTCAGCGTAGCTTACTGCTGACCTGGCTCATTCTTCAGCCCCTCTCCTGCTTGTCCCTTATCAGAAGCCCCATTGAACAGGGCCAAACTTGTTGGCTTATTTCCTGAATTACCCCTTCAATTTCTCCTCTCAATGTCCTGAGGCTGGAGGATTGATAAATTGACAACAGTTGCCTTTATGGAACAGTTTGTGGAAGCCCTATCTTCTGCTCTTCTAGGAAGCTCTAACAGGCTGGCCCAAAACCATGGGCTGGGGTTGTTATTGGACAGTCTTTCTGCTTTTCTAATTCCCCTCTGGGATCCCTCTTTGGCAAAAAGTCCATCTTCTTGCTCTGTGTGCATGTAGTGATACTGCTCCTGGCCTCTCCTTCTCATTTGTACATATTAAAATATAATTAATTTTCAAGTAGCCCAATGTAACTTCGTATTTCTAAAAGAATAAATTTTACATTTCTCACGGTGACAATTTCAAGCACCAGAGCCTGGACATTGGAGAAGATGGCTTTGGGAAGAAGGAGGGAGGCCTCCTAATGCCTTTGAAGTCCCACAATGAGGAAGGTGGCCTCAGCAGAAGCCCCATCCTATGTCCACTCCGTGGTTAAGCATCGCTGGTGGGTTGGCATGTGATCTCTTCTATGGAAATAGCCCGGGCTTCCATAATAAATAGCATCCTTAAACCTCAACTGCAATTTGCTCACATCTTAAGACCAGAAGCCTCAACCATAGCATCTGCCGCTATTACATGGGCATGTATAAAACCTTTCGGTTTGTTAGGATTTGACTTACTTGTCATGTTTAATGAAGGGCCATTGAACAGAGACAATAGCATCACCCATGTAAAGATAAGAATTCACAGTACACAGCAAGTGGAGTAAGTAAAAAGCAATTGCCTTCCAGACTTTGTGAGAAGCTAATTGAAACTTGGCTCTTTTCTCCATAGACCCAAGTTCTTCCAACTATTAGTACATAATGGCCAAGTAGCTGTGCAGAAATTATAGTTACTTCTACTCAAGATGTGGGAATAGTTGTGTTTTCTAAACTCTGACCTCCACTTTTAAAGACACAAGGATACTTATCTCTGGATTATTCCACTGTGACTGAGGTAGAAGCTACAGCAATGGTTATAGGGATCCCTGTGGACATATTTACCAGTCTGTGACACACTATTCCTTCCCTTTTCTTTAAAAAGTGCCATTGTCAGATTTTTCCTTTTGAAGCTTGGGACGTAGAAGAAGGAGAGAAGAACACAAGGTAATTAGAGAAAAGCTAATGAATTCAGCTATTTGCTTTATGTTATTTGATCTCATCCAATAGGACTTTAATGGTTTGGTACTGATTTTAAACCAATATGCCCATGCCACATCTCACTGATAGTGGAATCATTTTAAAGGTAGAGATTCAGGCCGGGTGCAGTGGCTCACTCCTGTAATCCCAGCACTTTGGGAGGCTGAGGCGGGTGGATCACCTGAGGTCAGGAGATTGAGACCAGCCTGCCCAACATAGTGAAACCCTGTCTCTACTAAAAATACAAAAATTAGCCAGGCACATTACAGGTGGTGCACGCCTCTAATCCCAGCTACTAGGGAGGGTGAGACAGGAGAATAGCTTGAACCTGGGAGGCGGAGGTTGCAGTGAGCTGAGATTGCACCACTGCACTGTAGCCTGGGCAATAGAGCAATAGAGTGAGACTCTGTCTCCAAAAAAAAAAAAAAAAAAAAAAAATTAGAGATTCAGGCAGGAGGGGCAGAAAGTTGTGGATTGTGATTGTAGGGGAGGATATCAGTACCTTCAATGCATTCACCCTGGAAGACCACATGTTTGCCCCAAAGCTGCTGTCCTTTATAAAAGCATATTTGAAGCTTCTCCTTGGAAATGACTTCCAGAGTCACCCAAGAAAACACACATTATTATTTTGTAGTCACAACCTGTTTCTGACCCATTAAAGATGCTATGCAGCTTGGTTATTCACCCTATGCACTAGGTGTGGTTTCAAATGACTTCTGGCTGGTTCCAAAAATAAACACACCCATAGAAGATGAAGATTGGCCTTCAATGAGGATAACCAAAAGAATGTGTCCCAAGCTGTGAAGGCAAGTTTGAAGGAAGGGTGATCTGAGGAATGGCAGGTCACCTGTAGGAAAAGAATTCTTGTATGGCAAGACTTAATATGTAGCTTCCAAAAGGAACAACTTGGAGGAGTATCTTTCAGAATTTGAGCACTGATAGATTAAACATAAAATCCTCATATTTCATAGTTCCATCTGGAATGCATGAGAGTAGAGCATCTGCTTGCCAAAATGTGCCAATGGTCATAAAATGCCACTTCATGCACATGACATAGTGGTGGATTTTCAGGGTCATATCCTTTGGAGAGCTAGGCTTGGGTATTTCTCCCTCAGATCAACCAAGGGTTTCCTTTTTTTTTTTTTTTCAAGCTTCTAGTGGGTATGAGGCATTTTCACTTAGTAAACTTCCTTCCTTCAGCATAGAAGTGACTTTTGGTTCTTTAATAAGTAAAAAACAGGCTTGTTATTTTTTGGCCCATTCTAATTTAGGATATTGTCAGCACTGATTGAGCTCAATGGAGCTCAATCTGTATTTTTTGCATTATTGCATCTCAGTACTGAAAAGATTGGAAGAGAGAGACATGTAATATGACAGAGTGTGGACATTGGAATTAGAGAGATCTGTATTTGAACCCTGGCTCCATCATGTAGGAGCTCTGTGACCTTGGGAGACCTCTCAGAGGCTTAGGGTCCTTATCTACAAACCCTTGCAGCATTTTGAGAGGACTGAAGGAGCTGGTGCATATGAGGTGCCTGGCACTGTGCCTGGTGCACAGTGGAGGCTCAGCAAGCAGGACCCATCACCAATGACAGAGTCACGCTGTGCACAGGCATGGAGCACAGTGCTTCATGCAGAGTAGGTGCTCCCAAAATTTAGGTTTCTTAATGTTCTGTGAACACTGAATACTAGTAGAAACGGAGGTGGGTGGCTTCCTGCAGCCCCATAGGAAGAGGGTAGAGTTGCCTCCATCTGCCTGGATGGAACTGCAAATGGGCCTTGAACCAATGGCCTTGTAAGTCCTTTCTCATTTCAGCTTCCAGGATTCCCTATCACATAGTCTAGTTTCTAGACGGGTTTCCTTACATGGCTTTTCTCACAGAGTCTTAATTGAATATGAACTGGATGAGACACAAGCCTTTCCTCATTTAGGAGAAAGAGGCACATATGTGCCCCCTACTCTGGGGACAGGGCCCAGCTGTCACTCTAGCTCAATGTCCCATGGATAAGCACTGCTACAGGCAAGGTTGGTCACTTTGAAGCCAAACCATGAAGCTCTTACTTAACCAATCAGCATGTTTTGTGAGGAGTCCTGACTTAGCAAGAAGCCAGAGTAAAACATTTAATGAGGTATAGGACTCAGGTGAAGTGGCTAAATAACAAATGGAAAAATCAGCAAAGGAGGTAAAAAGGAGGAATACTTGACATGGTTGCCACACCCACTGCTAACAGAATATAAAGCCCTGGAAAGGACCAAGGCTTATCCCAGGGAAAAGGAATCAGGTTTTGAAACTGACTTCCAGAGCTCCACTGCCTCCCTGCACCATGCCCTACAACTTCTGCCTGCCCAGCCTGAGCTGCCGCACCAGCTGCTCCTCCCGGCCCTGTGTGCCCCCCAGCTGCCACGGCTACACCCTGCCCGGGGCCTGCAACATCCCTGCCAATGTGAGCAACTGCAACTGGTTCTGCGAGGGCTCCTTCAATGGCAGCGAGAAGGAGACTATGCAGTTCCTGAACGACCGCCTGGCCAGCTACCTGGAGAAGGTGCGTCAGCTGGAGCGGGACAACGCGGAGCTGGAGAACCTCATCCGGGAGCGGTCTCAGCAGCAGGAGCCCTTGCTGTGCCCCAGCTACCAGTCCTACTTCAAGACCATTGAGGAGCTCCAGCAGAAGGTGAGGAGGTGGGCACCACACTGCCAGCTTAATGAACTACTTATCTATATTTGACATACTAAACTGTGAATGGATCTAAGTCTGTTCACAGTAATGCTGAGAATGATAAAGACATAGATTCACTGGCTTAGGTATGACATCAAGTAGTCTTAGAAAATCTGTTGTAGAGCCACAAAGGAAGGATGCAGGCTGGTGTTAGAGTGAAGCATTAGACCAAAATCAGTCATAGCAATCTTATATGGCGTCTTACTCCAAACCAGAATATCTGATTTTTTGGTTTGATTATGATACCCTGGTTTTGTTTTCAGAGCATTACCGCATTTTCAAAAAGTATGCACCTGAATTATTTTCTATGCTAAGAATTTCCTAAGTAAATCTTCAAATATTTAAAGCCTTTCAAAGCTGTAGCAAAATATAGCATTTATGGCAACACAAGAGAGCTGTTGACTCCAGCAATATCTACAGACACATGGACCATCCTCTAGAGCAGCCATGTGTACAGATGACAATATGGGGCCATCTGTTCTGGAAGAGAAGTAGATATAAGTAAAGAGTCCACAGAGAATTGGGACTGAATACCTGGTGTAGGTTTGGGAGGGATCCCAGAAGAGGCAATGTCTGAGTGGGGTTTGAAGGATGAGTGGGAGTTTATATCCAATTGTACAAGCCCTTGATTCTGGGAGGGAATTGACTGCCCACTGTTCTGTAGATCTGGAAAATTAGATGCCAGAAAGGGGTTGTGCTATTTGAATATCATTCATTTATTTACCCAGAGTTGGAGAGTGTTAGGCACAGTGCTGGGGTGGGGGATAATGTACTGAGTAAGACAGTCTCCTTCCTTCAGGAGCTCACAGTCTAACAGGGGAGATAGATGTGGAAACAAAATGATCACACAAAGGTCATAAGAAGTGTTATTGATTAAGTATGTGGGTTACACAAGGGGTCTTGCTAGTGGGTGAGGGCATTCTGGGTACAGCAAGAAGCTTTTTGCAAAGGCATGAACAAGGGCAATATGAGGGGAGAGTGGAGAGAAGTTAGCAGGTGGAATGTGTTGGATAACCAAGTTGTTCTGGCTTGCCTGGGATTTTTCCCATTTTAGCATCCCAGAAACCCCTCAGTCCTAAGTTAACTGGGATGGTTGGTCACCCAACCGAAGGGTTGGATACCCAGTAACCTAATTATTGCAGGAAGCCAGAAGCAGATAAGAATAGAATTCATGATGAATTCACATTGGTTGTCCTGGTTTTGAAATGATCAGTTTTATGATCAAATCCTCCTTTTATCTCAGAGCTGAAAATCTGAAAGGACTCAAAGCTATTTGGGAGGAATGTGGCTGAAAGAAAATAGCATTTCACTTTAAGGCACAAGGCATTTCTTAGTATAACCCATTTCATGATTAATCCTATCCCCAGATCCTGTGCAGCAAGTCTGAGAATGCCAGGCTGGTGGTGCAGATCGACAATGCCAAGCTGGCTGCAGATGACTTCAGAACCAAGTAAGATTTTCCTAACCATCAGAGCAGTCTAGTAACGGACAGGCTGAATTACAAAGTGATGAGCTCCCTATCCTGGAATGTGGAAGCAGAAATTTCTATTGGGAGGATTCTTGCATTGGGTTAGGATTAGGTTAAATGTCAAAGCCTCTTCAATAGGTGCTCAGATTCTGTGTTTTAAGTTTTTTTTTTTAATTTTTTTATTTTGAGATGGAGTCTCCCTCTCTCATCCAGGCTGGAGTGCAGTGATGCAATCTTGGCTCACTGCAACCTCCGCCTCCCGGATTCAAGTGATTTTCCTGCCTCAGCCTTCCTCGTAGCTGGGATTACAGGCATGCGCCAGCAGGCCCAGCTAATTTTTATATTTTTAGTGGAGACCGGGTTTTACCATGTTGGTCAGGCTGGTCTTGAACTCCTGACCTCAAGTGATCCACCCGCCTCAGCCTCCCAAACTGCTGGGATTACAGGCGTGAGCCACTGTGCGCAGCCCTGTGCTTTAAGTTTGATTGTAAGACACCATCCATTCTTACTCCTTTTCAACCCAACGTCTGGAGTAAGTTTGAAAGTGATTTTCACATTGGTCTCTTTGTATACGTTAGTCACTGTCAACCCCCCAAAAAGAAGTTATTAAACCACAAAAACAGGAGGCAAAATCCATTGCCTTTCAGAGAATCAATCAATACTTTTAGGTATGACCATTATTACAATCATGAGAATCCTTTGCATTTTCCTGGGATCTTACATTTTACAACATAATTTTACATATATCATCTTCAGTCCAACCCTATAAGGTGTTAGTTTTGTCTTCATTTTACAGTTAAGGAAATCAAGCCTCAGAGAGATAAAGGTATCTATCTACAGTCATTTAATGAGAATACTGGCTCTAACTCTGAATTCAGTGTTTCTTCCACAACACTAGATTGCTTCTTGGCAAGGCTGGAAAGGATGACAGGACAACCTGGAGCAGGCTTATGAAGGGCACTGATTCACTTGAGATGGCAAAAGCAGCAGGGCTTAGTTGATAGTAACTTGTAAACGAGAGTCTTAGAACAAACTTAGTTTGTGTTAGACTAAACTATCCACAGGCATTCCACCAATACCTTTTCTGTGTGTCTCAGTGACAAAATAGGCCTTCTCACTCAGTACAGGAGTATTTTCTCCCTTAATTTTTTAAATTCAAAATATTTCAAAATATAATAAAATTGACTAAGTCAGCCAAGTAAAGGCCGGGAAACAAAGACTTTTTTTTTTTGGACCTCTTTTGACCTCTGGCTGTGTGTGCAGGTACCAGACGGAGCAGTCCCTGCGGCAGCTGGTGGAGTCCGACATCAACAGCCTGCGCAGGATTCTGGATGAGCTGACCCTGTGCAGGTCTGACCTGGAGGCCCAGATGGAGTCCCTGAAGGAGGAGCTGCTGTCCCTCAAGCAGAACCATGAGCAGGTAAGAGTCCCAGCCCCCAATATCCCAATACTGAGAGCTCTGTGATCCCCCTGAATAGGATAAGGTAGGATTTGATTTGCTAAGCACCCTAGGCCTAACAACATTTTGCTGGTTGCTCAAAACATACTTTGGGGCTTGTTGGGGAATGAGTGACAGCTTACCTTTTTTACATAAAGGAGTGTGGTAAGCTGACCTACTTCCCCTTGGGACCAGACATGTATGGCTGAAAGGTCACACAAATATCTTTAAACTACTGTCTACTGTTTGATGCTATCTATTAGCTTCTGAAGAGGTGCCAGGTAGGTTAATGACCAAGACTGGAAGGAGATAGAAAACATTCTTACACTCTGTTTCACCTAGATAACTAGAACTCAAGCTAGATAAATGGATAGATGGATGAATGGATGGATGGATGAACTGATGGATGGGAAAAACGGGAGAAATGAAATAACTCAAATAATGGTTGATTCAGATCTCATGGCTGAATGCAATACTACGAAATCAGATGCATGTCTCAAACATTAGACGTTTTCATGATGAAAACATGTGTCATACTCTAGTAGTATCCCATGAAATAAATAGGAGGAATGAAACCTGGTTTCTCTATATTTAAGTAGCAACAATTGTAAGCCAATTATCATGCCAGGCTTATCACTGAGCAAAGGGGAAATAAGAAAGAAATGATAGAATCTTGGACTGGGTAGAAATATTAGCAATCATTTAATGAAGCAGCCGTATCATACAGATGAGGGAAGGGATTCAGAGAAGAGGCCAGAATTTCCAGAGGTGACAGCTGGGCTTCAACTCATGTTTCCTAAGCTGCAATGCAATCCTCTTCCCATTATATTGAACTGCCTCAAAGAAGTTATTGAAAGACTTCTTTCTGTGGGTTTATTTCTTCCCTTTTCTCCATTAGGAAGTCAACACCTTGCGCTGCCAGCTTGGAGACCGCCTCAACGTGGAGGTGGACGCTGCTCCCGCTGTGGACCTGAACCAGGTCCTGAACGAGACCAGGAATCAGTATGAGGCCCTGGTGGAAACCAACCGCAGGGAAGTGGAGCAATGGTTCGCCACGCAGGTGGGCATCTAAGCACGTGGCCACTCAGGACCCGAGGCCCCCCAGGGCCCCGGAGGCAGGGTCTGATCCTTTCTCCCCTTGGGTGTTTCAGACCGAGGAGCTGAACAAGCAGGTGGTATCCAGCTCGGAGCAGCTGCAGTCCTACCAGGCGGAGATCATCGAGCTGAGACGCACAGTCAATGCCCTGGAGATCGAGCTGCAGGCCCAGCACAACCTGGTGTGTATTGTTCAGACCTGCTGGTGAGCGATGGGAACTTGGGAGGCAGAGTCTTGGGGATGCCCTTGGGGCCACACACTCTTCTTAGCTCTTGGAGCTTGTGAGTTTTTTCGAACCCCATGGAGGAACCCTATAAGGAGCAGCTCTCTGACATTCCTGATCTTTCCCACCACAGCGATACTCTCTGGAAAACACGCTGACAGAGAGCGAGGCCCGCTACAGCTCCCAGCTGTCCCAGGTGCAGAGCCTGATCACCAACGTGGAGTCCCAGCTGGCGGAGATCCGCAGTGACCTGGAGCGGCAGAACCAGGAGTATCAGGTGCTGCTGGACGTGCGGGCGCGGCTGGAGTGTGAGATCAACACATACCGGAGCCTGCTGGAGAGCGAGGACTGCAAGTGAGTACCTGGCGGACGGCACCCCTGCAAGGGACAGGCACTGTTCTACTGTAGGATAAAACAGAGACTTTGAAAATCAAGTTTCAGATGCCAATCTGTCTGTAGAGGCGAGAGTTTTATATTACAGCCGTGGGAAGTGTAGGATATTTGTTGCTAACATTATCTGGGCTAAAGATACTTTCTTTTACAAAAGATAGTCATGGGACTTGACTCCTTCCTCCAGTAGAGATTTTTTGGATGTTGATGGCCAAATAAATCTTTCTGTCTTCAGGACTGTCTTGTCACCACAAAAAGGAAAATGAAACTGTAACAATGATCACTTTTTCTGATTTAAACAGAACTTTCAAATCCACCGTTTCATTAATTCTTGTTAGAATCATCTGAGGCAGGCAGAGTGGGAATCATTATCACCTTCTTATAGATGAGCATTTGAGTGTCAATAGGGTTGATGATCAATAACTAACAGTACAGCAGTTGCCAGCGAACATAATATTTTTATGAACACAGTCTTGTGGAATTTTCATAATCCTGTGTGGTTGGTACTACCAGTCCTACCTTACAGGTGGGAAAGCTGAGGCTTAGAAGGAGGAAGTGACTTTCTTGTGTGTCTAGGGTCATACAAGGAAGGCTGGGATTCCACCTTACATGTTCTTTGCTCATTTCTGCCACTGTATCAGAACTCTGTAGAAGGAGTGATCCAAACAAGGCATGGCTTCCTAGGACATCAGAGAACGGGTTCTGCTTGTTTCTGTGTCTCTTTGGATTGAGTCTCCCTTGTTTGAATCACCCTTCTCATGCTGACAGTCTAATGCTTCTGCATCCCAGGCTGCCCTCCAACCCCTGCGCCACCACCAATGCATGTGAAAAGCCCATTGGATCCTGTGTCACCAATCCTTGTGGTCCTCGTTCCCGCTGTGGGCCTTGCAACACCTTTGGGTACTAGATACCCTGGGGCCAGCAGAAGTATAGCATGAAGACAGAACTACCATCGGTGGGCCAGTTCTGCCTCTCTGACAACCATCAGCCACCGGACCCCACCCCGAGGCATCACCACAAATCATGGTCTGGAAGGAGAACAAATGCCCAGCGTTTGGGTCTGACTCTGAGCCTAGGGCTACTTGATCCTCCTCACCCCAGGTCCCTCTCCTGTAGTCAGTCTGAGTTCTGATGGTCAGAGGTTGGAGCTGTGACAGTGGCATACGAGGTGTTTTGTTCTCTCTGCTGCTTCTACCTTTATTGCAGTTCCCCAAATCGCCTAATAAACTTTCCTCTTGCAAAGCAGACATGATTCTCATTTGTATTCATTCTTTTCAAAGTGTTGACTCTCTGTGTGCTTCTTATAAAGCCACTTGAAAGCAGAAGGAGGACTTTATAGGTTAATCATCTCCTAAAAGGTCTTCATCACCTTCATTAACATTCATTAAGCACAGTGAGTCCCAGCATCCACTTAGGCCAGCATAAAACAAGTAGGATCACTAGGACAAGAGGCCTCGTCTGAATATGATAAACATATTTCTCATGGGACCTTACTCAGTAAAATGCAACGGTGAGCATCTCTAGACAGTTCCACTCATTCTTTTAAGTCCCTAGCAGGGATGACAGAAGTTAATATTTATTGAACACCTACCAAATGCCAGGAATTGTGCTACTAATTTTTTCTCTTCCTCACAGTGAGGAAGAATCAATGGCAGGACTGAACCCAGAGTTCACTCTCTGCTTGTCAGTTACACATGAGGTGTGATTATGAGAGGACAAAATTGATTTCAAACAAGCACCCAGAGCTTATACATCCTCCTGGGGAGACACAATGCTGTTAGTGCTCAAAACATCTCTGAAACTCTCCTTTGTGAAATACTGAATAACTCAATACTAAAAAGCACCACCTTGCCATCTTCCATATTTGAGCAATACCCAACCTATTTTGAAAGTGTTTCTTTTCTCACTTGAATTGTTTAACCATGGGAACTACATATGAATTTCGGGACCCTCCCCCTCAAAGTTATTTAGAATCAAATTAGGATATTACAAGTCAGGTGTTTGCAAATGCTAACAGTGACCACGGTACTGGTGCCTGGCCCCTACTGGTGCCTGCTGATGTCTAACCAAGGTTAATGGCTCCCATCACTGTGCATGCTGTGGTTTGTGCCAAGGCCACTCCCTCAGTCTGCAGATTATTCCCAGATTAACCAATCTGCTAATTATGTCTTCTCTCCTTGAGATGAAGCTGATACTATC
The DNA here is from genome assembly GCF_000001405.40 of Homo sapiens. NCBI lineage: Eukaryota > Metazoa > Chordata > Mammalia > Primates > Hominidae > Homo > Homo sapiens. The sequence continues at coordinate 41,362,543 of NC_000017.11, read as the reverse complement.
TCCCCTGCTGTGATGATGCCGGTTCCATCATCACATGTCAGTCTTAAATTCTTAAATTTTTTTTTTTTTTTTTTTTGGAGACAGAGTCTCACTCTGTCACCCCAGCTGGAGTGCAGCGGCATGATCACGGCTCACTGCAGCCTTGAACTTCCCAGGCTCAGGCTATCCTCCCACTTTAGCCTCTTGAGTACATGGGACTACAGGCATGCACCACCATGCATGGCCAATTTTTGTATTATTTGTAGAGAGGGGTTTCGCTGGGTTATCCATGCTGGTCTTGAACTCCTGGGCTGAAGTGATCTGCCTACTTCAGCCTCCCAAATTGCTGGGATTACAAGTGTGAGCCACTGCACCTGGCCAGTCTTAAATTCTTGTGCTCTCATATTCTAGTTCACTTAATATCTACTCCTTTGTTGTTGATGCTGCTGCAGCTTAGACAGGAGACCTTGGAAGACCGTCTGAGTGATACTCCATCCTCTGCTCAGAATGTCTTAGACCCAGTTTGTGGACTCTATTCTCTCTTTCCTCAGGGAGAGTTCATTCCCTGGAGCTACCTGCATGCCTCATGAAAACCGCCCTTGTTCAATTTATCCCGGCAGTTCTCCACACATGCTGGGATTACTGTCCACTGATAGTTACCTCTCAGCTACCTTCACCAGGAACAGTGCCTCCCAAATACCCAGTTGCATGCTTTGTGAGTGAGAGGTCAAAGTTCTCAACACAGTAAATACACTTTGTTTTTAGTGTTCAATTTATAAAATATTAAGCAAAACTTGTTTCTATGTTTGATGTTGTGTCAGCGGAAAACATGGGTCTAGGGAAAACAGTCCTTAGTTCTTATCTCTGCCATGGTGCTCTCCTTGGAGGATAAAAGAAAGGAGTGTCAGGGAGATCACTTTTTCTCAGGACAAAGCCAAATTGCTCTTCTGAAGTATCTGGGAAGGGTCAGTGTTACCACTGAGAAATAAAACTAAAATCCTAAGTCCCCCAGCTGACTGAACGGACTCTGTCTTGGCCAAGGGGACCGAAGAGAAACCTTAAAAACAGAGTCACATGTATGTTTATTGCAGCAATGTTCACAATAGCAAAGGCCTGGAATCAACCCAAATGCCCAATAATGATAGACTGGATAAAGAAAATGTGGCACATATATACCATGGAATACTATGCAGCCATAAAAAAGGTTGTGTTCATGTCCTTTGCAGGGACAAGGATGAAGCTGGAAACCATCATTCTCAGCAAACTAACACAGGAACAGAAAACCAAACACCGCATGTTCTCACTCATAAGTGGGAGTTGAACAATGAGAACACGTGGACACAGGGAGGGGATCATCACACACTGGGGCCTTTTGGGGGGTGGGGGGCTAGGGGAGGGATAGCATTAGGAGAAATACCTAATATAGATGATGGGCTGATGGGTGGAGCAAACCACCATGGCACATGTACACCTATGTAAAAAACCTGCACGTTCTGCACATATATTCCAGAACTTAAAGTATAATAAGAAAAAGAAAAAAGAAGGAAAGAAAGAAAAAAACAGAGTCCCTGACCATGACAGGATGGGAGGTCAGACATGCCTCAGTATGCCCCCTCCTTATTAACTTTTAACCAGAATTCTTTCCTAAGGAGTAAGCAGAAACCAGCTCTGGAAAATAAGAAACAGATGAATCATTCCTTTATCACCTTTAGCCCATCATCTGAAGCTGTGACTGGATTCCTTCCTCCCGCCTTTTGCAGTTTCAACACAGCAACCAACTGGCTGGCATTCCTTCCTGATAAGAGACCACCAACCATGGAGTGGTCTGGCCAGTCTACAGAGGATGTGCGGTGAGGGTTTTCACATCCTCTGCCTCACCTTTCAACATCAGAGGGCCAAAAACTCCATCCTTGGATCATGCTAATGCCACCATTTGTGAACATGCGACCCATGAAGAGGCATGAAGCTCAATTGCACATGCTTACATTTGTCTTTTCATAAATATTCATGACTCCTCCTGTAGCTTATTAAATAGTGCATTTGGCCACCTCACTCAGCATACATTCCTTTCTCACATTTCCCTCCCTCAAAATGCTTACTCTTGGCTTCTGCCAGAGGCTACGCTTCCCAGCTTGCAGGATGGTCAGCCTGGAGGCTGCAGCCTTTTATGAGAAATAAAGCTCTCCTTTCCAACTTTATTAATCTTGTGATTTTTCAGTTGGCACTACTTAGCTTACTGACTTGGCAAGATACGCTGGCTGTAAAATTCACCATGACATGATGACCTGCAATTGGCCATCTAGTGTGACAAGGCAATGTTGCCAATGAAATGTGGGTATAATCTAGCTTGTCTCACTTCATAATTTTAAAGTTTCTAGTGAAATTAAATATTTAAAAAATCTTTTTATTGGTCATTCATGTGTCTTCTCTATAAATCAATTCAATCCAATGTATAATCATTGAATGCTTACGATGGTGCCTGTTGGGCAGAGCACTGAACAAAACAAAGACCTGCTCTAAGAAGCCTACTTTCAAGTGGAAGAAGACAGACAATAAAAAGAGGCAAACAAGCATGACTGTGTCAAGCAATAAGTGCTGAGAGGAAATATAAAGCAAGGAAAGGGAATAGGAAGTGGAAACTTTTGGATAAGGTGGTGAGGGCACTCTATGTCTGATGAGGAGAAATAGGGTTTAATCTATTTACATGTAATTTTATTACTGACTTTTTGGACTTATTTTAAAAATCTTACTTTGTCCTTTCCATTAAGGATGATTTTTTTTTGTTGCTTATTGTTTCCTCAGTTCCTGACACCTGTGGATTGATCTTGTTTTCTTTGTTCCCCCTTTTAATATGTGTTCTTAATTTTTAAATGTGCACACTTGACTTAGCACTATCTAATTTAATCTCTTTCTTCTTGCATAAAAACAAGATCCATAGAAGATGTTTTTGTTTTTTGTTTTTAAGAGACAGGATCTAACTCTGTTACCCAGGCTGGAGTGCAGTGGTGTAATCATAGCCGATACAGTTTGGATGTTGTCCTTGCCCAAGTCTCATGTTGAATTGTAATTCCAAATGTTGGAGGTGGGGCCTGGTGGGAGGTGATTGAATCATGGGGGCAGTTTCTCATGAATGGTTTAATACCATCCCCCTTGGTACTGTTGTCACAACGGTGAGTGAGTTCTCACAAGATCTGGTTGTTTAAAGGTGTGTAGAACCTCCCCCACTCCCTTGCTTCTTCTCCCACCATGTGAGACACCTCGCTGCACCTTTGCCTTCCACCATGATTGGAAGCTACCTGAGGCTTCCCTAGAAGCAGAAGCCTCTATGCTTCCTATACAGCCTGCAGAACTGTGAGGTAATTAAACTTCTTTTCTTTGTAAATTACCTAGTCTCAGGTATTTCTTTATAGCTGTGTGAGAATGGATTAATACAATGGCCCACTGCAGCCTTAACCTCCCAGATCCTGAGGATCCTAACCTCAAGTGACCCTCCTGCCTCAGTCTCCGAAGTAGCTGGGACCACACATGCATGCCACCATGTCTGGCTAATTTTTTACTTTTTATTTTTGTAGAGACAAGGTCTCTCTATGTTGCTTAGGCTGGTCTTAAAATCCTGGGCTCAAGGGATTCTCTGTGTTGGCCTCCCAAAGTGTAGGGATTACAGGTGTGAGCCACTGTGCCCTGTCAGAAATTTTTGTTTATGTTCTTTACTTTACTTTTTTATCTTGGTTTATTTTATTATTTATTTATTTATTGACAGGATCTTGATCTGTTGCCCAGGCTGGAGTGCAGTGGCATGATCATAGCTCACTGCAGCTTCACCTTCCTTGTCTCAACCTATCTGCCTGTCACAGCCTCCTGAGTAATGGGACTACAGGCATATGCCACCATGTGTAGCTAATTAATTTTTTTTTTTGTAGAGACGAGGGTCTTTCTATGATGCCCAGGCTGGTCGTGAACTCCTGGGCTCAAGCGATTCTTTCACCTTGGCCTCTGAAAGTGCTAGGATTGTAGATGTGAGTCGCCATGTTCAATCTTACCTTATTTTTATGCTCCAAAATTTGGTCATTATTATTATTATTTAGAATTATCTACATGGTTACCAGTTTATTTGTTTGCAGTGTTTCTTGGACTTTATTCGTCCTTTCTGGTTTTAACTTTTTATTTTCTGAAATACATTCTTTGGTAGTTTTTATAGCATTTGCTATGGTTTGAATGACACCTCCAACCATTCACTACTACTTAAACCATTCACTACTACTTAATGGTCAAGTAGTGATTAGGCCATGAGAACCCTGCCTTCATCAATGGATTAATGTCATTTTATCATGGGAGGGGGGTAGTTATCATGAGAGTGGACTTGTTATAAAATGAGTTTGGCCTCCTTTTGCTCTCTGGCTGTCATGCTCTCTTGCATTTACACCTTCTACCATGGGACAATGCAGCATGAAGGCCCCCATCAGATACCAGCATCTTGATAGTGGCCTTCCCAGTCTCTAGAACTGGAGAAATAAATTTATTTTCTTTATAAATTATCCAGTGTGTGGAATTCTGCTGTAGCAACACACAGCAGACTAAGAATCTATAAGTGACAACTTCTCTGTTATTTTCTGAAAATGTCTTTTCTTAGTGGTCACTCTTACATGATGGTTTAGTTTGTATAAAATTCTAGGTTGGCAGCTATTTTCCTTCAGCGTGTTGGAAATATTATACCATTATCTTCTGGATTCTGTTGTTGATGCTGAAAAGCCTATTGCTAACCTGTATTTCCATTGTTGGTAATTCTTCTATTTTTTTCTCTCTTTGACTCTTTCTAAGATCATCTCTTTGTCTTTAGTGTTGTGCAGTTTCACTATGTTATTCTAGGGATGGCTTTGGTTTAGTTTTCCTACTTAGGACTTATGTGCTTCTTGATTGATTCATGTATTTCAATACCCGTGGAAAATTCTCAGCCATTACATTTTTTCAATATTACTTATATCTTATACTCCATTTTCTCCTTCTGAATTCCTTTTTTTAAAAAATAGCTTCACTGAAGTATAATGTATCATATATAATTCATATACTATAAAATTTACAGATCTAAAGTATAAAATCAAATGGTTTTTAGTATAATGAGAGTTATAACTACTACTACCATTTTAGAACATTTTATTACCTCTAATAGAAACCTTGTACCCATTAGTAGTCACTCTCTGTTCCCTGCAACCCTCCAGGCCCAGGAAATCATTGCTGTCTCTTTAGATTTGCCTGTTCTGGACATTTTATATAATGAAGTCATAGAATATGTGTTTTTTTGGCTAGCTTCATTTACATAGTATGTTTCAAGGTCCATCCATGTTGTAACATATAACAGGTATCATGGAGGAATAAGTGCATGATCCTAACCTAGGATCATGAAGATTTACTTCTACATTTTTTTCCTAAGTTTTCTAGTTTTAGCTGTTACATTTAGGCTGTGCTCCATTTTGAGTCATTTTTTTTGTCTGTGGTGTAAGAAAGGGGTCAAACATTTTATTCTTTTGCATGTGGATGTCTAGTTGTCCCAGCATTATTTACTGAAAAGATTATTTTTCCCCATTAATTATATTGGGACCTATGTTGAATATTAATGGACCATAAATGTGAGGGTTTATTTCTAGACTCTCAATTTTATTCTGTTGGTCTGTATGTCTATCTTTATGCCAATAGAATACTGTCTGTGTTACTGTAGCTTTGTAGTAAGTTTTGAAATCATGAAATGTTAATCCCCCTACTTTGTTCTTCTTTTTCAAGATCGTTTTGGCTATTCTGGTCTTATGCATTTCCACATGAATAAAAGGAACAACACGTCAAGTTCTATAAAACAGCTAGCTGGGATTTTGGTAGGTGTTGTTGAAAGTTTAGATCAACTTGGGTGATACTGCCATCTTAACTGTGGAGCCCAATGGAACATCTCTCCTGTAACACAGAGGTGTGCAGGAAAGAAGGACTGCACTCCTCAAGCCACCCTGCCTGAATCCTCCCTATGTAGAGGGAACTGGGGTTAGAAATGGGTGAGCTATGAAAAATGGGATCTGCTGATGTGTATTGGCTGCTGGGAGGATTGGGAACTGCCACTCAGCTGCCCAGCACATGGTGCTTCTGGAAGGCAGAGACATGAGAAATAATGGAGTCCCTCATTTAAACATCATAGCCCCCAGTGTTCTTATCAAGTTTCCATTTTTTGTGTGTGGTTGTTGAGTAAATGCTTCTCATTTGTTGTAAGCCCTTTAATCAATGCCTAGAGCCTTTGACTGATGTCTTTGTTAATTTTGAGTGGCTTAATAGATGTCTTTCTAGGGGAGAGACTTCCCCAAGCTCTTCATACCACCATTTCTGTGCTTCTTCAAACAGATTTTGGACCTTCACATTCTAGCTTGTCTGTCATCTCTTTCATATTTTCAATCTCTAAATATTTCTGTGTTATATTCTGGTAAATTTCCTTAGAGATCTTTTCCAGTTGACTTATTCTCTTTTCATCTTTGTCTAATTTAATGTTTAACCTATCAATCGAGTTTGAAAATTTGTTGTATTTTACTTTTGTAGAAAAGAAAGGCTCTTTTATTATTAATTTTTTTAGAATTGGCTTTAATAAATGCAATTCTAACAGAGATGACAATACTTTATTTGGCTTTGTAAGAAAGGGATATTTCAGCTATTAAAGCTAACAACAATTTGATACATAAAAAGTGATTGAATAAAGGGAATAATAAGGCAGAAATGCATATTTTATATCTTAACAGAAATGAATAAATGCAACATTCCATGTAAAAACTAACAAAATTACATCAATTCCCAGACAAAATCTATTAGGAGTCAACTTAATTTTATAAAAATGAATTTGTCATTTAATGAAAAAAGTAAAACAATTAAATTTATTGACTCCTAGAACTCTGTTAAAATATTTCTGTGAAGCTCTGTGGAACAATTATTAATAAAATTAAGCTGACAGAACAAATGCAACAATTAAACAATTGCTGTGACTTAATAGGAGAAGTATAAAATATCTAAAAATGTCCAATAGAATTATGAGAGCTAAAACTTTGTTTTTAATTAAAATTTCATTAGTTCAGTAGGAGATGAGTGAAAATTTAGCACCCTGAATAATATTATTGATATCAAAAGAAAATTTTGATTTTTTGAAGCCACAAAAGACCTAGTGATGAAATTTTACACTTAAAATTTGCACTTTAAATTATACTCTTCACTTTTAGAAGTTGTTTGACATTTTTTTTTTAAACATGCCTATACTTTTTGCATAGTGGCTACCATTTTCTTTTAGGGATTTGATTCCTTATTTTGTCGTATAAGCTCTTTAAACATAGTTATTTAATATACTTGGCTTTAACCTTCTGTTTCTTGTATCTTCTCCTCCTTGCTAATTGTGAGTTATTTCCTTGGGTGTTTTGTTAATTTATCAGCATGAAGGTTCTTGCATTGATTCAACCCCCAAACCTTAATGATAAATAGGTCACTAGTTTAACAATCTCAAAGGAGATTTTTACTATTTACTTTTTTTTTTTACTATTTTACTATTTACTATTATTTACTATTATAATTTTAAAATTAGAGCCCACTAAGAGATAGATAGTTCAGCTTTTTAAAGTTTTCCTTTAACAACAAGCATCCTTTATTTTTCTAGTTCACCTTTTTACTAAGGGTTTAGTGTTTAGAGAGACTTGCATCGTTCGGTGGTCTCCGCCTGAACTCTCTCATAAAGACTAAAAGCCTTATCCTATTTCTTTAGTCTAATTTATCCTCTTTCAGTTTAGACTCTTTCACAAGCTCTCTGCAAGTTTGGGCAAGTCACTTCCCCTTTTGGGTCAAAGTTATCCCATTTTTAAAATGAAAGAGTTGAGTGAAATGACCAGTTAGGTCCTTGGTAACTCCAGCATGCTAAGCCTGTAGGCTTTATCTGACTTAGATAGTATTTCCAGAAAAGAAATTTAATTATCCCTTATGTGTATGTGGGAAGTATAGTCTATGGATGCGGGTCAATATGAGGTGGTTCTAGCAGCCAATCTTGGACCATGGGCTAGCAGTCAATGGCAGAATGTTTCTCCAAGGGTTACTCCTCCTTGTCTTCTCCTTCACCCGAAGCTCAGACCTCATGCCAGTCAATTCATGAGCTATAGGTAGCTTGATTTCCCTTCATTCCTTCTTAGTAGCTCACCTTTGGAATGGACAAAGTCAGCAGATATCACAAGGGCATGAATGCCGATCACAACAAAGACTTTATTTCTAGAACAGGCTCAAGTGTAATGTAGTAATTATATTGGAACAGGAGCCTCCTAGGCTTTTTTTTTTTAATAACTCATTGTTCCTCTAGAAGATTTGCAAGAATTTCCTTCTGAAATTTTAAATGTAAATTTTATTTTGTTTATTGTGCAGAAGTAACATATATTTTCAAAGAATTTGGAGAGAAGAAAAAAAACATTCATAATCCTGTCATTTAATAGCATCCAGTGTCATTGTGGTGTGTTTTCTTTAATCTCTCAATTGTCCCCATTTTAATAATAGTTTAATTTTGTTGTGACTATCTTTTGTGTACCTTACTCTGGATAAGCATATTGCTGTCGAGTAGGGTCACCATTGTTTGACCAATTGTTCTAAGTTGCTCCAAACAGATGGGATATAATCTATATCTGATGGGATATAATTATGTTTAAATTACTCCAAATTGTTGGTATATAATTGTATCATCAACTTAGAAATAATTGAAATCAGAGAGTTAACAAGAAACTGTACTATTGCTGAATTCTATCTTTATTTACACATTGACTCATAATTCTTCTTCAACACAGCATATCTATGGTTAACAAGATGTTTTTCTCACTGCCCTTGATTTCTGTCCTTAGGTAATAACAGATCAGATTGTTTGTGAAATTCTTCAACATTTCAGTAGAATGGTGATTGGGCTGATAATGCAGTGGGAATCAGAAGATCTGGGTCCTAGCTAGATGATACTAAGCAAGGCATTTCTCCATTCTGAGCCTCAGTTTCCCCTTCGTAAAACGAACGGTTTGGATGAGTTGACCATTAGGATCCCCAATATCTTGTTCCAAGATTTTCCCTCTCTCTTTTAACCATTTTCATATTTAGGATCTATGTTAGGAGGTAAGAGGGAGGAAGAGAAGAGCCAAATGCAAAGCCATCTGGTTTTTGGTCTGTAGCTGTAGCTGGGAGGCTTGGAAGCTGCTTGGATTGGTAGCTGTAGCTGGGAGGCTTGGAATCTGTTGTCTGCTTTATCCTCTGCTAGCAAGGACATAGGAAGCCCCTCCTCTTTCTGGCCAATGTATGCCTCCTCAGGCCCATACTTGAATTTTTTCCTCATTGCCTCTTTAGGATATCAAATAAGGCTCATCTTACATCTTGTGACAAAACAGAAGTGGTGTCATATGCACGGTCAGTTCAGATTACTCATGCTTCTTGGATAATTGTTCCTAAATAATAAACTATTACGAATCATCAAGTTCAAACAAGTCTGGCATCTGCGTAAAGCCCACTCCAATTATTGTATAAAAGTCTGTATTGGTAAGATCAAAGCTCCAAGCTTAATAATCAGATATATAAATTTATTGCAGCAGAACTTCTCTAAGTAATGAACATCTCAATTCTGTGTGTTTGAAGTCTTGGTTTACCGAAGTTCACTGTGGGCATTACTTTAAGAATGTGCACAGGCGCTGCGTACAGCAGGCATACCTGTGTGACCCTGGAAAGGTCCTGGTAAATTTCTGGTCAAGGCAGCCAATACCCTCTCCATGGTCCTGATCATGTGCGGCCCCTTTGCTGCACTTGGCACTTCTAACATCACCTCCTCTTGGAAGCACCCTCCTTCCTGCCCTTCTGGGATGCCATGAACTTGTTTTTATCATTTTTTTCTCACCATTTCTCCATTTATCACAGATTCTTTTTCCTTCTCCTGATCTCTGATTGGGAAATTCTCCAAAGTTTGGTCCTCAGCTCCTTGTTGCTCTTCTCTTTGTACTCTCCCTTGGCCCAGTTCTCTAACTCTCTCACTTGTACTAAACCTTATCTGTATCATCATCCCTGCCATAAATTCTAGTCTTGCATGGACTGTTGCAATAGTCTCTTTGCTGAACTCTTTGCCTCCAATCTTTCCTTCATTTTTCAAAAACAGATAAATATTTGCTAAAACATTTCCTAAAACACCTTTTGTCACACCACACTTAGGTTCAAAAGCTTATACTGGCTCTACAGCTTCTGGGGAAGTCCAAGCTGCTCCACTTCACCATCGAGACCCCCTACCATAGGGTCCCCATACAATCCCCCATAAAGCTTTAATTTCTAGCACTTCCCTTCACAACTCTCCCCTTCCTGCTGCCTAGACTTACCCTGGTCCTTCAACCATGCCTTGGGCTTTCCCACCCCATTCCTGTGTGCACATTATTCTCCTCACCTGCACTTCCTACTTTTCTCCCCTCTGCTTCTTAGAAGCCTCCCTATCCCAGCACAAATCCATTCATCCATTCCTAAGAGCCTCCAATCCTGGAGCTGCTCGCCCTCCCCAGTGTGTAAACCACTCAGTTATCACTTGTCAACTTCTGCCTCAGATTATTATTTCCTGTTCATCCCTTCATCACTCTACCCACACCCATTCAACAGTGCCTACCAGGTGCCTAGAGCTGGGGATTCAAAGACAAACTAGACCCTGCCCTTGCCTTCAGGGACCTCAAATAGAGACAGAGAGACAAGCACATAAGTCATGACAGTGTCATGCTCAAGGTAAAAAGAGAGCTTGGAGAGGAGAAAGGGACGGCCTGTCTGAAGAAGGGAAGGAAGTAAGCCATTTATATTTAAGCCAAGTGTTGTGATGAAAAGAAAAGTGATCTGCTTTGGAATCCTAGGTCCACAACTTATTATCCTCACCCTCTATGCCTTGGTGTTCTCATCTATAAAATGGGAATTATACAGTTTACCTTTAAGAGTTCTGGTGAGGAATAATGGACATCTAAGTTCTGCATGTTTGAGGATCATGTTTGTAAAAAGGATCTAGTTTGTGAAAAGTGTCCACACTACCTTGGGCTTGTGCAGTTTCTTAACAAGTAAGAACTTCTTCTGACCATAGCATTGAGTCCTATTTTCCACCCCTCCCAGTGTCTATTACATCGCCCTGGATGAAATTGTCATAGTGGATATCTATTATTTGGTTGATTGACGTCATCATGGACATGAAAAAAGCCCATCATATCAGGAAACATGGCCATCAGGAACTGTCCCAGAAAGGATCTATTCCTCTTTCTGAGAACCATGAATTTGGAATTTGGCACTTGGAAATGTGACCTAGCAAAAGACACAGGGCAAGAGCTATGCTTTTCCATTTCACCAAGGAGAGCCAGAGCTTGCCAAAGAGTTAGGGGCCTCAAGCCACAAAGCAGAACAGCAATACTGTCTCTTGACCTGCTGCACCCCACTGAAGAAGGCCAGGGCTTTCATGAGTCCAGGTCTTTGAAGTCACACCATGAAGCTCTTACATCATGACACACAGCATGGAAGAGGAGTCCCGACTTAGCGAGAAGCCCAAGTAAAGTATTTTATGAGGGGAGAGACTCTTCTGAAGAAACACAACAAATGGAGGGAAGGGCTTTTGACAATCACCAAATGAGCAAAAAAAAAAAAAAAAAAAAGGGGTTGTCTTACGTGTCCACACCCTCCATGGACGAGGTATAAATGCTCCCTGGAGGAAGGAGACCCACCGCTCTACAACCTGGAGATTTTGGACTCTGTCTTCAGCTGGACACTCCCTCCCTGCACCATGTCTTACAGTTGTGGCCTGCCCAGCCTGAGCTGCCGCACCAGCTGCTCCTCCCGGCCCTGTGTGCCCCCCAGCTGCCACGGCTGCACCCTGCCCGGGGCCTGCAACATCCCCGCCAATGTGAGCAACTGCAACTGGTTCTGTGAGGGCTCCTTCAATGGCAGTGAGAAGGAGACCATGCAGTTCCTGAACGACCGCCTGGCCAGCTACCTGGAGAAGGTGCGTCAGCTGGAGCGGGACAACGCGGAGCTGGAGAACCTCATCCGGGAGCGGTCACAGCAGCAGGAGCCCTTGGTGTGTGCCAGCTACCAGTCCTACTTCAAGACCATTGAGGAGCTCCAGCAGAAGGTGAGGAGTGGGCGACACAGTGCCTCCAGTAGGAAGTTGTCGGGAGAGAATCCGAGTTGTGATTGAGAAACAACGTAAGCTCTTGATGTGAATGAAAAGCTGAAAACTGGCCTTTCCATTTTGTTTTTTGAGGGCCCATCTAATACTAGACTTGGGACTGTTAGGTCTAAATATTTGCATAGTGTTAGTCTATGTGGAGGTAGCAGCACTTTGCATAAATGAGCTGTAATTAAAAACTACCTCTGAATGCTTCCATGCACCTGCCAAGCTCCAGAATTATTACCCTGAGGTGAGAGAAAAGGACTGAGTCCAAAGGAAGCTGGGGAAACGGAATCTTTTGTAAAGACTGGGCCATTTTCTTTCTCCCTCATCTGAGCTTTTTGCCCCTTGGACTGCTGGCTGCCTCTCTCTTCTAGGTTCCTACTTATCCTGATTTCATTGTCCTCACCTTCATGCCTCTGGGCTTCTCCTGGTGCACAGTGTCCAGTGAGAGCCTAAAATGTTTGGCCCAAATTGGGAAGATTGGAAATTACCTAGGACAAAGTAGTCCCAGTTGTCTGGGACATCTGGGAACATGTGGCTTCTTCCCTGATCCAGTCCCCTGCAATTGCTAGTTTACCTATTTGTCTTTTCTGCTTGATTGAAAGTTTCTTGAGGGCAGGATCAAGTGCTTACCAATTTTTGTATCCTCAGCTCCTAGTATCATGCCAGAAACATAGTAGGTGTTTTTCATAAATGTCAACTATTATGATCAGCTTCTCAGTATTGCTCATTAGGATAGAAAAAAGATTATCTACTTATACTTTTTGCATATTTTGGTGTTCTTTTTTTGAATATAATTTTGGAAATATTCATTGAGTACCTGCTGTATATAGAAAGCATTTAATAAGATAGACATCCTGATCCTTCCAAGGAAGTGAATTAGGAAGGACTGCCATTGGTGAAAAATTACCAAGTCCTTGCTCATTCTTGAATGTTTTGGGCCTTCTAGATCCTGTGCAGCAAGTCTGAGAATGCCAGGCTTGTGGTGCAGATCGACAATGCCAAGCTGGCCTCAGATGACTTCAGGACCAAGTGAGTGGGCAAGCGGGGTGTTGCTGTTTATTTCTCTTCTCTGGCAGCCCTCCTTTCCTTTAGCCTGTTGTCAACACAAGTTAAACAAACAGTGACTGAGCTATGTTCTAGCTGCTTTCTCCAAGATTCACAGAGCCACCACACACCGTAGCTCAGAGATCCTTTCCCCAGGCCTTAGACTTCCTTTCCTCCTTCTTCTCCTCTGTGACGTGACACCCCTAGTCGTACTGTGAGTTAGTGTAGACGTGTTGGCCCCCGATGTTCTCCTATGCACAGAACCCATTCATGAGAATGGAGAATGTGGAAGCATATTATTTTGGAAGTCTTACAGTTTGTCAGCTTTTATCCTAAATCCACTGGCTTTCTTCTTTTTTTTAGAGACAGGGCCTTGCTCTGTCACCCAGGCTGGAGGGCAGTGGTGCAATCATAGCTCAGTGTAACTTCAGATCCTCAGACTCCTGGGCTCAAGCAACCCTCTCCCCTTAGCCTCCTGAATAGCTAGGAATATAGAAGTCTATCCACTGGATCTTTAAACGTAAAATTACCAGTGCATTTTCTTCCAGCTCGATGCTGAAAACCTAAACAAAAGAGATGGCTATAAAAACTACAAACCCTAATTCCTAGTTGCCTGACTAACCAAACCAAAGCAGAGTCAAGGCCAGGCCTATTCCTGCCCAGCCTGTTCCTGACCCTCCTGTGATCACAGATATGAGACCGAGCTGTCCCTGCGGCAGCTGGTGGAGTCGGACATCAATGGCCTGCGCAGGATCCTGGATGAGCTGACCCTGTGCAGGTCTGACCTGGAGGCCCAGGTGGAGTCCCTGAAGGAGGAGCTGCTGTGCCTCAAGCAGAACCATGAGCAGGTGAGTTCCCTGAAGAGTGATGGGCTCAGACTAGCCAGGACCTGTTTCACAACTGCCACAGGGTCCAGGACAGGCTGTCAGTAGAGGCTCAATTAGCTGAGGAAGTAATTCTGCATACAAAAAGGGATATGTAGAGAATGACTAATCTAAAAACCTGTGATATGAGATTAGGATTTTTCTGCCAGAGGCAGGAATGAGAGTGAGGAAGTTGGCAAGCCCAGTAGTGAGGAAAGCTGGGTAATGAGGCAGAAGCCACAGCCTCTCCTGTGCCCAGGTTAGAGTGCATGCAGCAGCAATCTTCTATTCCAATTCTCCATTTGTAGCTGGAGAAGCCAGGATGGCCTAGGCCCATCAGGCAGAGAGGGCTGAGCTAGAACAAAATGCAATTCTCTTCGTTCCTGTCCAGAGCTCTTTCTGCTTGCTGTTCAGTGTTGCTTGGAAACAGCCTTGAGCAAAATGCTCACCATTATGGCTAAGTCAGTTGGGCAAAAAAGAAGACGTGTATTTTATGCAACCTGAAATCCAAGAACAATGTAAATGGTGACAGTTAATATTAATCAAGTGCTTAGTATGTGCCAAACATTGTGCTAAGTGCTTTAACTCCGGAGGCAGTTCTCATGTTAAGATGAAGAAATCGAGGCTTCAAGAAGCTTCTAGAAGCAATGTATTAAGTGGTAGAGATGAGGTTGAATACAAATTTGTCTGAAATCCGCCTAAGCCCAAGTACCAAGCTATGCTTAGCAGGGAAGTAAACAGATACTTATTGCCTTCAGCAAAATCTATGCTGGTGGAATCAACAAATCACCCTTTAAGTCTCTTCTATGCCAGGATGGCAGATTTTGAAGTAAGCATTCTGTATTTCCTCTTTAGCTAGACTCTGTTCTTTTTATTATCCATGCTTAAGAGTCAAACATGTGAGGCTATATGGTATACTAGCAAAAACACTGAACTGGGCATTTGGGGACCAGAGTTTAAATAATGGCCCACCATGTATCAGCTTTGAGCCCAAATCACTGAATCTCTCTAAATGAGGAGTGATACATTTAATACAAAGAGCAGAGGGAAGTCATGGGCTTGAAAGTAGTTTGTAAAAAGTGGAGTATACAAATTAGTCATTGAATATAGATCCTGGTTAGTGACAGGATCAGAGGGAACAAAGTTTCTTGAAAGCTTAAGAATGATCAGAAGTTGAATTGCATTCTCTTAAGGAGAGCACCAAGATCCTTTGTGAAATTTAAAATTTTGCCCTTTCTCCATCAGGAGGTTAACACCCTGCGCTGCCAGCTTGGAGACCGCCTCAACGTGGAGGTGGACGCTGCTCCCACTGTGGACCTGAACCAGGTCCTGAATGAGACCAGGAGTCAGTATGAGGCCCTGGTGGAAACCAACCGCAGGGAAGTGGAGCAATGGTTCGCCACGCAGGTGGGCATCTAAGCACGTGGCCACTCAGGACCCGAGGCCCCCCAGGGCCCCGGAGGCAGGGTCTGATCCTTTCTCCCCTTGGGTGTTTCAGACCGAGGAGCTGAACAAGCAGGTGGTATCCAGCTCGGAGCAGCTGCAGTCCTACCAGGCGGAGATCATCGAGCTGAGACGCACGGTCAATGCCCTGGAGATCGAGCTGCAGGCCCAGCACAACCTGGTGTGTATTGTTCAGACCTGCTGGTGAGCGATGGGAACTTGGGAGGCAGAGTCTTGGGGATGCCCTTGGGGCCACACACTCTCCTTAGCTCTTGGAGCTTGTGAGTTCTTTGGAACCCCATGGAGGAACCTTATAAGGAGCAGCTCTCTGACACTCTCAATCTTCCCCACCACAGCGAGACTCTCTGGAAAACACGCTGACAGAGAGCGAGGCCCGCTACAGCTCCCAGCTGTCCCAGGTGCAGAGACTGATCACCAACGTGGAGTCCCAGCTGGCGGAGATCCGCAGTGACCTGGAGCGGCAGAACCAGGAGTATCAGGTGCTGCTGGACGTGCGGGCGCGGCTGGAGTGTGAGATCAACACGTACCGGAGCCTGCTGGAGAGCGAGGACTGCAAGTCAGTATGGGGGTAGTAATCTTCTCCTTGGGGCATGTTAGGTTGCTGTGGAGATGAATAGTCTTCTTGATGGAAATGAATTTATAATTTCAAGCTTTTGTTTGGAGGAAGTCCAAGGAGGAACAATATTCTTACACAAAGCCCTTTTAGTATTTTCCAATCTCTTCAGCTCATTTTACTCTAACTTGCTCCAATGATTTTCTGCCCACAGGCTCCCCTCCAACCCCTGCGCCACAACCAATGCATGTGACAAGTCCACTGGGCCCTGTATCTCTAATCCCTGTGGCCTACGTGCTCGGTGTGGGCCTTGCAACACATTTGGGTACTAGAGGCCCCACAACCAGGAGGAGAAGAAAGGCATCAGTCACACCTCAACTCTACTTCATCCCAACATCTCCAACAGTGACCACACTTTGGAAAGAGGCAGAAACCTTTCTATCAACCCTGGCTTCCAGGGGTCAGCTCTAGCCTTCCACTGTATTCCCTGGCTTGATTCTTCAGCATAAGGCTGCAAAATCTGTCTTCTGAGTCACATAGAGAGACCTACAGCAGGATCAAGATCAAGCAATATCTATCACCATAAAGACACATTTGCATAACATGTTATACTTGAATAAAACTTAAATAATACAATTTAGAGAAAATTCCATTAAATGTGATAGAGCTGATGGGCATGCTATGAAACAGAACATAATTGGAGCAAATCTTCCTTGTCACTCTTGGTCTTTGGAGATGCAATAGAAATCCTTTGTTAACCTCCTAATAAACTGTTATTCAAAAGTTATAATTGTCTGTTTCACTCATTAATTCCAAAATTGGCTGTCTTGTATAAATTAAAAAAATAACCAGAGTTTTTCCATCAGATGAAGAGGTTATTCACCCCATATATGGCCTATGATTTCCTTCAATGGAAAAGCCTCCATGAAAGACTATTAACCCGGATTTAGTGTTTGGGAAGAAGGTGGTGGGAAACAGAATGGCAAATTCATATGAAGGTGTCTTTAGAGACACAGGAACTATTTATTCTGAAACATTAAGTGGAGGGATCCGAAAACCTTTTGAGTAAAAAAAAAACCTGTACTGAGGTAATATAAATCTATCACCTTAACATATGGTATATAATCTCATATACACATATACATAACCACATACCATATAAGCATATGTACACCACACACACATGCACACACACAACCATGCTGTGCTGAAATGTTTAGGTAGAAAGTAGGAAGGAGCAGCAAAGGGTAGAGGGATATAGTGGCCAGGAGGAGTGTGGGATCTGCTAGGCTGGATGGTGGGGAGGTGCCTTTGGTTCACCTTCCTCTCTTTGTTCCTGCCTCGGCACTCAAGGACTCCTTGTGACTTTCTGTAGTTCTATGATGTGGGCCTGGAACTCTATGCTGGAGTTCTCTGCTCAGTTGCCTGGGGTCTGCGTCAGATGATGGAGAACTGTGAGTGGGTTATTTGGCGGAAAAGTCTCTTTTGTCCTAGTGAGCCTTGAGCTTTGGCCCCACCTGTTTTTATTTATATGCAGTTGGGACCATCATTATGTCACATTACTGCCTTCAGTGGCATCCAGATTTGGCAATGTTTAAAAAAACAAAAACAGCAATCAAGTAAGGAAACCCAAGGCCCAGCCCACAAATGAGATTGAGTCTCATTTTTCACTTCTCTACTCCTACTTTTCTAAATCAATGATTGAAATGAAGAGATATTGAGAATGGGAACTCTTAATAGAGATTAGAATATCATCAACCTATGAGAACAGGTAGGGAGGGGCAGGAGGTAGAGTGGGGGTTGGAAATTCTCTCCAAAACTTGCAGACCATATATTTAGGTGTGGTAGAGATGTCCAGGGAAAAATACCCAAAACCTTCCATTCAGGGCTGTGGATACCAGAGGACAGCTAAGGAGACCAGCCCTCAACAGTTGCTCGTGGCCACCTTCTTCCCTTAGGTGCGGACCAGTCCTCTCTTTTGCGTTAGGGCTAACATAGAGAGAATGCTGAGTCTCAAAGATTGGTCACTCGCTACTCCATTTGTCTTCAGCAGCACAGTCCTATAGAATGGAGAACAGATGTTCCTGAGGATCTGAGAGTCTGGGCTCCTTTTTAGTGGAAGATCATGTATATAAAACATTTCTTTATTTGAGTTTGGAAGAGAAGAATCAGTAGAAAAGGTCTTTATAAACTTTAAAAATAACCTGGATAGGATACAGATTTCAATTAAATCAATGTAGAAAGTCACCTCATCATTAATCATGAATGTCTGCTGCTTGCTTGGAAGGAGGAGATAAATAATGGGTTCAGAATCCTTTCTTTCTCTCTTGTATATTTCAGCAACAATGCAGAGGCAGGAAAAAAAAAGCAAGAATTCTTAAAGGCGAGGTTCTGTTATTCAACCCTGGGCTTTCCCAGGTGCAAACTTAATTTCTCCTTTCTGCAGGTTCCCAGGTCTGCAGTCGCTGAGGTCATCAGCTCCTCGAGCCAGGCCTTCTCAGAAAACAGTGCTCTGAGGGGAGAGGCCCATAGCAAGGAAGCAAGGAAACAAGACCCTGGGAAATGTCTCCTAATCCCTGCCCCACCCTTCCCTGTGAAATAAACCATGATGGCGCTGGGCTATGAGTCTTACCCACTAGGAGATGGTGTGGGATGCTGTGATGAGAAGAAGAATTATGGCTTGTTTTGGAGGCAACATTTTTTGGTCCTGGTTTTGGATATATTGTTGACTCCCCTGACCATCAGAGTCCTCCTTTTGAGAGACCTGGCCTGGCAGCATTGTGGGGTTGTGAAGATCCCCTGTGTATGGAAGTGCTTTATAAATGGTGCAGCATGGTACCTATGTAAGACTCAGTATTCTTGTTGTTGACACTTTGACCTTGAATACGAATTCCTGGGCTCTTGGGATCTAAGTTTGATATTGTCTAGTCCCAGTAAAACATTCTACTCAGCCTCCTAACAGCCTGTTTGCTCCTATTTTTGACAGATGTGAACCGAGCTCCTATTGTCTCAGTTTGGAGAGCTTGCCTGAGAGGTGACATTTGCATTGAGACCTGAAAACAGAGAAGAAACAGAGCAGAGGGAAAGAGCTTTCCAGAGAGAGGGACAGAAAGTCAAGGAAGGGAGGGAGTAAGGCAGTTGCCTTTGAAGAAGGGAGCAAGGCCAGGGCATCGGGAGTGATGAGTAGGGGAGGAACAATCAGCCTGTATGTGTGGGCAGTGGCCAGGGTACATGGGGGCTCGCCAGTTCTGTGGAGGATCCGATTTCATTTCAAGGGAAGAGGAAAGCCTTGGGAGAGTTAAAAGGATGAATTTGATTGACACTTTTATTAAAAGGAGTGCATTGGCAGCTGAATGGAAAATAGGTTTACTGAACACTAACATTTAAAGTTTCAGGGTAGTGGATGACAATTACAAGTCAGGTATGTCTTCTTTTATGTTTCAAAGAAGAATCACTGACATCTAACAACAACTGCTCACATTTCTCATCAAAAACAGGAGAGTCTGGCAGCAGGCACCAAAAGTCCCAAGAATGGCTCCAACTATAAAAGGATATGAGGATGACATGATCTGTCCCTTGTTATTGCAAAATGCACACTGACAACTTGATGAAGTTATGTGCCAGGCAGGTGGGCCCCGGCCCCACCAGGCTCCTCGCTGAGCCTGCTGCAGGTGTGCAGAGGTAGCTTTCCCTCACTCTCACTTTTTTTTTTTAAACTTGTAGGGACAAGCACAGGACTGAAATGTAAAGTGTAGGGGGAGCCCTTGAAACTATTGCTATGGAATAAAAGATGAAATGCTCCTGATTATTGTAAATACAAAGTTGCATGCAGGATTGTGTAAAGACAATGCCAGGCTGGACTACCAGAATAAGCCAACAGCGTGTGATGTGCTTCCCCCTGCAGAGTCTATGAACGGAAGGGCAGGCAGGGATGTTTCACATCACCAAGATTCCTATCCCAGAAAAGCAGATGTTCATAGCTCTGAGAACGGAATGCGACCCTTGAGGAGAGCCTATAAACGGACGCATGAGGGGTGCATGTTCATATGGATAAGATAGGGCTATAAATGCCCTCATCTTGCCACAGCTCTTCTAGGCCTCTTTAGGGTTAAGGCATTCTCCCTTCTGAGAATTTCTGGTCTAACCTGTTGTCTAGCTTCACGTCCTGTTTCTATGGATTGTTTGTAACCAGCTTTTGCTGCAACTGTTACTGCTGATTAATATCTTGCTAATCACAGGTTATGGAAACACTGTGTTTCTGTTTTAAGGCTCTGTTAGAAATTACTGATGCACATACTATATTGTAAATTCTTATCTCTGTATATTGTACTTCTGCATACAGATGTTATGTTAAAGAATTGCTTCATCCCCATGTGACCATCTCACCTCATAATCAAATGACCCGAAATCCCTCACTAACCTACCCCCACCCTCACTAAACTTAATAACAAATGCTATATTTATATCCAGTGCATTGGTGGCATCGCAGGACCAGAAGGCGGTGACCCCCCGGACCCAGCTTTCACTATCTTGTGTGTGTCTATTCTTTCTCAACCTGCCAATCCTCCTGGGAACAAAGAGCCCCATTGCATTGCAGATTGCTGGCCAGATCCTGCAATAGTAAAGCCTAGGGAGGATTTACAGCCTCCCCAGTCAAAGATGTATTTACAAAAAATTCAAACACTTGCTCAGCTGCGGCCTGGATGTGATGGCATCTACACAAGATGACTTCCTGCAGCGGCACAAATGAAGCTGTGGGGGATCCCGACGAGCTAAAGCTTGGGTGTGGCACATGGGAGTGAATGTGTTTAAAGTTTTAAAAGTGGTTAAAAGGTGAAAAAAGAAAGGCTAGAAACCAAACCTCAGAAAAATCATGCATTTGAAAGTGACTGCTTTAGTTTTCAATCTGGTTTCAGTCTTGTAACCTCTATCTGTATCTCAGCCTGCATTGTGTTACTATGCTTTTTAAGCCACGGTTTCTTAAACTGAAAATGGGAGACTAATAACCACCTCACTTTTTTTTAAATAAAGGTAGAATCAGATTATGTTGCAAAGATGCTCAACCCAACCAGATACATCATAAGTGTCCAGTAAATGGAGTTCCTATTCACTTCCTTAGCAGCCCTGCATTCTGACCCCTTTCCTATTGCTCATCACAGGGTCTCCACAGCCTTGAGAATAAAAGGTTTTGCTCATTTGAGTCCTTCAGTAACCAGGTGAGAATCTAGTTTCAGGTTCTCTCAAATTGAGGGTTGTAGAAGACAGGCCAGATGGGACAAGAAACTGAAGAATCTGAGCTCGAGGGCTGAGAATCAGAGAGAAATGAATTCAGATGTGCCTGCATGCATCTGTGTGGGTCTGTGCACCTATGCTTGTGTGTGTGAGTGCAGGTGTGTGTGCGTGCTGTGTTAGGAGGAAGATGGCTAATTATGATTATGAAACTGGTGGTATTTTTGCTGATTATAACAATCAGAATTTTCAAATGGAAAGATAAAAGTAAAGCACAGAGCTGGTGGTGTCAAAGTCATAGGAATTTTAGTCACTTTATGGGAACTGGTTTCCACTTATGCCTATTTTCTACACAGGAAACCAACAATTAAGTGTATCATTAAAGGCCTGGGTAAAATTTAACGTGTTTGTATTTCCTGTTAATAATTATTTCAGACCTGCACATGCTGACTTCATCTTGGTTGGTTGTGGAGGCTGACTGACTGCTGGCTGCTGTGAAACATGAGGGTTACCAAGACCCTGAGAGCAGAGGGTGTGTGGTCCATTGTCAAAGAGCCAGGGGGACACGTGGGAGGGTCACTGCGGGAAGTGACTGCAGGCCATGCATGGTAATGCACAGGTATGACCAGCACAGAGGGACATGCCTCTAAGAAGGGTGCACTCTGGGGGCAGGGAAAGGACATAGATGAGAGAGTTTGAATGCTTTCTTGGTAAGTGCTTAATTAGATTGGTTCCCCACGGCAGCATTTTATGAACTGAAGTGCATAGACACTTCAAGGGGCTATAAGAGGGAAAATATTCCATGGGTTAGAGATGGAGAGAGGAGCATCTAGAATTTTGCAACTGAGCTTTAGTGAGCTCTGTTTCACATTTGGATGTCAAGGATTTTAGAAAAGCAGATGTCTGCCTCACTGCTGTCTGTTTAACTGAAGGTTTACACTTGTGCTCTGAGATTGTTACTAAAACAGAAAGAGGAAGGAGAAGAAGAGGAGGACGAGGGGGAAGGAGAGAGAATGAGTGAGGAAGGAAGGAAGAAAGGCAGGGAGGAAGAAAGGAGGAGAAGAAGAAAAAAACAAAATGTCTATTGCAGTTGTCTTAGGCATTTAGTGAATTGTCAGTTTTTTTGCTTGGTCGTTTTTTGTGGCCCTGTTTCTGTCACTACCTTGCCTTTGTCTCCATTTCTAACCCCATGTTCACCCCTTGGATTTAATGGTAGATCCAGCTTTTCTGGTTCTGGCCTTGGGTGCCTCCAGGGCATTATTTGCCCCTATTCTCTCTAGCTTTTCCTAATTCTGGCCTTTGATGCCTCCTGATATATGCCCCCATTCTCTCTAGCTTTTTCTGCTCTTGGCCTCTCAGCCAGGTCTGCAATAACCCCTGTGCACCATTAATGGTTTAGAGAAAGGCTCTCTCTCTGGGTGGATGCAGCCTGTAGGTGCCTGATTTGGCAAGCAGCACATAAGCTCGTCTCCATCCCACCCTGCAGCTGGGTGCTCTTGTGCCTGGCACAGCTCATACCTGCATATTGCTGCCTTGGAACAACCCATGCAGCCAGCTCAAAACTTCATCCCTGGACTCCATCTGGCCATTGTCCCTGCTAGATTAGAGCTTGAGTCAGACAGTTTAAATAATTTTGAGGAATTCTCTCATTTTTTAAACTGATCCTTGTGGTACTTTTATGGCAGACGTAAAGTAGGCACACAATAAGTGCTCAACAAATAATTAATAATCTGCCTGCCTGAAATGCATAACCTATTTAGGGCAGATGAGGAAATGAGGCATAGAGGGGTTGCTTGAGCAATACTATGCAGCAAAAAATGTTTTTGTTTATCAACAGAAGACGCACTTAGGCAACTGAGAAGAGCAGGAAACATGTGGGTACATGATTGTCTTTTTTCTAATGAGAAGGGAGTAATTCTTCCTTTTCTCAAACTTGACGCTGTTCTTTGAAGGCAGTATGTTATTCTTAGATTAACAACCATGACACTCATAGGATTAGACGTGCAACTTCATGGTGAAAGAACTTTGGTGGCAAGAACAGGGGTACAGAATGCAACATTTGAACCAAGCCCAACAGTAAACAGAAACTAAGAACTAAAGTGGTTTGCCCACACAAAGATTGAATTTGTGCCAAGGGTTTTTCCAGTTCTCAGAGGTGCTTAAGTGTAAACCCAGAAAGTTACCTGACATGCTCACGTCCCTGTGTCTCCGTGATATGCTGAGACTGCAAAGTTTTGGTCTGGTCTGCTGCCCCTTTTTTCCATAGAGCTCTAGGCATCTCTTGCTAGACATAAAGCTCAGGGGCTGTTGAATCAAAGGTGGTCAAATGTAACAATGTGAGGCATCCATTCTAGAAAGTTTTGAATTCTAATTGAGAGAGTCAGGATGTTTCTAAACTTTTTCTTTTTCTTTTCCCTTTAGTGATCATTAGGTTAAGCTGTGACTGATCACAAGTAAAGACCTGGTGAAAAAGTGAACTTCTTGTTTGGACTAACAAGTTCTCTCAAATTCACACTAATTGTACATCCAATTAGAGGAGTTGATTGAAAAATACCAGTTCATGTTTATGTTTATATTTTTAAAGAACTTAGACTTGTAATACATTTATAAAACCATAAAATGCTAGAAGGACATACATATCAAATGTATAATTGTGTTTGTCTCTGAGAAGAAGAGATTGGAATAAGAATGGATATGGAAGTCAAAGAAGTTCTCAATGCTGTATTTCTTAATTTTAAACCCACTTAGAGCAAATATGAAAAAATATTAACAGCCACAGATTCTGGGTAGGAAAGCACAAGTTGTAAAATATATTTTCTCTGTTCTTTTTTTTTTTTGACTAGATGTTTGTTTTAAAGTATTTTATTGCTATTAAAAGAAAACAAAATACAAAAGAATTGGATGGAAAAGCAAAGGCTAATCTCTTTATTTCAGCCACTAATAATTGTGGTAATCCTGGGTGTTAATCCTTGAAGTCTTCATGGCATTGCTGTTTATCTGGTGGAAACTTATGACGCTTAGAATAGGCTGAGTAACCTGTAATATCTTGTGTTTGACCCAGGACACCACAGTCCCAGGCACAAAGTGGTTAATTTTTTTCTTTTTTCCCATTAATGATCATTAGGTTAAGCTGTGACTGATAACAAGTGAAGACCTAGTAAAATAGTGAACTTCTTTGGTTGGACCAACGAGTTCTATCAAACTCACACAAATTGTATATCCAATTAAAGAAGTTGATTGAAAAATGCCAGTTCATGTTTATGTTTGTATTTAAAAAAATCTTAGACTTGTATATACATTTAAAAAACCATAAAATGCTAGAAGGACATACATATGAAATGTATGCATTAATGTATATTAAATGTATGTCCTTCTGGCATTTTATGGTTTTGTAAATGTATACACAAATCTAAGTGATGGCAATGACATTTGTTCAGACCCCTCCAATAAGGTATTTGTATAAAGGTACTGTAATTTTCATACTTACTATGATAAGGATAAGGTTAAGCGAGTCAAAGGTCACTTTATAAAAAATCTAGCTGCTTTTTTACAATAATTTAAAGCTCTCCTGGAAACACTATACAAGGTTTAAACAATGAGTATTTAAACAATGAGCCCCTCTATGATGGACTGGGAAGCACCATGTGTCAAGAGGAGCATGGCAATGCTATTAACCATAGAAGCATCAATAAAATATGTGTATGTTGCCAATGAGGACCACATTTGGGTTGGTTCGTTTCTCTAAGATATCTGTCTAGCCGATTCATTGTCTCAGGACATTTTGTTGCCCAGGATGCAGTTTTCTCTTTCAAATACACATCCCTGATTTTTACTGAGAATATCTTCCAATGATATTTTCTTTGTCAGAAATTTTGCAAATAAAAGTAGAAAGAAAAAAGGGATTTGTGGAGAGAGAGTTCCAAGATGGCAGGTGATGGAGTTTATGGTGGCATATGTGCCCCAAACAAAACGCAGGCCTGGGAAGGGCCTGGACAGCTTTTCCTGGAAATAGGAGACTGGGAATGGGAGGGAGTGTGGATTCAACATGGACCATCTTTTCCAGTCCTTACACCACTCTGACGTTAGTAACTCTAAAGCATTGCATACGT
The DNA here is from genome assembly GCF_000001405.40 of Homo sapiens. Classification (NCBI taxonomy): domain Eukaryota; kingdom Metazoa; phylum Chordata; class Mammalia; order Primates; family Hominidae; genus Homo; species Homo sapiens. The sequence goes on along the minus strand of NC_000017.11, from coordinate 41,337,112 downwards.
TTGCCTTCAGGGCTAGCTGAGGGGGCTTCTTTCCTCTCTCCTTCAAGAAAGGAGAGAGGGAAGAGGGTCTCTTGCTTCTCTACTCCTAGCTTCTTGCTGATGGGAAACTTCAGAGTTTCCCATGAGAATCTAATGCCTTATGATCTGTCACTGTCTCCCATCACCCCCAGATGGGATCATGTAGTTGCAGGAAAACAAACTCAAGGCTCCCACTGATCCTACATTATGGTTAGTTGTGTAATTTTTTCATTGTATATTACAATATATTAATAGTAGAAATAAAGTGCACAATAAATGTAATGGGCTTGAATCAGCCCCAAATCATAACTTTCCCTCTCCTCGGCCCATGGGAAAGTTGTTTTCCATGAAACTGGTCTCTGGTACCAAAAAGGCTGGGGACCACTGGTGTAAATGCTTCTAAGAATAGATAAGCAACTTAAGGTTTACAGGGTACTAAAAATATGGGTTTAAATGCTAATAAAACTGGATGCACATGAAAACACTCTCTTGCTGTGGTCCAGTGAATCTTGACCATTCTATCACAGAGACTTGCAGCTTTGAGTTGGAGCTGCCCCCTGGACCTCCTGTCCACAGCACACCCCTGCAACACACACACACATGCACATACATACATGTGCACATACCTGCACACATACACACACATGCTGTGCTTCATGCCCTCACTAAGGTGGCATGGGAGGGAATGAGTGTTTTTAAGAGAAATGAAGACAACTCAGGCTTCTTGTTCTCCTGGTGTTTGCACAAGTGCCTTCTCTGCAGACCATGCTTCAATCTCTTTCTTGGCTTTCCCTGTTAGTGAAAGAGACAAGCAGAGCCCCAGCATGTATCTGACTGCTTAGGGTCCAACCCAAGCTCACAAGCTTCCTGGGGAGCCTAGTGAGATGAAGGCACTGCAGAGCCTCCCAAAAAGAGGCATCAGCTTTTGGTGGAGACTTGAGCCCGGGAAGGTGGGACATCATGGTTCATCAAAGACACAACCAAAATCCAGTGAGGAATGGCAGCCATCAAAAGTTTTATTCTTCAAGAGAAGGAGTTCTCAGGGGCTGTGGGCAGCAGGCACAGAGCTCTTTAGTGCATGTGTGGGCAGGTGATGGTGACCTACAGTTTGCACTGGGAACTAAGATCAAGAGTGACCTGACCTCTGCTCATGCGCATCTCTCCCTGTCTCTCTCTCTACCTTTTATGTCTCTCTCCTTATCTCTCTCCCCACACTCCCTCTCAGCCTCCTCTGTCTCTGTCTCTCTCCCCATCTCTCTTTCTCTCTCTCACTCCTTTCTTCCCATGTCTCTTTCTCTCTCCTTCTCCACTTCTCTCTCCCTCCTCCTCTCCCTCTCTGCCACTGTTCAGGCTCCTGCCCACCCCTCCCTGCTGTGCAGAGAGGCACACGCAGGACTCCTAGGCTACCTTCCAGGGCACACGCACAAGGCTGCCGGGACTTGGTCCCAGTACAGTGCCCCCACCTCCCAGTGCCCTCAAGGTCAGGGGTGTGGGGTGTGCTTGTGCTCTCTTGGGTGGGCACCCCACTCTCCAGGAAGCAGAAGCTGCAGGTCACTGCTGGCTTGAGTGGCACGCCTATTGGACTGCTGGCTTCCATCCTGTGATCTGCCGAGGCCAAAACAGAGGACACCTGCCAAGGCCCCACCCTGCTCCAGGGTTGGGGTAGAGGTAGGGGTAGTGGTGGGGATGAGAGCAGCCACTGCAATCTGGTCCCTGCCCAGCATCCTGCCCTGCACCCTGCCATGCAAGGCCTCCTCTGCCACCCTTTCCCTGCCCCTCACCATCTTCACCCCTAGAAAGCCCCAGGCACAGGCTCCAGAAATCTCCCTGGATCCAGGAACTAAGAGCAACCACTGGGCTCCACAGCCCCTAGGCCAGGTGTCAGCCACACCCACTGCATGCTGACAAATCTTGGCTCTCACTTATGCCCCCCCGCAAGCCAGCCACACTCTGCCCCCACTCCCCCCACTTCCTGACTTTAGCCCTGACTGACAGTGCTGCCTCCTGGTAACCTTTCCCCCTCCCCACAAGGTCCAGGCAAGCCCAAATGCCAGCACCCGCCACCCACCCTTCCTGGGTGCCCCTCTATTGTCTGCTTGCCTAGATGTCTTAACCTCATTTTACCAAGCTAGAACAAATAACAGGGATGAGCCCCCAGCCTCTCCCAGGAAGATTTGGCAAAATGCTCTCCTTTTAGAAGCAGGAGCAGTGACAGGACCTAGGGATGACCCGAGGCTTGTCACCCAAGCAACAAGAAGGGCAAGGAGCCCAGTTTTATGACCTCACCTTGGGAGGACATGGCCAGGGCTCCACAAGGCCCTGTGGGGGGCTGGCAGGAGAACAGATCCACTCTCCTTTTGAGGAAGCAGGCCCCAACCCTAGGAAGCAGCAGATGGGGGCACACAGGCAGAGCTTCCGCAAGCTGTAGATCAGGGTCAGCAGATCTGCATTCAGCTTTAGCCCCAGGGGAGCTGCAAGACGTGAGACACTGATAGGTTTGGCTCTGTGTCCCCACCCAAATCTCATTTTGAGCTGTAATCCCCATGTGTCAAGGGAGGAACCTCATGGGAGGTGATTGTATTATAGGGGGCTGGGTTCCCCCATGCTGTTCCCCTGATAGTGAGTGAGTTCTCAGGAGAGCAGATGGTTTTAAAGCATGGCACTTCCTCGTTTTCTCACTCCCTCCTGCTGCCTTGTGAAGAAGATGCCCGCTTCCCCTTCGCCTTCCACCATGATTGCAAGCTTTCTGAACTGTGAGTCAATTCAACCTCTTTCCTTGATAAATTACCCAGTCTCAGGTATTTCTTCATAGCAGTGTGAAAACAAAACAAACTAAGACAGACCCCTTCTCTGAGGTGCCTTCTTCTGAGGCCACCAGCTGCCCCCATGCTCCTCCTCTGCCCCCTGGTCTTTCTTTTCCCCTCATGAGGCCCAAGTGATCTGCATGGCCAGCCCCAGCCCCATCCTACTGCAGGCCTGTCTAGCTGGTGGAGAGGCCGACCTCCTTTCCTGACCCTCAGGCTGGCTGATATGCTCTCTGGATCCTGGAGGAAACTGATTGTCTCTCCTCATACTGGTAGCAACTTCTTCCAAGACCACAAAGCTGGAAAACTGGTCTTTTTGTTGTCTCCGCTTGCTAGGGCTGTAGTTGGGACAGTACTAGAGGTGGGCCAATGGATGAATGGATGGATGAGTGGGACAGTAGTCCAGGGAGGATGTCCCTGTCTGTCCAGTTTGCATCGGCTCCTGTGCAGTCACATAGCTCCCTGCTAGCTGAGTTGAAATTAAAACCCATTCAGTCTGGCTTCTATATGGCTCATGGGGCCTGTGGACTGGTCTCTCCTTTTCCCTCCAGACCCCATCCCCATTAAGTCCATGAGCAAATCATGTAGGTGACATCCTCACAATGATCCTGAGGTGACTCTACTCACCATCTGCCTTCTCCCACCTAGTTTGAGCACCCTTCATTACTTACCTGGACCAGCCAGCTGGCCCCCCTCTCCTCCCTGCTGGTGTGGTGTGGCCTGTTAACACCTGAGCCGCAGCTGAACCCACTTCTGGCTAGGACCCTCTGCTGGCTCCCTGGCTGCTCTGAGTGACAGCTAGAGCCTTGCAACAGCCTCAGCCATTGAACCTGGGACTTCTGTCCCTGAGCTCTCTGCTGCTTGCCTCTGCTCACACCAGGACAGATGCAGGCTTCCCCTCTGGGCCTCAGGCATGCCGGTCATGCTCCTGCCTCAGGGCCTTTGCATGAGCCATTCCCACTGCCTGGAATGCTCTCTGCCAAGATATCTGCTTGGGTGACCCACCACCTCCTGCAAACATTGCTCGAACCTTGCCTCGTCAATGAGGACTACAACCCCGGCCACGCATCTAGAAGGCATCCAGCACAGAGTATGTGCTCAATACACAGACAAAGCAGGACAATACATGAGACAACTGTCCCTCTCCCAGGCCCCTGGGAAATGCTGGGATGGGGAAGATATTCAGATGTCAAGAGGAATAGGGCCCAGTGTCTTGATTCTCATTCCAGTGCTCTTCCTGTTCACAGGAGTGGCAGGGCTGCACATTTGGAGCAAAACTGAGATGAGTTTCAAGGGCCGCTGAGCATCTTACCCACCCACAGCCTTTCCCAGTGTTCTGGGAGATAAACAGCTGTCTCCTATATTGTCCTGGATCCCTGGAGGATGGGCCAGGCTTGGAGGTGGAAGAAGAGCTCAGTGGGGAGGGGGCCGAGAAGGGGCTGCCCAGAGGTGACACATCTGGAGTCCCCAAATCTGCATCAGGGCAGATGAGTAGAGCTGCACTCTCCCAACCTGCTCATGTTGGCCTTTTGTGATCTTTCATTTTGCCCCATCCGCGTTGCCCTTAGGTATTCATTGCTACCTGTTATCACTGGAATAAAAATGGCCATGGGCATTCTGCCCTTCCTCCACCTCCCTCTTCTCCATCCCTTCTTTCTTCATCTGTGTATTGAGCACATACCCTGTGCTGGGCCCCTTCTAGATGCATGGCCAGGGTTGTCCTCATTGATGAAGCAAGGTTTGAGCAAGGTTTGTAGGAGGTGATGGGTCAGCCAAGCAGTTTTCTAGGCAGAGAGCATTCCAGGCAGCGGGAATGGCTTGTGCAAAGGCCCTGAGGCAGGAGCATGATTGGCATGCCTGAGGCCCAGAGGGGAAGCCTGCATCTGGCCTGGTGTGAGCTAGGGGAGAGCAGGAGATAGCTCAGGGAGAGAAGGCCCAGGTTCAATGACCTGAGGCCACTGCAAGGCTTCAGCTCTCCCTTGGAGCAGCTGGGGAGCCATTGAGCAGAGCAAGAGCCAAACTGAACGGGTTCCAATTTCAGCTTAGCTATCAGGGAGCTATGTGACTGCACCAGGTCCAGGCGGACCCACCTGTACATGAGTGACAGCACCCACAGGGTCCAGAGCTCACATGTCCATGGGTCCAGCTCAGTGCCTGGCATGCCGAGAATACTTGGGAAATGCCAACTAAGGACTCTCACCTCAGGAGGGTCTCTTCTCATTTCCAAAGCTGTCTCTTGCTTTGGAATGCACGCAGACACTGGGCAAGTATATATGGAGCTTTTAATCTCTGCCTGACACCAGAGACACATCCACAGACTGACCGAGTTTCCTGCCCTTGTGCTGCACTCCCCTTGAGGAGACAGACGACGGTGACATGCAAGGAGCTAAGATGTCAGGACACTGAGCTGTGAACGAGGCAAGCAGGGGCTGAGGGATGGAGGAGACAGGGTGGTGGCAGGTGGGGGTGGCCGGGATGGCTGGAGCCTGGGACCAAGGTAGGTTCCTGCACTGCTCTGCGTGGGGACCTAGCTGGGCTCTGAGTCATGAGGGCAGACAGTGGCCAGGGTGAGGCTGGCACTGTGCATCCCCTTCCCCACTGCTGAAGATGCCGCCTAGGGTGGGCTCACAGTCTTTGGGGAGTTAAGAACCATCCTGATCCTAGAGAAGGTTATTTCTGGAAGCAAAAATCCAGGGTTTATGCTCCTGGGACAGGGGATCCCTGGAGCCTCTCATCCTCCCCATAGCCTTTGCATTGGGCAGTGAAGGCGTTTTCCTGTTGAGTCTGAGGAAGGGAGAAGTGGTGTCACTTGGGGTGTCAGCTTTCATCTCACTTAGTCCTCACGGGGGCCTGCAAAGTAAGGGTCACCATCGGCCCAATTTACAGATGAGGACACTGAGGTTCAGAGAAGTTACATGATTTGCCCAAAGTGACACAGCTACTAAGTGGCTGAATGGGATTGAATCCAGGTCTTTCTGAGACAGCCCAAGCTGTTGATGGAGCCCTCTGGCTCACGGATGAGCAGGTAAAGTGAAACAAACACTTTAGAAAGCTTACCTGAGGGTGAGGGGGCAGGCAATTGAGCCTTCTGTGGGGTCCGAAATGTTTACAGTTGTCTCTCTGCGTACGTCGGGAATCAGTTTCACCACCTCCCACAAATACCAAAATCCACAGATGCTCCAGTCTTGATATAAAATGGTACAGTATTTGCATATAACCTAAGCACATCTTCCCATATGCTTTAAATCATCTCTAGATTACTTACCTATGCAATCATGTGTCAGATAGCAACATTTCAGTCCGTGCCAGAATGCATATAGAATGGTGGTCCCATAAGGTTATAATGGAGCTGCCCTATACAGGTGTACCATCTCTAAAAATTGATATCTAAAAAGAGATGGGGTCTTTTTATGTTGCCCAGACTAGTCTAGAACTTCTGGGCTCAAGTGATCCTCCCGGCATGGTCTCTCAAAGTGCTGGGATTATAGGCATGAACCACTACATCTGGCCAGGTGTACCAATTTTTTTTTTTTTTTATCATTTATACTGTATTTTTATCATTCTTTTCTGTGTTTAGATACACAAATAGCCATCATTGTGTTACCACTACCTATGGTACTCAGTATGGTAACATGCTGCAGAGGTTTGGAGCCCAGGAGCAATCAGCTCTACCATTCAGCCAAGGTGTGTGTTTGGTTGCAACCTCTGAAGGAAGCTAAGGAGGAATGACCTAAAGACAGAAGGTGAGTCCGAGGTGGGATCCTGGGACAGGTACCAGAAGTTAAGCAAAAACAGGTGAAATCTGAATGAATTTCACCATATTAATATAGTGACAGCATTAATAACCTTAAATAATAGTTAACATTATTATTCAGTTAACAGGATTGCACCCATGTTAAATTCCTTAATTTTTTTTTTAAGAGAGAAAGTCTCATTCTGTCGCCCAGGCTGGAATGCAGTGGTGCGATCATAGCTCACTGCTTCCTGGATCTCTTGGGCTCAAGCGATCCTCCTGCTTCAGCCTCCTGATTAGGTGGGACTATAGGCACACGCCACCATGCCTGGCTCCTTATTTTTTTTTTTTTTTTTTTTTAACTTTTCTCCAGGGATAGGGTCTACCTATGTTGCCCAGGCTGGTCTCAAACTCCAGGACTCAAATGAACCTTAACCTCCTGCCTTGGCCTCTCAAACTGCTGGGATTACAGGTGTGAGCCACCACACCTGGCCTAAATTTCTTAATTTGGACAAATGTGCCATGGTAATGCAAAATGTCATTATTAGGGGCAGCTGGACGGAAGGTGTCGGAGTACACTATAATGCCTTTTCAGTTTTTCTATATATCTAAAATCATTTCAAAAGTAAACATTTATTTTAAAACATGGACGTGGTTATCCTTCCATGAGTGTAAAGTACAAAAGGCAGGCTCATGGTGTTGTCAGAAGTCAGAACACTGGTTGCAGGGCTGGGGGCGCAGAGGCTGGGTTGGCTTTGTGATCTGGGGGCTGATGTGTTCCATCTGTTAATGTCTTTAGAGCTGTGCACTTTCTTCATAAATTTTCATAAGTTTAACAAAAAAGTAAAACGAGGATGGGAAGCTTGTTTGGGTTGTGGGGCCTCGGGAGTGTACTGCTGCTTGTCCCTAGCTGTGAATGGGGTGCCCTGGTCGGAAGCAGTGCTGTGTGCACTGCAGGGCCGGCAAGTGCATGTCCACGTTGTGGCTCAGTGCAGTGAAAGCCAATCTCAGCCCCTTCCGCAGTGTGGTCAGCCTGCCAGTAGGTGGCCAGCTGGTCCTTCTGGGAAATGGTGCCATCCCAGGGGTTGGGTGTGAATCTGTTTTCCACAGACAAGGCGCTCAGCAGTGGTGTCAGCCTGGTGAGCCTTGGTAAGGGCATGTGCAGGATGCTGAGCCTCTCCCGTCCCCATGCCCGTCTCATGGCCACTTGCTCTGCGGGCCCATCCAGCAAGCATGGTGGCTGGGAAAGAAGCCGGCTCCATCCACAGGGCATGCTGTTTTGCCCACCTCAGGACCAAGAGTATTCTCTGTAGTAATTCTCTTTGGTGGGAGCACTGGGAACATGAACAACAGATACCTTCAGAGTCTGAGCTGCTGAGGTGAGGGCTGCAGGGTGCCCTGCTGTCAGGAGAGCCTGCACTGGCAGCTGGAAGGCACGTGGTGGTGGCACCTGCTGTGGCTGCAGCAGTGGCTGCAAGGCTTCGAGATCTCTCCCCGGTTCTGTAAGGTGAATTGTGACAATGCAGAGCTCTGCAGTGCCAGGGTCCCCTGCATGGTCATGCTGACTGCAGCTGGGAGCCCACCACAGCCCTGGTACCCCTCTCTTCCCAGGGCTGGGGTCTAGGCCAGGCCACTCTTGGCCTGGGTATTGTGCCCCAGGTCCATACTGCTGGCTGTCTGGGGCTGCAGGGATGCCGTGCTCACGTCTCTCTCTTGTGGCCTTGATGGGACCAGCTTCCCCATTGAATGGGATCTTCCAAGGTATCTGGGGCTGCGGGGAAGCTGGTGGGTGCCACCCTGGTTCCTTCCAGATACAGGTGCCCATGTTGCAGTGGGGGTATCTCCTGATCTCCTTCTTAGTCCTGATGGGCCTGGGCAGGGCCTGGTGTCGAGGTCCCCATGGGCTTCCTGGGCTAGGTCTGTCCCATGGTCCCAGGGCTGTCCAGGACACATTTGGAGGGGACACGGGCCCAACAGCCCTGTTCGAAATCATAATGGGGAAACCAAGGGCTCACCACGTCCGAGTCCATTGGGAGCTGAGGCAGGGAGTTCCACTGCAGGTACCTCCAGGAAACCCGAGGTCCTCCCTGAGCTGGGGCCAGTCTGGGCACACCCTGGGATAGCCCCACCAAGACAGGACAGGGTGTGAAAGGAAGAGGCACCCATGGCGGGGAAGCTGACCAAATGCACTGCTGGAAGTGGGCTTGTGGGCCTGGAGGAGCCTGCCTACTCCCCTTGCAGAGGGTCTTCCTGCCACACGGTGAAGCCAGCTCAGGCCTGGGTGCTGAGGACCCTTGCTTAGGTTTGGCTGAAAGGAAAACAGATATGGTCAGCATCTCCAGTGAGCCCATGCAGATCTTTCCGGGTCAGGCCCCACCTGCCTGGGTCTCTAGAGTCCTCAGGGTCTCTGTGTGGCCCCCGTGGCCTGACAGGACACGCCTGTAGGCTGCTGATCCCAGAGGGAGGGAGTGTGTGCCGCCTGGGGTGGGAAAGCTGTATGGGCATGGGAGGTGGCTCCTGGGACTGCCTTCTGGGACTGCCTCCCAGGGTTCAGGCTGGCTGGGGGCTTCCTGCCTTACCACCCTCATCCCAGGGCTGTTGGGCCTGGGATACAGTCCCTAGTCAGAACTCAGGTGGGAGGGGCCTTGGTTGTCACCCAGCCCCCTTGTCACCTCACATGGGGACCTATCTCCACAGTGGGTGAGAGGACCCGGACACAGGGCCCTTTCTGCCCTCCTGGGCTGCCCAGTCCATGCCGGGACTGACTGTTCCCACAGCTGGCTGAACTCTTGGCTCTGGCTCTGGGCCAGGGGTCCCACCCGTGCCCTCTCCCTGAATGCTCTGGGAGTCAGGGACACCAATTCCCTTGTCTCCCTGGCTCGAGACTTGTTTTTCTGGCACCCTTGGAAGGGTGTGCAGGAGTGAGGGTCCTCTGCTGCTCTCTGAGTCTGTCAGTGCTTGCAGGGAGGGGCGGGGGCTCCCCCAAATAGGCCTGGCTCTTCCAATGCCCTTGAGGGCCATTTGAGGGGGAGGGCAGGACAATGGAAAGTGGGAGGGGGTTTGTTGGAGGGTCTTGCCCACATCCCCCTCCTGTGTGCACAGCACTGAGTACCAGTACACACGCACTGAGCGCCTGCCCTGAGGACCGGTGGGCCTCCTGCACTTACTTAGCATCCAGGAGGAAGAGGAGGAAGAAAAGATGTAAGAGGAAGGCCCAGGTTTGGGGTCACAGGCACTCCCCCACTATTGACTGCCCCAGAAGGTGACTTGGTGGGGGGACTGGGTATTGGAGCCTTCCTGGGGGTGGCAGGTCCCCATGCTTCCTGGTAGTTTCCTTACAGAGCACAGAGGCCTGAAGGTGCCTAAGAACTGCATCACTGTCCAGGGCCCAGGTTTGGGGGAACTGGTCCTGAAAACGCGCCCACAGGCCAGACCTGGAAGCCTTCATGAGGTGCTCTAGGGACAGGGTGAGGATCAGGCCAGGAAAGTTCCCTGGGAGGCGTCAGAGCCGACACCCCATTGCCACCTCTGTCGTCTCCCACTGGGTGGTGCCGGATCATTTTGTGGCCACAACAGGGGTGCAGATGTGCACAGGAGGCTGTGGTTTGGGGGAGGCCTGGGCAGGGAAGTGCTTGCCACACTCCCGACTTTCATCTGGGTCACGTGCGGGATGGGCTCGGCATCACTGTGCCCTGCCCTGCTCACCAGGCCAGACCTTCTTCTGGGCTGGAGCAGAGAAACATGGGGACAGTGTGAGGAAGCTGCCCTTGGGCCAGTCGGGGTCTGACCCCAGAGCTTCCCAGGCCCCACTGGGCACACGTGGACTTACTCCTCTGAACCTTGAAGGCAGTGCGTGCCATTGGCATCAACACCTGTTCCTTTCTACCAAATACACCCTCCACAGGCTTAGGGTGAGCCCGAGAGAGATCTGTGGGGACACAGGTGTGGGAGGCCCTGGCTCGTCCAGGCTGGAGGCTGGTGGCTGGATCTGGGCCCACTGGGGCTTCAGTCCCCCAGAGTCAGTGACCCTCCCCATGAGGGTCATCTGACCCCTCCAGGAGGCTGGGTCTGGCTTCCCTGAGCCCTCCCAAGTTAGGTCCTGGGTCAGTCTATCCATGAGGCTGGGCCTGAGCCCTGGCCTCTGCTGGGGGATGACCCCTCTTGGGCAGAGGGCCTTGCTTGTGTGTCCTACAGGGACCTGCCTGAGCCTCCTGTGGGCTGGGGGTGAGCCAGACCCCTGGGCTGGGGAAGTAGAGCACTGCAGGGCAAGGAGGGTCCCTGAGCCACGGTCTCCCTGTGCCTCCTTATCCCATTGATCACCCTCTGTAGAAGCCAAGCTAATGAGGAACCTTGAGCACATAGCCCTTCCGTGTCCCGACAGGAGGAACAGAGGTGCTCAGGGCCCCCTAGCCTGCCCTAAAAACCTCCTTCTTCTAGGGCCCTCTGAAGACCCTTCCCCAAGTGCAGAGTACTGGGTGGTGTCCAGGGCTCCCCACAACACCTTCCCCCTTCCTGCATTCCCAGTGGACACACTGCCCTCAGCCCTGCTCTGCAGGAGCTGGGCCCCTGTCCCTGTGCCTCTGTCTCCTCCAGGGCAGGAAAGGAAACCCAACTCCCAGTACATGGAGAACCCCACGTCCCAGGTCAGGCCCTGGCTGGGACTCAGCCTCTCACCAGCCCCACGAGGGGCTCCAGCACCCCCGACTCCTCTGGCCCCATGGGATGCTGGGCCTCTAGGGAAGAGTCGAGGGGACCATAAACTCACCAAGTGCCTCATGGTCTTGGGGTGTGACGTGGGTACCACATGCTCCTGGTGGTCTTGGAGCCCCTGGACCCCTGTGCCATTTGGGCTGTGGAATCCTGAGAAGCCTCCAGCCCATCATGAAATCAGAGCCTGTTCCCAAGATGTGGAACTGTCGGCTGGAATTGCTGGGCAGCTGCAAAGGCCCATGAACACCGGGCCTCCCACCCTCCCACCTGGTGACCCCACCATGCGGCCTTGGCCCTGGGGAAGAGGGATGGGAACATCCTCTGGAGCCTGGCCGGAGGTGCTCCTGGAGGCCTCCTGGGCCCGGGTGCTAGGAAGGCAAGGCTGACTTTGAGGCCATGACAGAGGGCGGGAAGAACTGGGTGGGTGCTGGGTTTCGTGGTCGTCTCCTGGAAGTGGGGTCGGGCCAGGGTACATGGGAAGGGGAGATGCTGCCATCTGGGCTTCATCGACCCATCTGTGGGCACCAAGGGCAGCTGGAGCCTGGCCAGCAGGAGGGCAGGAGGACTCTCACGGAGGGGACAGTCAGTTGCACAGAATCAGAGCCAGAGGGTGTGGCTCCAGGCCACAGAGGGCAGCCACGGGGGGATAAGATGTCCTCTGTTGATGGAGATAAAAGGCGTCTCATTTGGGGCCTGGGGGTACCTGTGTAGCCCTGGGGGTATCCGTTCAGTCCTGGGCTTCTGTGGGGCCCTCAGCAGAGACATTCTAAAGGCTCCAGATAAGTTGGCGACACAGGAAGGTGCCTTCACTAAAAGTGGAGGTCACCTGGCCAGGGTGGCTGAGAAAAATCAGCCCGAGACGGGACAGGTGCCACCCAGGGTGGGTAGCCGGGCCCTGACAGGAGTCCCTCAGGGAGTGACCACATCACCCTGCTGAGGTTTAGGGATCCTGGCCTGAGACTTGCCTGGTGTACCCAGGGTGCATCCAGGGCCCATCCCACCCGACATTCCCAAGCCCTCACAGGGTCTGACCTCCCGGCATCCACCTGCCTCTCCCTGCACTCCAGCCACCCACCCTGCTTGTTCCCCAATTTCTGCCATCCTGTCAACCCAGAGATGGTGAATGTTTCCCCAGCCACCCTGGCCCTTCTTTGATCCTTGTCCTGTCAGAACCCCCGAGTGATACTCCCCAGATCTGTTCACATGCCTGCCTTGTCTGCTCTCTCATTGGGCTGCCGATGGCTGCTGGGGAGATGCCAAGGGTGACATGGGTGACCGAGGACCCCACAGATGGCCAGGATGGCTTCCCTGCCCCACCTCCAGCCTCACCTGGCTCTTGGAGCCCTTGGCTGTCAGCCCTCAGCCTCCTCCCAGACACTGCAGCAGCTGGGATTGGGGCGCCTGACTGTCCTCTCCCACTGTCCCGCCTGCCTTAAGTCAGTCTCCCCCATCACTTTCTGCACACCGTGCTGTCCAAGCCAACTGGAAGCAGAGTCTCTGGAAAGCCACGCAGAGCCTTGGGGACTGACCGGCTCCCTCTGCTGGGACTCTGCTGACGAGTCCCAGGTGAGTTGGTGTTTTTGGCTCCACCCCTTCTGTCATCCTCACCAGACCATCGGCTCCTTTGGGGTGCATTTCAGAAGTGGCACAGCCCATAAGCTCACTCCCACCCCACCTTCCCTGGGATCCTCTGTTTCTCTATCCTATGACCCCCGAGGGATCAGCTCCAGGCTGGGCTCCTACCTGGCCCCAGATTCCTTCCCAGCACCAGATCCAGGGCCTTTAGCCACAAGCTCTGCTGCTTCCCTGGTCTCACCGTGAGACGCCCAGAACATGGCCCTACCCATCTTCTCCCCCATTCCCCCAGGGCCACAGCCCTCATTCTCCCCATGCCCTTCCCCATGGGGAATGGGGAAGAAGACAGGCAGGTGGGCCCTCAGAGATCTGCCGGACAACTGCCCCCAGGCTGGGCCAAGCATCCCCTCACCCTGTGGCCACAACCCTTGGATCTCAGAAAGTGGACAGGGCCAGACCCTCAGGCTGCCCCCCTCCTCTTGTGCTAACTTGGAGACAGAACTGCTGAGAGCCCAGGGGCCTGACCTAGCCCTCTCTCCATTCCCACCCGCTCCCTAGATGAACCACGCTCCCTAGATGGGCCACGCACCTCTGGCCTAACAACGACCATGGGCTGGACCTGCAGGGGTGCCAGGGAGGAGTTCTGGCCCTGAAAAGGAGGTTGGCTGGAGCCAGGTAGACACATCTTGCCTCAGAAAGGCCTTTCTAAGGGCAAAACCCATCCCTGAGCTGAGATTGGTGCTTTAAGGGATGAGGACTCACTGCAGAATCCCAAGGCGATCAGTGCCTTTGTAGATGTCAGCATAGTGAGGCCCCATGTCCGCTGGCAGCCCAGCTGGGCATCCCTGCAACTCAGAGGGAGCCAGGGTGAGGGGTCCAAGATAAAGGGTGCATGTGTTGCTTCTCTGGCCAGATCCGGCTGCCCTACTCATGTGTGCAGCCAGTTCCTCATCACTCTCACTCCTGGGTCCCAGGGCCAGCATCAGAGCCTCTGTGGGTGCTCCCTAACTTCAGCCCTCCCCACCCAGCATGGTGGAGTGGAGAGGCAAAAAGTTGAGGGTTGAAGGCAGAGGACAGAGGGCAGTGAATGGTTAACGCCTGAGCCACAGCTGAGCCTTCCTCTACCCAGGACCCTCTGCTGGCTCTCCATCTCCTCTGAGTGACAGCTAGAGCCTTGCAACGGCCTCAGGTCATTGAACCTGGGCCTTCTTCTTCCCCTGAGCTGTCTGCCGCTCTCCCCTGCTCACACCAGACCAGACCAGATGCAGACTTCCCCTCTGGGCCTCAAGCATGCCAATCACGCTCCTGCCTCAGGGCCTTTGCAATTTTCTGTGGTTCTCTCAGAAAGCCAGACATAGAGGAGGGAAGATGGGCTTCAGAAACAGACAGATCTGGGTTCAAATCCAAGCTCTGCATTGTCTGGGTAAAGTAATTGATCACCATGAGCTCCAGTTTCTTCATGCACAAAATAAGGATATTAATACTTGTGTTGAGCTATCTTGAGCATTAACCAAGAAAACACGTATAAAGTGCTCACAGCAGGGCCTGGCATGAGGGAGGGACTGATAATGTGTCTCCTTTGCTAAGAGATCGTTAATTGGATGCATGGTTTAAATTAGTTCCATGTAAATATAATAAGCTTCTCTCATCAAACCAAATTTTTGTTGAGTTGCTTCTGGTGAATCTAGTGTCAGAGCCTGTCTTGTGAGTGCTTCTAAAGGAAACACTAGAAGCTGCTTGTGTAATATCATGAGATGAACACTAGAGGCTGCCAGAACAGACGACATGATTGCGTTTTTGATCTCTACATTCTGTTCTTTCTTGTACAGAAACTATTTTTTTTATTTATTAGAGACAGGGTCTCGCTCCATTGCCCAGGCTGGAGTGTAGTGGCTTGATCATGGCTCCTTGAGCTCAGTCACTGCAGCCTTGAGCTCTTAGGCTCAAGCCATCCTCCTGCCTCAGCCTTCTGAGTAGCTGGGACTACAGGCATGCACCACCACACCCAGCAAATTTTTTATTTTTTAATTTTTTGTAGAGGCAGGATCTTGTCAGCAAACTTCATTTAATAGGCAGTCAAGTTCCCCAATTAGGAAAACTAGGATTTTTTTTTTTTTTTGTAAAGCAGTATCTGCCACACACCAAAGTAAATTCCTGATGGATAGCAGCATTAAGTATAAAAAATACAACCATAAAATAGATGAAAATAAAGCAAATAGTTGTCTGATTTGGGGATGGAGGAGAACTTTTGAAACAAAACACTAGGAAAAAAAGATTTCCCTACATAGAAAGAAATTTCTGTGCGTAAAAATATAGACACAACTAAAAGAAAGTGATACACCCTGGGACAAATTTTGCAACATGTGTGAGTGACACAACGAAAAGTTAATATACCTGGCATAATAAAATAAGTTCATATAAGTAAGGTGGGAAAGATGGGTAGCTAATTAGAATGAGCAGATAATTTCTAAAAAGGAAATAACAGTGGCCTATAAAAATATGCAATGATAATTACTAAGTACAAATAAATACTATAATGAGACTTCATAATTGGCCTACCCAATTGACAAAGAGATTTTAAAAATAACAACTAATATTGGCGAAGGCACTGTGAAGTGAACACAAATGAGGACAATTTTTCTGGAGAGTAATTAAAAAAATAATTTCAACTTTTCTTTTGGATTCAGGGGGTATACGTGTAGGTTTGCTACCTGGGTATATATGCTGAGGTTTGTGGTACAATTGATCTCATCATCCAGATAGTGAGCATAGTAACCAATAGTTAGTTTTTCTACCCTTGCTCCTCTCCTTCCCTTTCCCCTCTCATAGTCTCCAGTGTCTATTGTTGCCATATTTACGTCCATGTGAATTCACTGTTTAGCTCCCACTTGTAAGTGAGAACACATGGTATTTAGCTTTCTGTTCTTGTATTAATTCACTTAGGATAATGGCCTCCAGCTGCATCCATGTTGCTGCAAATGACATGATTTTTTTTTTTATGGCCAGGTAGTATTCCATGGTGTATGTGTGCCACATTTTCCTTACATAGTCCACTGCTGATGGGCATTTAGGCTGATTCTATGTCTTTGCTATTGTGAATAGTGCTGCAATGAACATATAAGTGGATGTGTGTTTTTTTGGTAGAACGATTTATTTTCTTTTGGATGTATACCCAGTGATATAATTTGGATCTGTGTTCCTGCCCAAATCTCATGTTCAGTTGTTAATTCCCAGCGTTGCAGGTGGGTCCTGGTGGGAGGTGATTGGATCACAGGGGTGATTTCTGATGAATGGTTTAGCACTAGCCCCCTTGGTTGTGATAGTGAGTGAGTTCTTGTGAGATCTGGTCATTTAAAAGTGTGTAGCATCTCCCCACTCTCTCTCTTCCTCCTGCCCTGGCCATGTGAAGTGCCAGCTACCCTTTGCCTGCTGCCATGATTGTAAGTTTTCTGAGGCCTCCCCAGAACCTGAGAAGATGCCTGCATCATGCTTCCTGTATAGCTTATGAAACTGTGAGCCAATTAATCCTCTTTTCTTTCTAAATTACCCAGTCTCAGGCATTTCTTCATAGTAGTGCAAGAACAGACTAATACACCCAGTAATGGGATTGCTGGGTTGAATGGTAGTTCTATTTGAAGTTCTTTGAGAAATCTCTAAACTGCGTTCCACAGTGGCTGAACTAATTTACATTCCCACCAACAGTGTATAAGCGGTCCCTTTTCTCTACACCCTCACCAACATCTGTTGTTTTTTGACTTTTTAATAATTGCCATTCTGACTGGTGTGAGATGGTATCTTACTGTGGTTTTGATTTGCATTTCTCTGATGATTAATGATGTGGAGCATTTTTTCACATGTTTGTTGACCACTCGCATGTCTTCTTTTGAGAAGTGTCTGTTCATGTCTTTTGCCCACTTTTTAACAGGGTCATTTGTTTTTTCCTTGTTGAATTGTTTAAGTTTTTCATAGATTCTGGATATTAGATCTTTTTTGGATGCATAGTTTGTGGATATTTTCTTCCATTCTATAGGTTATCTGTTTACTCTGTTGATAGTTTCTTTTACTGTGCTGAAGCTCTTTCATTTAAATAGATCCCACTTGTCAATTTTTGTTTTTGTTGCATTTGTTTTTGAGAACTTAGTAATGCATTTTTTCCCAAGACTAGTGTTCAGAATGATGTTTCCTAGTTTTTCTTCTAGGATTCTTATAGTTTGAGGCCTTACATTTAAATCTTTAATCCATCTTGAGTTAATTTTTCTATATGGTGAAATACAGAGGTTGTTTAATTCTTCTGCATATGGCTAGCCAGTTATCCCAGCACCATTTATTGAATCGGGAGTCCTTTCCCCAATGCTTATTTTTGTTAACTTTGTCAAAGATCAGGTGGCTGTAGGTGAGCAGCTTTATTTCCGGATTCTCTATTCTGTTCCATTGTATATGTCTGTTTTTGTACCAGTACCATGCTGTTTTGGTTACTGTAGCTTTACACTATAGTTTGAAATTGGGTAACGTGATACCTTCCACTTTGTTCTTTCTGCTTAGGATTGCATTGGCTCTTTGGGATCTTTTCTGGTTCCATATGAAATTTAGAATAGTTTTTTCAAATTCTGTTAAAAATGATGTTGGTAGTTTGATAGTGTTGATTCTGGAGCCATGTTGCAACAGATACTGTATACTTACATCATTTTATATATATCTTGATATATCCCTGTCGTAAACTCTTAGAATATAAATTATTGGATCAATTAGTTTTTGCATTGGTAATTTTGATGGATATTGCCATAAAGGTTGTACCAATTTACACTCCCATCAGCAATGTGTGAGACTATCTGTCTCTTCACTCCTTATTACATAATGTGTTATCAAAATATATGACCTTGCAAATCTGGTAACAGATAGGATTTTGGAATTGTTTTAATCTGCTTTTCTGTTATTGTGAATGCAACTAAGCAATATTTCATATGCTCAAATGCTATTCATATTCCCTCTTCCATGAATTATCTTTTCATCTCCATTGTCAATTTTTCTACTCGGTTGCTGGTCTTTCTCTTTGATTGATGGAAATCCTTTGTTAAATAGAAAATGAAAGCAAGCTTTGTCTATGAGTTACTTGTATTGTTCCCAGGTTTTCATTTGCCTTTGACACTGTATTCAAATAATAATAATAATAAAATGTTTACATTATAAATTTCATACCTACACACTGCAAATTTCTAAAAAATACAAAAAAGAGAAGAAAATAAAAATCATTTATCATGCCACAATAAATACATTTACTGCTAATACTTTAGTTTTCCTTTTAGTGTTTTTTCAAATATCTGCATGTAAATATTTATATTAATGTAGATAAGTATCCATAAAGATATATACATATATAAATATATAATAACATATATTAGTTACAAATTTCAAAATTCATGTTCTAAGATATGTTAAAAATATATAACTTTATTTTCCTCTGAGACTGTTTAAACTTATTTCAAACCCTCATTCCACCTTATGGGGGAAAAAAATAAAAGTCAGTTCTATGTAAACACAGAAATCATTCAGGATTTCTCCCTCCCAACCTTCATCTGGAGGAGGTGTCTGAGCTTTGAGGGGTGTTATGTTTGAATCAAATGGAAATTTCATAGCCTTCAAGAGGCTGGCAACAGGTTCATGGTGGGAATTTGCTGAAATATACATGGTTCTCTCTTACTCTTGGCCCTATCATCCCTCTCATGGCATCAACCAAGATATTAGAGTTCTTTTAGTCCACAAAAGAACTACATCCTCTACGTCTACATCCTCTCATTACCCCATCCAGGCGGCTAGATGGACCTGGTCATCTGACCACCCACTCTCCTGCATTGCAAAAGTCTACTTTGAATTGTATAAGCTAAGCATTGACCTAAGTCATTCTCTCTGCATTTCTACAGTAATAACCCTACCCTGGGGGCAGTAAATATAAAAAGTCCCTACTGCTGCCCAATTTGTGTGGAAAGACCAACAGTGAAATAAATTGCAGAAGAAAAATAACACCACCATGAGGACTTCAAGTCCTCATCATGACATGTACATTTACACAATTGAAATCATAGTGTATAATTTGAGTTGCACACTGAATGTTGTACTTAATCTGAGTAAATGCTCATGAGTATATGAATTGTTAAATATAAAAGTATGATAATTTATATTTTCAAGTTGTTCAAACAACCAAGTGTTCAATATGTATACATTTATATTTACTCATTTAATCAAAACAGCTCTACGACACTGCTACTATTATTATCCTAATTTCTGTTTTATAGATGAAGAAATTCAGGTACACAGGGGTTAAGTAATTATGGGAGCAGCGAGGGGGTGGGTGAGAGGCAGGAGAACTGAATGGTGAGACATTGGAAGATGAGGAAGACTTTCTACTCTTTTGTACCTTTTATCCTGGGAATGCTTGACCTCTTATTAAAATAAATAAATATGTAAAAGGATGTGTCGGCCGGGTGCAGTGGCTCACGCCTGTAATCCCAGCACTTCGGGAGGCCGAGGCGGGCAGATCACTTGAGGTCAGGAGATCCAGACCAGCCTGTGCGACATGGCGAAACCCTGTCTCTACTAAAAATACAGCAATTAGCTGGGCTTGTTGGTGCGTGCCTGTAATCCCAGGTACTTGGGAGGCTAAGTCAGGAGCATCGTTTGAGCCCAGGAGGCGGAAGTTGCCATGAGCCAAGATCAAGCTACTGCGCTCCAGCCTGGGCAGCAGAGTGAGACTCCATCTCAAAAAAACAAACAAACAAACAAAAAAGGACACGTCTGCCATAGACATTGCTGTATTATACTCACTCAGAGGTGCCCATCTGTGGATGTGGTATGGTGGAAGAAACAGTGGACCAGGAGGGAGAACATCTGGGCCATGGGTCCAATCTACCACGGATGTGTCATCTCTGGGCCTTGGTATCATCTTCTGTAAAACACAAGTGCTTGGCAGTGATGGTCATGATAGGATTAGATTATATCAGTGTTTCCTAATGTAACCCAAGTTACCTGAGAAAGTTTAAAATATATAGCTTCTCAAGCTCTCATAAGCACACATTCTGATTTATCATAAGGACTGGAATACAGTTTGGGAATCTGTATTTTTCAAAAGGCCCCCTTTTAGGCAATTCTGATATAAAACCCTGGACCAGATGATGTTTCAGGGGTTCCTCCCAGCTCTAAAATTCCATATCCTGTGAAGTATTGAGTATCATATCAGATCCAAGTAACTCATTCATCATTTACCCTCCCGACTCCCACCCTGTCCTTAGTTCTTCTAGCCCTTCTTAGAGGCTGTCTTACTTCTAGCCCATCTTACAAAGAAAGGGAAATGAAAAGGGAAGGACTAGATCCCTTGATCCAGATCCTTACTCCCATCCCTCCTTCCATTCCCACCCCACCCCTATCTTCTGTCCTCTACCCCTACTAGATGTTGTATTCCAGCTCCAGGGCTGCCATGGGCACTCCAAGAGGAGAACAAGGTACCAAAGTCCAAGAAAGAGACAGAAATTTTGACCCATCTCAAAATTTACACATGGACCTGAACCATCTGTAGATTTTAGACTCCTTGCAAAGGCATTTTATTCCTTGGGATGACACTCTGGGTATTTTGTATTCTAATTTCTCCTTCTGCCAGATGGTCTATAAGGTTCGAACTCTTAAAAAAAGTGCGTTACATTCCCATTTTAATGTAGCATTTTGGATATTTACTGATCTCCTTCCTGCTTTCTTCTTTCTTTTCTTCTTTCCTTTCTTCCTCCCCTTCTCCTCTTCTTCCTCCTCCTGCATCTCTTCCTTCCCCGGTCAAGGAAAGGCCTGGGGCTGGAGTGGGGGTGGGTAGAGGGTTCTGATCTCAGTTCTTCCCACCTATTTAGAGAGAAGTGCGAATATTCAGCTCACCTTGCCGCCGAGACAGACCATGCCTTACCAGCTTCTTGCAGCTTTACGATGAGTCTCTCTCGGTTTCACAGGGCAGTTATTACTCATGACTGATGCTCACCGGCCAAGCCTAAACGTGTGGCACACTCCCCATACCACACACAGACACAAACATTTGCCTGGCTCACATGAACCGGGATGAGGATGCCATTTCCACCTGGGAGGAGCCACGTGACCAGGCGTTCTCAGTAGCCTCCACTGGTGTCAGGGGGAACAGAGCATTCGGCTGTTGCCGGTCTGCCTTTCCAGGACTAGCATCCATGGAAGATGGGGTCCATCGCCAACCTGCGAAGATGTGGAAGGCAAGCCCCTCATTCCAGAGCCAGAAGCTGTGGCCGGCTTCCCCTTCCCATCTCCAACCTGGGCTAATGACAGCTGGCAGATGCTTGGCCATGATGACAGGTCTTTTCGAAGATGTATTTTTACCCTCTGGATAAACAGCAGTTGGCAGGAGTGGGGCGTTTTTATGAGTTGAGGTACTCAGGACTGGAAAATAAACAGCCAGTTAATGAGCCGGTCTTATGGAAACTTGCATAAATAATAACAAAGAAAACATCCCGTCCCTCATGCCTGGGTGAGGGGATATAAAAGCTGCCATCCAGATGGCTGGCCACCGTCAGTCGTGGGGAACTCCGGCTGCGTTACCGACCTGCGAGCTGACGGGCCCGGACCATGGGGTGCTGCCCGGGGGACTGCTTCACCTGCTGCACCCAGGAGCAAAACTGCTGTGAAGAGTGCTGCTGTCAGCCGGGCTGCTGTGGCTGCTGCGGCTCCTGCTGTGGCTGTGGGGGCTCTGGCTGCGGGGGCTCTGGCTGCGGGGGCAGCTGCTGCGGATCGTCTTGCTGTGGATCTGGCTGCGGAGGCTGTGGAGGCTGCGGAGGCTGCGGGGGTGGCTGCTGTGGATCCAGTTGCTGTGGGTCCAGTTGCTGCGGCTCCGGGTGCTGTGGGCCTGTGTGCTGCCAGCCCACACCTATATGCGACACAAAATGAAGACCTTTCCCTCCACCACTGATGCAGTCCCACCGAAAGCCTCCATCTGCTCCAGGGGGACAGCCCCTCGTGTCCAGAACCTTCCATACCCCCAAGACAGTGTCTTGTCTTTCTGTGATTTGTAGAGGAGGGCTTGTTCTCCAACACCTTCTCTGGTATTTCAAGGCACCGAGAACAAGAGCCATACTCTGATGAAACATTAAAACTCGGTCACAACTAAGTGATCCCAAGCTCAAGGGTGAATCCCCAATACTTTACTTATTCACATGAAGTTCAATGTCTTGTACTATAAGACATCCTCTTCTTCAAGGTGTCTTTGGGACTGATCCTCCGCCCTGGCTTTCTGCAGCTTTGAGATGCAAAAAAGGTCCATCTTCTTTGTGAGCCTCTTAATAAATTTGAGCATGCTGGCATAACCTAATTAGTTCTCTTGCCTCTTCCTTGACCTCCCTGCTGAGGACTGGGTTAGAAAAATTCACTCTGGCATCTGCCTTAGGGTTTTTGAATTGTGGTTTTTGGATCACCTGCGTCGGAATCACCTGGGAGCTTGTTAAAACTGGAGACTCTGAGGCCCTCCCTAAGACATACAGAATCAGAATCCACCAAAGTGTGGCCTGGGAATCTGTGTTTTTAACAAGAACCTTAGATAATTCTTATGCACTGAAGTTTGAGAACCATAGATCTAGACGGAAGCTTCCGTGTGCTGCATGAGATTCACTTGAAAAGCTTTTAAAAATATAGATCATTGGGTTTTATCACTGGAGATTTTACCCGTTAGCTCTAGGGCCTAGAGTCCCTAGGGACCTGCATTTTTAAAAGCTCCTGGGTGAATGCTGATGCTGGCCACATTTAATGGTGATTGAGGGGCATGGCTTTCTTCTGCACTACAGCTCTCCTAGGATGGTTCTGCAGGAGGGCTTCAGGCTTGATCAGAACTTTCTGGCAAAGTCGGAAAGGAGGCTTTGGTAAAACAAGATTGGTTCTGAATGGAAAGGATTTCTAATGGCAAAGCTAGTGAATTCACAGTTTCTGAGGATGTTCTGCGCAGTACAGTTCCTTCTTCCAGCCTCATGCTTGGTCCAGTCTCACTTTTCTGTGCTAGGTTGTCTTACCTGGAACCAGCTACGTTTCTTCTGCCTGAGTTCTAAGGAGGAGGGAGTGAGTATACCTCTGCTAGGTAGGGCCCAGCCAAGGTGTGTGGGTCCACCTGGGAGGTTAAAACTCAAAAGACAGTTGATCAACCTTTTGTTGAAAGTGACCTTAAGCTGTGTGTGTAATAAAACTAATTTTGCTCTTGCCCTGGAAAAATAGTATTTATTTTTATGCCTACAAAGCGATGTTTCATTTGACAAAGAAAAATTTTTTTCTGATTATAAGCATAGCAATGAACTCTAAAAAATGAAAAAATACAGAAACATATAAAGAATATAGCATTCGAAGGCTCACCACTCAGAGTCTATTACTGATAAGCTTTCCAGACTGTTTTCTAAGCATAGTTATGAATAAAACTGGGATTATGTTGCTTTTACCTTTTTCTTTAAAAAATTTTTTTGTTTCATTTTTTATGGTCAACTTTATTGAAATATAATTTACATATAATAAAAAGTTCCCATTTTTAGTGAACAGTATGATGTGATCTGACATTCGTGTATACTTATGTAACCACCACTGCACTCAAGATCTTTATGGAACTTTCCATCACCCCCAAAATTCCCAGTTTGTCTTTGCAGTCAGTTCTTCCCCCACCCCCAGACCCTGGCAACCATCAACCTGTTCTTTATGTTACTACAGATTTCACCATGTCTAGAATTTCATATAAAAGAAATCATGCAGTATGCACTATTTTTCATTTTGCCTATCATGTTTTGTATCTGTTCATTGTTGCAGGTATCAATAATTCATTTTTTTTTCTACTGAATGGCATCCCATTATACAGATAAACTACATTAAAAATATATTCACCTACTTATGGGCATTTGGATTCTTTTGTGTTTCTGGCTATTATGAATGAAGCTGCTATGAGCATTCTCGTACAATTTTTTTTTTTTGGTGAACATATGCTTTGTTTTGGATAAATACTTAGCAATTGGATGGCTGTTTAAATGGTAAGTGAATGCTTAACCTTATGTGAAACTGCCGAGTTGTTTTGCAAAGTGGCCACAGCATTTTGTATTCCAACCAGCAATGTCTGAGAGTTCCAGTGTCTATGTCCTTGGTAACACTTAATATTATCAGTCTTTTTATTTCTAGCCATTCCAGCAGGTGTATAGTGGTAGCTCATTGTGTTTTCATTTTTTTCTTTCATTTATGAACCCAGCAGTATTATTAATGTCTTCTTTTGGAGAGAACCTGAGATTTGACTCTGCCTTGGTTCAGTTTCGGACTCTACTATTTGAGCCATTTTCACTCTGGCTGGAACTGGCTTCCTAGGAACTGGCTCTTTAACCCCTAAGACAAAGCCACCGCCAAAGCAGGAGCTGCCAATGGGACACACTTGTCCAGAGACCAGTGAATCTGCACTGAGTAGTTGTGATTCAGAGCAGCTGATTATTCTATTGCGCACGGTCATGCCTCCTGGATGCATGTGTGGCGGTAGTGATTTTTGAATTACTGATACAGGCTTGCCCTTCTTAGCTATCCACAGAGGTTCTCATTTATTCACTCAATAAATGCTAATCGTGTGCCTCCAATGTATCAGCTGCTGCTCTGGATGCTGGGTATGCATCTGTGAATAGACAAGGTCCTTGCCCTCATGGTGCTTATATGAGGTCAAGGGGTGATAAGAGCCATAAAGAAGAATAAAGTAGAAATGGGCTACATAGTTGAATGACCTGCCTTTTCATTTAGCAGGGAAGGATTCTTCGAAGAGATGACATTCCAGCACAATGGATGAGTTTCTTGGCTGAGAGAGTTTATGAGAAATTTGTTTGTGGGGCGGACTTCCATTCACTGCTGGTTTAGCTGAGGAAGAGAAGTGAATGGAAAAGAGAAGGGTCTCAGCATCTCCTCTGTGTTTGCCTCTGCAGGCCTGTCCAAAAGTCTTCTTTGCCCACTGCTTGAGAGCCACATTTAAAAGAATGGCACTCCCTGTTCCTAATCCTCCATTTTCAACTACCATGACCCGTCTCTCAGGTCTCTGAACCTGCCCAATTCAGGTTGTTGCCATGAAACTTCTAAGTGATTGCCACAGACCCCTAATGGTCTCCCTGCCTTCAGACTTGCCCTCAACCTCCCTTCTCCACATCCAGAGAGAGGGGACACATCCTTCTGAAAGGGCAACCCTGATCAAGTTACTCTCCTGCTTAAACCCTCATTATCATTAAAAAAATACAACTTCTTAATCATGGTCCACAAGACCTTTCATGATTGGGTGCCTAGTAACCCCTCTAGCCCCACTGCTTTTCCCTCCTATCCCCTCTGCTTTTCATCCTGGATATGTTGAACCATTTGCTGCTTCCCAAATGTTATGTGCTCTATGTCTTTGATTTCCACATCTTATCCTTTTCCTGCCTTTATGACCCCCTTTTTGTCCACTCTCTTTGAGCCTTCATATTACTTGAAAAGGCTTCTCTAATTCCCCAAAAACCATGTCCTTTTAAAAATTTTCCTTTGGGACAGAGTCTCGCTCTGTCACCCATAGTGCCATCTTGGCTCACTGCAACCTCTGCCTCCCGGGTTCAAGCAATTCTCCTGCCTCAGCCTCCCAAGTGCAGCTGGAATTACAGGCACATGTCAGCATGCCCAGCTAATTTTTGTATTTTTAGTAGGGACAGGGTTTCTCCATGTTGGCCCGGCTTGTCTCGAACTCCTGACCTCAAGTGATACACTCACCTCAGCCTCTCAAAGTGTTGGGATTACAGGTGTGAGCCACCATGCCCAGCCTCCAAAAACCATGTCAATATCTCTCCTGGGTGCCTCCAAAGTGAGGGCCTCGGGGAGCTGTCACAGTCAGGCAGTGACCTCTCAGCACTCACAGGAAGCATGGCCACCTCTACCATGTCTGGCAGATGCTGTTCTAGGAAATGCCTCTCCATACCAGCTATCTCTCTCTGCTGCATCCACCCCCTGCATCCCTCTTTCACAACACTTGCATTCTGTACCATACTTGCTTATAGATGTGTCTATCTCTCTTCTAAACTTGGGCTCCTTGTGGCCAGAATTACAACTCACTCTTTTTGTATCTATCACACAGAACCCAGTGTTGGCTGAGTTGAGTGCATAAATAAAAGAGAAACTGAGTCAATGATTGCATGAATTAATAAATGAAGGGAGGGATGAATGGATGGCACAATGGATGGCAGAATGGCTCAGCTTTTCCAAGCGAGAGCCTGCCTTTTGTGTTGATGAAAACA